>NC_000005.10:38213073-38845598 GCF_000001405.40 Homo sapiens | reverse complement strand
GCCAAACCCGTGAGATCCCCGTCCGAAAATCTTCAGGCAAGAGAAGTCCTTTAACTAAATTTTGGCCGTGTTTCCATTTGGCGTCCAGAGCAACGAAAACGTGTTTGAACCGAATCAAACGGTCCCCATTTTTCCCCTACTCGCGTTCTATCCAGAAACGCCCTGTCCGACAAAGTTTCTTCGGCTACAACAGTCCCGAAACCTTTATTTCCCAATGCTACGACATGCTACACATGGTTTACTTTTCCCCTTAAAAATGCCATCCAATCTTCAACCTTTTTTTTTTTTTTTTTTTGAGACGGCATCTCACTGTGTCACCCAGGCTGGAGTGCAGTGGCGCGATCTCGGCTCACTGTAAGCTCCGCCTCCCGGGTTCACACCATTCTCCTGCCTCAGCCTCCCTAGTAGCTGGGACTACAGACGACCGCCACCACGCCTGGCTAATTTTTCTATGTTTAGTAGAGACGGGGTTTCACCGTGTTAGCCAGGATGGTCTCGATCTCCTGACCTCGTGATCCGCCCGCCTCAGCCTCCCAAAGTGCTGGGATTACAGGCGTCAGCCACTGCGCCCGGCCAAAAATGCCATCCAATCTTTACCGTGTCTGGGCCTTTGAAAGGTGCATTTCACCTCTCTTAGAGGATAACAGGAGCCTTCCGAGGCAGCCTCGGACCGGGAGCTCCCATAGCCTCGCCTGTCTGGATGCCTGACAAATCAGCAGGCAAGGGGCCTTGCTCCAGATCAGCTGAGCCTAGTTTGGTTTGAGTTTGGGGACCCTGGAAAGTATCACAAAAGCAAGGTTGTAGGAGGGGGGTGGGGGAGGGAACCAAGAGTGATCAACAAGTATCGACCATAAACATATCTTAGAATCCTATATTGAATTGACTGGATGACTCAAAATAATGTCAGAATTATTTTAAAATGTTACTTTTGTGTTTGTTCACATATCTGGCTCCTCCCCAATGTCATCCCAAGGAAAGCTGAGAGTCCTTTTGTTTTTTTATTTTTCCTAAAACAAAGGCCTAAAGGCCCTAATACACTTAATACCTAATGGGGCCACAAAGACCATGATGCATAGTAAATATTTGATGATAATAAAATGTATTTTTGTCTCAATAAATGTATGGTCCTTTGCCACACCTCTCATTACTTGAAGAGTTTTAAAGAGTCCATTAGTTTAGCCATCTGCATGGTTATGGAAACTGCCAAGCCCAAGAGTTGGAAAGTCTTTATGATTTTATATTTTACTGAGAAAAAAAATTATTCTTTATAGAAACAGTTAAAAGGGATCTCTCTTCTAGCAAATGAGATGTCAAATAAAAATATTCAGCCCAGTATGAATTTCTAAAAAGTGAGGCTTATTTTGGGCTCCTATTGCAATTGAAGGAGACTGAAGTGTAAAAATTTGGTGCCCACATATAATTTATCTGTTTTTGCACCATTCTAATTTCTTAAATTTATACGTTATTCTAGAATCTAGATGCAGTAGCACCATATAAATTCGCGATTATACCCTTAACAGTGGGTGCACTGGGTCCATAAAGTCAGATCCACCCAAAACCTCCAAATATCAGTTTATTTGGAAATAATGTTTTTGCAGCTTTAATCAAGTTAACCTGAGGTCATATAAGATTAATCCAGTGTCTGCTGTACTTCTGAAAAGGGGGGAATTTGGACACAGACACCCAGAAAGAACACTGTGTGACCACTGAGACAGATCCTGCTTATGCTGACTCAAGCCAAGGAATGGCAAGGTTGCTGACCACCACCAGAAGCTAGGAGAGAGGAACGGAACAGGCTCCCTTTGAACCCCTAAGAAGAAGCTAGCCCTGCCAACATCTTCATTTCAGACTTCTGGCCTCCAGATTGAGAATACATTTCTGTTGTTTTAAGCCACCAAGTTTGTGGTAATGTGTTATGGCAGCCTTAGGAAACTGATACATAGGTTATGTTCCATAAGTTAGTTTTAAACAATTATCCTGAAAATAACTAATAGGAAAAAGATGAAAAATACCAATGGCTTATTAAGCTAAGAGCTAAAATATCCATCCTTGCTTAGTTTTGATAAGATTGTGTGGCCAAGGCACATATTATTCTGCTTCGTTAAACACTCTTTTTATTTTTTTATTTGTGTGTGTGTTTTTATTTTTAATTTATTTATTTATTTATTTATTTAGAGACGGAGTCTTGCTCTGTCACACAGGCTGGAGTGCAGTGGCACGATCTCAGCTCACTGCATGCTCCGCCTCCTGGGTTCACACCATTCTGCCTCAGCCTCCCGAGGAGCTGGAACTACAGGCGCCGGCTACCACGCCCAGCTAATTTTTTTGTATTTTTAGTAGAGACTGGGTTTCACCGTGTTAGCCAGGGTGGCCTCAATCTCCTGACCTCGTGATCCTCCTGCCTTGGCCTCCCAAAGTGCTGGGATTACAGGCGTGAGCCACCGCGCCCGGCCCATTAAACACTCTTTCTTGACGTTCTCTCTTCCTTTTGATTTCAGTAGCAATACTCTCTCCATTCTTCTTTCATTTCCCTGACTTCCTCCTCCCTCATATTTTTGGACTTCTTGTTCTCCACTTGCCCCCTACATGTTGGTGTTTCCCAGGGCCCCAGGGCCCCCTGAATAATCATATTCACATCCAGGATTTCAATGATCACTTGTGCCTTGATGGCTCTCAGCTCTTCCTTTCCATTGCAATGATTTCATCTGCACTCCAGACAGTACTTTGAAATTAGTATGCCCGAATTCAAACTTCAGTTATGCTCACTTGATTTTATTATACTAAGTGAATGGTCCAGCCTTTAACCTTTACTAAGTTAATGGGCCAGCCTTCATTTAGTGTCCTCTGGACACTGAAGTTAAAACCCTGGGAATGATTCTCGATCCATCCTCTTTCATCTTCCATCTTCCATCAGAAAGTCTCATATGTATAACTATTATGGAGGAGGGATTAGTGGAATGTATTGCCAACCTATCTAACTTCTCAGAGGAAAAATAGTTCTATAACTGTCAGGAACATTATATTTGTCTATATCTCTATATCTATGTTTACATACATCTATGAAATCAGCTATGTAAATTGTGAAATATAATTATGATTCTATTTATTCCACTACTGTAAATAGCTATAATTACAAGATGGCAGCATTTTGTTACCAACTGATGGAATTTGAAGGTATCGGGGATTTTGTGAAGAAAGTGACTTCATCACCTAAGCAGTGGATAATGGTTTACAATTACCCTCATCGACAAGTTCTGTAGAATTCTGTTTTGTTGGCATATTATCACATTTGACTCTTTTTAAATGAGACAGGGTCTGTGTCACCCAGGCTGGAATGCAGTGGTGCAGTCTCGGCTCGCTGCAACCTCCGCCTCCTGGGCTCAAGCAATCCTCCCACCTCAGTCCTCCAAGCAGCTGGGACTACAGGCACGCGCCACCATGCTTGGCTAATTTTTGTATGTTTTATAGAGACAGGGTTTTGCCATGTTCTCCAGGCTGGTCTCGAACTCCTAGGCTCAAGTGATTTACCCACCTCAGACTCCCAGATTTCTGGGATTATAGATGTGAGCCACAGTGCCCAGCTGACATTGACATCTTAAAGATTCACTTTTAGGCCTTAACGCGTGCCTCTGTGATTATTATTGGTGGTGATATTGGCCTTATTTCTAAAAAAAAGTTATTGGAAATTAAAATTATTTTGTGGAAATAATTATTTTGTGGAAAGCTAAACAGGTCTTCCAAAAAAAAATTTAATCTGAAATTTATCATAAAGCTTGATTAATTAAAGGACATCTGTTACTGAACTGAACTGGGTCCATTTGCCCACTGTGCAATGGAAAGCCAAACACCAAAACACTCGGTTTTCATAGCATGAAAAATTTATTGCAAGGCTACCAAGCAAGGACACGGGTCTGGCTCAAATCTGTGTCCCCACCTGGCACTTGGGTCAGGTTTTATAGCCAGAGGGTAACAAGGCATGACCTGATTGCATCTTGCAATAAGGTGAGGCTGGGAGGCACCATCTGACTAGATCCTGCCATGAGGTGACACCAGGGCGCAATCTCATTGGATCCTGGATCCTGCCATGTGGTGTCCACTTCTTAATTTAGTGATCCAAGCATTTAGGTTCTGCCCATGGTTGCATTCTTAGTTCATCTGAGCCTCCTCAAGTTACATGACCTTCAACCTGGGGGTCCATGGCAACTAAAAAACAACTCACAGCTTCGCTATATAAATGGTGAACCATAAAGTTGAACCAGCTAATTAACACAGGAACAGAAAACCAAACACTGCATATTCTTATTAGTGGGAGCTAAACATTGAATACACATGGACACAAAGATGGAACAATAGACACCAAAGCCTACTGGAGGGAGGAGGGTGAGGATTGAAAAACTACCTATCAGGTGCTATGCTTATTACCTAGGTAATGAAATAATCTGTACACCAATCCCCTCCTTGACACACAACTTACCCACATAACAAACCTGCACATCTACCCCCTGAACCTAAAATAAAAATTGGAAGAAAAAAAAAAAGTTGAACCAGACTGGTCTGGTGCAGTTACACATCTAACACTTCTAAATATCCAAAAAAGTGGCACTGCAATGACAAAGCAAGATGTTGAGCGTAAGAAGACTATGTGGGACTTTCTCATTTTATCATTTTAGGAATTCCCTATAATTACTTAATGATGAATTGCTTTTCTTTCAAAATCTCTTAAGTGATGAATAATATTATCCACAATAATTCTACAGGAATTCCTTGATTAAACTAGATATTATCTGAAAATTGATTGATTGATTGATGGATGGATTTTGCACATTCCACCCTCTTCCAGATGTTGTAATTGTGCTCACACCTTCTTCCAGAAGTCATCAGAAACCAGACAATGAGGAGAACCTCCCTGGATCTTTTACTTTTTTTCCCTCAGGGACTTTAGGGAAAATATTGAATATTGATAGCTGCTTTTATTCTCTTGGCCTGTGGTTATGGCACTTACTAAATTTGAGTGCAGTTGTTAATGCTAAAGTTTAGAACATTAATACAGTGAGAGAGAAATACTTTGGAGAGAATTAGATGGGAACTTTCTGGATATTTGAAAACTATTGGCTTAAGGTTGATCCGAAATAAGTCTATAGTTGTGTTTATATTTAAACTGAATCTCTTACAGAAAACATATAGTTGAGACTTTTTTTTAGAAGTTGACTGACAATCTCTGCATTTTAATTTGATAGAGAGTGTTTAGTAGACTTATATTTAAGGCAGTTATTGATATGCTTGTGTTTAGCCTACCATTTTACTATAGGTTTTGTGTTTTGTTCTCTCTGGTTTTGTTTTTTTATTCTTCTTTTTCTTCTTTTTTTTCTGGACTATATAAATACTTTTTATCTTTTTATATTTCCATTTTAATTTTTTTAGAGTTGGGGTCTCACTCCATTGCCCAGGCTGGTCTCAAACTCCTGACCTTAAGCGATCCTTCCGCCTCAGCCTCCCAAGTAGCTGATATTACAAGCATGAGCCACCATATCTGCCTTTGAACGCTTTTTAAATTTCATTTTTATTTGCCTTTGTCTTTTTCTTATTTCTCTTTGCATGATGTCTTAATGTTTTCTCTATGGATTACAGTGTACATTCTTAAATTTCACTGTGTACTTGAAATAGTATTGTACCTTTTCACTTAATAGGTCCATTTAACCACACACCCCATCCTTTACACTATAGTTGTAAAGTGTATTACATCTACAGACAAGATAAAACCCACAATATAGTATGTATTTTAAAGAAATTAAGAGGAAAACTACTCTTTTATATTTATACACATATTTACCTTTAATGTTCTTAAATCCTTCCCAAAGATCTAAGCTTCTCTCTGGTAGCATTTCTGTAAGCCTAACAAACTTACTTTAGTATATTTTTTATTGGAAGTCTATTGGAGATACATAGTATTAGTCTTATTTTATTTGAAAATATCTTTATTTCACTTCGTCCTCAAGGAATATTTTTGTTGGATAGAATTCTATTTTCTTTCAACTATTTAAAGATACTGTTCTACATTTTACTGCCTTTCATTGCTTCTGATGAGAAGTCAGCCATTATTTGATTCTTCTTTCCTCTGTCAATATAATGTGTCATTTTTTCTCTGGTTTAAATATTTTCTCATTATCTTTGATTGTCAATAGTTTATCAACTATGTGCTTAGAAGTTTTAAAATTATTATTTACCCTGCCTGGCATTTGCTAAGCTTCTTGAATTTATAAATTTATGTCTTTTACCAAATTGGAGAATTTTTCAGCCTGTATATCTTTTTAGTACCTTTTCTGCACCATTATCTTTCTTATCTTTTTGAAATTCCGACTACAAGTATGTCAGACCCCTTAATATAGTCCTAAATGCCCATGAGCCTCTGTTGTTTTTCAACTTTTTTTCTGTGCTCTTCAGATTCAATAATTTCTATTGAACTATCTTTAAGCTTACAAATTCCTTTTGTGTTATATTCGTTGGGCTATTATATCCATCTAGTAAATTTTGTGTCATATATATGGTATATTTCAGTTCTAGAATTTCAATCTGTTCTTTTAAAATATATTGTCTATTTCTATACTGGTTGTCCCTATTCTTTTTATTATTATGAACATATTTTCCTTTGCTTCATTGAGCATAGTTATTATAGTTGCTGCTTTTAAAACATTGCTTCATTATTCCAATATTTACATCATCTTTTAGTCAATCTCCACTGATTTTTTTCTTTTATAAGAATGGATTACATTTTCCTGTTTTTTTTATTTACCTATTTTTGGATTGTCAAATAATTTTGGAGTGCAACCTGTGCGTTATAAATATTATGTGATGAAGATTCTGTTCTATTCCTCCAATGACACTGATTATCTTTTAAAATGGCAAGCAGTGTGGTTAAACTCAAACTGCAAACCTGATATTGCTTACAGTAAGTAGAAGCTCAAATCTGAATTCACTTTTTAATGTTGACCAGGCTGCTTTGAGTTTGCCTTGCACAAGCATGGTTCAGAGATTATCCAATAATTGGTATTTATTTTAAATACAGAATTTGGGCTTCTTCCTCTCTTGCTCCCTCCTTTATGTTTTCCCGCCTCACTTTCCAAATAATGTTGTTGCTGTGAACCCTGACCCCTGGTTCTTCAAACTAGAAATATTGCATATTTTCTAACAGAGTTTTAGCTACCTCACATTGCACAGACATGCACTAGTCTTGGGCTGAGGGTCATAAAATTTGGGAAAGTTGCTCCATGCCTTTCCTCTGCCAAGTGTTGACTTTCCTCCACAATCTGCCTGGTGTTGGTCACTCTCCACTGCCGATAATTGTTTTTAATTTTTAACAATATTTTTCTAGTGTTTTATATTGTTATATGTTGGGGAGGGGCAGTCAATTAAACAGAGCTACTCAGCAATGGCTGAAAGTAGCACTCCCTGCAATTGTAGTTATATCTGCTAAGTGGCTAGGTTATTGGGAGGAGCTAGTATGAACTGTTTCCTTTGCTAAATTAGATTTCTCTCCAGTAGAACATTCTTTTGGATGCAACCCAGTTTTTCAGAAGATTGAAATACATTTGCATAGACCTAAATCTGGAAATTGAGTAAAAACCTTCTGAAATCAGGTACGGTTAATCTATTATGGCTGAACATCACTTTAGAATGAAGGCTTAAATAAATATTAATACCACTATAATACAAAGGAAAGAATTTTAATCAAAAAAAGAGAATAGTTAAATGCATTCTTGGATTTCCTCTGAACTTTGTTCAAATGCTAAACACAAAATTCATTTGAGTGAGTTACAGTAAGCTATACCTTTATGTTTGTTACCTTATTTGTGCTTAACTTACCTCCATGTACACTAAAACAAAAACTTCCTAAAAGCACTCACTTTTATACTCAATCTTATCAGCTACTTAAATGTAGCTCCTTTTGTCCAATTATACTGTGGCCTATGATGCTTAGTCACTTTGGAATAATGGTCAGATAGTTTTCATACTCCCACGGGAAATATATGGAGAACAGGCTAGGGAAACATGTTTATTCAAATTTAATACGAAGCAACCAAGCTAAGAGAGAAAATGATAGCACACCCAAGAAAGAAAGAAATGTTATTATATAAATTTTCTTAGCTCTCAAACCACAAATAATTATAAGAACTTATCTTCCTATCATAAGATCATGGAACATGATGCCTAAACATAAAATTGTAAATGTTTGTTTTGAAAAAGAAGACAGGCTGGGCATGGTGGCTCACCCCTGTAATCCCAGCACTTTGGGAGGCCGAGGCGAGCAGATCACCTGAGGTCAGGAGTTCAAGACCAGCCTGGCCAATATGGTGAAACCCTGTCTCTACTAAAAATACAATAATTAGCAGGCGTACTCATGCATGCCTGTAGTCCCAGCTACTCCAGGGGTTGAGGCAGGAGAATCGCTGGAACCCAGGAGCTGGAGGTTGCAGTGAGCCGAGATGGTGCCGCTGCACTCCAGCCTGGGCAACAGAGCGAGACTCCATCTCAAAAAAAAAGAAGACGACAATAGGCAATTTCTTCTGAAAATCTTCCCTGTTTTTAAAAAGAATAAAAAAGTTAAAGAATATTCTGCTTGACTGGATATTTAGGCTTACAAACATCCATACTTGCAAAATTATATACACACACACAAACACACGAATGCTCATTAGAAGAATATTGTAGTAACAAAGAACTACAATCTAAAAATCTGCTAATAGAAGACTGAAAACTATGATTCATTCTTTCAAAAGAAGGAAGATTATATATGTGTGCACCTATGGAAATATGTCCATCATGCACAACTCAGTGAAAAAGCAGAAGTCAGAAATGTATATATAGTATATCCATTTCATCTATTTAATTTCTTAATATTTATGGAGTAGATACATAAGAATGTTCTGGATAGGATTACAAGAAATTGGTAACAAGTTATTCTTGTGGAGAAGGTCTTTATAAAGATGAAGGATGAGGAGTAAGAGAAGCTTGTGCTTTTCAGAGCTGTCTGTGCAGATTGGCTTTTTATCATTGGTATTTTTACTTCTTAAAAATAATGATTTTTGAAATCAAAGAATGCCTTGCTAGAAAAGAAGCATCACTTGTTATTTTTTGAATGTTATATTCAATTTATAATCAATAAATATTTATAAAATGCTTATATACAAGGTATTGCACTAGGTTCTTTGGATAATCCATAAAACAACTTGTGCCTTGGTCCCTGTCCTCAAGAAGTTTACTGTCCAGTTGTGGACTATGACAATAAACGCTATTTGTGATAAGCACCGATTGAGAAGCACAGGCAATAGTCTTTCAGGAGTTCAGAGGAGTGATGACTTTTGACTGTTAAGGAGGAGGGGTTTAAGAGCTACGAGAAAGAAAAAGTACGAGCCTAGGACAGATAATAGAGATAACAACAGAATTATAGGAAATGAGCAAGAGGGTGTGTCTGAAAGGGGATCTTCCTCCTGACAAGGAGGGCTGATTTTTCTTATGGGAACAGCAAGATTGTTTGCAAGCATACTTTGTTGGTGAAGGCATCCTTTTACCAACTATTTCATTAGCACTATCCAGCTCTGCATGTCTCCAGGGACAGTGCTGGCTTGATTAAGCTCTGAATGGGTTTCTGAGTTGCAGGGAAACTGGAGGGAGGAGAGACCCATTTTCTACAGTATAGCCTTGTCAGAGCTGAAAGGAAGGTAGTACTTCCCAGTTTAAAGAGAGGAAGAAACTAAATTGCTTGCTGGAACCAAAGAAGACCCAGAGATGTCTGACTGACTGTTAGGCAGTGAGGCAGAAATTCCAGGCTGGTAGAAAGATCTGAACAAAAAAAAACAGACTTTATTGAAAAGGCAATTCCCAGGCCTGCTAAATGGAAAGAGAGATGTCTATTGGAAGGAAGTAAAACATTCTTCATAAAGAAGGTTTGGAGCCAGATATAAAGAAAGATATTGAATGTCATATGATAATTTTTGCACTGAAATAGACAAAGGATAAAAGTTTGACAGTTCATAAAGGATGCATTTTTTAAAAGAAAAAGAGGATAGAAAAGGATAAAATATGTCTTAAGATATATTTTAAAAAACAAAAAACAGGCCAGGCACGGTGGCTCACACCTGTAATCCCAGCACTTTGGGAAGCCGAGGCGGGAGAATCACAAGGTCAGGAGTTCGAGACCAGTCTGGCCAACATGGTGAAACTCCATTTCTACTAAAAATACAAAAATTAGCTGGGTGTGGTGGCACATGCCTGTAATCCCAACTACTTGGGAGGCTGAGGCAGGAGGATCACTTGAACCCGAGAGGCGGAGATTGCAGTGAGCCAAGATTGCGCCATCACACTCTGGCCTGGGCAACAAGAGTGAAACTCCGTCTCAGGAAAAAAAAAAAAAAAATTAGTTTCCTCTAGGAAAGTCCCTGGGTGCCTAAGGGTCAGAGAGGAGAGGCTTAAGTCTCCCTTTTTCTGTCTTTTGAATTTTTACTTATATAAATATATTATTTAAAAATTAAAATTAATAAAATGATGATTAACAGAGAGAGACTAAATTAAAGTGTTGTATGTATGAGCTGAGATTAACAAATGGGCTTTATGTAAGCTAGGCAGACCTTTGGTGCCAAATAGCCTGAGTTTAGATGTAGGCTGTGCAGCCATTGTCTGAGAATGCTGGCTCCTAGCACCTGACAACAGTTTTAGAAATTAGATTCGTAGAGCTGAAGAAGAGATGCCTCAACCCATATGGCGCTGGGTTGGGGCACAGACCCTCCCATGGGGAGGAGGTAACCCTTGTTCCAGGTCAGCCCATCAACAGATGGCAACTTCAGGGTCGTTCAGCAGACAATTCAACTTGTCTCTCTCCAAACACTCTCTCTCTCTTTTTTTTTTTTCCTTTTTTTGAGACAGAGTCTAACATTGTTGCCCAGGCTGAGGTGGAGTTGTGCGATCTGGACTCACTGCAACCTTGACCCCCTAGGCCCAAACAATCCCCCCACCTCAGCCCCCAGAGTAGCTGGCACTACAGGCATGTGCCAACATGCCCAGCTAATTTTTGTATTTTTTGTAGGGACAGGGTTTTGCCATGTTGCCCAGGCTGGTCTTGAACTTGTGGGCCCAAGCAATCCTCCCGCCTCAGCCTCCTAAAGTGTTAGGATTACAGGCATGAGCCACTGCACCTGGCCCACACTCTTTTAATATTTGTTTGTTTAAAGAACAGCATTCTGGACTGGGCGTGGTGGCTCACACCTGTAATCCCAGCACTTTGGGAGGCCAAGGTGGGTGGATCACCTCAGGTCAGGAGTTCGAGACCAGCCTGACCAACACAGTGAAACCCTGTCTCTACTAAAAATACAAAAAAATTAGCTGGGCGTGGTGGTGCATGCCTGTAATACCAACTACTCTGGAGGCTGAGGCACAAGAATCACTTGAACAGGGGAGGTGGAGGTTGCAGTGAGCCAAGATCACACCATTGCACTCTAGCCTGGGCAACAAGAGTGAAACGCCATCTAAAAAAAAAAAAAAAAAAGAATAGCTTTCTGTATAAAACTACAAAATTATACAAAAACAGAAGAAAATAGTAACTATCCATTTACTTAAAATAGGAAAAAATAACCCAAATATTTCTCATTTATGACAGCAACATAATTAGAAATAACCAAAATATTGCTATTTACTTACAATAATGTAAAGTTGGAAGCCACTTGTAGGTCTTCCATTAGGTCGGTTTACTTAAGGCATCATTTCACTAAGTGCAGTAATTCACAGAGGCTTGTTTCTCACTCAGATCATATAGTCTGATGCCGATTAGATGGTCTTTTCTCTGCTAAGTGGTAACTCAGGAATCTAGGCTGCTTCCGTATTACAGCCATGTCAACTAGAACCTCCAAAGCCACTGCAGCATCAGACAAGAGAGCTGGAGGGAGACATGAGTTTTTTAGCCCCGGGCCAGTCATTTTCACCCACACTCTATCAGCTGGAACCCAGTCACATGGCCCCAGCAGAACTGCAAGTGAGGTGGGGAAATGCGAGCATCCCATGTGCACAAGGAGAGGCAGCAGCGGACAGAATGAGCAAGCACACTGGGCACAGGAGGAACTTTGTTAATAAATTATGATATATCTTTATAGTGGAATATCATTTAGGCTTTAAAAATCAGATTTTGAAGAGTACTTAATGACAGGAAAATGCCAATGATAAGTGAAAAGAATGTAGACTCAGGATTCTAATTTGGGAAAAAATCATACATGTATATACGTACTTAAAATATAGACTAAGAGGAAATAGAAAATATGTTATTTGTGGTTATCTCTAAATAGTAGGGTTATAAGTTACTTTATTTTTTACAGCTTCAAAGACATTGCTAAGTTTTCTTAATTGATCACATATTTTTTCGAAAAGAACTATGGATAACTTGAAAGCCAAGGCTTTTTTTTTTTAAGTGAAAAAGAAATTCTCAGACCATCGAAAGTATAAGTTGTTACAGATACGAATCTGAAGTTATGCTAGTAAGCTTTTTTATCAGCAGAGGGCAGCTCTTTAGTGCTTATTTTTCCTGGTGGCATAGATGTTAGCCACATTCCCTGTTTTACACATTCGCTGTGGTCAGAATCACATATTAGATTTATTCCCTGGGAAGGAGAAGCCAAGGCTGAAACATATCTGTCAGTTGCAACACTTATTGAACAGTATATATTTTGCTGAAGAAAGCAACTAAGCAAACCAGCTCTGCCCCTTCAGAAGGTCTTAGAAAGCAGACAGAACTAACAATCTACAGCCTCAATCATAAAACTGTGGACACACTGAACTATCACACACCACGGGAACACTGACTTCACCAGAAAGCGACCACATTTTGTTTGGAAGGGAATGAGGACTAGGCCAAGGCGGTTTGATATTCCGGTAGGAAAGGGCTAGACAGAAACCATATTTCATGTGTACAGTGAGACTTTGTGGATTAAAAACTATCATTTTTAATGTCCATCCAAGGCAAAGAATATTAACAGGATATGAACAGACTAAATATGGATGGCTAATTAAAATACAAAAATGTGCTCAATATGTATTTTTAATCTATCATGTTGAAAATTTTACAAGATTGGTCATGTCCCAGTGTTGATGAGGTATGTGGATCAACAGTTAATTCTCAAATGCTGTTGGTGGGAGTATAAATTAGCCTTTGTACTACCAACATTTTAAATGTGTGACTACTTTGATGGACAATTGCCCATCAATTGCTCCTTTACCTCAAGGTAACTCACTCAGCAGAGATAATGTGGGTGATGTGAGCAAGGCCTGTGCTGTCCTGCTGTTCAGCTCCCTAACCTAAGCCTACTCTCAACCCCTCAACCAGCCTAGAAAAGGTCCAAAGCAGGAGAGAGAGAGAGAGAGAGAGAGAGAGAGGAGAGAGAGAAGGAGAGAGGAGAGAGAGAGACAGAGAGACGGAGAGAGACAGAGAGACAGAGAGAGAGACAGAGAGGAGAGAGAGGAGAGAGAGAGGAGAGAGAGAAGGAGAGAGGAGAGAGAGAGAGAGAGAGAGAGAGAGCCCCCCTATAGAGCCCTCTAGTGGCTGCTTTTTAGAGAACTGGCCACTTGAGGAATTTGCTTCACGTCTTCCCACCACGGTGCAAAAGGCAAGACTGACATCAGAGGACTTTGATGCTTGGCTACCTGATCCTACCACCACCACCTGAGACTGGCCAGGCACAGCCCTCTAGCTTGACTTTGCCTAAGATGAGCTCTGGGCATTCCCAGAGTGGTACAACTGAAAATTCCTTCCCTGCTAGTTAAAGAAAAAATTGTTCATGGATAATTAATAAAGCCTGTTAAGAAAGACTTTATTCGGACCATCCCATAGGTATAGGGACCACAGCAATGGGATTGCAACTCCAAATACAGCATGGGCAAGTAGAAATGTATAGCCAAGGAGCAGGGTGGTGGTCAGTGGATGGAAAAGTGCTAAGGGAAACCTGAGGAGTAAGGGGGATTCTGTGTAAGGCAACCTCACAAGACTCTTGCTGAAGACAGGCCAGGGTGATAAGACATCACCTGGGAGATGGTGAATGATAAAGAACCTGATCAGATATTGAGGGTGGGTGGGGTAGGGGGTGGTCTTGCTAAACTGACTTAACAGAGTTCTTGCTAAAACTAGATTTTACGAGGAAATACACATATGAGCCTACGAGAGGGTTCAGGACTCTGACTAAAGTTTGGCCAAGCGAAGGATTTTTGTCACGGTGCCCCAATGCATACAGACAAGGAATCTGGCAAAATCCCCAAAGATGTTATCTTATGTGGAATCCCCTGGAAGCACAGGGACACACTGGTAAGGCAATTCCCTGGAGCAACTTAGGTTTCCAATTGCTTCCTTGAAAATATGCAAACTAACTTTTTTAATGACCTCGAGTTATACAAGGTTGAGCAAGTAAGGAAAACATTATATAGGTAGGAAAGAATGGGGGGTGGGATAGGGACACAAAGGAACGTTTAGGTTTGTAAAGTGCTTATTGCGTGCCAGGGATCAGGGCTGCTACCTATACTGGTGCAATGTGCTGGCCCACCCACAAGCTCTAAGGCACCTCTGCACACATTAGAGAAAAGTAGGTGCAGGGTTTAGCAGAAAGACAGAGATTTCGTGTGAAGCCAAACATGCCCTATTCTTGGGTATATGCAGCTGCATGTCGAGACACACAACTTGGCAAGAAAAGGGGACTTGAATGTGGTTCCTGCTCACCTCCGCCCTGCTGGCCAAGGACCTTGGTGGAGTGCACCAACCCCCAGCTATATCAGCAACCTCCAGTTTTGCCAATGCCAAAGGCCCCCAACCAAGAAAAATAGTGAGAGCTAAAATCTAGCCCTTGCTTTGCTGGCCCTGAGCCCTGTGTCAATCTGGAGGGGTCACCCTTGTGTAATAAGCACAAAGTTACCTTTGTGCCAGTGGCCCTGACTGTATGTTGTGTCATCCTCTAATTCCCCTGTGAGGTAGTCAGAGTGGATTTACTGTGAAGCTAATGACACAGACTTTTCCATAGACCCAGAGAGAGGCTCAAGGATTGGTTTACATGGTCATGTTTTGTCCTAACATTTGCAAAAGCAGGATAATTTAACTGTATAATTATAATAATGTAAACTTGCATAAAATTTCACCTAAAAATATTGCCATAGCAACTTTTGAAGACAAGTACAATTATTACCCCATTTTATAACTGAGACAGAGAAAAGCTCAGTAGCATTGCTGTTGAGTGGTAGGTAGAGCTTGAATTTGTTGCAAGCTGGCTGACTCCAAGGCCAAAAGATCATGGGGAATATGTATATTGTTTCCAAGAAGACAAAGTTTCCAAGAGCATCCTACAAGGTGCTGTTCATTCTTGCCCCAAATTCTCCAGATGTCATGAGATATAGAAGAGAAACATCTTTCGATGTTGTTCTAGTCAGAGGAGACTTCTAATAGGCAGAGAACAAGTTATGGAAGCTGTTCCTGAAAGATGCAGTTGTCATTGTGGAACCAGTCTTGGATATTGTGTGGCAGCTGGACCACACAGCCATTGTTATAAAGGAGAGCAATATGCCTTGTGACCCTTGTATTATTTAGGGTATAGTCTTTCAGGGAGAAACAACTTTTCCTCTGTCCTCTTAGGTTCAGTATCTGGGGGCCTGTGAATTAAACTAACAAAAGATAGATTAATGAGAGAAAAAGCGTGCAATTTTTGCTAATATTTATATGCACAAGAGTTCACAGAAAAGAAGTGAAACTCAAAGAAGTAGTTAGACTTCTAGTTTACATATAATTTTAATAAAGGAAAATTTGAACTTCAAGGGATGATAAATCATGGGGAAGTAACTAGGAAATATATGGGGGAAACTAACAGAAGATAAAGGTTCTTTTCCTAAGGTCTGTTATGCAGATTTATCTTGGTGCCAACTCTCCATCTCTGGTGATATAAGTTGCTCTCCTTTTCCTGATACAGGAGATAGACACCATAACAAAGGGAAACTCATGCCCAACTTCTAGGCAGATAAAGGGAGGGTGGAGAACTCTTCTACATCTGTTGATTTTCAGTTGCCTTTGGGTCAAAATAAACCTTACGTTAAAGTGGCATATTTTGGGGTAGCGTATCCTGATCCCCTTCAAGTAAAGAAAAAAAAAAAAACAACAACACTGTGGCTTACCTAAAATCTAAATTTATCTCCCTCCCATTTAACAGTCCAGAATAAGTGGCCTGGGTCGGTAGGACAGCTTTATCATGCTCAATATATGGCTCCCAAGATTTCTTCAGCCAGCCATCACCTAAGGCACAAGTGAGAGTCCCTTTGGTTCAGACAGAATCACATGGTCACATCTAGCTGCTTAAGAAGACAAGAAATTAGTCTCTAGCTGGGCTCGTGTAAAACTTGGGGATTCTTTTACCAAAAAAAATAGAAGGGAAGATGGATATTGGGAGATTATTGGCAGTATCTACCAAAGTCATGAAGCCAACAATGGTTTGACTTAGGGAACTCTGGGGGTTGAGGACTGTGAGTATGATGTAAAAATTAATGTGAATTTTAGGACAAAGAAGATGAATAAGAGAGACAGCTTTCCCTGGGGGTAATGGGATACAGGTTGCACGAGGCAAAAAGAAAAGTGGAGCACAGAGACAGCCACTTCAGGGAACTTTCCTGTGCTGTGGGTGAGGATAATTCCACAACAAGAAGATACAAAGAAAATCTGAGAGTCACTTCTGTTCACTCACAAGATGATTTGCGAGACCCAAGAAGAAGACCTGTTAGCTTAGAGAACAGGGAGAGGATTTTTTTTTTTTTAATGACACAAAGGAGAAAGATTGAAACTTTTCTAGTCTATCCACGGCAGAGTTTATCAATCCTTTACTGAGGAACGATTCACTATCACACAAGGTCTCATGGATGGTAACCACATCCTTCCTCTTCCTTCCTCAACCAACCTCTGTAAAGAGTATTCTAGGACTCATTGTCTCTACCTTCTCATCTTTCTACCAATGAAGCAGCTCCTGTTTTGGTGTTGAGGGACATTGTTATTGCCCAATTCAGCAGTACTTTACATTCTTACATGGTGTTTCTCTGCGTCACCTATTTTAAATAATTAACCATTTCCTTCTTCCTCATATTATTTCTTGTCATGATTTCTATGACATCAGTTTCTCCTAATTCTCTCCAGCTTCATCTTCTCATTCTCCTCCCTAAACTGCTTGTCTACTTACATCGTGGTTTGTTAGAAAGAGTAGATTGGCTCACTCAAGTTGATCTTAACCTCCTCCTGAGTTTCAGGGGCTGGAAAGCTAAAAAGCTACATATCCTAAACTCCTTTGTTTCTTGAGTTCCAGACATATTTTAGATTCTGCCAATCAGATGGACTCATATAGTATGGAGACCTGAAAAGAGGCGGGTGGATGCAAGGAAGCTATTTTGGGGAAGAATCTGATAAAGGCATTTATTAGATTTTCAATAAAATCCATGTCTTAGTCCATTTTGGCTGCCTAAACAACAAATGTTTATTTCTTACAGTTCTGGAGGCTGAGGAGTCTGAGATCAAGCTATCAGTAGATTTGGTGTCTGGTGAAAGCCTACATCCTGGTTTATAGATGGCCATCTATGGCCATCATGTTATGTCTTCACATGCAGGAGGGATGGAGGGAGCTCTCTCTCTAATAAGGGCACTAATCCCATCCAGGAGAGTTCCCCTCTCATGACCTAATTGCCTCTCGAAGACCCCACCCCCTAATCCTATCATCTTGGGGGCTAGGATTTCAACAGATGAATTTGGTGGGGGGAACACAAACATTTACTCCACCACAGTCTATAAACCACAAGCCATAAACAGTCTATAAGCCATAAACAGGGTGAGTCACTGCTTTATGCCTTCTTTCTAGGAAATGCATCTGCTCTCACGTTTCCATTTCCTGTGTGCGCAGATGATTTCTATGTTAGTCAGCTATTAACGCAAAAATGCTGCATAACAAACCACCTATCTTAGTCTGTTCTGTGCTGCCATAACAGAATTACTGGAGACTAGGTAATTTATAAAAAACCAGAAATTTATTTTTCACAGTTCTGGAGGCTGGGATATCCAAGATCAAGTCACCTTCAGGTTTGGTCTCTGGTTTTAAGATGATGCCTTCCTATGTCCTCACAGGACTGAAGAGCAGAAGAGAGAGACAGCCCATTCCCACAAGCTCTTTTCATGGTGGCATTAATCTGTTCATGAGGGTGGAGCTCTCATGACCTAAACAGCTCCCCAAGGGCCCCCACTTCCCAACATGGTGGCATTGAGGTTGAGTTTCCAACATGTAAATCTTAGAGAGGACAAAAAATATTCAAACCATGGCACCACTGCCAAATTCATAGGCTTGCAACAAGCCTTTATAGTTTTTTACTCATAGGTTTATGGGTCATTTGGGGCAGCTCTGCTTCAGGCTGCAGGTCACCTGGGCTTTCTTTGGGCTTCAGATTGGGTTCTGATCTCCCCATTGCCCTTGATTGACAGTTACTCATGACATGTTCTACCCATGACATGTTCATCCCATGACAGATCAAAGAAGCTTAGGAGAGAAGCCATGTCACACAGCACATTGAAAGCTTCTGCTCTTATGTCTGCTTCTGTTTTGTTGAACAAAGTAAGATACCTGGCCAAGCTCAAAGTCAATGGAATAGGAAAGTATAATTGTCCTCCAGGGGAAGAAGGAAGGGAATTAATATTTTGTAAAAAGTTGACCAGATCAGCTGGGCGCGGTGGCTCATGCCTGTAATCCCAGCACTTTGGGAGGCTGAGGAGGGCAAATCATGAGGTAAGGAGATCGAGACCATCCTGGCCAACATGGTGAAACCCCGTCTATTCTAAAACTACAAAAATTAGCTGAGCATTGTGGCTGCGTGCCTGTAATCCCAGCTACTCAGTAGGCTGAGGCAGGAGAATCGCTTGAACCAGAGTGTCAGAGGTTGCAGTGAGCCAAGATCGTGCCACTGCACTCCAGCCTGGCAACAGAGCAAGACTCTGTCTCAAAAAAAAAAAAAAAAAAAAAAAAAAAAAGATGACCAGATCTATTCCAACTTCCAATAGAAATCTCAAGCTGAGAATATTTTTCTTGGGCTCCAGATCCTGCCTGTGAGACATCATCCCTGTGTTCATGTTGTTTCTAAGGCTGTCTTCAGAGATGACTGTGACCTACCCACAGCAGGTGGGGGTGGATATTAATAACTGCCAATTCACAGAATAAAGCAGGAAATCTCTTTCAGGAGATTGACTTGGCTCCTGCAGAGAAAAGACATACTAGAGAGGCTGGGCACTCGTGTGTATACAACTAAAAGTTCCTTTAAATATAGATGGAAATTTATCATTTAAAGCCTTTGATGATCTAGTCCCTTTCTAATTTTTCAGTTTTTATCTTTCACGGTTTTCTCTTTTGAAACTTCTGCTTTACTCAAACTACAACAAACAAAAACAAACATCATTTAAAATAAAAGAAAGAAAGGTCTTGTTTGAATACCGACATTTCCCGGCATGGGAGGATAAATTCAATTTCGTTTGCCATTTAAAAAGATATAAAATTGACACACAGCCTGAAATAACTTTTATTATATTACCAGGTTTTCAATCATCCAAATTAAATGTGAAAGTACCATTTTGTTGAATTTTTCATCTGAAAACACGTTTGATTTTGAGCATTTTTTTTTCAAAGTGAAGATGAATAAGGACTTTCAGAAGCCTCCCACCAACCTTGAACCCTGGCTTCTGCTGAAGTCTATAATTGCTTCAGACAAAAACAGGAAACCTTTGAAATAAGCTGTTTTTAAATAAAGTATTTTAAAAATTGATGTGTTCCTTCTTACACAATACTTCTCCCAAATTGGTC
Organism: Homo sapiens; assembly: GCF_000001405.40. NCBI lineage: Eukaryota > Metazoa > Chordata > Mammalia > Primates > Hominidae > Homo > Homo sapiens. The sequence continues at coordinate 38,825,724 of NC_000005.10, read as the reverse complement.
TTACCACTTAAGCTGAGTTAGGAAAACATATGACTCAGAGATGAGAGTATATATATATATATATACACTGCACCTAACATATAACTGAGACTCCTGGGAGAAGCCACATCTTAGAACTTACTGTGAGCAGAGGATAAAGATGGGTAGGTTGAAATCCCCTTAGTTTCTGCCCGAGTTTGATTTATTTATTTTTTTCCAAGGGATTTATTGTGCTGCCCACCAGAGAGATGAATTTTATCTCTGAATTTTATCAGTCCTCTCAAAATGGTGACAATCAATACCACCACAATTCCAACTTCTTATCTCGGGAGTCTAATTGTATTTTTCAAAAACTTTTTATTATGGAAAATTTCAAACATATGCAAAAGTAATGAAAAATATTATAAGGAACCTCATGTGGTTATCACCCTGCTTAAAGAATTATTTAGTCCCAGCCAATCTTATGCCATCTAAATTCTGACCCACTTTCCTTCATTCCACTGGGTAATTTGAAAGCAAATCTGAAACATCCTGTCATTTCATCTGTAAATAGTTCAGTTTGCGTCTCTAAAAGTTCATCATTACTTCACAAAATTCAACATCATTTTCAGGATGAATATTATATTGTAAATAAACATAGTGTATAAATTGCTGTTAAAGAGAAAATTCAGTTGTTTCTTGATTAGACACAATTTACAACTGAAATCACCAGGATGAATCATCCTCAATGGATGTCAGAACGTGTAAACCACAGAGGCATTAATTTATCAAACTTGGCACGAAACATATCACTTCAATTGCCCACTTTAATTGGAATATTTTTATTGTATTTATTTTAAATAAATTCAAAAAGAGTTTTTCACATTCTGCTTAGCCGCCAGTTTTTTTAAATTCTTCCCGTGACAGATCTTGAGTGATTTTCTAGGGAAGTAACTATCTTTGCAAAATTATATTTTTCCCCAATATCTATTAATAATCATGGCTTTTGAACTTTAAACTTTACATTTTCCTTCAAATCAGCTTCTTTTTCCTACTTGTATCGTAACATACACTGTCACAGTTTGCCTACCCAGTTATCAAAGTTTAAGAGGTATTAGCCTTCTATCATTGCCTCCCCACCAGGTTTCAAGTGCTTAAATTCCAACACATTTAATACTGTTATCATCAGCATTTCCCAAGTGGCTTATTGAAAATAAGGTGGTGGTGGTGGTGGTGGTGGTGGTGGTGGTGGTGGTGGTGCTGGTGCTGGTGCTGGTGGTGCTGGTGCTGGTGGTGGTGGTGGTGGTGGTGGCGGTGGTGGTAGTGGTGGTGGCCTGTGTGTACTGAGGGAAGTTTAGGGATGATAAAGACAACTCTCATTTTAGCCCTAAGCATTGGTGGTTCGCCTACTAGTTTAAAAAATTCATTATCACTACGAATTTTCACTGCCATATGATACTTCTTTCTTGTTTTCCTACAAAATTACTTGTCCTGTGTTTTTGGTTCTTTTTCTTTTTTTGAGACAGAGTCTCACTCTCTCGCCCAGACTAGACTGCAGTGGCGCAATCTCAACTCACTGCAACCTCCACCTCCTGGGCTCAAGCAATGTTCATGCCTCAGCTTCCCGAATAGCTGGGATTACAGGCATGCACCACCACGCCTGGCTAATGTGTGTGTGTGTGTGTGTGTGTGTGTGTGTATTTTTAGTAGAGACAGGGTCTTGCCATGTTGGCCAGGCTGGCCTGGAACTCGTGGCCTCAAGTGATCGACCTGCCTTGGCCTCCCAAAGTGCTAGGGTTACACGCATGAGCCACCATGCACAGCCATTACTGGTAATTTATTAGTCAATTTTTAATTTTATTTATTTTTAATTGAGATGTAACTGACAAACACTGTATGTATTTAAGATGTACAACGTGGTGTTTTGATACACATACACATTGTGAGATGATTCCCCAAATAAAGCTATTTAACCTATTTATCACTTCACATATCTGTTTTTTGGTCATCTACTCTCTGGGCAAAATTCAAATATCCAATATATTATTATTCTATAGTTATGATGCAATACATTAGATTTCCACAACTTGTGCATTTTAAAACTGTGAGGTTGTACCCTTTGACCAAATTCCCCCATTTTCCTCCATCCCCTACCCGCTAGCAAACACCGTTCTGCTTTCTGTTTCTATGAGTTAGACTTTTTTAGATAACATATATGAGTAAGATTAAGCAGCGTTTGTCTTTCTGTGCCTGGGTTATTTCACTTAGCATAATGTCCTCCAGTTTCATCCAAGTTGTTGCAAATGGCAGGATCTCCTTTTTTAAAGTTGAGTATTATTCCAGTGTGTGCAGTATGTATACACACGTATACACATGTACCCATGTATGTATGCACACGTATACACATGTACCCAGGTATGTATGCACGCGTATACACACGTACCCAGGTATGTATGCACGCGTATACACACGTACCCAGGTATGTATGCACGCGTATACACACGTACCCAGGTATGTATGCACGTGTATACACACGTACCCATGTATGTACACGTATACACATGTACCATGTATGTATGCACACGTATACACATGTATGTATAGATGTATACATGTACACACTTATGAATACATGTGTATCTACATGTACACATGCACACATGTATATGCACATGTGTATACAGGCATGTATATATGTGTGCTTACCTACGAATATACATACATACACATATCTGTATGCATATACACACGTACATATCGATATGTATATGTATACATATGTGTCCGGAATTGGTGGGTTCTTGATCTTGCTGACTTCAAGAATGAAGCTGCGGACCCTCGTGGTGAGTGTTACAGCTCTTAAAGATGGTGTGTCTGGAGTTTGTTCCTTCAGATGTTCATATGTGTCCGGAGTTTCTTCCTTCTGCTGGGTTCGTGGTCTCGCTGACTTCAGGGGTGAAGCTGCAGACCTTTGCAGTGAGTGTTACAGCTCTTAAAGACAGCACGTCCGGAGTTGTTTGTTCCTTCTGGTGAGTTTATGGTCTTGCTGGCTTCAGGAGTGAAGCTTCAGATCTTCGCAGTGAGTGTTACAGCTCATAAAGGCAGCGTGGACCTAAAGAGTGACCAGCAGCAAGATTTATTGCGAAGAGCGAATGAACATAGCTTTCACAGTGTGGAAGGGGAGGTAAGTGGAGTGGGTTGCCGCTCCTGGCTTGGTTGGCCTACTTTTATTCCCTTATCTGGCCCCACCCACATCCTGCTGATTGGTCCATTTTACTGTGAGCTCATTGGTCCATTTTATAGAGAGTTGATTGGTCCGTTTTACAGAGAGCTGATTGGTGTGTTTACATACCTTTAGCTAGACACAGAGTGCTGATTGGTGCGTTTACAAACCTCTAGCTAGACACAGAGTGCTGATTGGTACATTTACAAACCTTTAGCTAGACACAGAGTGCCGATTGGTGCATTTACAATCTTTTAGCTAGACACAAAAGTTGTCCAAGTCCCCACCAGATTAACTAGACACAGAGCGCTGATTAGTGCGTTTATAAACCTTTAGCTAGACACAGAGTGCTGATTGGTGCATTTACAAACCTCTAGCTAGACACAGAGTGCTGATTGGTGTGTTTACAATCCTTTAGCTAGACACAAAAGTTCTCCAAGTCCCCACCTGACCCAGAAGCCCAGCTGGCTTCACCTCTCAATGGCACTCTCCGCGGGACTTTGCAGCACCTAGCCCGGGCACTCTGGCAGCCCAGAGGGAGCTCATCCCCCAATCAAGCCCAGCAGGCACTGAGCCCCTGACCACCCGGAACCCGCACCGGCCTGTGAATGCCACGCGCAGCCCCAGCTCCCGCCGGCACCTCTCCCTCCACACCTCCCCAAGAGCAGAGGGAGCTGGTTACAGACTCGGCCAGCCCCAGAGTGGGGCCCCCACAGCACAGCGACAGGCTGAAGAGCTCCTCAAGTGCGGCCAGAGCGGACGCGGAGGCCGAGGAGGTGCCAAGAGCCAGTGAGGGCTGCTAGCACGTTGTCACTGCTCACATATACACGTATATACACGTGTATACATATACATATGTATATACTTGTATATACATATGTATATACTTGTATATGTATTCATGTGTATATACATGTATATAGGTGTACAGATGTATATAGTATGTATATATACATGCATGTGTACATGTATACATTGTATACAGTTTACATGTATGTATATATGTACACATGTATTCCAGTGCGTGTATATATACACATAATATATACATATATGTATATTCATATACACGCATATGCATACATATGTATATTCATATACACGCATATGCATACATATGTATATTCATATACACGCATATGCATACATATGTATATTCATATACACGCATATGCATACATATGTATATTCATATACACGCATATGCATACATATGTATATTCATATACACGCATATGCATACATATGTATATTCATATACACGCATATGCATACATATATGTATATTCATATACACGCATATGCATACATATATGTATATTCATATACACGCATATGCATACATATATGTATATTCATATACACGCATATGCATACATATATGTATATTCATATACACGCATATGCATACATATATGTGTATTCATATGTACACATGCATACATATATGTGTATTCATATGTACAATGCATGCATATGTGTATTCATATGTACACATGCATGCATATGTGTATATTCATATGTACACATGCATGCATATGTGTATTCACAAGTACACATGCATGCATATGTGTATTCACATGTACACATGTATACATAAGTGTATTCACATGTACACATGTATACATATGTGTATTCATATACATATGTATACATGTGTATATTCATATATACATATGTATACATATATGTGTATATTCATATATACATATGTATACATATGTGTGTATATTCATATATACATATGTATACATATGTGTATATTCATATATACATAGGTATACATATATGTGTATATTCATATATGCATAGGTATACATATGTGTATATTCATATATACATATGTATACATATATACACACATATACATATACATACACACAACTTTTCTTTAACCATTTGTCTATTGATGAACACAGTTTGTTTCTCTATCTTGGCTACTGGGAATAACGCTTCAATGAACATGGCAGTGCAGATATATCTGAGATACTGATTTCATTTCCTTTGGATATATGCACAGAAGTGGGATTGCTAAATCATTCAGTAGTTCTATTTTTAGTTTTTGGAGGAAACTCCATACTGTTTTCCATAATGGTTGTGCCGATTTACAATTGTACCCTTTTCTTCACATCCTCACCAACACTTAATTATTTTTTGATTTTGTGATAATAGCCATCCTAGTAGGTTTGCGGTCTTATCTCATTGTGGTTTTGATTTGCAGTTCCCTGATGACTAGTGATGTTGAGCACCTTTTCATATACCTGTTGGCAATCTGTATGTCTTCTTTGGAAAAATGTCTTTTCAGGTCCTTTGCTCTATTTTTAATCACGTTATGAGTTGCATGAGTTCCTTATGCATTTTGGATATTAAGCCCCTATCAGATATATGGTTTGCTGTGCAGGAATTTTTTAGTTTGATGTAGTGCTACTTATTTGTGTTTGACTTTGTTGCCTGTGCTTTTGGTGTCATACCCCCAAAAATTATTGGCAAGCCCAGTGTCAAAAACTTTTCTTCTCTCTTTTCTTCCAGGATTTTTATAGTATCAGGACTTGTATTTAAGTCTTCAATCCACTTTGAGTTGATTTTTGTATATGGTGTGAAATAAGAGTCCATTTTCATCCTATGGCAAGTAAATATCCAGTTTTCACAACACCGTTTACTGAAGAGACCATCCTTTCCCCAATGTGTGTTCTTGGCACCTTTGTTGAAAATGAATGGACTAAATTCATAACTTGGCCTCTGGGCTCTCTATTCTGTCCCACTGGTCTCTGTGTCTGTTTTTATGGCAGTACCATACTGTTTTGACTACTATAGCTTTGTAATAAAATTACAGATGCCTTACCATTCCATGTCATTTCCTTCTGCTCTGTCCACACCATTTTGAATAATTTATTCCTTAAACTCCTTTCAGATTACCAAAGTATTTCCTAATAATTGGTTGTATGTGCATTAAATATCTCTAGAAGGAAACACAAAAAAACAAGTAATCATTTTCTATGAGCTAGGAAACTGGGTGGGGAAAAAAACTTTTCATTGTATACTTTTACAATTCTTATTTTTGAATAATGTGGATGCATTAGCTATATATGTGCATGCATAATATATATACAAATATACATAAATGTGTATGTAGATATATAAATAAATAAAATGCAGTAATATCTAATATAACTATTTTTCTGTATATTTACTCTAACATGAAAACTTTTTTTTAATTTAACTTTTATTTTACATTCAGAGGTACATGTGCAGGTTTGTTATATAAGTAAACTTGTGCCATGGGGGTTTGTTGTACAGATTATTTCATCACCCAGGTTTAAGCCTAGTACCTATTGGTTATTTTTCCTGATCCTCTCCCTCCTCCCACCTTCCATCCTCCCATAGGCCCCAGTGTATGTTGTTCCCCTCTATGTGTCCATGTGTTCTCATCACTGAGCTCCCACCTGTAAGTGAGAACATGCTGTCTTTTTTTTGGCAGGGGGGAGGGGCAGTGAGACAGAGTCTCGCTCTGTCACCCAGGCTGAAGTGCAGTGGCATGATCTCAGCTCACTGCATCCTCCGCCTCCTGAGCTCAGATGATCTTCCCACCTCAGCCTCCCGAGTAGCTGGGATTACAGGCATGTGCCACCATGCCTGTCTAATTTTTGTGTTTTTAGTAAAGACAGGGTTTCACCATGTTGGCCAAGCTGAGAACATGCGGTCTTTGGTTTTTGGTTCTTGCACTGGTTTGCTAAGAATAATGGTCTCCAGCTCCATCCATGTTCCTACAGAGAACGTGATATCATTCTTTTTTATAGCTGCATGGTATTCCATAACATGAAAACTTTTACTGTGGCACATCTTTAGACTTTTGTACTTTTTATAGGATTACTTCTGTATTTTAGGAGGAGATTTGGAATTCCTCATTAGTATCTACATAATAAAGTATAGTTTTTCTGGGAATAAAACTATTTGAAACTAGACATCTAAAATTAAATCATGAAGTAAAAGTGAACTCAGCTTTAAAAAATAATTGAAAAGTTAAGTTGCCTTTAAAAAGTAATTCCTCATATTACCTAAATTGATACTTAGCTATATTGTGTGAAGATATTTCTAGACCAAGGACATCTTTAACCTGTGAATTAAAGTCTCTATTCATGGCTTTTTTTTTTTTCTTTAACTATGGAGACCTTAGGAGCTAGAGAGATACAATAAAAGGAAGAAGAGTTTTTTTTTTTAATGACATCTGCTTAAAGGAGGAGAAGTCATTAGATCTATTATCTTCCTACATCAACCAACTATAAAGGTAAAATAAACTATTTTTCAGATAAACAAGATCTCAAAAAATTTACTTACCATGCACCCTTTCCAAGGAAAGTACTGATAGATGGGCTCCACCAGAACAAGGAAGTAAACCAAGAAAGAGTGAAACAAGAGATTCAATGCAAGAAAGATGTAAAGGAAGTCTCTAAATTAATGGGAAAGGAGATTCCAAGAAAACAGTAGGCAATCCTAGGTATCGATCATCCAATTAATGTGGTCCAGAAGGTTCTAGAAGAGACATCTTCCAAAAAGTAAAAGTGATAGTGTACTTAATTTGTTTGAATGTATAAAGAGGAGATTTACAGGGGGAGTGTTTGGAAATTAGTGATAAATACATAGAAAACTAAGCAAATGGAAAAACAAGTCAGACATTCACTTTAGGGAAAGAAAATGTAAGGGGAAAAGCAATCATATTCTATTATATTACTGAGCTTTCTTTGTCACTTATGTATTGTCATAATAACATGTTTACTGGGCACTGATTCTAAGTTTACTGGGATGGTGGGTAGATGGGAATTGTTCTCTCTCTCTCTCTCAATCCCTGTATGTGTGTATGTGTAAGAGAGCAATATGTTCAGTTTCCATAGAGGTAAGTTGATGGTAATGCTAAAACAGAAAAATTTTTAAAAAGTAGCAATATAAACATTTTTTCCAGGGATACGCAAATAATATATCAGAGGAGCTGAAACTAATTGCCTCTGGAAAACTGGTAATGAGAGCAAAAAGAAAGGCTGCTCTTTCTCATAAAATCTATAGAGTTATTTGACTCTTGTCATAGGCCGATTCTCTGGAAAGTAGATTCTGAGATGGATCCAAGAGTTTTATTGGGGAGTATTCTTGGCATCAAGGAAGAGACTGGAATGAAGAACAAGGGAGCCTGTTCTTTATAGGTCAGCTCCTTTGGGGAGGTGGCAGGGTGGACGGTGGATCTAAGAGCAAATAGCATATTCATCACATGGAATGTGTTTGTGCTCATGTCATAGAAGTTGGAGAACAGAACCTTCAGCTCTTTTAACTTGGTTTCTTAAAAAATAACATGTTATTGTCATACACATGTCTTAATTCAGTGGTTGTTCTACACTCAAGATGCCTTCCATAGAAACCTGCCTTCCAAAAAAAGGAGGTATGTGGGTAACACAAAAAAGATCTGGGTATTCTTGCATGTCAGAGTTTGGGAAGCACTCTGTTAAATCCATTGTCACTCAGATTTATTTGTCCATAGACCCATTTTCAAATCACATGATGCTATCCTAAGGAATACACTAATAAACTCATTTAATTATTGTTGAGCTTTCTTCAAGAATGCAATCCCCAATGTTGTCATTGTTCTTAGAAGGAAACATAACTGTCTTTAGGAGGAAGATTCCAAGAATTGGTTGGTTGTGGTGAAAACAGAGTCTGCCTATACATGCCTGGGTGAGCATTGAAAAATGGAAACAAAACAAACAAAACACACCTCAGGCAAAAGAGGAGAACCAGGGGAAAGAATAAAAATAGGGGTGAGGAGTGGAGCTGTTTTGAACCAGGTTTGAAAAATGCAGTAAGCATCAAGGGGAGTCATAAGAGCACAAATGGGAAGCCATTTTTTTTGCTTGTTTTTAAATAAAAGTTTAGAGGAGGGGAAGGCTTTCTCCCCAGGAGGCTGGGTGGAGGAAAAGGATCTGATTAAGGAAGAGGTGGGTTGGATTCCAGGAAAGGCAGGCAACTACACTGAGGTTCAGGTGAATGAGATCATTTAGTTTCAACCTAAACTGGCTGTGTCTGGAGCAGCCAGACGTCAGGAGCCTGGGATCTGCCAGGGAATCTGCAAAAACAGGAGCAAACCAGCCTGGGGGGAAAGGAATGGAAAGTGCAGGGCATGACTTAAGTGTTAGGTTTGATCAGTCAAGATCAGTGACTCTCAGTGTGTCTGTGATTGTGTCTGTGATTTTTCCACCTGTGTTTAATCTGTTGTGTAAAACTTCCCCAGGCTGGGCTAGCTTTATTCTCTGAAACGGAGACTGTAATAAATGTCTTCCCCATTGCAGAGGTCTGAGATAAAGAACAGTAAATTAAATTTATTAAGGAGGTAGGAGATACCAATGAAAAGATTGGAGATTAAGGAAATAGAAAACAGATATACTGTAGAAAGTATCAATATAGTAAAAATTTGATACTTTGAAAATATGAAAAAAAAACCTGACAAACTCCTGGCTGGGGGGAGGTTTGGGAAAACAGAGTGGTCTTTTGATTCTAAGATGACCCTCTAGAGAATAAAAAAAAAAATGTGTGCACATCTTTATCTTTGGTCTTATAAGAGTGGGTGAAGGAAGTGAACTGGGTGAACATGAAATTACTTGTAATTGAGTAAGCCTGGGAAAATTTCACTAAGAGAGCTAATGGTGGATGTGAGGATAATCTTTACAGGTTCTAAGCATTTTTCTCTTCTGAAACTGTGTGTGTGTATGTGTGTGTGTGTGTGTGTGTGTGTGTGTGTGTGTGGTCAGAGGAGGGGAGGGGGGGCAGGTGGTTGTTTAAAATATTAAATAGGTACAGCTGGGTGTGGTGGCTCACGCCTGTAATCCTAGCACTTGGGAGGCCGAGGCAGGCAGATCACCTGAGGTCAGGAGTTCAAGACCATCCTGGCTAACATGGTGAAACCCTGTCTCTACTAAAAATACAAAAAATTAGCCAGGCATGATGGCACACGCCTGTTGTCCCAGCTACTCTGGAGGCTGAGGCAGGAGAATGGTGTGAACCCAGGAGGTGGAGCTTGCAGTGAGCCAAGATCGTGCCACTGTACTCCAGCCTGGGTGACAGAGTGAGACTGTCTCAAAAAAAAGAAAAAAATTAAATAGATACTAAAAAACATTAAAATATATATGTAGGGTAACAAAATTATTGTGATAAAAGCCAATAAGTGGTTGCCAGGGCTTAGGGCTGGGAGGAGGGTAGGACTCTCAAGAGGAAGGAAATTGTTTCTTAGTGTTAATGGATCAGCTCTGTATTCTGATTGTGATGGCAATTACAGGAATCTATACATGCAATAAAATGTCAAAGAGCTACATACACACTCTCAAAAATTGTATATGTAAAAACTAGTGAAATCTGAATAAAGCCTGCCATTTAGTTCAATGTCAGTTTCCTGGTGTTGTGAATTGAACTTGTCTTATGCAAGATTATATCATTGGAGGAAGCTGGATGAAGGGCTCATAGGAACTCATTGAACTCAAATTTCTATTTGAAATTTCTATATGAGTATGAAATTATTTCAAAATAAAGAGCTTAAAACACTTGCGGGGGGGGGGGTGTTAAATAATAAGAGTACGACAGGTGTTCATTACCAACCACCCACTTGAAGAGTGCATTACCATTACTTTAGAAAGCTTTAAAGCACTCTTTCCCAACCTCTTCCCTCTCCCTCTCCCATCAGAGACAACTACTAACTAGATTTTTGTATTCATTATCTCTTTGCTTTTCTCTATAGTTTTAACTTCATGTATTTATATCCTCCTAAATGTATTTAGTTTTGTGTGTTTTGAATGCTATGTAAATTGAGTCATTCTGCATATATTCTTCCACCAGTTGCTTTTTAACTTAACATTTCCTTTCTAAATCTCATCTGTGTAGCTTTTTTTTTGAGATGGAGTCTCGCTCTGTTGCCCAGGCTAGAGTGCAGCAGCACAATCTCAGCTCACTGCAACCTCTGCCTCCCGAGTTCAAGCAATTCTCCCTGCCTCAGCCTCCCAAGTAGCTGGGATTACAGGTGCCCACCAGCATTCCTGGCTAATTTTTGTATTTTTAGTAGAGAGGGGGTTTCACCATGTTGGTCAGGCTGGTCTTGAACTCCTGACCTCAGGTGATCTGTTCGCCTTGGCCTCCCAAAGTGCTGGGATTACAGGCATGGGCCACCACACCCAGCCATCTGTAGCTTTTTTATTTCTTCATTGATGTATTCATTGTGAATACACCACAATTTATTCCATTGTTAATCAACATTTGGTCTGTTTTCAGTTTTTTTTTTTCTCCAATTACAAACAGTGCTGGTATAAACATTCTTTTCCATGCCTCCTAGTAAACAGTGCAAGAATTCCTCTAGGGAATATACCTAGGGGTGAAATTTCTGGGTCAGAGAGTTCAGCTACTTTTTGTATTTACTAAATGATGCCAACTTATTTTCCAAAGTGGTGTAACTACTGCTGCACATTCTCAGTCACATCGGGTATTGTCAGGATTCTTACTTCTTGTGTGTGTGGTAAATATAAAATGGCATCTGATCACTGCTGTTCTAATTTCTCCCCAATTTCTAGTAAGATTGAGCATTTTCCATGTATTTGTTGCCATTTCTTTCTCTTCTGTGAAACACACATGTAACATTTCTGCTCATTCATCAGTTGGATTGTTCATTTTTTTCTTACAGGTTTATAGAGTTCTTTGTATATTCTGGGGCTTAATTCTCTATGTTATGAGTACCTTCTCCCAGTTTCTGACACTTATTTTTTTACTTTCATTACAGTGTCTTTTATTTTTATTTTTTATTTTTTGAGATAGGCTCTCACTCTTGCCCAGGCTGGAGTGCAGTAGCACGATTATGGCTCACTGCAGCCTTGACCTACCAGGCTCAAGCGATCCTCACACCTCAGCCTCCCAAGCAGCTGGGACTACAGGTGTGTACTACCATGCCCAGCTGATTTTTAATTTTTTGTAGAGACGGCATCCTACTGTTTCCCAGGTTGGTCATTACAGTGCATTTTAAGGAACGTAAATTCTTAATTTTAATGTGGTTGATCTCATTTTAAGAATCATTCTATTTATAATATACATATTTAGAAAGTCTTTATAAACTAGGAAGCTATAAAATTATCAATGTATATTAATTTTTGATAAGTTTTGTAATTTTGCTTTTCAAATTTAAGTCTTTAGTACACCAGAAATTGGCTTTTTGTGTGATATAAGAGGTCCAATTTTATTTTTTTAACACATGAGTAATATGTTTTCCCCATAACCACATATTGAAATAATTAATATTTCCTCCAAGTGTCTGCAATGCCAGCTCTAGGAAAAAAAAATTTCTATGCATGTGTGTTATGTTTCTGGATTCTATATTCTGTTGCCCTGGTCCATCTATATGATTTATCCCAATACCACACTATCTTAATTGCTATAGCCCTAGAACAATTGTAATATCTGGAGGACAAGATCTCCTGTAGGGTTCTTCTTTTTGAGTGTCATGTCTTTTCTTGGTCCTTGGCTCTTTCATATTCATTTTGGGATTAGTTGCCAGGGTTCCTGAGAAGCTCATGGAAATTTCTATTAGGATTATATTAAATACATAAAGTCATGTGCCTCCAAGTGTATGTGCTTATATACCTGATAACATTTTGCAGCCAAGTAGATCATATGTAGAACATTATAATTCATCAGATCATTGTGGCATATCAGAGGCAGGGGGTTGGTTTGGCATGGAGTTGCATGAAGTTGGTGCTTCTTTCCCAGCTCCAGTACATCAAAATTTAACAACAATATGGAAAGAGAGTTTATGCTCAAATTGCCATGAACAGAGTTTTCACCTACAAAGGGTTGTTCCAAAATCAGAAGATGTCAGGAATTGCTATTACTATTACATGAGTACAGTGAATTGCTGTTGCAATTCCAGTGAAGTTTGTATTTCTGGTGTGCTTTGTACAAAACATTGCAATCAGACCTGAAAGCAAATGCTATAGAATACAGCAGTCAAAAAAGTCTTTGGTCTTTAGTATGGCTATCCATGTCTTCTTATCCATAAAGAATTTGTAATAATTTTTCAGAACAAAGACTCTTGATCCAATTCAGATGAGAATGTGTGATTATACAAATATGGGTGCAGGATGAACATAAAAAATAGGAAGAATGTAGACTACTCTGCTCTCAGATCAAATTAATATTCCTTTTTTTGCAGTTTAATTAGGCATAAATAAAAAGCCACGTGAAGCCTGGAGATACTGGACATAGCAGATTTGTCAAGCCATTTTTCCCACCACCAGTGCCTGAGCACGACCTCATTTGTCTTGGTCAATGAAGCTCAAGGAAGCATTGCACTTTGGCTTCCGCTTTAAGTTTTGTATGTTGATATGTATCCCATGTCTTCTAACAATAAAGTGCTATTTCACTGACATTAATCACTGTCAAAGGCTTTCTGGTAAATTCTTTAGGCACTCGCCTTGCGGGAAAAGGCATCGGTTTGCCATACCCTAAGAAATGGGCTGTTCATAATGTTGTGTTGTAACTTGATTCTTGTGAGGCATTGGTTGAATAGAATAATAGACCAGAGTCAATGACGATACACAGTGGCTAGCCCTTCAAAGATGGCTCCAAAAATTAATTCTTGTTTTTATTTGCCTACAGTGTCAGTTCAATTGACTAATAATATGACTCTTGGTCATATTAATATGATTAAGAAAAGGTACCACTTTTCAAATAGTCTAGGTGTTTAGTCTAGGTGTTTAATCTAAAATTACATAAGAGTTTCTTGCTGTTTGGGGGTATAGGGTAGCCAGGCAGGATCCTTGCACTTAAGAAACTTAAAATGTAATACATGAAAAAGCAAGTGAACAAAAAAAACCTTGATTATCAATTGGTCAACTGCATTAATTGAGCATCCATTTGAGATAGAGCAGTGGTCTTCAAACTTTTTTGAATGCTTTTCTCCTAAAAGAATTTTTTTTATTATTATTATACTTTAAGCTCTAGGGTACATGTGCACCACATGCAGGTTTGTTACATGTGTATACATGTGCCATGTTGGTGTGCTGCACCTCCTAAAAGAATTTTTAAAAGCTGGACACCTGCTCCTATTTCTGCTGCCAATGTGAAGGTATCAAAAAGAAATTGCCATTGGGGGCTGCTACGCAGGCACAATACGCTATGCTAATTAACGAAGACCGCTTCAGGTAGGATCAAAAAACATGGCTGGTTTATTAGGATGCGAGAAAACTCGGGTTTGTTCCTTTAAATTCTAGAATGATTAAATACTAGTTAACATTTAAATTAAGTGCCTGCATGTGCCAGGTCTTATTGTAAGCACCTTATATGGTTTATGTCATTTAAACGTCACAAAAACCCTATGAATTAGCCTCATTTTATAGAGAACTAAGGTTACTGAAGTTGAAGTAATAGGGAAGCGAGCTCGACCCCAGGCATTTGGCTCCAGAGCCCATATTGACAACCACTGTATTCTCCTAACCCTTTAAAGGCAAAGACTGTCTCTTCTCAGTGCGGTTATCAAAACACTTTTTGCCTGGAACCTAGAGGCATTCTTGAGTCTCTGTTTCCACAAAGATTTGTATGTTTCAGATGGGAAGGGCTGCTCCCATCTGGACGTGGTCTCCAAGGATGTTTTGGGTGTGCTGCATTTTCTTTTCTTTTCTTTTTTTTTTAGACGGAGTCTCACTCTGTTGCCCAGGCTGCAGTGCAGTGGCACGATCTCGGTTCACTGCAATCTCCGCCTCCCGGGTTCAAGCGATTCTCCTGCCTCAGCCTCCTGAGTAGCTGGGATTACAGGCGCCCGCCACCATGCCCGGCTAATTTTTATATGTTTTTCGTAGAGATGGGGTTTCACCATGTTGGCCAGGTTGGTCTCGAACTCCTGACCTCAGGTGATCCGCCCGCCTCGGCCTCCTAAAGTGCTGGGATTACAGGCGTGAGGCACAGTGCCCGGCCGGGTGTGCTGCATTTTCAGCACGTACACCAAGTGTCTCCTCATGGGGCTAATGTGTGGGAGCTGGGAAGCCACAGTTCACTTTCCAGAACCCAAAAGGGGCAAAGTGACATCATAAAATTGTCAGAATGTCCCTTGACACAACCGTACTTGTTTGTCTGCAGCACGGTGTCGAGCCCCTCTTCCCTTCTGGACATGAAGACATTGCCCAGAAGTAACTCTTTAACTTAAGATATCTTTAACGTAAGATAGAATCAAGTTCTTTTTGAAGCAAAAACTGCATAGTCACAGCTGTTACTAGAAAAAAAAAAAAACAACAAGTTCAGAGAATCAAGCACTTGTCCTCGTAGGTTTTGATTACTATTGCCTTTGGGTCAGATTCTCTCATTAGAGTCAAATAAATGTTTTCCATCATGACCAAAAAATGTTTTATACAAATTCCATTTCCCAGAACTCTGTGAATGAAATGGAAACCCCCTTTTCTGGTTGTGGAAAAAAACCAATCCAAAACAAACCCCACAACCTCCCAGCTCCATCTTTCTTAAGTACCCCCTGGTTTTGCTAGGTGGCGCCATAGGCTAATGCATGGGTCTTCCTCGGCTTCCCGGGCGGCCGCCTTCTGTGAGGCAGGAACAAAGGCCTCTGCGGTTCCCTTGGAGTTTAAGATCAGACCAGCCCACAGGAGATGAGATCCATTTGCCAAGACTCGCCTCTGTCGTGTTAGGAGCTGCCCCCTCCCCTCTCCTGATTGATCACAGCTGGTAGTGAGGGGATTCTTGGCCATGTGCTTTAGCCGTTCTTGAGGGAAATTCTGGGGGATCTTAAACTTGATCCTAAATATTGCGTTTCTCTCTATCTAAGTCTCCTAAAAATTGTTCATGTATTTGGGGAGGAAGGCTCACGCTCATACTGAAGAGTGAAAGGAAGGGGACAATAATTCAAAGGCTTGCACCAACTCCCTCCCAATCCCCTGCACAAGGTTAATGTGTGGGGAAATCCCTGTCCTTCCTGAGAGCCCTGATGTTTCCCAGTCTGGCAGGGGCCAGGACAACCTTTCTCCATCCTGCAGGTCACAGAGCCAGCTTGTTGTGGAGGAACAGGAGGCCCTGTTGTAGGAGGGGTGGCACAGGTCCCACAAGCCCTATGGGGTTTGGAGGACACCCAGGCGCCTACTGACTTAGCAAGAGACTCCCCTTTCCCACCCTGCTAGAGGCCTGAAGCTCCAAATTACTGACTTCTTTGCCTTAAAGCATTAGAGACTCCCCGAACACAAATATGACAGAAAAGCTTTACTTGGAAATGTTGGAGGATGAATTGCAAAATGGCACTGCTCGGAGAGATCCCCAGGGAGGAGCTGGTCGTGGACCGGGCGGGGCGGCGAGGGCTGCAGGGAGCAAGAGCAGAACACTGGAGTGGAGGCGACTTCACTGCCTTCGCGCCTCCGGTAGGAACCACGGCTTCCTTCTGCCTGCAGTGTCTGCAGCCTGGGAGTCCCCCAGATCCGTGTGATGGCCAAGGCCGCATGCCCCGGAGAATCTGGATTTCGAATACTGTCCTGATAGCTGCCTAAACACCCACATAGTAGTCCTCCCATGGGTCCTGGTTGGGGTTCAAACACATTCCTACCCTACCCAGCCTTCCCTGAAATCCGCGTCATGCTGAGGGCAGCCCTGACAGTGGCCGCGGGTCCTTGTTGAGGACGCAAGAGGAGGAGGAGCCTCAGCCAGGTGAAAGATCGTCCATATATTCCAAGAAGGAAGCTTCATAAACATGCAAACCTGCACAGCACAGGACACACTAGTAGGAATGCTCTTAACATTGCAAGTCAGAGGACAGATTCCAGAAAATAGAAGGGAGAAAATACATAAGTAATATATAAAAGTCAAAACGGGAAGGAGAAGAGCTTTTAAAAATTGACAAAAAACATATTCATATATAGAGATTATATATTAATGTATATATGAATATATATGACATATATATAGTCACAAGAAGAAAAACACAAAAACTCCAAAATTAGAGCGAGAAGAATCTGGGAATAAAAACATACATATCTATGGATTTTTCATGACTATATTTTGAGTTCACTTCTGATACTCATCCAAAAGATATTTATTTGAGCAATTGTAGGAATGTGTATGATGCCATGTCCATCTCAGTATCTCTGTTTCAACCTTGAGGAATCTATCAGCCCTTCCTGCATTTATCTCTGTCACAGGAACAATGCTTCTTTTGGCAGTAAACATCAGTATACTTAAGTGCCATGAGTCATATTTTCAATTTTTAATTAAATCATGGTCTAGCTAAGGTTTGATTTATTTTGGCCTGAATTAATTTAGACCCTGGTCCACATAAATTTACATAGTTTATTTAATCCAGCTCATGACTGCATAGATTGTAAAATCCCTTAGATAGCTACAGTGTAGATTGTGAAAATCACCCTCTTATCAAGCAAAGAGTGGTAGAATATAATCTCTGGGGGTTGTGGTAACTTCATTCTTAAAACTAGCATCACGAAAGAAATGTGTTGTATTCCTAAATAAAGGCTTTTATGAGATCATCTAAAGATATTGCATCCCATATGTTTTCACTCTAAAAGTTTGAATGATACGGTAAAGCCTCATTAAGTGGTGCCGATGCATGCTTTTTCTTTCTTTCCCAGAATGGTTATAGAAGGTCATAAATCTATATAGTAAGCACCCTGCAAAAAGCTCATCTGCCGCACTCAAATATAGTAAACACTGTTTAAACAGCAGAAGTGTGAGTCATACCGGTATCATTTTCCTAGAATTCTGATAAAAAAGCATCATGGCTAATTAATGTTCCCAAGAAAGGGTCACAGCTTACAGGAAATGAATCGGAAGGTGACAGGAAGAAAGGGTGGGGAGCTCAGAACGCTCTGGCTCAGGATTGTTGGCAAGATCCTTGTTCCTGCAGCCAGGAATTGACAGCAATCATGAGGAAGAGAAGAAATCACGCTGCACATTGAAACTCAGAATTTTTTTTTTGACACGGAGTCTCACACTATCGCCCAAGCTGGAGTGCAGTGGCACGATCTCCACTCACTACAACCTCCGCCTCCTGGGTTCAAGCGATTCTCCTGCATCAGCCTCCCGAGTAGCTGGGATTACAGGCTCCCGCCACCATGCCCGGCTAATTTTTGTATTTTTATTAGAAATGGGGTTTCACCATGTTGGCCAGGCTGGTCTTGAACTCCTGACCTCGTTATCCACCCGCCTTGGCCTCCCAAAGTGCTGGGATTACAGGTGTGAGCCACCACGCCCGGCTGAAACTCAGATTTAACCAGACTGGAAATGCAGGGACAGAGAGACAGAGAGAAGATGGAGAGGAGGGAAGGATGATAGGAGATGATGACCAGAGGGTTGGGGGGTAAAGATTGGGGTTCAGGGGAAAATAGCTGACAGAACAGCATTGAAACCCCCCTCTGCTACTGATTTGGTCTGGGCCCTGCAGTTAAGTTGTTTTTGTGGGTTTGGGGTTTCATGGCACTTCTGAATGTTAAATATGATTGGATGAGCACAGCTGGCAATTCAGCATTCATGACTCAGCTGAACTTGTGACCTATAGCAGGACATCTCGTAACCCTCAGAGGAGAAAGTGAGTCAGATGCATTTTCTGCAAAAACGAAATTTGCCTTGTGGGAAGAAAGAATGCTCCTCATGCATGTGTGTTGGGTGGAGCATAGATGTTTGCCCTGCCTGCCGTCCAGGAGGTGGGGGCTGGGTGGAGGTGGGAGGAGCCGAGACCAGGCCAGCATGGAGGTTCTCAGGCTGCTTTCTTGTCTTCAGCTCATTCTTTATATTGGGTTGCACCCCCTGCATTTCCAAACAAACCATCAGGACACAAGGTCCATCAAAGGATTCTTTTTTCTCACGAATGGGTTGATGAATAGGATACATTTGCAAAGGTCTGAAAATCAAATTAAATTTTCATTACATGCTTAATGAACTTATTTGTCAGACAGAAATCAGTATTCTTCCAGGAAATCTGGAAAGAGTGGGTATCATGCTTCTAGCAATTCCTGAAAATCCTCATGTATTATTAATTTTCCTGGAGGGAGGGACTATGAGAGCCATTGTTGGTTTGCAACACCAAAAGCTTAGCTTTGTCTCAAGAAGGTATACTAAAACTTCTTTCTAAAGATGCTGTCTTGATGTGCCTTATTGCACTTTTGACAGGGGTTTGGGGGTGGGGAGGAGATGACTATTGAATAATCCAGTCAGATGTCTGGTATTGCAAATCCCTAAACCTTGGGGCAATTTGGGCTGATCCCAAGGAATTGGAACACATTAGCAGAACTCTCTTCCCTACTCGGTGCCCGGCAAGGGAACCGATGATCCCATTGTGCATGCAGTGAGAAGAAAAGTTGGGTTTCAGTGAGAATCTAAGTACTGTTTGCCAATCCATCAGCAAACACTGGAAAGTCCCATTTGCATGTGATATTGTTTTTGTAAAAATGATGCCTTCACTGAATGGAAATAAGAAGTCAAGAAAACCTGAGTAATATTTACACTTTATCACAGGAGTTGAGGCTTATGCTCAAAACCCAGCTCCACAACTAACTAGCTGTTTGGGCGTGGACATATCATGTTATTTCTTCGAGTCTCAGTTTCCCAGGGGGACTGGGTTTTTTAATCAGTGCAAGCCTGCTCAGCTCTAAACCATCTTTCAAGCCTTCTAAGTTTCTTTTATTGTATTTTGGATACATCCTGGAAATGCAGGGCAAGTAATTGATTTTTCCAGATCTCCCACTATTGTTTTCAGAGTGTATACAGTAGATATTTTTTGGACAGGGAAGTTACTATATCACCTACATTTTTATGGTAAAAATGTACTTTTAATGATATGAAAAGGTCTCAACCTTTTTGAATGTACATAGGCCACAGAACCAGACTTGGCCCTTGCAGGTTCATCTTAAAGAGTAGACATCATCACTGAAGTAGTGTTGCCAGTAATCTGACAGAAACAACACTAACCTACATCTAACTTAGATCTATGCAGAACAAAAAGGAGTTCTGGGAGGTCTAATATGGGTAAGGATAGTTGGAGAAGGGATGGAGTTAGGCAAGAAAACCTGACAGGAGCCAGGCCAGACCCTCCCTGAGCTGGGAGGATGTGCTTAGGTAAGCAGGCAGCCCCTTTCCTGCTGAAACCTTACTAGTGACCTCTTCTGCTCTCACTGGGGCATGGAAAATGGGAAGGAATGACATTTTCTGCCTTGGTAATTGTTTGTGCATAGATGCTTTATGGCCTAGTAATCTACTAAACAGCTGGTACCATGTCCTGTACTGAATAGAGGGAGATAATCTTCTTAAATTTTGGTTGGATCCCAGCCTCTCTTACCTTTCCTGAAGTTAATATTGCAGTGCCTAAAAAGGCTCTTTTCCCAAGGATTCTGTAAAGTCTAATAGCATTACAGAGCATGGGAGGGGTGATGAAACCAGCCAGCTTGCTCTATTTTACTGCCATAAGTGCAAACCTCTACACCTAGGGGTGTGTGTGTGTGTGTGTGTGTGTGTGTGCACGTGCATATGTATGGGGCAGGGAAGGGAAGGGAGATTATGGGAGAGAGACCTTCCTGGGCATTGGAAAGGTGACTGTGATGGTTAGTTTTATGTGTCAACTTGGAGAGTATTTTTGGATGAATTTAACATTTAATTTGATGAACATTAATAGCAGATTGCCCTCCATAATGAGGGTGGGTCTTAGCCAATTGAAGGCCTGAATAGAACAAAAAGACCAGCCTCCCCGAGCAGGGGTGAATCCTCCTGCAGACCGCCTTTGGACCTCATCTGCACCATCAGCCCTCCTGGGTCCCTAGCCTACCAGTCCACACTATAA
Organism: Homo sapiens; assembly: GCF_000001405.40. NCBI lineage: Eukaryota > Metazoa > Chordata > Mammalia > Primates > Hominidae > Homo > Homo sapiens. Next base: position 38,804,704 of record NC_000005.10, on the reverse strand, counting down.
CAGCCTGCATAACTGTGTGAACCAATTCCTTATAGTAATTCTCTTTATATATGTACAAGTATCTCCATCCCATCGGTAGATCCCCATCCAATAGGTCTGTTTCTCTGGAGAACTCTGACTACTCCAGTCTTTTGTGAACTTCCCTATTTCCTCACTCTTCTCTTCTCTCTTTACATCCTACAGTTGTTTCCCTTAAGTCTTCATCCCCTCTGTTATTGCAGGTGGGGTTCCCTGGGAAGCAGACTCTGAGACAGAGTTAAGAGTACAGGATGTTTATCAGGCAGTGCCCTTGGGATCAACATCTGGGAAAAGGATGGAGCAGAGTAGGATTGGGTTGAAGGAGAAGTAGAACTTCGAAGTGACCAATAGCAACCTCAGCCAACTGCAAGGGGAGCTCTGAAGCTTACATGGCCTGCCAGACCTGTTCCATGCTGGGCTGAAAGGCAGGCCCCAATGTGCCAACCTCAATCAGCCATTAAGTGTGGGCTGCCTGCGGGACAGCAAGCCCTTGGGTCAGGCATCTCTCTGCAGCTAAGACTGACCTGAAGGGCTGGAGGTGAAGGCTGTCCACCACCTGCACCCCTGACAGGTGAGGCAATGGGGCCTTCCTGCATGTGGAAGCTGGGTGGTGCGTCTTTATGTCCACCATACCTTAGTTGGAGACTGTCATCCACCTGTAGACATTTCCCCCATTTTTAAGTACCTGATGATTATCCGGATGCTTAGCTACCCCCAATAAAGACAACAGTTCTCAACCTCTCTTGGAGCTAGGTGCGGCTCTGTGACTCCTTTTTGGGCAATGGAATATTAGCAGAAATGTGTGTGCAGCTTCCACAGCGTATCCTTAAGTGGAAGAGTAGGTGTTTTTCTTCTCTCCTTTTCCTTCTTACTGACTGGGAGACAGATGTAATAACTTGGGCTCCAGCAGCCACTTGGACCATGAAGTTACCTTGGAAATGAAAAGTGTATGTGGCATAAAGTTAGAGAAGACTCTTCGCCCCGTAGATTATTTACCAGCCCAGCTCTGGCTGCCTCTAGACCTCTTGAACATGAGAGAGACGTAATCTTTCTTATTTCAGTCACTCTCACTCAGGAATTTTCTGTTTCTTACAGCTGAAACCAATTCTGATATATAGATAGTCCCTGACTTATGATGGTTTCACTTACAATCTTTGGACCTTAAGAGGGTATGAAAGTGATACATATTCAGTAGAAGGCAATAGGATACTCTCTTTCGATGCTGGGTGGTGCCAGTGAACTGCAGCTCCCAGTCAGCCACGTGATCGCAAGAGTAAACAACCAATGCTCTGCTGTGTACCGTATTCAGTAAGTTACATGAGATATTTGACACTTCATTGTAAAATAGGCTTTGTGTCAGAAGCTTTTGCCCAACTCTAGACTAATGTAAGTGTTCTGAGCACGTTTAACATAAATGAGACTAAGCTATAATGTTCAATAGGTTAGGTGTATCAAATGCATTTTGACTCATGATATTTTCAACTTCATAATGGGTTTATCGGGATGTAACCCCACTATAAATCCAGGATCATCTGTATTATCTCATCGTTCTTCCTCTACTTCTCTTGCTAAGATAAAGCCCACCACTGCATAGAAAAATAATCAAGTCCTACACCATTGGGTTCTTTCTAGTGTCTTGAAACCTCAGTCATCATCTCCAGTGGTCTTTCTCCTTGGCCCATGTCTATTACTCTGGCCTCTGAGACCACTGGCTTGGAGAGGGGGTGGTATACATATAGGACTCAGCTTTGACCAGTGGGAAAGAGTGAAGGGACTTTTACTCTGACCTGTGACTAGTTCTCTCTCTGAATCTCCAAATTTAAAGTCACCTCATATAACAAGGATTAATTTCCTTCTAAATATACCCATTTGATTTGCATGAAAAACTCATATTCCTTCTATTTGCATACATTTGGCTCTATTTCATGCAAACCAGGGCTGAAACCCTTTAGTAGTATTGAAGCCTGTTTTTAGTGCTGTAAACCTTTTGAGAGGGACTCGGCTTCTCCTTGCTCTGGGTTACATTGTCATATTGTATTACCCTCACTGACAATGAAGGGTTTCCACCCAAATGGCTTTCCCCATCCTTAGAGTAAGGGCTGGGGATGGAATAAATTTCACTTTCCTTTGCATTCCAAACCTGGGGGCAACCTGGGCGAAGACTGAGAACTGGGGAGAGTGGAGATAGAAAAAAAAGAGAAAACATTCAGAAGGAGTGGCAGAAAGGCATCCATAACCTATTGTGAAGGACAGTCTCTAAGGTGGCCTCATGATCTTCGCACTGGGATATTCGTGCCCTTATCCCTTCCCTTGAGTGTGGGTGGGCCCTGTGGCTTACTTCTAATCAACAGAATACAGCAAAAGTAATTATATGTAGGTGACCACAATTTATACTCCTACCTCATGAGGAGCCCCCCTCTTCTGCTGCCTTTGAAGAAGAAAGCTGCAGCATCGTGAGCTGCCCATAGAGAGGACGGTGTGGCAAGGAGCTGAGAGTCTGTCTCTGACCAACAGCCAACAAGAAATGGAAGCCCTCAGTCCTGTAACTGCAAGGAACTGAATGCTGCCAGCAACCTGAAAGAGCTCAGAACTGGGTTCTTTTACAGTTAAGACTGCCACCCCAACTAACACCTTGATTGCGGCCTTATGAGATCCTAGGTAGAGGATCCCTGACCCATGGAAACTGTGAGATAATAAATGTGTGCTGTTTTAAGCTAGTAAACTTCTGGTAATATTGCTACACAACAGTAGATAATTAATACATCCATAATAAGGACTTTGGCCTTAGAAAGGGAAAGGAAATTCAAATTTGTTTGATGAAGACTTTTGAGAGCAAAATAACTGTTCTCTGGAAGACTGGGGTGGTGAGAACAACGCTTTGCTGTATGCTGTGCTAACAATTTTTAAGTGAGAAAAGGGAGAGAAAGGGAATAGTTGATCTCTTAGAGTGGGGGGTTGAAGCCAAACAAAAATCTATATTTTATAAAAATGACCAGCATGGGTTTGAATCATCGTGCTAGAGGAGGTGGAGGCTGTGGTGCTGGTGGTGAGATGTTAGAGAAATTTCTGCCCTCAAATTTGTGGGTGGCAGGTGACAGACACCAGGATGCTTCACAGGCCAGAGCTTCTGAGATGGGTCCCATCTGGTTCCATGGGCTCTGTGTCAGAAGGCCTGTGCTTGAGTCCCAGATCTACTGCACATTAACTGTGTCATCTTGGCCAAATGACTGCATCTCTCCAGATCTTAGTTTCCACATCTGTAAAGCGGGGTTAATTATAGTACAGGTTAATAGGATTATTGTGTTGGGTCAATGAGGTAATGCATGAGAAGTGTCCAGCCTGGCACATAGTGAAGGCCTAACCAATGAGAGCTTTAAAAAATTAACGATTGGATGAGGAGTAAAAAAATAATGTGGACAAGTTGAGGCTTTCCAAGTACTTGTAGTGTTTGGGAAAAAATTGGGAGCAAATTACCTCTTTGCATTGACATTACCCATCAAGGTGTCAGGATTGTTGGAGCCAGTGATTTTCTTCCTTGGCTGTATATTAAAATTACCTGGGGTGATTTAGAATGTATTGATGCTTGGGCCCTGCCTCTGGAGATTCTGATTTAATTGGTCTGGGTGTAGCTTGGGCATCAGGACTTTGAAAAATTCCCCAGGTGACGCTAATGTGCAATCATGCTTGAGAATCACTGCTTTGGCCCTTTATCTGTTTCTTAATAGTGGCCCCTGATTGTTTCAGGTGTCTTTGTTTTGTTTACCCAGCTAGATGGCAAGTCCTTGTGGGCTCGCCTGTGTGTTATCCTTTGTGGGCTGGCAGAGTAAGAGGCATAGGGAACCAGAGGCCAAAGAGCTTGAGTTCTCCATCTGGTTTTTCCTAACTGGCTGTGGGGCCCATGGCCAGGGTCATGATCTGATTGAACATGTGCTATGCACTAGACACTTCTCCAAGTACTTTGCTTGCATCAGTTCATTTATTCCATCAGCCCGATAAACTGGTTCTATTATTAGCCTCAGAGCTAATAATAACACAGAGAAGTTAAGTAACTTGCCCAGGGTCACACCACTGTGCTTCTGACTATGAGTGCAGGAAGCCTGAGCTCCCACCAAGACCCACTCCACCCTCGGCCTGACATGAGGCTGGTCTCAACTCTATTCATCTCCAGTGAGGAGCTAGATTGTCCTTGAGTCCCTCCCAGCTCTAATGTTTACAGTTCTGCTGCCCCCGCCAGCACCTAGCAGAGACATCACATAGTGGGTGGTCTGGTGCTATGTACTCGGAGACCGATTGTTAAATCAAGGAATTGATTTCAGACTACAACGAGCACAACAGAACAAAGAGGGCAGACAGTTGGAAGCCACGACCTGGGAGGGTGGCTCTGCGTGGAAAGATGACCAGGTGAAAGGGATGACGTAAGAGGAACGTTTGTGCATCCCTTTGTGCTTTTGGCCCTTGGGTTAGCTGAGTGAATGGGCAGAGGGATGTGTCAAAGTCAGCCAAAGGCTACTTTCACTGAGGATGTGGAAAGCTGACTATCCCTGCATAAAAGAAGTGTCAGGAATTTGGGCAAGTCAAGCCTAAGAGCTAGAGAAAAGATGAAAAAGCCTCTGGAGTGGGTGTGACCCAAAAAGTAAAAAATAATTCTACATGACTGGAATTTTCCACGGCCACTGGATGTTAGGCCGGTAATGTCTGACGTTCAATTTTAAGTTGATGCCTGTGCTGTTCTGTGTGGTAATAATCCTTCATTAGCACTAAAATATCCGTGAAAGTCTGTTGCACACACAGTCTTTTGTTAGTGGTGCTTTGAGGGAATGAAGTAATAGGAATGGCGTTGGTAACGGAGAAAAATAATGAGGAAGACAGATGATGCTTGCAGGAGATAGCACAGAGAGCAGAGACAAAACATTTAGGAGAAGCAGGAAGAGGTGTCAGTGGAAATATGAGTCCCTCAGGAATCCTCAGATGTGTTGGCTGAACACGAGGCTTAACGAAAGTTAATTGAACATATGAGAGAACAGGAAGATCCTCAAGTCTGAGGCACCTGGGACACCCAGGAGGCCAACATGTGGGTTACTCAAGGTAAAAGAAGAAATTGAGAGAAAAGGTACAAAGTATGATTTCCCCAGTGAAACACAGAGTAATAAAAAGGACACTTCTTAATCTGCGTAGGTTTTAAGAAAAAGAAAAAATCCGAGGTAATGCCTTCGTCCACGCAGGGGTTAGATGACATAGCTCCACCTCAGATGTTCCTCAAGTCCTGTGTATGCCCTAAATAGATCTCCAATTCTGGTGAAAATTGGAATTACGGGGACTTTTCAGAATACTACTGTCTGGTCCCACTGCAGGAAAAGAGGCTGATGTCTTTGGGTCAGCAGCTGGCCTGTGCATGGGACTTTTAAAAGCTCCTCAGGGCTGGGCACAGTGGCTCATGCCTTTTATCTCGGCACTTTGGGAAGCCAAGGTGGGAGGACTGCTTGAGGCCAGGAGTTTGACTTGAGACCAGCCTGGGCAACATAGCAAGACCCTATTTTTTTAAAAAAAAAAAAAAACTAGCTGGGTGTAGTGGCGTGGGACTGTAGTCCTAGCTACTCAGGAGGCTGAGGTAGGAGGATCTCTTAAACCCAGGAGTTTGAGGCTGAAGTGAGGTAGGATTGTGCCACTGCACTCCAGCCTGAGTGAGAGTGAGACCCTGTCTCTAATAAAAAAGCAAACAAACAATAACAACAACAAAAAGAAATAAAAGCTTCTCAGGAAATTTACTGTGTAGCCAAGGTTGGAAACAACTGCCTAGAGCGCTATGCAACGAACACACACCTGGAGACAGGAGGGCGACAGCAATTATGTAGAAAGGCTTGAGAAAGGAAAATAAATCTTGGGACCCCAAAATCACTAAGCCAAAGGGAAAAGTCAAGCTGGGAACTGCTTAGGGCAAAACTGCCTCCCATTCTATTCCTAAAACAGCTACTAAGATAAAAAAGTTACACACCTCCCTCACACTTTGCCCACAAGGAAATTAAACTCTAAGTTATCCCCCCTGCTTACGTGAGACAAATGCATATCTGATTGCTTCCTTCGCCCTATTGTTTAATGCAACCATTCGTCTTTTATCTACCTAAGACCTGGACCCTTCCCACTTCGAGGTGTCCTGCCTTTTCGGACCAAACCAATGTACACCTTACATATATATTTTTTGATGTCTCGTGTCTTTCTAAAACGTATAAAACCCAGATGTGCCCCGACCACCTTGGGTATATGTCGTCAGGGCCTCCTGAGGCTATGTCATAGGCATGTCCTTAACCCTGGCAAAATTAACTTCCTAAATTGATTGAGGCTTGTCTCAGATACTTTTTGGTTTACAGGCTTTAAGCTTCAACCAAATGTGTGTTTTCACATTTCTTCGTTTTAAACTTATTTGTTGGTCACATCGTATTAGGTGAGTGTGAGGAAGCTAGTAATAGGAACATTAATATCAGTTATAATATTCATACTGATTTGGGAGTGCCAGGAAGGGAAGAGCGTGGTCCCTTTAAATGATCTGGAAAGGGGGAGGGGAAGTGCCGGGTAGAGGAGGGCGTGGTCTCTGGCTAGGGCTCTACCCCCACGGACCTAGGTGGGGACAGGCACTCCTGCATTCCTGCTCAAATGTTGCATTTTCCAGGACCACTCTGGCCCGCGACACCCCCATCCTGTGCCTATAAAAACCCCGAGACCCTAGCAGGCAGACACAGGTGGCCAGACGTTGAGAGGAGCACATCAGTGGAAGAAGACACATGAAGCTGGTGGGCGAGAGGACGTCTAGGGGAGCATGCTGGTGGCACACCGACAGGCCGTCCACCAGCAGGCCATCCACCGGTGGAATGAGGTGGAGTTTGGCCGGGGCAGTTGGAGGAGAGCCCGGGCCACCGCAGCCCACTCCGGGGGAAACCAGCTCCCTTCTGGCTCCCCCATCTGCTGCGGGCTACTTCTGCTCGATAAAATCTTGCACTCATTCTCCAAGCCTAGGTGTGATCTGATTCTTCTGGTACACCAAGGCAAGAAACCCCGGGATACAGAAACCCCTCTGTCCTTGTGATAAGGAAGGGGGTCTAGTTGAGCTAACAAACAAGCTGCCTACAGATGGCTAAACTAAAAGAGTATCCTGTAACACATGCCCACTCGGGCTTCAGGAGCCATACACATTCACCCCTAGACACTGCCGTGGGGTCAGAGCCCCCACAGCCTGCCCTTCTGTATGCTCCCCTAGAGGTTTGAGCGGCGGGACACTGAAGAAGCGAGCCACACCCCCATCGCACACCCTGTAAGGGGGACAAAGGAATTTTTCTCGTTTCAGTACTAAGAATGTTACCCAGAATAAAGAGTGGGCCTTTTCTTGCATAAAATCCTAGCAAAAACTCCAAGAGAAAAGCGGGGACATTGGATCACAGTCGGTAGAAGGTACCTTAGGATCTCTTGGCATCTGGGTGATGAAGGCAGAGAACAACATGATAGGCTCAGAGGTCGGGGGGGCTTCAACTATCCTCAGATATCCCCCTCTAATATTGGGACTAGAAGTTCATAGCTTTAAAAGTAGGAAAGAGCTTTAGAAATCATCTAGTTAAACTTATGTTGTTAATAGATATTTTTTAAAACTGAGGCTCCATGAAGTAAAGTATCTGACCCAGGAAACCCAGCCATTTAGCTGCAGAACCAGAAGTAGGGTGGAATCTTTGAACAACTGGCCTATTACCTCCCTACCCTTCAGATGCAAGGGTTGATACTCAAGTGCCCTTAGGAGCAGTCACCTGACCTAAATTCACACCCAAGTGTTCATGACTAACATAAAATGTTTTCTTTCCAGGAGGTAGTGATAGCTGGGTGGAAGGCCTTAAACTTAGGAACCTTAACAAGGGGAAAGAAAGGAAAATGTCAACACTGATGGAAAAAGTCAAAGAAGGGTGGCTGGGCAGGAGAATGAGGGCAGAGAGATTTCCATAGCATGGGTGAGTACTGGGCCTCCAGAGATGAACATGAGGCCAACCCTCCCGGGACATGGGAAGCAGGAGAATGACTGTGTTGAATATGTTTACAAATGGACACATATTAAATTAACAAGTGCCAAAAACCACCCACCCACCCTCAGCTCAGAGGAAGCCCCCAAAGCCTGGCCCCAGATGACTCAACCCCCTAACCAAGAATCACTTGCATTAAGGCTATTTCTGCTTCATCCAAAAGGTTTTCAGTGATGTTGAGAGTCAACAGGAAATTAATCAGCAAGTAGAAAATTGAAAGAAGATCTGCATCTTACTGCAGGAGTCATTAAAATAAAAGCAGATTTGGCAAAATGGCAAGGTGAGTTTTTTTTTAATCTCTCTCTTACCATGTTACTTAATAAGTTGAAGATTCCAAAACTAAAAGTCTAAGGAACAGAGGCTCCTTGGAGAATAGGGTACACACTGTCCTAGGTCCTGTACCCCTCTGCTGAGCACGCCAGCCTGGTCGCCATCCAAATAGCTCTCTCTGCTTTCTCAAAAAGTCCCTGGAAACCCGTCCATGCTCTGACACGGTCTATTTAAAACTCCCTGGACTCATCTCAGGCCACATCTCTGTCTTGTATTGTTTCATTTGCCTCTCCCCGCTAAGCTCTTGGGGGGAAAAGCTTTTTTTTCTTTTCTTGTTTTGGAATGATTTTATTTATTATTATAAGCCTGGGTGGAGAATGTACTTCCTTGCTTATCATGCAGTTAAGTAGAAATATAAAATAATAATAATACCTGGATGCGGTAGAGAACATAAAACTCTGCCTATCATATAACCTTTGCTCTGCCATCCTGAATATCTGGGGAAACAGCTTCCCTTGGTCTTCCTTATTACGGCAACTAAAAACCCCAAGACCCTAAATTAAAGAACTGATATATGGAATGATGGTGAGAAAAAAATCTTTTTTCTTTTTCACTAGTTTCTGACCTGTTGATCTTAAAAAGGTCCCTTTCTTTTCCTGCCCCAAAGTGCTTGTGAAGAGAATGGATACTGAGTCAATGTACTTAGTATGGGGTCTCAGTTAAGATCACTGGGGTTGCAAACAACAGAAACCAGCTCCAGTAGATGTGAGCAAAGCAGGAAGTTTATTGGAGAATCATTAGAGTTTCTCACAGAACCCAAAGACAGCATTCAGGGGCCATGCTCTTCTGTTTTCTCCCTCCCTCTCATTTTTATTTCCTGGGTTTTACTAGATGTGAGTTTCATGAATGCGAGGATTTTGTTTGATTTGTTTCCTTCAGGCTTGCCCATGCCTAGCACAGTGCCTGGCACACAGTAGTTGCTCAATCCGCATTTATTACTGTATTTCTCTGCAGAGAAGCTTCCTACATTCCTCTATGGGCATGCCAGAAGGCAGTCCCCCACCGTATCCAAATTTCTGTCTTTGAAGTTCAGGATGATGTCAAATGTCCACCCCCAGTCCCAGTTGGTCACCTCTGGCCAGGGGATGTAGTTTTCTAGCAGACAGCTTGTGGGAAATGGTTTGTGGCAATCCCCAAATAGAGCTGTCTTTTGATTAATAGCAAACTAGAAGGAACTCCACCTGTTCCCATGGCATGAAACTTTCTTGCAGCTTTGCAGATGCGTTATCGAACAATCTTTCTTCGGACATCTCCAGGGACAATGAGAGCACTGTTTCTCAAGATCTTCTTGCTCCATTTTTTAAAACACATCTAATTATTAGGAAATCCATACATGCATCTGTCTGAATTTTACCTTCATTAGTCCAAACTCTGCCTTTCAGAGCCATAAAGAGTAAGTTTCTCCCATATGACGACTCAAAAAAGTGATTTGAAGAACATGATTATGTTGCTTTGAAGTCTTTTCCTTGAGGTCATCAATAAATGCTGTCCATGAATTCATTATATTTAGGATTGCCTCTTTCTGATTTCTTTAAAATGATAGAATCAGTAACTCAGTGGTGGATGGAAGATGGGCCTTGGAGACGTTATACTGCATGATCTTTGTTCCCATCCAAATGAAAGACTTTATGGGGGTGCTCATGGTTTTATTCAGCTTTCCTTTACAGACAGTGGGTGTTGGTCAGTGGTGACATCTGTTTTGAGGAATACATGTTACCTGCTGGAAATAAATGGCTAAAGGAACTAAAACTTACCAACTGGTTCCTCTGGAGCAAGGAAGATCTAATTGGTAACCTCTGGCTATTCTCGAGCCTAATGGTATATTTATTAACTCTATCAGCCCCTTTATATCTTCTTGCTATGGTTTGGCTGCTTCTCCACCCAAATCACATCTTGAATTGTAGCTCCCATAATTCCCACATGTTGTGGGAGGGACCTGGTGGGAGATAACTGAATCACGAGGGCGGTTTCCCCCATACTGTTCTCGTGGTAATGAATAAGTCTCACAAGAGCTGATGGTTTTATAAGGGGAAACCCCTTTTGCTTGGTTCTTTCATTCTCACTTGTTTGCCACGATGTAAGATGTGCCTTTTGCCTTCTACCTCCCTAGCCATGTGGAACTGTGAGTCCATTAAACCTCTTTTTCTTTATAAATTGCTCAGTCTCGGGTAAGTCTTTATCCGCAGCATGAAAACGGACTAACACACTTCTCTTTTCAAAACTAAATATACTCATTATTTTAAAATTGAATTCATATCATTTAACAAACATTTACAGAGCACCATTTTTGAGGAATTGTACTAGTTGTTGCAATAACAGATAAAGGACACGATTGCTACCTTCAAAGAATTCATAGTGAAATGAAAATAGGAAGCTGAGTAAACAGATGATTTTAATTTAGGATAAGTGCTTGACAAAGGCATAGATTAGGACCATCAGCAGTGTGCAGGAGGAGAGGCACTCAACCAGGGTGTGAAGAGGTCTGGGGACAGGGAGCTCAGAGAATGCTGCCTAGACTACCAAAAGTGGTGCCTGAGATGAGTCTCAGAAGATGAGTAGGAATTAGCCAGATGAAGAAGGATGGGTATGGGAGGAGGGAGGATAGACAGGCAGAGGTTTGTGTTTGCAAAGCTGTGGAGGAATTGACATACAGTTTGTTCACAGCATGACTGGAGCATGGAATATAAGGGCCAGAGTAGCAAGACAAGAGCTGAAGTAGGACAGATATGTGTGGGCTGTAATAATTGGCTTTTTGCTACCTAACAACACACCTTCAAAACCTAGTGACTTCAGACAATAAACCTTTATTATTGTTCACGAGTCAACCAGTCAGCTGCAAAGCTCTGGTGAACTGGCTGGGGCCTGTGTGATCACCACTGGGCTCACTAATGTGTCAGGGGTCGAGTGGCAGATTGGGGGCTGGCTGGTCTTGGGTGGCCTCACTCACTTGCTGGCCATTGGCTGGGTGAGAAGGCAATGTGTTTCTCGCTGTGTGTCAGGCTAGCCTGAGCTAGTTCACACAGTGCTGCCAGGAAGAGTGGCAACATACAGGCCACTTCAGACCTAGGGTTGGAACTGGCATATCATAACTTCTGCCACATTTTATTGACCATGGCAAGTCACAAGAGCACTTCAGATTCAAAGGACAAGGGCATAGACTACCTCTTGATGGCAGGTGCTACAAAGTCTTATTGCAAAGTCTCTCTATATAGGAAGGGATGAATAATTGTAGCCATTTTGCAATCAATCAAGCATAGGAAACTTACATGATTGGAGTTTATCTTGGCAAGAATGGGGAGGGATCAAAAGGATATTAAATTTCTTAACAGTTAATTTTCATTTACGCATTAACATTAAAACACACTTACATTTAAAAAAAAAAGTATGTCAAATGAGGTTAAAATCTCCTGCCAGCCATGTTCCTGTTGAATAAGATGAGGCAGACGATGTTTTCTGGACACCACTTTCCAGATCTTGGGCAGGTTGACACACGGACCATTTCCCAGCACCCCTTACCCCTGGCAGTTCAGCTAACTAGAAAGCCACATAAATCTCCTTATCCCTCAGGCCATATTATTTAGTTCCCATGAGGATCTCATGGGAAACATTTTCAACTGCCTCATGAAATCCAGGCCCACTATGTCTACAGCATTCCTTATTGATTCATGGTCAAGTCAATTAAACCTGTGAGGAAAGAGAGTGAGGATGGTCCAATCCAACTTGGCTCTCAAAATCTCCCTTTCCAGGCACTAGCATCTTCTTTAGTAACCCATTCTAGAAGGTTGCTCAAGTTCTGTACTGCAGTGACTATTATCTGGGGCATCCACATTGATCCACTTTGTGAAAATTGGTATCCAGTTTTCAGCCATCACCAAAGTTCCTTAAACACAATAAGTTGCTTCATCCAGGGTCCTCTCAGTTCCCAGAGATGAAATTCAATTCACAATGGCCCTCAAGCTTAATATCACTGAGATGGGCCAGATTCACTGGCTAGCTCCTCTCATGGCTGGATCTTCACTTCTCTCAGGCCAGGGAACCTCAGTCTTCTACTTGACAGGGGGAAAAAGAAAAAGAGATGGGGAGAAATGGAGGGAAGAAAAAAGGGAGGCAGAAATAAAGGGAGAGAAAGAGAGGAGAATTGAATATGTTTCCCTTTTGATTCTGCCATCAATTTATATTGCATCACACACCCTGTTTGACTTACCACTAATTTTTTTTGAATCTTATTTAGCACTTAATTAAAAATAAAACTTTGGAATGTTATTCTGTAAGTAATCATAAGAAACTTTTAGTAGTGGTTACATTTGGGAAGAGGAGGGGGGCAGGTTTCATAGAGGCAGGAGATTTCAGATTTTCCTTTGGTGTTTTTCTCTATTGATTGAATTCTCTAAACATGCCAAGGAGATTTATATGGAAAATGGAATTATGGAAAATGTTTCTGGTTTTTCCCCTAATTTCCCTCCCTTTATTAAAAAATATTTTTACAAGTGAAATACTTACTGTTGTTTCTACAGCAGCAACAAATACTATGTATACATAGAGTGCTTACTTTGCACCAGGCGCGATGCTAATGTGCTCTGCTTACATTATCTGTTTGGTTCTACAACAACCCAGTGGAGGAAGACTTCTCACACACAGTTTAAGGATGAGGAAATGAAGGCACAGAGCAGTTATTCAACTTGTCTAAGGCCACACGGCTACTAAGAATCATTGCCAGGATGTACCTCCAGTTTTATAGGTTTTGGCCACCGTGTGACGACTCCTTCCCTCTTTTGATGGATATCCAGAGAGCACCTTGGGCAGCTACCTGATTCTTACGACCACCCCCTCCCAGTTTTGGACCATCAGAGCTGTTGTCAGAATGTCTTCATAGGAGTCTCCCAACCTTCTATTTTTCCTTTGAACTTTGAAAATCTACCTCCGAATATTGCAAGCTCATGTCTAACTGAGCTAATGATATTCCTCCATTTTCCCAAAAGTTTAAGCTGCCACTGTCTTTTAGTTGCTATTTTCTTAACTAACTAGTTTGTTCTGATGGGTCAAAATTAAGGGCTTTTGATAAGGAGAACAGTTATTATATTTTTTCAGACTTCTGGGAGATGAAGCCACATGAAGAATTTATTGCATTTGTTGTTCTTAGCTGACCTTACCCTGATTTTACCACATAATAAAATGCTTTGAGTCCTGCATTCTACTGGTTACTTTGGGTTTTGTTTGTTTGTTCATTGTTAACCACAACTGAACTTTAAGTCTGGGAATAGTTTCCAAGTTTCTGGAAATAGTCAGTAAGTGGCTCTGCCGTCCTTCTGATGTTGCTATAGATCAATTTTGAAGAGAAACCCAACCTCAAAATCTTCTTTGATTCCTCTATCTTACTTGTTTCTCCCTCCTCCATATTCGATTAATGACTCTTCTCTTTGCAAAATATCTCTTACTTCCTACTTTTACAACCATTTTTACCACAGTAAATAAAACAAGTTCAGGCTTTGAAACTGCTTGACCTATAGTATGGCATTAACTCCTAAACTGGACTTGTAGCCATACAGATAATCTCCCCAGAACCCATCCCACCCTGAATGGTGAGTCTCTACCAATCTCATGAATCCCACCCCCCTTTCCAGTGACTGACCTAAGAATGGGCAGATGACCCAGTTCTGCCCAAAGAGATGTGAGAGGACATTTACTATCTGCCTCTAGGGAATGATTTCCTTGCTTCTAAAAAGTAGGCATCAGGTCCTTTGCCTCCTCTGGATGTGAGGCATCTGATGTGATAGCAGACTCTCTTGTGTCCCTTCCTCCTGTGCGGCACACAGGCCTGCCCCTCCCCTGCATTCCTTGTTATGTGCAATTGCAACCATTTCCATTTTAAAGTACATAGCATCCCAACAGATACACCAGCCCCTCTGCCTATAAATATCTCACTTTTCATCTTACTCATGCCAGATTAACCACCCCAAACATTAAAACTCTTTATGACTTCAACTTCTCTTCTAGTTACCTTGAGTGAAGGGAATTGAAAATGCACAGTCAGGATTCAAGGTTGTAAGATCTGTACAATGTTGTAACTTTGTTAGTTCCCCATGCTTATTTTTTAAATATCATGCCATGTTTAGTCATTTTCATTCATTCAACAAACACTAATTGAGCACCTATTGTCAGTGTTATGCGATACTCTGGAGGTACAAAAGGAAAATGAGTAAGAATCAGTTCCTGCCATCAAAGAAGTTACAACCTAGTAGCGGAGTACAGCAGGCACAAAGCCTGCCCTCTCAGTAGTTGCCCCCTCCTTTCTTGTTAACAGAACCTCAATTTTGTTTGGACAATAATGTGTCCAGCCAGAAGGGATGCCATGTAATTTGTCTAGGAGTGAGCATGTGAATGAAACCTAAGGGAAAGTCTACTGGGGATTTTGGGAAGGATTCCCCTTCTGATAAAAGATAGGAACCAACTACCTACTTCCTTACTTGTTGAGGCCCTGTTGCATGAGACCATGATGTTTGGAGCTCTGGCAGCCTTCTTGAAACTGAGAGAAAGGCCTGTCATAGAGATGCTCACCAGTGCCATGACATCACTGCCATGATGATCCAACTTTGCAATCGCCTATGTCCAGACTTACTTTTTATGAGGTAATCAAATGCCTTTACTGTTGAAGCCACTGTAGGGTTTTCTAACCAAAGCAAGGTAGAAAGCCATGAAAATAAGTATTTTAAATACAGTATAATAAATGTGATTATAGAGTTATGCATAGGAAGGCAGTATATTTAGAGGTGTACAAAGATAAATAGTATTCTCTCCCTGACCCTAACAACCACAGTCAAGGAGGAAGCAGACCCAATTAATGCAGGTTTGTTGTACATATAATAAATACAATACTAGAAATATGCACAGAGTAATATGAGAATATCAGAGGAAAGCCTGACTCAGGTATCTGTAATGTTTGCTTACAATGTGAGTGAGCTGAAGTATTTTTTCAGGAGCGTCACAGATGTCATGTGGCGTCCCTCTTAGTGCATCATGTCAGTGGAAACATGGTGTCAGTTTGTCCCACTACTGGTAATGTTAAATTAGATTATGAAGCACCAGAGGTATTTGCCAGATTCTCCTTGTTAAATTTACCATTTGCTTTTGTCATTAATAAGTATTTTGTGAGAAGATATTTTGAGACTATGGAGATATCTTGTTGCATGTCAAACTTTTGTACACTAGTTTTAGCAACTGTTGGTGATTCTTCATGAATCAATCACTGCAAAAATTTTGTAAAGTGATTTTGAAACTCTTTTATTCTTTCTATATTTATTTCATGGCATTCTACAAAGGGAGAAGCTTTTCCTCATCCCTCATTTATTCTTTCATTCATTGACTCATTTAAGTCAGTATGAATTTATGGGTTTCCATTTTCTTTGGTAGGTAATCTGTAAATATTATTTATTCGGATGCTTGAATTATCCCAAGTTTGTCAATGGGAGCCCCTTCAAACATCTTTCTGTGTCTCTATTCTTTGAGAATTTATTTATTTCCCAAGATGATATTCCGGGCTGATCTTGAACTTTTCCTGTCCTAGCCATGAAATAAGCTGTATCTTCAAGTGACCCTGCTTTCTTTCAGTGGAGAATAGTGTAGTATTTAGAGACAAAAAAATCTGTGCACTATATGTGCTCATTGCTACTGAACTGTAATTGCTATGAGGCCTTCTCAGGGACGTAAGAAATAGACATATGTGTATACACCTCTATGCATACATCTATATCCATGTGGATGTAGATATAACATGTCTATATACCTGTTGATATATAGATATAGAAGTAAAATAATATCTATTGGTCCTTTGCTTTAGTTAGAAAACCCAAGCATCAGCCAGTTGCAGTGGCTCATGCCTGTAATTCCAGCACTTTGGGAGGCCAAGGCAGGCAGATCATTTGAGGTCGGGAGTTCAAGACCAGCCTGACTAACATGGAGAAACCCCGTCTCTACTAAAAATACAAAATTAGCTGGGCATGGTGGCCCATGCCTGTAATCCCAGCTACTTGGGAGGCTGAGGCTGGAGAATCGCTTGAACCTAGGAGTTGGAGGTTGCAGTGAGCTGAGATTGAGCCATTGCACTCCAGACTGGGCAACAAGAGCGAAACCCTGTCTCAAGAAAAAAAAAAAAAAAAAGAAAACTCAACCATCTATAAAATAGATAAATATGTATCGATATAAATCATGAATTTATACTGATACTTCCAGTTCTAATTCAACATACTGTTCTTTGACAGTGAGAAATCTGGCCCTGTTATCCTAAATATATTTACCTGTTTAATCCTAGAATATACTGAAAGCAGTTTCATAATTGCTGATCCATACAACAGTGATAAACAACTCAACTAACTAGACTTTAATATTTATTCATCATTCTTATCTTCAGCTTAAGGGTTGTATTAGCCTGTTCTCATGCTGCTATTAAGACATTCCTAAGACTGGGTAATTTATAAAGGAAACAGGTTTAATGGAGTCACAGTTCCACATGGCTGGGAGGCCTCACAATAATGGTGGAAGATGAAAGAAGAGCAAAGGGACATCTTACATGGCAGCAGGCAAGAGAGAGCTTGTGTAGGGGAACTCCTCTTTATAAAATAATCAGATCTCATGAGACTTATTCACTGTCATGAGAACAGCACAGGAAAGACCCACTGCCATGATTCAATTACCTCTCACTGGGTCCCTCCCACAATAGGTGGGAATTATGGGAGCTACAATTCAAGATGAGATTTGGGTGGGGCACAGCCAAACCATATCATTCCACACCTGGCCCCTCCCAAATTTCATGTCCTCACGTTTCAAAACCAATCATGCCTTCCCAACAATCCCCCAAAGTCTTAACCCATTTCAACATTAACTCAAAAGTCCACAGTCCAAAGTATAATCTGAGACAAGGCAAGTGCCTTCTGTCTGTGAGCCTGTAAAATCGAAAGCAAGTTAGTTACTTCCTAGATAAATGGGGATGCATGCATTGGGTAAATACACCCATTCCATATGGGAGAAACTGGCCAAAACAAAGGGGCTACAGGCCCCATGCAAGTCCAAAATCCAACACAGCAGTCAAATCTTAAAGCTCCAAAATGATCTCATTTGACTCCATGTCTCACATCCGGGTCACGCTGATGCAAGAGGTGGGTTCCCACGGTCTTGGGCAGCTCTGACCCTGATGGATTTTCAGGGTATAGCCTCCCTCCCAGCTGCTTTCATGGGCTGGCATTGAGCCTCTGTGGCATTTTCAGGCACGCAGTGCAAGCTGTTGGTGGATCTACCATTCTTGGGTCTGGAGGATGAAGGCCCTCTTCTCACAGCTCCACTAGGCAGTGCCCCAGTGGGGACTCACTGTGGAGGCTCCTACCCCACATTTCCCTTCCACACTGCCCTACAGAGGTTCTCCGTGAGGGTTCCACCCCTGCAGCCAACTTATGCCTGGACATCCAGGCATTTCCATGCATCCTCTGAAATCTAGGCAAGGGTTCCCAAACCTCAATTCTTGACTTCTGCACACTCACAAGCTCAACACCATGTGGAAGCTGCCAAGGCTTGGGTCTTGCACCCTCTGAAGTCATGGCTTGAAGTCATGGCTTGAGCTGTATCTTGGCCCCTTTTTGCCACAGCTGGAGCACCTGGGAGGCAGGGCCTCAAATCCCTAGGCTGCAAGAGTAGGAGGGCCTTGGGCCTGGCCTATGAAACCATTTTTTTCCTCCTAGGCCTCTGGGCCTGTAATGAGAGGGGCTGCTGTGAAGGTCTTTGACGCCCTGGAGACATTTTCCCCATTGTCTTGGTAAGTAACATTTGGCTCCTTGTTACTTTTGCAAATTTCTGCAGCCTGCTTGAATTTCTCCACAGAAAATGGGTTATTCTTTTCTATAGTATTGTCAGGCTGCAAATTTTCTGAACTTTTATGCTCTGCTTCCCTTTTAAACATAAGTTCCAATTCCAAACCATATCTTGGTGAATACATAAAACTGAATGCTTTTAACAGCACACAAGTCACCTCTTGAATGCTTTGCTGCTTAGAAATTTCTTCCACCAGTTGCCCTAAATCATCTCCCTCAAGTTCAAAGTTCCACAAATCTCTAGGGCAGGGTTAGAATACCACCAGTCTCTTTGCTAAATAACAGCAAGAGTCACCTTTGCTCTAGTTCCCAAAAAGTTCCTCATCTTCTTGTGAGACCACCTCAGCCTGGACTTTATTGTCCATATCACTATTAGCATTTTGGTCAAAGTCATTCAACAAGTCACTAGGAGGTTCCAAACTTTCCCACATCTCTCTGTCTTCTGAGCCCTCCAAACTGTTCCAACCTCTGCCTGTTACCAAGTTCCAAATCCACTTTCACATTTTTGGATATCTTTACAGAAGCACCCCACTACCTGGTGCCAATTAACTGTATTAGTCTGTTCTCATGCTACTAATAGAGACATACCTGAGACATGGTAATTTATAAAGGAAAGAGGTTTAATGGCCTCAAGTTCCATATGGCTGGGGAAGCCTCACAATCATGGTAGAAGGTGAAGAAAACCATCAGAAAACCTTTATAAAACCATCAGATCTTATTCACTATCCCAAGAACAGCATGGGAAAGACCCAACCCCATGATTCAATAATCCCCCACCAGGTCCCTCCCACGACTTGTGGGAATTATGGGAGCTACAAGATGAGATTTGGGTGGGGACACAGCCAAACCATATCAAAGGTATACCTCTATTATACCACTTTTGACCAATTATTTGTTTACAAAATGTTTTTCTACTAGAACATAAGTGCATTGAAGGCAGGGACACATTTTTGCTTTTTTAAAAACGTGTCCAAAGCCTAGCAAAGGATCTGAGACATGTAAGGTACTCCATCAATGGTAGTTGAATTAATCAATGAATGACTCAAACACTCAATTATTCCCATTGCCTATAGGAGGAAGTCTATTATTCAAAGCTTCTTACAAATCCTGTGTCTCACATTTCCCTAATGGATCTTCCTGTACATAGAACCAACTATCTATCCAACATATCTTGCATTCCCAGCCCTCTGCCCTCTTATTTATGCTATTCTTTTTGTCATGAATGTTATTTCTCTAGTCTTTCCACTTTAATATCATTTAAATAAATCTTTTTAAAAATATCTCATTTAAATCTCTCTTTTTAAGAACAAAATGCTCATAACATATTGCTCTGAATTCCTTAGTCTGTATATACACTAAGTTATATATAATATTATATATGTATATATAATCATGCATCATAGATACTTTATGCATATGTTCAAACCTTATGCATTTCAGATTGCCATGCTGTCTGTCATCTTCAAATCCTGTGCAGTGCCTATGGCAGTGCTATGCAAGTAGATGGCAATAAATGAAAACTTGCTAAATCAATGAGTGAGTGGCAGGTGACTGTCAGTTATGTGAGTGCAGGCTTCTTAGGAAGTCCTCTAATGCCATCCCAATCTCTCTAATAAAGTAAGTTAGGCTCAAAATACTACTTTTAAGGATTTATTCCTTTGGCTTCCTCTGAATTTATCCTCTTAGTCTCATTCTTAATTTTTATTATTCCAGGATGCTGGCAATGTTTTCCTCTTGATTCTTTAAAAGTAATGGTAGAACCAAATACCCTTCCTATGGTGGACATAAAGGGCTTCAAACATTGAATGAGGTCCTGCAACCAGAGGCCAGATTTCACATCGGTACACAGTGCCTTTTTAGGCACTCTTATAGAGATGACAGTTTTCATCTGTGATAAGATGAGGAGATAAATATGCGCAACTCTGTCAGTTGGTGCCTGCAGATTGTAAACGACAGTTCTCACAACAAATATCCACAGCTGTCCTATGATTTTTGGCCCCCACTTAATGTTGCATTTGCTCCAAAATAATTCTCCTTTGACCTGTTTAGGTTTAGCCTAGCCAAAAGGTACTTTAAACACAAACCAACCATTATTGGCCTTGTGAATGCAAGAGCCAATTCAAGCAAAATTATCAGTTTCCCAGGCTCTTTGGAAATTCCCTTGATGGTGAAGAGTAAAGTACATATCACCTATTGGGACTTTTGTAGGTTTTAGCTGAAGTCTCACCTTCAAAGGCCAATCCTGCCCTACCAAAATATTATAAATTCCAGACCCTGGATCGGAAGCCACCATCCTTAGAACACCTTCTAGTGTCTTTACAAACCCAAAGGCAACACCAACTGTCAATTTCCTATGAGGAGAAACATTCCCTTCCTCAAATTGTTTTCTCTTTGAACCTACCAGTTTTCAATCAATCATCTTTACGTTTAGGCGCATGTGTTTTTTGTAAACTCTTTCCACTTTGGAAAGCAGGCAAATGGCTTGCTCCTCTTCTCCTCAGCTCATCCCTGTATCAGCATAGCTAGCCTGACCCTAAAATCTGCCAACTTTGCAGATCCTTGTAGCAAAGAAGATATCAGAAACTGAAGAATACTGTCCTTCCTAAGCCCGGTCACTCTGTAGTGGTGAGCTGGGGATCTTGATCCAGGCAATATCTATTTCACAGAGAAATATGATTACTGAGTGAGGCTGAATGGGGACAGAGACTAGAAGTACGCATTTGTTGATTCAGCAAAGAAGACTCTGTCCTTCATAGAATATTCTCACCATCCTGGACTCCCTTTGCATCTTGCGAGGCTTACCTTTACCAATCACAGTCCACGGGGCTTTGTTATTCAGTCAGGCCTGTCAGTCTCATCCTGTCCCTGTGGAAAAGCAACTCAGCTGCACCACAAATGATTTTCAGTCCAGCCTAACATCTTACCAAATTTTCCAGCTGGATGGACAACAAGCCTCATGAGATTGAGAGATGTAACCCTGGGTTACAGAGTGAGTCAGTTACTCAGCTATGTTGTAAAATATGGGCCCATTCTGGCTTCCAGTACATCTCTCTAACCAGCAGACCACATAGTCCCTCTTCTGCAATAGGATCAGCTTGTCTGCAGAGAAATAGAATTAAGCTATTAGCAAGTGGTTTCTGCCTCTTGCAGAAGCACCAGCAACAATAGCCACTTCTACATAACGTTTTAAGAGAACTGTTTGTGTTGGCAGTGCTTCACTATATTACACATTCCTGCCACTTAATTGTCCTTGCAAAGATAAACAAAGACCTTCTGAAGCAGAGCTGGAAGCTCTATAACTCAGCCAACCAAATGTTTGTTAAATGGAGGAGGAAAAAAGGGGTTGGCTGTATATATTCAGCTGTACTCTGAAACCACACCATCTTGTCTACACAGTCAGCCATTTCCGGAACTTCTGTATCCCTCCCCTACTGCCTTCAATTCTGAGAGAAAGCTTAAAAATATTTTTTAATTCTTGATCTCATTATTATCAAACTACTTCCTCTGACCTTCAAAGCTGATTGGCAAGTTCAAAGCTCACACAAGGTTTAGTATCCACATTTTTGATGTTGCTCTTTAAACATAAAACTAATCATAGTGGATGTTGATGAAGATAGTGAACAAACTTTCAAATATCTTAGTTGACATTGGTAAAGGACCCCTATTAACTAAGAGCTTTGTGGGACATAGAACCAAACATGAGCTTCTCTTTTGATAAAGACAAGAAAAAAATTGTTGATACACAGTTTTTCTTCAACTCCTGTGTGCGGTTTCTGGCCCAAGAGCCAGGGCCAGATATGAAGGAAATTGAGTAAGTCAATTCCTGCCCACAATGAGTTAACAATCTAGCAGAATGGTGAAGTCATGAGTTTTAGAGGTGGCTGATACCTTTTTCATTGAGACAGAAAAATTACCCAGTGGCTTTCCTGGGTCTTTAGAAACATTGAAAATTAAGTCAGTTTCTGAAAGTCATATTTAGGGGTTGGGTGAGAGTAAGTGTGACATTCATTCTGGCCACACTGTATACTTCTGCAAGTAAGTTCATGTTTGTTATGCCCCATGTATTCTATTAATATCAGGAAACTCATCAACTGTGGGGAGGCCACTTTATGAATGTGGGTGTGTGTGAGAAGGAAATGGAAACTAAATCTCCCATCTGCAACTCTCAGCTGCTGATCTACTGATAGATATAAGAAGAAAATGCAAGGAAACTGGTTACTTTTAAATTACCTTTTATCATTGGATTGTTAGTAAACATGAATAAAATACAGGTGAGTATCCCTCATCCAAAATGTTCAAGACTAGAAGTTATTTCAGACTTTGGCTTTTTTTCAGATTTTGGAATATTTGCCTGTACATAATGAGATATCTTGGGGAAAGAATCCAAGTCTAAACACAAAATTCACTTGTTTTATATACACCTGGTACACATAGCCTGAAGGTAATTTTATATAAAATGTATGTACAATACAAAGTTTGTGTTATTTACATGTGAAATTTTCCACTTGTAGCATCATGTTGATGCTCAAAAAGTTGTGGATTTTGAAGCACTTTGAATTTCAAATTTTCAGATTAGGGACCTGAAAATAGCTAAAGTAGCTTAACCTGTGCTACTAAGCACAGGTTAAGAAGAAAATACGTTATAAGCTTTATGAATTAACTGAAGGAAAAAAGGGTGTCTTGAGGTGCAAAGGACCTAAGAGATGAACTGACCACTGCCTTTGCACGTGCTATTGCCTGTGTCTGGAACACCACCACTCTTTGCCTGGCTCACAGTTACTTTTTGTGTAGGTCTCAGTTTAAATGCCACCTCCTCGAGGAAGCCACCCTTAGTCCTTTCAAGTTCATACCCCTCCTGTGTGACCCCATATCCTTTCTCAGTCTCATAACACATAATTTATTGCATTTTGTTTGACATTACCCTACTCAGCACTGCTCAACATTGACCCAAGCTCTGTCAGAATAAAGACATTGTCTATTTCACATGTTTATGCCCAGAGACTAGCACACAGTAGGCTTATAATCAATATTTTTTTAAATGAAAGAACAAAATTATCTCTCTTCTTCATGAAAAGAAGGCAACAAGAAGTAGGTTTTAATAGTGCAGCTAGTAGAGGAGGGGCGAATTCATTTCCTATGGCTGGTATAACAAATTACTACAAACTGTGTGGCTTAAAAGATCAGAAATTTATTTTCTCACAGTTCTGGAGTCCAGGAGTCTGAAATCAGTATCCCTGGGTAGAATCAACACCAACACTAGGTGGTGTCCGCAGGGCTTCCCTGCCTCTGGATGCTCTTGGGGAGAATCTGTTTCTTGCCTCTTCCAGCTTCTAGTAGCTGCCAACATTCCTTGGCTTGTGGCCAAATCACTCCAAACTACAAAGTCAGCATCTCCAAATCTCTCTCTGCTCTGTCTTCACATTGCTTTGCCCTGCATGTATGTGTCAAATCTCCCTCTTCCTCTCTTTTAAGGATACATATGATTGTATTTAGGTCCCACTCAGATAAAATAGGATAATCTTCCTGTCTCAAGACCCTGAACTTAAGCAATATGCAAAGACTGCCTTATAAAATCCCATTCACAAGTTCCAGGAGGCTTAGAAAGAAAAAACATTTTCATGATGATAAAGGAGTTAGCAAGAAGAAGTAATTTGATAAAGAATAATACATTCATGCACTGCATATCAATGTTTCATTAAATGACAGACCACATATACAAGGGTGGTCCTATAAGATTATATTGGAGCTGAAAATTTCCTAATGCCTAGCAATTTTATAGGCATCATAATGTCATACCACAATTACTTTCTTTTTCATGAATTTAGTGAAGGCTAAGTGTATCATGTTTATAAAGTCTCCAGTAGTGTACAATAATATCCTAAGCCTTTACATTTATTCATCACTCACTCACTGACTCACCCAGGGCAACTTCCAGTCCTGCAAGCTCCATGCATGTTAAGTGCCCTGTATAGATGTAGCACTCTTTATCTCTTATACTGTATTTTTACTGTACCTTTCTATATTTAGATACACAAATACTTACCATTATGTTACAGTTGCCTCCAGTATTCTGCACAGCAAGATGCTGTACAGCTTTGTATCCTAGGAGCAATAGGCTATAACAGGTAGAGTAGGCCTGTGGTAGACTCTACTGTCTAGGTTTGTGTAAGTACACTCCATGATGCTCATACAATATCACCTAACAATGTTTCTCAGAACGCATTCCCTTCAGAAAGTGATGCATAATGGTATAACTGACAGAACGCTCAAAGCCTTTGAAAATGAAAAAGGCTTTGAAAGAGAAAATTAAAAAGAAGCTACAAAAACAGGAACCAAAATATTTCACTTGACAATCTAAAGAGGCAGACTCCATACCCCAATAGTTAAGAGCATAGGCACTGGAATCCAACTCCTGGTTAGAGTCTGGCTTCACCATACTCTGTCTGTATAACTTAGGGCAAGTTACTTAACTTTTCTGTGCTTCAATGTTTTCATCTTTAAAGTGGGGATAATAATAGTGCTTACTTCAGAGCATTGTGGTAAATGATTAATGACAACATATTAAGAGCTCGTAGAAGTGTTTGCTATTACCATTTTAAGAAAACCAGAAATCTACAAAAGAAGTGTGAATTTTTTAAAAAACAGAAGAAAGAAATAGCTGAAAGATATATATTGATAAGAAAAAAGGACTTTAAAATGATTAGCCAAGAAGAAAGGGTTAAAAAAACACATAAAAGATATAAGATATATATTTTAAAAAGCAAATTAAAAACATTTGCAACCACAATTTGAGGGGGAAAGAAGGTAAATATGTTGCATATCAGAAGAAAGACCAAGACTATAATTGAGGACATCAGGAAAACTGTGGAAAGCAGAAAAGAATGTTCCAAGAGTAACAACTGTTATTTCCTCTATATATTTATGTGGTTGGTAGTGTTTTTCTCAGATCTTCTATGTCTTTGCTGATTTTTTTTGTCTAGTTATCCAATTAATTGCTGAGAAAAGACTCATAAAATCACCAAGACTGTGGCATTGTCGATTTCTTCCTGTAATTATGTCTGTTTTTACCTCCTGTACTTTGAAATTCTTCTGTGAGTTGCATAAACTTTATGATTGTTATGTCTTCCTGATGAATTGACCCTTTTATTATAATATAATATTATAATACCACTCTTTATTTCTGTTAATTTTTTTGTCTTGTGTATTTGTTTCCTAGGGCTTCTATTAAAAAGTACATAGAGGGTGGTTTAAGTCAAAAGAAATTCTCTTTCAGTCTGGAGGACAGAAATCTGGGTATCAGCAAGGCCATTCTCCCTCCGAAGGCTCTAGGGAAAAATCCTTCCTCGCCTCTTCCAGAATTCAGCTGTTACCTGTAATCCTTGGTGCTCTTTGGCTTGTAGATATATCAATCTAATCTCTGCCTCCATCATTACATAACCTTCCTCACCCTGTGTACCTCTGTGTCTGTGTGGCCATATTTTTCCCTTCTTATAAAGACACCAATCATTGGATTAGGGCCCACCCCAATCCACCATGACCTCAGCAAAATTTGATTACCTCAGTAAAGATCTGATTTCTAAATAAGGTCACATTCATGGTTACCAGGGGTTAGGATATCTTTTTAGGAGACACAATTTTGAGATTTTGAAATCTATTTTGCCTGAGGATAGTATAGCCACATGAACCTTTTCATGCTTTTCATTTGAATAGTATATATATTTTTCATTCATTTACCTAGAGCATATCTGTGTCTTAAGAATTACAGTGTGTCTCTTGTTAGTTTATAAACTGCATTCTGACTATTGCTGCCTTCTGACTGAATTGTTTAATCCATTAATATCTAATGTAATTATTGATATGTTTGGGTAAGTCTACCATTTTATTATTTGTGTTTTACTTGTCTCCTCTGAGTTTTTTTGCAATTTTTTTTAGTTGTGTGTGTGTATGTGGAGAGTATATATTTGTACTATGTATATAAGTTGACAAATAATAATTGCATTTATTTATGGTGGTGTTTTAGCCTATGTTCTTCATTTCTTGCCTTTACAAATTATTTGAATATTCTAAATTTCATTTACATTTTCTTATTGGCTTTACAGCTATGCATCTTTGCTTTTTTTTTTTTTTTTTGAGACAGGGTCTTATTCTGTTGCCCAGGCTGGAGTGCAGTGACACAATCTTGGCTCAATGCAACCTTGACCTCGTGGGCTCAGGCGATCCTCCCACCTCAGCCTCCCGAGTAGCTGAGACTACAGGTGCATGTGCCACAATGCTCAGCTAATTTTTGTACTTTTTGTAGAGATAGGGTTTTGCTATGTTGCCCATGCTGGTCTTGAACTCCTGGGCTCAAGTAATCCAACTGCCTTGGCCTCCCAAGTGCTAGGATTATAGGCGTGTGCCATCGTACCTGGCATCCACATTTTCTTTTAGTAGCTGAATAGTGATTACAAAATATATCCTTAACTTTTCACATTTAACATGGTAACAGAATAACACTGCTTAAAACATGAAAAATTTGCAAATACACAGGGTCGTCTCCACCCCTTACCCCTCTTTGTGTTATAGTTGTTTTATGAATTATATATACCTATATTATAGATTCCTGTCATGATTTTTGCTTTAAACAGATTTATTTTTAAAATTAAGAGAAACAAGAAAAAATAATCTTTTGCATTCCCCCAGCTACTTTTTTTCCCATTTCCGATGCTCTTTATTCTTCTCTGAGGGTCCACATTTCTATCTGGATTCTTTTTCTTTCAGCCTGAGGAACTTCCACTGGAATTTCTTATAGTGCAGATCTGCTGGCAACAACTTCTCTTAGTTCTCTTTTGTCTGAAATTGTTTTTTATTTTGCCTTCATCTTTGAAGGATATTTTTTGTTGGATTAGGCAGTCTGGGGTGAGAGGCATTTTTTCCTTCAGCACTTTATAGATGTCATTCTACTGTCTTCTGACTTCCATTGTTTCTGATGAGAATTCAGTTCTTAATCAAATTCTGTTCTTCTATATGTAATGATTCATTTTTCTTTTACTGCTTTCAAGGTTTCTTGTTTATCTCTGGCTCAATAGCTTAACTACGATGTGTTTCAATGTGAGCATCTTCATGTTTCTTCTAATTGGTGTTGACAAAGAATCTTGAACCTGTAAATTTCTGTCTTTCAACAAATTCGGAAAACTTTCCTCCATTATTACTTTAAATTTTTTTCTACCTCTTTCTCCTGTGGCTGCCTGTCTGTTGAACCATTTGTGTTATTTAAGAGGTCCCTTGTTCATTTTTAAAAATCTTTTTTCTTTCCTCTTCATCTCCTTAGATAATTTTATTGATTTATTTCCAAGTTCATTTACTCTTTGTTTTGTTTTGTTTTTTGGACATCTCCGTTTGGTTACTAAGTATATCCAATAATTCTAAAACTTCAGATATTATATTTTTTTAGTTCTAGAATTTCCTTTTGGTCCTTTTTTGTTTAAATGTCTTTGATGAATTTTCCTATATTTTATTCATCAAGAGCGTATTTTGCTTTACTGTATCAAGGATGGTTAAAAGAACGGCTTTAACATTATTCTCTGTTGGTTTCAACATCTGGTTCATCTCAGGGTCAGATGTGGTTGGCTTTCTTTTCCCTTGAGAGTTGGCTCCATTTCTTGATACTTCATATGTCAAATTATTTTGGATTGTATCCTGTATATTATGAATGTGAGATTGTGAAGAGTCTGATTTCTGCTATTTTTCTCTAACACGTGTTGATCCCTTTGCTTTCTCAGGCAATTTTCTTGGCTGGGCTTGAAGTGCAAACTCTGTTTCTGTGAGCAGCAGCTCTGGTCTTGATTCGAATCATTTGCTTAGCTGAGCTTCTTTATTCTGTCCCAGGCATGCATAGTTCAGAGATCAGCCTAAGATATGGGCAGACAGAATTTAGGGATCGTTTTTTCTATCTCCTTTCTCTTTCCTTCCAGGATTCTTCTACTTGCTTCGGTAGCAGTTTTTCAGTTTTACTTTTCTGATTCTGCTGACCAGAAAGGCTGAAGGTTTTCCATCAGTGCTCTTGCTACTGGGCTGCCAAATGCCTAATAGACCTCATTAGTCTGACTAAGAGTTGGCAAAATGCAGAACTCCTCACGGTGCTCCTCTTCTTCAAGCATTGACTCCCTGCAAGAGTCAATCTGCTTCTGTTCACACTCCAGTCATGTCAGGTGGTTGTTTTCATATTATTATGAATACATCCAGGGTTTGTCATTGTTTCTAGGAGAAGAGGAGGACAGGCATCCTCTGGGAGGGACTTATTCTGTCGCCACCAGAAGCTGGAAATCCATTTGTCCTGCAGTATTGTTTCTAGGAGTAAAAAGTTAGAAACAACTGAAAATACATCAAGAAAAGAGTGATTAAAGAGACTGTGGGTCATTATTCTCTGAAATACTATGGAACAATTTAAAAGAGTAAAGCCAATCTAACTACTAAAAGAGGTAGATCTCCAGGACATAGACTTAGGCTTAAAAGCAAGTTTCAGAACTGTTTGTATAGCCTGCATAGTGGATGCTGTGATGTGCCTCCTAGGTCTTCTCTTCAGGATCAATGCACATTTCTCCTGCTGCTAGGAGCATTGGCTGCTGAAGGATCACTACAGAGTCCCTCCCTAGGAATTGTCCTCAGCTGAAGGGAGTCATATTTTCTAAATTGTGCATCCTCCTCAGGGCTAGCTCACATTCAATGATTGGTGAATGTGAGGATATAATATTCCAGCCCCCTTGCTTCAATTTGGGTCAACTCTGAAAGCCTATCCTAGTTTTAGTGCCCATGAGATTAGCTGGAACATCCTCTGTATTTTTGTCACAGTTCAACGTGCTCTTCAGCCCAGCTGCTTCCCTCACTCCCCTACAGGTGCTGTTCCATCAGTTCATTTCCCCCCATTCAATCTTCTGCATACGTTTCATTGTTCAGCTCCCACTTATAATTGAGAACATGCAGTATTTGGTTTTCTGTTCCTATGTTAGTTTGCCGAGGATAATGGCTTCCAGCTCCATCCCTGTCCCTGCAAAGGACATGATGTCATTCCTTTTTATGGGTGCATAGTATTCCATGGTGTATATGTACCACATTTTCTTTGTCCAGTCTATCATTGATGGGCGGGGCATTTGGGGGTTATTGGGTTGATATGTGCAGCAAACCACCATGGCATACATTTACGTATGTAACAAACCTGCACATCCTGCACATGTATCCCAGAACTTAAATAAAATAAATTTTGTTACAAAACCTTCTGCATACAGGCCAGGCATGGTGGCTCACACCTGTAATCCTAGCACTTTGGGAGGCTGAGGCGGTTGGATCACCTGAGGTCAGGAGTTTGAGACCAGCCTGGCCAACATTACAAGACCCTAAAAATACAAAAATTAGCTGGGCGTGGTGGCAGGTGCCTATAATCCCAGCTACTCTGGAGGCTGAGGCAGGAGAATCCCTTGAACCCCGGGAGGTGGAGGTTGAATTGAGCCGAGATCGCACCACTTCACTCCAGCCTGGGCGAAAGAGTGAAACTCCGTCTCAAAAAGAAAAAAAAACCTTCTGCACACAAATTTCAATCTCAGAAGCTATTTACTGGGCAACCTGACTTAAGGCAGCTCAAGGCCTTTCAGGTAAACAAACAAATAACTCACAAACAAAACATGCTTCTGTAGGTACTTCTACATATGTAAAAGCATGGGAAAAGTTCCGGAAGAGTACAGGTGAAAACAGTAGCAGTTACCTGTAGTGAGGAAGTAGGAGGGTGGAGGGTAAGCAAGAGATACATTAATTTATGTTTACTGCTTAAATTTGTTATGACTCAAATATATTTATGTATCTTTGTGGAATTGAAAACAAATACAATTATAAAAAATAAAAGATAACCTTCAATCCACATCTTCATCCCAGATCCTTCAAAGCGTGAGCTCTAGGACCATGTACCCAACTGATTAGTGTACACTCCCACTCTGGTGGCCCTCAGAATTTTCACCCTCAAGCATCTCAACACAAACTCAACATCTCCTGCCTCCAGTTTTTTTCACGTATTTTCTCTCTTAGTGAATGAGAACATCACCCACTTAGCTGATTGCACAAACAAGGAATGTCAGAGTCGTTTTGTACTTTTCTTTTCTTTTTTTCCTCACTGCTCCACTTCCAACCCATGTTCAAGTCCTGGTTATTCCATCTTCTCATTATCTCTCAGACTCCTTGATTCTTTTTTTTTTTTTTTTTTAGACGGAGTCTCGCTCTTGTTGCCCAGGCTGGAGTGCAATGGCGCGATCTCAGCTCATTGCAACATCTGCCTCCCAGGTTCAAGTGATTCTCCTGCCTCAGCTTCACAAGTAGCTGGGATTACAGGCATGCGCCACCACATCCAGCTAATTTTTTGTATTTTTAGTACAGAGGGGGCTTCACCATGTTGGCTAGGCTGGTCTCGAACTTCTGACCTCAGGTGATCCACCTGCCTCGGCCTCCCAAAGTACTGCTATCACAGGCATGAGCCACTGTGCCCAGCCAGACTCCTTGAATTCTTTACATCCTTGGTCGTTATCTTATTTTAGGTTAGCATCCACTTTTGATGGGATTATTGTTCCAGAATCTTGACTTTTCTGCTTGTCTTCGGTCTTGCTCCTCTTTAATCCATTCTTCACATTCCAGCAATGACACTTTTTCCAAATCATTAAGCTATTCAAAGCACTCCTCTTTGATGGGGACCTGTTGTCTTCAGGAGATTCTAAAGTTCCCAGCATGGCATGTTAAGACCCTATTCAGCCAGCATTATATGTCCCAGCCACACTGTGCCTCTGACTTACACACTGTTTACTCTTTTACTTGTACACAGCACACTGATTTGTATTTAGGTATTCTCTTAACTCTAGAGCCTTCCTCCATCTGTTCCTTCTGCCGGAATCAATATCTTACCCAACCTATCTATCCATAATTTACCTGGATAACCCTATTAAACCTTTAGGACTCAATTAGGTCTCTTCTTCCCAAGATCAAGGTAGGTGCCCTTCTTCTGTGCAACCAGAGCATCTCGTGCCAATCCCACCAGGCATTCATCACATTGCATTGCTCTTGGCTGGTTGTCTGAGACCCTCCCTGAACTATGAGTTCCTTATTGTTTTACTGTCTCTTTGACCTTTTTATACTCAACATCGAACATGTTGATTTGCCTGACTTAGCAAAGAAAAATACATGACACCCAGTTAAATTTGAATTTCAGATAAACAACAAATAATTTTCTAGAATAAGTATTTCTCATGCAATATTTGGGGGCATACTTACAGTAAAGGTGAATATTTGTTATTTATCTAAAATTCAAATTTAACTGGGTACATTACATCTTATCTGGCAATCCTGCTAACACAGTGCCTGGCAGAAAGTCAGCATTCAGTAAAATGTGTGTATCCCAAATATATCCAAACACTCCAGTCCTCTGGGCTACACATTCCTTTAAAATCCACATATTCGTATATGATGGAGGGGCACAAATTCCTAATGTTTCCAAGGGTTCCCCAGGATAGATGGGTGACTGGGTTTGTGGCAAGAAAAATAAGTTATGTTTCCTTATAACTTCTTGGTCTGAATTCCTGGTTTGAGGTCAGTTTTTCCCTCTTTCTTCCCTCTTGATGCTGGTGTCTTCACTGATTCACTCCAGGCATGAATATTCTTCCTTTCCTTTCCTTCCATCAAAGCTCTGCTGACAAAAGGCCATTGTGCGTAACATACTGTAGTGGAGATTTGGGACCCTGGAAGGTAGCTAGCATAAGGCCACTTCCTGTAGTTGTAGAGATCATTCACCGCTCAATGGCATCTAGCCTAGGGCCCCAATAGGGGTTGGGGCCAAGCCAGGAGCCATGGCACAGGGCTACTTTTGTTTAGAGGAAGTAGTATCTTTTTTCTAATTTGGCCTAAGGTGCTCTTTAGACTGGAATAATCTTCCGCGGGATGGGATGGGAAGGGTAGGCAATTACAATGAGGAGCAGAAAAGAAATCCAAACTGACTAACAGAGAGGAGTGACCTAGACATTGATCCCCTTTTCCCCAACACAAAACATTTCTTACTGACTACCCCCTAATCAGGGATTGGGATGCCACATATTGCCACTTTTCTTCTCTGTCTTTCTGGAAGCCATTCTCCACCTGCCTCGCCTACCCCTCTCCCTGCCACTGCCACTCCCCTGTCCCTTCTCCTCATCATCCTGACCCTGCCAAGCCCTCTGGCTCCTCGGCCAGCCCCCTTCACACATCCGCATTTGCCACCAGTCTCTCATAAAGATCCATTTATCTTTTGCTTTTTCCATATGAAATTGCCTGGATTTTATGCTTGATTAACTTAAAAAATCTAATAAAGTATTTTCTCAAACAAAGAGAAGTTTCTACTTAAGATGAATTCTAACATGTTTTAGGGTCATTGCTCAAACCGCAGCTACCTTTGAAAGTAACCATTCATTTTCCCAGATATGTTGAATGGAAGAACAGTTTATATATCCACAAATGAGGAAAATGTTAAACCAGACCACATACCAATAAATATGTCTTTATTTTAAGGCTGTACTTTCGTAATAAAGACTTTACCAAGCTACTGCCTCTGGGATTTTTGCTTTGTCTTTGCAGTGGGGCTGCAGTTTGCATGGAATCACTCATGTCCTTCCAGTTGCCATTCAACATGTTATATAAAATTTCCATGCTGGGGCTGAGAGGCAGCCTATAGCTGGAAAAGAAGAACTCAATGCCCCACCTTGGCCTCCGGGACAGAGAGCACCGTTTCAGCTAACTAGTCATTTCCAGCAATAGTATTGCTTTATGTTTCAGTTGAACTCTGTAGATTATGTTGTGTTAATGGACTTACTGGAGGGAGTTCAAAAAGAGAGTAAGCATGATGAAAAGAATGAAAAAAAGATACATGGAGAAAGATTAAAGAAATATATTAAAGGCATGTCTATATTAGGAATATATATGTAAGAAATATATAAGGAATTCATGTACATAAAAGCAACGTATATATGAGCTACATCATATCCTTACATGTAGTTGAAGACTGAGAACTCATTCTGTCTCTAAGTAGAAACTGTCTACAAAGAAAGGGTGGGAAGAGTAAAACTGAACTCAGGCCACTGAAATGGGCTGGCTACACTTGGCATTTGAGATTCTTGATAAAGCAAATCTGTAAAATGTTGTCTAAACAAAAAAGAAAGAAAATTTGATTTTGTTTTGAATGGCAGGATTATAGATATATCTTGAAAAAAATGTTTTAAATTTCCATTAACAGTATTTTGATATTTTTAATGGATTAATACTAATAATAGGCTGGCCACTGTAGCTCACACCTGTAATCCCAGTGCTTCGGAAGGCCTTGGCAGAAGGATCTCTTGAGATCAGGAGTTGAAGATGCTGTCTGCACAAAAAAAAATTTTTTTTAATTAGGCAGGTGTAGTGGCGCATGTCTGTGGTCCCAGCTGCTTGGGAGGCTGAGGTCGGAGGATTGCTTGAGCCCAGGAGGTTGAGGCTGCAGTGAGTTATAATGGTGCCACTGCAATCCTGCCTGGGTGACAGAGGGTCTGTCTCCAAAAAATATGATAATAATAACACTGACAGTTTAAAAGATGTTCTTTTTAAAGTGAGCCTATCGACTCCCTTTTTAACTTCATATCATGAAAAATTTTCAAACGTACTGAAAGAGAATAGTACATAATGAATCCTCATGTACCCATTACCCAGTTTCAACAATTCACCTCTATTCCTCAACCTCAGGACTATCCCCTGCATGCAGGTTGGTGAGTTATGATCTCAGCTGCAAACCCACCCTTCTCTGCTCTCCCTGCCATGCTGGGGCTGGGGCTCTCCAACGCTCACTTTTGCCTTGCCCACTGGCTCCCTGTTGGACTCTGCAAGACGGAGGCTCTAGGCTCGGAAAGCAAAGGGGACTTGCTTCTTCCTACTGGCTTCCTGTCAACACCACCCAGCGATGCTTCTTTACCAGGTAATTTCCAGTTTGCAGTTTCTTTTTTTTTTGAGATGGAGTCTCGCGCTGTCGCCCAGGCTGGAGTGCAGTGGCATGATCTCGGCTCACTGTAACCTCCACCTCCCGGGTTCACGCGATTCGGAGTAGCTGAGATCACAGGCAGGCGCCACCACGCCCGGCTAATTTTTGTATTTTTGGTAGACAGAGGATTTCACCATGTTGGCCAGGCTGGTCTTGAACTCCTGAGCTCAATTGATCCATCCACCTCCCAAAAGTGATTTGATTGGCCTGCCAAAGTGCCGAGATTACAGGCGTGAGCCACCGCACCCGGCCCAGTTGGCAGCTTTTATGATACTCACATAACCAACTTCATTACCCTCCTCAAAGATACCAGCCACAGGGAGCTGGGGCACTCTGGGAGTCCCACCCTTTGGTGCCCCATCTGTGAGCTCAGAGACACTAGGGCTCTTCTCACGGGTCTGTGTTTTAGCTGGGTGGGGGCCTCTCCTTCAAGCTGCTACATTTTGATAAATACAACCTCTTCTCTTTGTCCCGAACCCTAGGGTTTCCTACAGCTGCTACTTCCATGATATCTTAGTTTTCTTTTATTTTGCCTTTTAGTAATCTTGTTAATAATCCCTTTCTATTAAATTCTCTATTAAAATAAATGATGTGGTCTCTGTCTCCTGACAGGACCCTGACTAATATATCCCTTCCCCTCCCGCCCTTTTTTTCTAAAATTTGTTTTGTTTTGTTTTGTTTTGTTTTTGAGACAGAGTCTGGCTCTGTCACCCAGGCTGGAGTGCAATGGCCTGATCTCGGTTCACTGCAGCCTCTGCTTCCCAGGCTCAAGTGATTCTCCTGCCTCAATCTCCCAAGTAGCTGGGATTACAGGTGCCCACCGTCATGCCTGGCTAATTTTTGTATTTTTAGTAGAGATGGATTTTCACCATATTGGCCAGGCCGGTCTCTAACTGCTGGCCTCAAGTGATCCTCCCACCTTAGCCTCCCAAAGTGCTGGGATTACAGGCATGAGCCACTATGCCTGGCCTCTAAAGTATTTTTAAAGCACATTCAGACATTATGACATTTCACCTAAATGCTTCAGAATGCATTGCCCACTTCTTTGAAATTTTTTATAATTTACTTAACCACCATGGCATTAACAAACCTAACAAAATTAACAGTAACTCCTTAATGCCATTTAATAATTTGTTTGCATACAAATTTATTTGCTTTTCCTAATGATTGTGAGATCATCATAAACATTCCCAGATGTTCTTGGGCTGCAGGGAGGAAACAGGAGCAAGGACCATAGGAGGATGGTGACTGCCCCAGGTGAGAATTCCAAAGAGCCAGAAAACCCCTGGGATTTTCACTAGCATTAGGGCTGCACCTGGGGTAAAAAGGCGCCGTGGGAGGAGCCTGGCCCTGGAAGAGTGAGTACAGGGGGTAGCCGGAGGGCCTGTGTATCAAACAGCTGATTTGGAGTGTTGGCCAGAATATTATCGCCTTTCGGCACTGCCTCCTTACCACAACCCTATCTGAAAAACATAAGTGAAGGAAACATCTTGAATTCACATCTTTATCCAGAAAAAAACCTGGAAAAGAGGGTCAGGGACAGGAAGAGCAGTGGAATGCAGAGACAGCTGAATTGGGTCCTTCGTTCAGTTCATTTCAGATAGGAATGGTCTTCCTGGAAGGGTCTGATCAACTCGCTGTTCCCTTCCTCCTGACATAAATCTTCATTGCTTTCCCAGGAGAAATGTCTCCACTGCCAAATGGTGGTTTTCGTAATGAAAGTTTCAGTGATTTATTTATCTTTCCAAGATTCTCCAAACAGGAGAAATTTAATTACGCTTGTCTAAATACTGTCAGTCATCCAGAGCCTTGAAGACCTCTTCACTCCATGTTCAGAACATAACTGAAATTAATGACACAATAAAGAAGCCAAAACTCTGGTCTCTGATAGAGGCAAAAGGAAAAGTAATGAAAAATGATTGCACATACTTTGTAGCTGTGCAGCATTGTGTTTCAGTTCCAAGGGAGGAGGTGAAAGTGGACCCACAGAGTAGGACACATGATAGTATTGGCCATTTTCTTATGGACACTTGTGATTTAAGCCCCCAGGCCACCTTCACACTAGACTGGAAAAACTTAAGGTACAAAGAAATTTAATAGTTGGAATTAGCGTTTGGTAATAATCAATGCTGAACCACTGACTACAGCACTATATTTGCATACTACCATTTTTTCTAGCATACCAAATTAGCTGTCTCTTGACCCTGAAGTCCCAGGCTATCCCAGATGTGTTTCTTGGTTTTTCTCCATGAATTAGGAGTTGCTCAGTAACTATGAAAGCCCCAGCTTTTAAAGGTCGAGCTGTACCTCAACTTACTGAATTCACCAGAAGACTAGCAGAGAGAAGACCAGAGTTACATGTTTGCTCTGCTGCTTCCAGAAATCTGACCTGGTTAAATCAAACTCCCCAGACTCTCAGTTGCTCCACTTGTAAGATGAAATTAGGAGTGAACTCTTGCCTTGTTATCATTATAGGGTTGTGGCAAGAATGACATGAGATAAAGGTCTTTTAAATCTGCAAGCAACTATGTTTTAAGGAGGTATCCTCAGCATTATTTAGCAACTTGGGTAAATCTTAAGTAGCTTCTGCTATGACCTTAGAGAAAATTTTCTAACCCTGCCTTGCCATAATTTAGCCCATAAAGTGAAGGTTCTTCAATTGTTTTTCCTAACCCTCTCAGAAGAAAGTCATATAACAGAGATATAAAATGGGAAAGACTTTGTAAATTCCAGATTTCTTTATGAAATTGTCACCAATTATAGCAGTTGAAAAGGTTGATATTAGTCCAAAGTAATTTACATACCATACAAGTAAGCATAGCCCTTTAGCTCCTGACAGCCACCACTATCTGCTGAACCTGGTTCCTTCTCAGTTATCTATTTGACTTCTTGGATGCACAGCAGAAGCCAACCTGAGTCTGTCTGCTGCTTTAGCATCTAGAGACCCCAAAGCCGTACATCACTTGGAGCAGGGTTTCTGCATGCCCCGTCCTTCAAGCACATCTTATCCACTTTGCTTCTCCATATTTCAGCTCTTTATGCAGTGTATAGGTTAATGCAAACTGATGTTTTTATGACTTAAATGGGTCTTGTTATTCAAATTTAATGAAGATGATACTCTGGGTCTGATCTTCACATTTTATGTCCAGATCTAAAAACTTCAACTTGACAGCACTTTTTGGCACATTAAGTTCCATGCTGTCTTCTTAAAAGTTATTTTAGATTTTTTGATTTTGCTTTTAATGTCCTTGATAATCAGGACCTTAATGGCTAGTATGTTCTCTAGAAATAGAACTGAGTTACCACTTCTATAAATGTATCATCAGTGGGTGTGGAAAAAGCCAAAGTTCCAGGAAGATTGCTCTGTTTCACTTTCCAGATATCAAGTAAGTTCATTTAACCGGGGAAACTTCATTCAAATCCAAACCCTAGCTGCAAGGGAGTCTGAAAACGGAGACTAGAGCTTTTTGATTTTTCCAAGTAGATCTGTTCTCAACTCCCTTGTCATCTCAGCAGCATTTGACATCTTCTTTGAAGTCCCTTCTTCTCTTGGCTTCTGTGATATAGAATTCTCCTGGGTTTCTACCTACCCTTTTGTGGTTTTTCTTCCTCTGCCTTTTCCTAAAATGATGATGTTCCTTGTACTTATGCCCCAGGCCCACTTTCTTTCTCATCCTATGTGCTTTTTCTAGGTCATCTCACATGTGTCCAATTATGATCTATTAGCTGTCAACTCCCAAGTCTGCATCTGCAGTACATATGACTCTCCTAAATTGTAAACCTATGTAGCCAACTCCCTACTAAAATTGTGTGTCCCCAAAACAAAGCAGATTCAACATGTTTGGTATGAATCCATCCTATTTTCCCTTAAAACGTTACTTTTCTCTGTTTTCATTATCCATCCAGCAATCCAACCAGAATCTTGAAATATCAGAGGATTCTAATTTTTATCTGGCGGCTGGCTTCCAAGAGGCAGGAAGCAAAAGTTGCCAGATCAGTTAAGAGCTATGTCTGTAACTGGTGCATCATCACTTCTGCTGAATTAAGTTGCTCAAACTTAATCAAAAGATTGACCCAGATTCAGGTTACCAAGAGTAGAGAAACTGACTATCTCAGGATGGGTGAGTATCAAGTCCATATTGTGAAAGAGTGTGTGGAATGGGAAATGTCATTGTAAGCATCTTTGTGAAGTGCAATCTGCAACAACATCACAATCAGAAATCAAATTCAGACTCAACTAACTCCCAAGTCAAAACATTTAATCATTGTTATACTGCTTCACATATTCAGAAAAGCACTTTCCTCACTTCTAGAAAATAGCTGAAATTAAGAAATTTTGGTGCTTCTGAATTATTAGTTAATTGTTTATTCACTTATTCATCCAATATCTTCAGATACTATAGGTAGCCAGCATCTACAACAAGCCCAGGCATTGTTTGAGTGCACACAATAGTGAATAGAATAGACAAATCATTGGTCTCCTGGAGTGTAGAGTTCATTCTTCCACCATTGCATAAATAGTTTCATTTTAAATGATGGAATCAGAATCAGTTGTTATTAATGGCAAGCAATGGTCAGTTTTTGACCCTAAGGAATGTTGGAATGAAGCTCTTCAGAGAAGCGGAGGTCTGCACAGAGTTTAAAACTTAAGCTTGGCCCACAGTGCATAGCATTGTAAAATATTTAGAGTTCTTGGTGGCATGTATACAAGGAAGAATGTAAATTTTAAATATTTGCAGTTGATAAGTATAATTTATTATATGATAGTACTTGACACATACCAGCTTACCAAGAAAAATGCTTGAACGTTGCATTCAAGCAAATTAATTTTACATCCTGTCCTGGGGTCAAACTGTGGCTCTGGCTGACTGGCCAACAGTTGGTAGGCCAACTGCCAAAACAATCAGTGGGATCACTGTGCAATCCGATCCCCTCATTAAGACAACTGAGACGCTAACAACCAAATCCAATGGACTCTATAGCAATCGAATCAATTGCCCCACAATCAGATAGAACAGCTCTCCAATCAAATTAATTTAATTGTATTTGGTTTAGTTAAGTGACATGGTGCCTGTTCTCTCCTCATACATAGCATGACATAACGCTAGCTTTTGAAGGGATCCTGAAGAACAACTAGTTCTATGCTTCTCAAATTGGGAAAAAACTATGGGCAGTGTACACAGTCACCAGATAAATGTGGTGTGTCTTTCTGGATTGCTAAATTATCTTAAAATTTGATGGGAAGGGGGAGGATACGTTTATATATGTAAACAAGTACACATATATCATGGATTATGTATACTCTGACAACACTAACAAAAATTTCAATCTCAGTGATTTAAAACAGCAAAGCTTATTTCTTGTTTATGCTACACATCCGTCAGGGTCAGCTGGGGGCTGAGTTCCTAGCATTCTTCATTCCATGATTCAGATGAACAGAGAAGCCTTTATCTAGACCTCTACGTATTGCCTTAGTGGAAGAAAAGACTACAGTAGGCCGGGCGCGGTGGCTCACACCTGTAATCCCAGCACTTTGGGAGGCCGAGGTGGGCAGATCATGAGGTCAGGAGATCGAGACCATCCTGGCTAACAGGGTGAAACCCCATCTCTACTAAAAAAAAGTACAAAAAATTAGCCAGGCGTGGTGGCGGCCACCTGTAGTCCCAGCTACATGGGAGACTGAGGCAGGAGAATAGCGTGAACTCGGGAAGTGGAGTTTGCAGTGAACCGAGATTGCGCCACTGCACTCTGGCCTGGGGGACAGAGTGATACTCTGTCCCCCACTAAAAAAAAAAAGACAACAGTAAATCCAGAGGAAATAATGAGCTAGATCTTAATACTCC
This sequence comes from Homo sapiens, assembly GCF_000001405.40. Classification (NCBI taxonomy): domain Eukaryota; kingdom Metazoa; phylum Chordata; class Mammalia; order Primates; family Hominidae; genus Homo; species Homo sapiens. The sequence goes on along the minus strand of NC_000005.10, from coordinate 38,764,560 downwards.
CACCTGGGAGTAGAATATGTCACTTCCACACACACACTTCATTGGTCAAATCATGTCACGTTTGACCCAGCTATTTTCAAAGCGGGGCAGGGAAGGGCAATCCTACCATGTGTCCAGAAGAACTAGAAATATTTGGTAAACAGTAGAGTCACCTGTCAGCCAAAGATGGCTGCACTCAGGTGAGTTGAACAAAAGTTGTAGTGAGCCCTGGCATGTCTGAGGAAGACCTGGACAGGCACTGGAACCTGGAGGAAGGAGAATATAAGGCTCAAGATGGAAAATCAGGAGCCAGATAGCACTTTCAAGGAAAACGTAATTTTAGGCATCATAACTAGAAAAATTAACCAGCTTCCAGAAGCAGAAAGGAAACTACTTGAACATGGATCAATATATGTTGAACTTAATGCTGTTCTCCGTGGCCTAATAGCAAACAGTCTTTTTCTATGCATCTTGAACATGACACAGGCTCATATAGCTGTCGGCTCACCAATGGCAGAGAACCCATTTCTGATAGTACATGTATTTTACAGAAGTTTTGTAAATTTACCTTTGAATTGAGGTCATTGGAATTTGAAACCCATACCATAAAATGAGGTGGATTGGTTGGTCTTGTTTTTGGTGGTCTTTTCTTGACTATACCTATGAATGGTGGCTTAGAAGCCAGATATGAATCAACTCTGTTATCAGAGAAAGGAAACATCTTAAGTTACTGGATTAGAATTTCTAAGCCTGACTTTAGAAAGATGTTGTGTATTAGTCAGGGTTCTCTAAAGGGACAGAACTAATAGGATAGATGTATATATGAAGGGGAGTTTATTAAGGAGTGTTGGCTCACACAATCACAAGGTGAATCCCACGGTAGGCCGTCTGCAAGTTGAGGAGCAAGAAGCCAGTCCGAATCCCAAAACCTCAAAAGTGGGGAAGCCGAGAGTGCAGCCTTCAGTCTGTGGCCAAAGGCCCAAGACCCCGTGGCAAACCACTTGTGTAAGTCCAAGAGTCCAAAAGCTGAAGAACTTGGAGTCTGATGTTCGAGTGTAGGAAGCATCCAGCACGGGAGAAAGATGAAGGCTGGAAGACTCAGCAACTCAAGTCCTTCTACACTCTTCCGCCTGCTTTACTAATAGCCTCGCTGGCAGCTGATTAGATGGTGCCCACCCAGATTGAGGATGGGTCTGCCTCTCCCAATCCACTGACCCAAATGTTAATTTCCTCTAGCAACACCCTCACAGACACACTCAGGAAAAATACTTTGCATCCTTCAATCCAATCAAGTTGATACTCAATATTATCTCTTACATGTTGGTTCCCATTTTGCTCCAGACTGTGTTTGCAGCATTCCTTTGGTATAGACAATATACAGTACTTATAAAAGCCCTTCAGTTACCAGAACCTAGCCTAGAAATTCACCGATTTTAAACAATATGTACACAAATGGTAATGAGAAAGATTTGGTGAACAGTATTAATGGCTACCACAGAGTAGGGTGCAAAGTTAAAATCTTTAGGGTAAAACATAAAGCTTCAAAATAGCCACTAAAATATTGACTAAATAAGGGAATCATAGAAAATGACATGTACTTGCCTGAAATGTTTTATCTTAAAAAACATAAATGTATTTTCACCCCCTTGTCTTTTGATGTCTAAGGGGATTTCTATGAGAATGGGTTCATCGATTGTCATTTCCCATTGTCTTTCTTGCTCATAATAGTTCTAAGTGCATTGTCCATGTGAGAAATTCAAGCCACTAGAAAAGCAAATGGTCTGAAAAGTCCCTCAAAATGTTCTACAATTCTTTAAAAGTCATCTCATAAACACATTACTGGAAGCAATTTTTTAATGACTTGCATTAATCATAAATTTCCAAGCCATTTAATTTAGTGTTTCCACATTCACTATTCATTTCAAAATATGTTAAACATACAGACAAGAATCTATCCTTGCATATCAACCACCTTGTTAGTTCAGCTTTCATAGAAATACCAGCTCTACTTCTTTTTGTACTCATATTCTTTACATTTAAATAATATTTAATTAAGTCATGTTATGTAAGTACAAAAGACACAAACAGTTTTGGGGATAATATGACTCAAGTAGCAGGAACAGAAATGTAAGGGCGTATCAGTGGCATACGGGCCACTAGCGTGAACCATTCCTGCTCGTCAGGAACTAGTAAGTAGACAGCGCCTGATGATAATCTGGTAAAGTGATTAAATTAAAAGACAGTGGATTAAAATTTGGTGGAAAAGTTGAGGAGCACTGATTCTAGTCCAATATTCTTATATTGCAATTAACGATCCTAAAGCTTAGAGGCTGTAAATTATTTAAATTCATTTATTTACTCATCCATTTACTTAGTGGTACATTCATAGGCAGTATAGTATAGTGGATAAGAATATAGTTCTGACACCAGATTGCCTGGGTTTTGATCCCAGTTCTGCTTGTGACCTTCAGCAAGTTTCTTAATGTTTCTTGTTCTCAGTTTCCTCAACTATAAAATGGTGAGAATAGGACCTATCTCACAGGGTTATTGTGAGGGTTAAATAAGATAATGGATGAAAGTGTTATGTAAATGTTAATTTATTATGATAAATTAATTCATCTGATGAATATTTGTTGAATAAATACCATGTGCCATGTGTTGTCCCTTCCCTCATGGAGTTCATAGTTGAATGTTCAGAGTCAGAAAATTGGCAGTAAGCTTTGAAATAATTTGTTACAATTTAGTTACATTCTGTCAGGAATTACAGGGTGGCATGAAGGAGGCTTTCATCTCTATATCCTCATTTTAGTACAGAGTATGGCACATACTAAGTGCTCATTAGAATATGTCTGGAATTAACAAATAAACATATGACTTCCCCAAAAATAATACTTATTTAATAGATAAGATGAACAAAAAGTAAAGTTATCTAATCTAGTGTTTCCAGTTCACTAAAATGCCTTCTTTAAATAGGTTTTTTAAGATTTGAACTTAGGTTAGTAGATCCAGAATTCTAACTTTTACATGATAAGTATTAGTGCATTTATGTTTATAAACTTAGGAAAAATACCAATAGAACATTATTACACATTTGAACCATGACTTCTATGTGCTTCAAAATGAGTTTCTTCATTTGTTGTGTTTTTTTTTAATTATATGAATCTTTTGACTAGCAAGGAATGTTTTTGAAAGATAAGTAAACAACGAAAGTTGAAATGTTCTATTGCCCCCAAAACCTAACCAAACAGACCCACCATTTAGCAGATCTCTGGGGCCTTCTCTAACTCTGATGACAAACACATGAAGGAAAACTTGGGCTCTCTGGAGCTCCTGGAGGAAATGCGGGAGGGATGTGCAAGTCTAGGTAGCTCAGTTCAAACTGAAGATTTACCCCCATAAACAGTGAAAAAAGATGTAATGATGCCAATAAAACTTTTCCAAGATGCACGATATGTTCTCCTGACTTCTTAAATAGAATGTTCTGAAAATTCAGTGTCCAGTTTTAGCATAGTCAATTATAGCTAAAAAATCCTCCCTAACTGGAGTTGTAAAGAAAAGAGTGGCCCCAGTCTATCTCTGTTTGTTCCTATTTCTCCCATGCGTAATAATTTCTGAGATGTGTAAAATGTGACATGACTGACAATGAGCAAACATATTTCTGGTTCCAAACATATACTTACCCCAAATCAAGGCCAAATCAAGATCCCATTATCTGCTAAGTATGCATATTTTTATGAACATTACAGGGCAGAATATTTAATATTTGAGATCTTTGGTGTTTAGGTTTTTTATAGGCACCCCTTGATGCAGATATTTGGCAGTGCTTTGCTATTTGGTTATTATCAAGAATTAACATAGATGATTAAGCCTTCAAAAGTCCATTTTGCTTGTGTTGTAGACTCCTCTGTTGTTCTTTGAAAGTCTGAACTATTAATACATCTCCTCATCTTTACTTATTCCATTTTCCTTCCTCTCTCCCTCTCCGCTCCCTTATCTTTTCTCTATCTCCCTCTCATACTCTTTTTCTCTCCTTCTCCTTCTTCTTCTTCTTCTTCTTCTTCTTCTTCTTCTTCTTCTTCTTCTTCTTCTTCTTCTTCTTCTTCTTCTTCTTCTGCTTGTTCTTCTGCTTGTTCTTCTTCTTCTTCCTCTTCTTCTTCCTTTACCTTCTCCCTGTCTCCTTTCACTCCTCATTCTCTTTTCCCATTTTTTCCACCTTCCCTCCCTTTTACCCACACTCACTCCTCTTTCCCCATCAGCAGAAACCTACATAGTAGCTTTGGATCTTTGTCTACAGTTGTCCTGGCATTTTTTGTTTGTTTGTTTTTTATTTTGTTTTTCCATAAGTTATTGGGGTACAGGTGGTATTTGGTTACATAAGTAAGTTCTTTAGTGGTGACTTGTGAGATCCTGGTGCACCCATCACTCAAATACACTGCACCATATTTGTTGTCTCTTATCCCTCACCCCCTCCCCCTCTTCCCCCAAGTCCCCAAAGTCCATTCTATCATTCTTATGCTTTTGCATCCTCATAGCTTAGCTCCCACCTATCAGTGAGAACATACGATGTTTGGTTTTCCATTCCTGAGTAGCTTCACTCAGAATAATAGTCCCCAATCCCATTCAGCTCATTGCAAATGCTGTTAATTCATTCCTTTTTATGGCTGAGTAGTATGCCATCACATATATATGTGATATATATATATATCACATATATAATATATATGACATATATATCACATATATATCACATATATAATATATATGACATATATATCACATATATATCACAGTTTCTTTATCCACTCATTGATTGATGGGGATTTGGGTTGGTTCCACGATTTTGCAATTGTGAATTGTGCTGCTATACATGCGTGTGCAAGTATTTTTTTTTCATAATGGCTTCTTTTCCTCTGGGTAGATACCCAGTAGCGGGATTGCTGGATCAAATGGTAGTTTAAGTCACCGGATTTCATTGAGGTGTGTCTCCTAAGCCTGCCAACCATTTAGGACTTCAGATCTGGAGATAGAATGATACATATTTAAAGAAGAACTGATAAAAATAAATACAAACTGCTAGTCAACACTTGACAGCTTGCAAAAGAGCTCTCCTAAAGAAAACAGAATTAATGCAGTGCAGTGCAGCAGCGTGAGGAGGTCATAAAATTTCAAACTGACAGCCTGAGCAGCCAGGCAGGAGGAAAGACAATAGAAGCAGCTTGATTTAAACTTAGCAAAGTAAAAACACAACATCGGATCTGGGAAGAGTTGATGATAGCTAAACTAAGAATTAAAAAGTGGGTTCGAAACTTCCTGTGGGATCCCAGGCTTGGCCTGTCTTCCCACTCTGTGGACTCTGTGCCAGCAAACACATCTCCTTTTCATTTGTCAGCATTCTGTTTCTTGTTAGAGACTGGGATTCCCGGCAGTGGGAGAGACGAGCACTGCTTGAAATGCAGGACCTGTATTTCTGCATGGATCTCTGCACGCTTGGATCCTCATGCTGATGCTGCGGGAGATGCTGCGGGTTGTCCCAGCTACCTGGGTGGCATCTGAGAACAAGCCCTTGTCTCTTCCAAGACGCATCTCCCTCGTGGTGCCTCCCCTCCCTGCACATTCCCAATATTCTTTGCCTTGGACTGTTTTCTTTCATTCTGAACTTGCCTGAGCTACCTCTTCCCTTTGCATGGCCAAAAAGTCAAGCATTAGGGCTCTGTTCTTTTTGTAGGAGAGGAGTGTTGGGGGACTGACTGGGAGGAGACAGGAGGGAGTCACCTGGGATGATGGAAATTTTCCATATCTTGGTTGGAGTGGTGGCTGTATGAGGTGGTATGTGTAGGTAAACATTCATCTGGCTGTATATTTAAGACCAAGCACTTCACAGCAGGTAAGTTACTCCTTAAAAAAAAAAAAATAAGAGGGTCTAAAACCAGGAGATCTGGGTTTGAATCCACTTAGGGTTGTTTAACCTCTATATACATGAATAAATATAGTACCTGCCACACAGGTGTTTGTGTAGGTGAAAGGAAACAAAAAGCACTCCGCCACATGTGACATGCTGGGTATAGGGTTTCTACTCAACAACAGGTTACAAGTATCATTATTATATTTTGAGAATAGTAATCTCTGAGCATGGTAGTGATTGCAGCTTCTTTGATTTAAAATCCCTCTTAGCATATTGGAGCATCTGGAGACCATGCTTCAGGGCCTTAGCTCAGAGGTATGACTAAGTGGGTGTTTTAGGCACCAGGACAGGTTAACAGGTGAAAATTATTGAGCCAGGGGCCTCTGGGTGCTCTTTAAATTATACCAGCCAGGCAGCCCCAGTTGCCTGGCCCTTCCACGCAGGCTGGCCCCACCTGTATCTTACACTCATTACAGCCGTGTTTCTGGAGTTGTGGAGGCAAATTTTTGATGAATTCATTTTTGGCAAACAAACTCTACTCATAGGCAAAATATAAACTCTTGATCTATCCACTCATATCAGTGCTATGACTAATGGCATTATCTCAATTCAGCAGTGAAAAATTCAAAGCTTTCTGATTCTTTGTTGACCACCATTAACATCTGTTTTACTATGTTGTTTGGATCACTCTCCAGGAAACAAATGGGTCCCTGATATTTATTGCTGACCTCTACTTTGCATGTAACTACCTAGAAACCCATAGAACCACAGAATTTTGGAGCTCTATGAGGTCTTGAAAATTAACTAAGTGAAAACCTCTTGCTTTACAGATGAAGCAGGACAAGTAACTTCCCCAAAGTTCATTCATTTTCAGAAAGTATTTAGCAACTGTGTGCCAGGATTTGTGGTAGACCCTGGATTACATAACCTGGCATGGAGAATTCCTTCCAGTTCTCTTCCAGAGTTCCCCCAAGCCAGACTACTCTTGAATCAGTACTGCCTGGTATGCATAGATATCTGTAATAAACAACTGGAATAGAACAGTAGCCTAAATGGTGTTGGATGGCTGGAGTGCTGAGTTAAGTCATCAAGGGAGAAGCAGGGGCTCAGCCAGCTGGCACTGAAGCCATGTGGGCCTTTTGCCCAGGTAAGAACCTAAGGCCCACATGCTGAGCTGGGTGGAGGGAACACAGCCTTCACCACTGCCTTGCCTGTTTTCCTCTTACGATCTCCTCTGCTGCATACAACTCTTTGGGGCATCACCTTTGTTTCCTGATTTGCTGATTTCAAGGCTTCTCTAGACAGTCATTCTGTTCTTAATTCAAGTACTTAAGTGTGCAGGAAAGGGAAATACACAAGTAGATTGGCCCCGGTCTCCAAAGCCCCAAATCAGAGACACTGAGTCCATTTGCTGTAGGGGATTAAAGCACACTTTATCACCCTACAAGCAAGTGACCTAAACAAGTGAAGTGGACCAGGAAAAAGCATCGAAGGCCATTAGAGAGATCTACCCTCCATCAAGGGACAGTAAATATTCAACTCATTGGGTTTTTCCATGAGACACAGTGAACTCTGCATTGCCACATATTCAGATATTTCAGATAGGCCACAAATGTTGATTTTCTTAAGATGATGTTTCCCAGTTTTTAAAAATCATTCTGTGTGTCAAGTATAAAAACATCTGTGGGCTCCTGGGTTGCTGCCCCCCATCAACTACTTCCCTAATGGATGGCTCAGATATGGTGTCTTAGGCCATTCTGGCTGCCACAATGAAGTACCATAGACAGGGTGGCTTGTAAAATAACAGAAATTTATTTCCATTCATTCTGGAGGCTGGAAGTCTGAGATCAGGGAGCCGGGGGGTGGGGTCTGGTGAGGGCCCTCTTCTGGGGTGCAGGCTGCTGACTTCTCCTTGTGTGCTCCCGTGGCAAGCTCCCTTAGGACTCTTATAAAGACACTGATCCAATTCATATGGGCCCTACTCTCATGACCTCATCTAAGTCGAATTATGTCCCGTAGTCCCAACTTCCTTAATGCCATCACATTTGGGGGTAGAGTTTCAGCGTGTGAATTTGATGGGGATACAACATTCAGTCCATGACAGATAGTATTTCAAATTCAGTCAGCAGAGGGATAGAGAATGAGAATGGGCTGAGAGATGTTTGGATGCTAGAGTCTGTACCTTACCTCTTGGTTTAGGACAGGCAATGCCGATATTGGTATTGTGAGAGAGAGCTTTGATCACAAAGAAGCTGAATTTCAGCCACACAACTCACCTCTCCCTTTGGGAAAGTAATTTATGCAATCTGAGCCTCTTCTTCTCTATTGGTGATATGGGCTCATGCCATCTTCTCAGAGATTTGTCATTGAATCAATAAACTCAGTGTTGTTGAGTTACTCCATTCAGTCACTTAGTCATTCAAATATTTACTAAGAATCTAACATGTCACATGCTTGAAATCAGTAATGAGCAGAATAAACACAGCCCTGGGTCTCAAAGAGTACACCATGGAGAGGGGAAGACAGACAATGTAGAAAGCAGTAAGCATGCAGGGTGAAAGAGCGGTGTTGGGGGTGTAGAGTGCCACTGAAGCGACTTGCGATCAGACCCTGGACCCTTGCTCGTCTTGTCTTCTTCCCTTGTCTCATGGCTTATGGTGTTCTCGCCACACTGGACTCCGAGCTACCTCCTGAGCACACCATCCTCTTCATGCCAATCTCTTTTTTGTCTTTGCTGTTTACTCTGCTGAAATAACCTTTCACCAGATATTTTCAGGGCTGCTCCTTTACGATGTCCTCTCAACAGTCCTAGTCTAAAACAGCAGCCCCAAGTCCTTCACTAGTCTTCCCTGTGACTCTGCTTTATATTTTATAGCACTCGCCACCACCTGACATTCTAGTGCATGTTTGTTTTGTTGTTGTTATTGTTCATTGTCCATCTGCTCCACTGGACTGTAAGCCCCATGAGAGCCTGTACTTTTGTCTACTTTGTTCACTGCCCCAACTCCAGTGCCAGATCAGAGCCTAGATCCTGGGTTTATTCATCAGACATTTGCTGAATGAATGAAGGAAGGAAACACACAGGGGAACCTAATTTAGGTTAAGGGAAAGCTTCCTAGCAAAGGAGATGTTTAAGCCAACAAATTGGCCAGATAAAGAAGTTATTTAGGCAAAGAAGGGAATACAAAATATTTTGGGCAGAAAACACAGCATGTGGGGAGTCCTGGAGATGAGTAAGAGCTTGTTCACAGCAGCAAAAGAAGTTGAGTGTGGTCGGTGACAAAGCGTGGAAAGGGTGGAGTAAGGGAGAGGGCTGTGAGTGGGGAGCCAGAGGGCTGGAGTAGAGAGCCCTGGAAGACCTGAGAAGGAGTTTGAACTTTATCCCACCAGCAGAGGGATGCAAAATGGTACAGCTATGTTGGAAAACATTTCTGCATTTTCTTATCAAGTTAAATCTGTCTTTACTGTACACCTAGAAATGCCACTCCTAGGTATTTACTTAAGTAAAATGTAAACTTAACATTCCACAAAACATTCTATGAGAATGCTTATAAAAGCTCTATTCTTAATCACCAAAAAGAACTGTTCTATATTTTTAATGCTGTGATTACCTGACTGTGTGTTTGTCAAAATTTACGTAATTATGCATTCAAAAGAGTTATTTTCACTGCATGGATATTCCTCTTTAAAGAAAAAACATGGGAAATGGATATTACTCTCTAATTTTTAAGAAAAACACATGGGAAGTTATTAGAAGGTTTTCCGTGGAGAAGTAGCTCTGTCAGGTTTGTGTTTCCAAAAGATCACCTTGTCTCAAGGACAACAAGAATGGAAACAGAAAAACCAATGAGAAGTCTATAGCAGCGGAGGAGGCGAGAGATAACGGTGGCTCCCACTCTGCTGGTAAAAGTGGAGATGTAAGGAGTAGAGGACTTGAGAAATATTTAGGAAGTAGAATTGGCAGGACTTGGCAATTAATTAGAAGTGGGAAATGAGAGAAAGAGGGAGGAGTCAAGAATGATGCTGAGGAATTTGGCTTGGGGGCGTCTGGGAAAGTAGTGGTTCCATGGAGCATGCAGGAGGAGGAGGAGGAAGAGGCTCTGGCAAGCACAAGGTGTGAGGATAAGGTGAGATAACAGCAGCTAGGGACACGTCAGAGGTGCGCTTAATGTTTTCATCTGCTGGATTGGGTTGTTCAGTCTTATGTAGCTAAGTAGTGAAGTAGCACATTGCCTGAGTGCTCACTTCTAAGGGCCTCTTTGCAGCCATAAAATCCACCTGTCTTATTAGTCATCCTTGTAATTTCACCTTCTATACACTCTCACCAGAACACTCTCATCTTCCAAATTCAGTGCTGCTTGTGTAGGTGATCAAGCCATGGTGCCAGCTCAATTCGTGCAGGTCCAGCCACATCATTAAGCTAGTTATTAAGTCAGATGGTGGACCATTCCTCAGGTCCATCCCTATTTTCAAGGCATTTTTTTTCTGTATCCGTACAAATGCCACAGTAAAGAGACCTGTCTGTCTACCCTTCCAGAGCCTTTAGCACCTGCACTTGGTGTGGCTTGGGGAGTTTTGACTCCAGAGAGGAACGACGAGCCTCCACACTCCCCTCTGCTTTGTCAGCTCCTTTTATTCTCTGGCCCAGATAAAGCTGGATTGTGCATCTGCAGCCAAACCACCTTCTACTATTTTCATGTGGCCCCAATTCCTTGTGGTCTAGCCTGGCAAGGAGGAACCCAGACTGAATGAGTGTGGTTCCTGGAGACTGTAGATTTCTTTCAGAACATTTACAATTCCCAGCCAATGTCATATTATTGATTCTGAAAATATTTTTGTGAAGTTAATTGGAAACTCTTGCTTATATTTGAGAAAACAGGGCTGGGCGCGGTGGCTCACGCCTGTAATCCCAGCACTTTGGGAGGCCGAGGTGGGCGGATCATTAGGTCAGGAGTTCGAGACCATGCTGGCTAACACGGTGAAACCCCATCTCTACTAAAAATACAAAAATTAGCTGAGCGTGGTGGCAGGCATCTGTGGTCCCAGCTACTTGAGAGGCTGAGGCAGGAGAATGGCATGAACCCGGGAGGCAGACCTTGCAGTGAGCCGAGAACACGCCACTGCACACTCCAGCCTGGGCGAAAGAGCCAGACTCAAAAAAAAAAAAAAAAGAAAAAAGGGAAACTGAAAACCCAGAGACATTCTGGATAAATCAGCCTAGATTCTAACTGAAGATAATGGCAGAGTGTTCGTTTCTTATCCTTGCCTTAGAGGCATGTGGCAACTTTACTGGCTTTGTAAATGTCAGATTCAATGAAATTGCTTTATAATGGTTACTTCTTGGTGGGTGGGATTGCGGAATGGTTTTGATGCTCTTTATGATTGTGTGTTCTGCTTTTTCCATAGTAAGCATGGGTTACTTTTATAATTGGGAAGAAAATGCAAGAAACTATTAAAAAGCAGCATGCATAGTATGAAACCATTTTTAAGGAAACAAGTACATGTGAGACTATGCATCCAAATGTTTGCAGCAGGCAGTCAGCAGGTCTGTCTGGGAATATGGGTGATCTGTCTTTTCTTCTTCATGCTTTCTGTGTTTTTCCAATTTTCTGTGATAAACGCAAATTACTTCTGTGATCAGAAAAATATAAACTATTCTTTAAAAACTGATGCATAGCATTTCTCTCCTTGATTAAGTCAATAGGACTCGGAGGGTGAGGAAACTTGGCTTCGTCCTGACCCTGAAAGTAACTGGCTCTGTGAGCTGAGGCAGATCCATTCAGAACTATCCATTTCCATGGCTTTAAACAGGGGTAATGATATCAGTGCAATCTACCCCCTCATCAGTGTCAGCCCTGATGAGCTAATGCATGGGAAAGCATTTGGAAGGAAGATATGAAGCTGCATTCCACAACTAGAACTGCTGTCCCGTAAATATTCTGTTAAATATTATTAAAGCAACATGTTGCAGTTTGAAAGCACATTATTTTTATTTTAAGGAAACAGACTAAATCGCAGCTATTAAACCAATCTCCTGTACTTTGGCATTTCTTGTGCCAACTGATGTCATGTGAGAGCAGAAGGGAAAAGGGTTTGTCCTTATATTCCTGGGTATCTTGCCGCCATCAGAGGAGGTGGCACTGGGAAGGCCAAGGGTCCTTGGGAGCACAGGAAGCCAGGCGCTGCCCACTCTAGCAGGGTTTCTCCCCTTGTCCCGGTTGTGGTCTGGTTTGAACAGGGATTCTGGGAACGCTGCACCCCTGTGCCTCTGAGCCTTGCTGGTAACCATGCCCGAATCTTCCACAAAGGCAGAAAATCAGACCCTCTTGGCTGCATGTTGACAGAAAATCTATGGCTAAGATGGTTCCATCAGGGAACTAAAGCTATTGTTCACTTCCAGTTAAAAGTCATGTAATTATCAATGTTCAGTCATATAATTTTATGGCTATGATGATTCACACAGATTCTCTGTAAGAAGAAAAAAAATGACACAGAGAGAACAGCTTATAGATCTCTCTGATATATAGCTATATGCATCACAGACAGCGAGAGATTTATATTTCTTTGAATTTGAAGTTCCGCTGGGCATTTAAAAATATATTATTAGGGTGATGCTGCCCCCTCTTCCCTCCTCAGAGGTAGAAATGGAAATCATTTAGTGTGGGAACTTAACTCATTTCAAGTTTTCTGTGGCTGAACACTAGTGGAGGAGGGGAAGGCTTCTTTCAAATGCTTCTATTCTGATCACACTTTTGTTAAGTTTTTCTATTGTTAAATGACTCGTATTTTGGTGGAGCTGAGGGTGCTTGAATCACTTTTCAGTATTATACCTGGCTTATGTTTTTCCATATGTCTAAAAGAAATAAAAAGTAGTTTCCCCACTTCTTAAGCAATTTAGGAATGATCTTAGGGTTAGAGAAAACAAACAGAGGTTAAGTTTGTGAATATTAAAAATTAAACGTTGGGGCTGGGCGTGGTGTCTCACGCTTGTGATCCTAGCTCTTTGGGAGGCTAAGATGGGCGGGTCAGTTGAGGTCAGGAGTTCGAGACCTGCCTGGGCAACATGACGAAACCCTGTCTCTATTAAAAATACAAAAATTAGCCAGGCATGGTTGTGCGCACCTGTAATCCCAGCTACTCGGGTGGCTGAGGCATGAGAATTGCTTGAACCCAGGAGGCAGAGGTTGCAGTGAGCCAAGGTGGCACCACCACACTCCAGCCTCGGTGACAGAGTGAGAATCTGTCTCAAAAAAAAAAAATCAACAAACAAACAAAAACAAAAACAAACCCTGAATGTTAGAAGAGAGCTTGGGGTAATCTGATGATTCTCAGTGTGTGTAAGCAGGACTGTGTTCAAGCCAGCCTGGAGAGGTCGCTGTCTCTCTTTCTCTGCCACAGGATATTACATAGGATGGGTCCTGGTCTTGATTCAACCTCCAAAGCTGAGGGCAATAGATATTAGAACATGCGCAGGACTTGCTAAGAGGCTGGAACCACTTTTGTAACTCATAGAGCACCACACACCTTCACCTACATAGAAAGAAGGCAATAATGGGCCAGGCGTGGTGGCTCACACCTGTAATCCCAGCACTTTGGGAGGCCAAGGTGGGTGGATCACCTGAGGTCAGGAGTTCAAGACCAGCCTGGCCAACATGGAGAAACCCCGTCTCTACAAAAAATGCCAAAAAAAAATTAGCCGGGTGTAGTGGCGAGGGCCTGTAACCCCAGCTACTCAGGAGGCTGAGGCAGGAGAATTGCTTGAACCCGGGAGGTGGAGGTTGCAGTGAGCCGGGATCATGCCATTGCTCTCCAGCCTGAGAAACAAGAGTAAGACTCTGTCTCAAAAAAACAAAGAAACAAACAAATAAACAAAAAAAAAGAAAGAAAAGAAAAGGAAACGAAAAGGAAAAGGTAATAATGATGCTGGAAGGTTAGTGAGGGAGAATTTCTCTGAACACAGAATATTTCCTCCCCTCCTCTTAGTCAATGCAAGTGTATAATGGGAGGGGAGGGGAAGTGAAGGCGCTGGTCAGCAGGGGAGAATACCTCTCAATCTTGCCCACCTACTCCAAAGCAAGTTGCTTGCAGACTGCAGAAGCGCAAGGCTGCTATGGGATCAGAGCTAATTCTTAGGAAAGTTCAGCAGATGTTCCCCAGGATTGGGAGGGCATAAAGCCTGCAAAAATCCAAAGGGGGAAGCTGATGGAACAAGCCTCGATGGTGGGTAAGAGAGAGAGCTAAAGGCAAAACAAATAGCATTTTCACCTGAGGTGGGAGGAATGAGTGTCATTCATGGGGGCAGGAAGGACACCTCAAATGACAGCCGGACTCTGGCTGCCTTGAAAGGAGCCAGGCCCCACCAGTCCAGTCCCACCTTCAGGGACTGGCCAGCCCAGCAGAAAGAGACTGGTGGGTAAACTGTCATGTAGGAGCTAAGGGGGTTTCGGAGAGATGTCCCTGCAAGGAGATCTCCAACAAGCCAACAAAACTGGGAAGATGAAAGAAAAAGCCAGGGTTTGCCATGTAGGTGGCACCAAGACTGTACTGCAGCAGTGCTCCTCAGATAAGACTTTCTGCCTCTTCTCCTCTCTCCATCCCCTTGCCCTGGTTCTGGAGGAGTTCGATGCAGCAGAGGAAGTTGGGGGAGGGTGTCACAGGTGAATAAAGAACCAATCAATACCCTCTGCTCTTCCCTAATGCAAGTATCTGAGTCTGGGTCAGGCCCGAAATGGCAGAGGAGAGGAGCTTTGAAGCACATGAGAAACTGAAGTTTGGGTTTAGAGGAACTAGACTTTGTGATACCTGAAAATAAGACCTGCTTGGGATGTGACAGTAACTAGAAGGGGAAAGGTCTGCCTGAGATACTCTTCAGGTGTGGGGAAGAGAGATCTGATGGAGAAGTCAAACAGAAGTCCACGGATGAGAGAAAAAGAAAAATTAGTTTCAGGAGCTACAAGGCCAGCCCCACAATATTTCATTTACCTGAGCAAAGATTGCAGGGAGAGAGGTCTTTGTATGCCATGATTTTGTGAAATTTTTGGAGGTGTGCAGTCTTGGGACTTGACCTATAAACATACTCTTAATTTCTATAATACTCACCGTCTCTCTTTTTTGCAAGCCTCTGTCTGTGATAACCCTGCCTTATCTATTAATATTTCTGGGTTTAAAGAACTTTTCTTTCCCACTTACCAGACAGAGAATTTGATGGTAAGAACAGTCTAGATAGTCCAGAATGTAAAACTGAGACTTTTAAAGTTAGTTTTCTGTTGAAATACATATTTAGAATTTGTAAAATATAACCAGGAAGGCTTTCTCAGAAAGGCAGATTCAGTTTTTATGCAATTCATACTATTTGATAACTAATGAAACAGTGACTAAGACACCAAACTCAGTCTGGTTCTGCCCCTTTTTAATTGTATGACCTTGAAAAAATTACACAACCTCTCCTCACCATATTTCCTCTTTTTTAGTAATAGTAATAGGTACTTACCTTATAGTCGGGAGGACTAAATGAATGAGTACATGGACGGTGGTAAAGACAGTGTCTGGTAACTCGGTAAGGACTTAGGACTGTTAACTATCATTGTAGACACTGCAGGAACCTAAATCATATCTTCTTGGCCTACACCAGAATAGCCTGTGATAATTCCAATGCACATCTATAGCTTTCTGCCTCTTCCTTCTCTTCCTAAGGGTGTTCTCTGGCAGCAGGAGTAAGCTCAGTTCAAGTATGGGCAGCCAGAGTGCTGGGTGTTAACATCCCAGATGAGACTTTTAATGAATGAGGGATAGGAGGTGGAAGATAAATGCCCCAGATCCCCTACCTTTCATTGAGTGGATTCTGAGCCATGTTCCACCCAATCTCTCAGGGAATCCCCAGTGCGATGCAGTTCCAGTTGCCCATGGCAGTAACCCGTTCATCATGTGTCCTGTATCCGCTTACATCTCCTCAAGGCCTCAGGTCCCCACTCCCTTGTCATGTCTCCTGAGATTGCCTCTCAAATAAGCAACTTAAACCCAACTTAGTGGGGAACCTTGAGGGAACCAAACCTAAGACAGTCCTTTTTTAGGTAAGTCTGCTAAGTTCTTAAAATTCTATTTTATACATTTTTCATATCACCTACAACACATAAGAATTGTGGAATTCACAACTAGAGCTCAAATACTTGTTGATTTTTATTTTTTATTTTTATTTATTTATTTTTTGAGACAGAGTTTCGCTCTGTTGCCTAGGCTGGAGTGCAGTGGTGTAATCTTGGGTCACTACAACCTCCACCTCCTGAGTTCCAGCAATTCTCCTGCCTCAGCCTCCCGAGTAGCTGGGATTACAGGTGCCTGCCAGCAAGCCCGGCTAATTTTTGTATTTTTAGTAGAGGCAGGTTTTCATCATGTTGTTCAGGCTGGTCTTGAACTCCTGAACTCAAATGATCCACCTGCCTTGGCCTCCTAACGTGCTAGGATTACAGGCGTGAGCCACCGCACCTGGCCACTTGTTGATTTTTAAATCTAGATCTCCGTTATTCAGTATCTCTCCCTGCAGCCCCACAAGCTTGTAATTAGAACTGTACCCTCAGAACTTCAGACAGATGCATAGTTATCCTTTTCTTAATATTTCTACTCAAAGCACTCCAGGGCTCTTAAAAGGGTTGCGTTTGCTCATCCTGTGCTCCTAGAGCAAAACCCAGTATCTGGCAATACTAATACTCAAAAAAACTCTACTGCCTTACCAACCAAAGCCTTATTCTTTACATTAAATTGAAAACTAGCTTGTTACAAATTAAACTCCAAATAATGAGAAAGCATCAGCAAACTTTATATATTCTATATTAATATATATTAAATACATCAGTCTAATAATTGTGTTGAGATGGTCTGGACCTGTGCTGTCCAATAAGGTATTAAACACCCATGGCTACTTAGCACTTGTGATATGCTGCAAAAATAAAGTGTACCCAAGATTTTAAAGACTTAGTACCAAAAAAAGAATGTAAGCTATCTTATTGCTAATTTTTTTATATATTACATGCTGAAATATTTTTGACATATTGGGTTAAATAAAATACCTTATTAAAATTTATTTCACTTGTTTGACTCTTTTTAATGTGACTACTAGAAAATATAAAATTACCCATGTGGTTACATTATATTTCTATGGGACAGTGCTGGTCTAGAGAGGTCTCACACCCGTACCTATCAAGGGTTACTCTTCTCAACTGCCTTTCATGCACGGCAGTTTTCTTAGTCAGCCTCTAACTGAACGTTGCATGGCCCATGGGCCTGTCCCAGAGGCTAGATACCTGAAGGCTCGATACTGCCTGCTGCTTGAGGCTGGGCTAGGGGCAACATGCCGTGAGGAAGAGCAAATACAATGAGAGCCCGGGTCCTACCTGTTGGTCTTGTGCACATTTGTCTTGGATCCCAAAGAGGGAGTGAGGTCATTAAAGCCATAATATATCAGTAACAAATCATAAGAATCCAATACCTGTGTCTTTGTTCAAATGCCTCTGCTTTAATTTGGTTGATTGGCTGACTTCTGGCCCGTGGTGTGCCTAAATAGTATAATTTCCTCCTGACTCAATTGAATAATTTGAGAAT
Organism: Homo sapiens; assembly: GCF_000001405.40. NCBI lineage: Eukaryota > Metazoa > Chordata > Mammalia > Primates > Hominidae > Homo > Homo sapiens. Next base: position 38,747,084 of record NC_000005.10, on the reverse strand, counting down.
TTGGAATCCAGAGACATGTGTTTGAGTGCAGGCCATGCATTTTCTAGCCCTTGAGCAAGTTATTTTACCTTCCTAAACCTTGGTTTCCAACTCTGTAAAACAGGGATAATGATACATGACCGTGTATTGCACAGAATTACTACAAGGAGCAAATCAGAGAGTGGGCAGCTTAGACTTATGTGGACTAGACTTTAGGATGAGTTCTTAAAATGATAGTAGTTTAAGAAGCTGCAGAAGATTTGATTTCTGAGTAATTGAAATATCCCAGAGAGCATCCAGTGGCTGATGAACTGTCCTTCTTCCCTTTGCTGACCATCTCAACACAAAGTCCATGGTAGAGTATAGACCAGAATACCTGTTACTGTTGAATGAGCTTAAATAAGTATATATGCGACATATTGGTTAGTAAGAGAACTATCCCTATGGGTTTGTTTGTTTTTATAGCTATGCACACATTTTCATTCTTGAGAACCCCAAGGAACAAAATGTTATTGGCTTCCTCTCCAGAAACAAAGAACAGCTGCATTTTTCTGGGACATTTCCCAAGCTGCTCCTTCTTCTGTGTGTGAAAGATGCTGTTGATCTATCGACCCAACAATGAGGAGAGAGACTGAGTTCCTACCACTCTCCTCCACAAGCACTCGTGCAGAACTGGGTCTGCCACATGGATACTCTAGGGTGTCTTATGACCCCATAGCAATGGTGTTCAGTAAAGGGAGCATTACCTGCACTAGCTTTCCCCAAAACACACAGTGGAGACCATAGAGCCCCAGTGGAGGAAAGACCTGGAACATTCCTCCTTCTACCAGCAGTGGTCTCATTCTGACAATTGATGCCATACAGAGTGTGAAGCTGGTAAAGCCTTGAGAGGTGATTCTCAACCCTGGCTGCCCATTAGAATCTTTTGGACAGGTTTTGAAAATACGCAGTGTCCAGGCCTTCATCCTGATATTCTGATTTCAGTGAATTGGACAGAGTGTTGGCACTTGGAGCTTTATAAAGCTCTCCAGGGTTGAGAATCACTGGTCTAAAATCAGGACTAGAAGCCCTGTCTCTCAATTTCTCATTCAGATAATTGGTGAAAACATGGGCTTCAGACTGAGATATCTTTGTATTTAGAATTCTGACTCATTTGTTAATTAATTCAGTCCTTGAATGAACTATTGAAATTCTCAGTTTCCGTGTTTCTAAAATGGAATAACACTTATCTCAGAGCATTTTAAGAAAAATTAAGCGTCAATACTTATGTCTATTTATTGTAAGCAACTTGAGGATAGGGACCTTCTGGTAATATAAATAACATTTAATTAAATAACTGTGATGTGTCAGACACTATACTAGACACAGCAAGGGCAACAATTATATTATCTCACTTAAGCCTCACAAGACAACTGTATGTGAAATAAAGAACAATTCTGTGAGATGAAGAAAATAAGATGCAGAGAAGTCCACTGTGGATACCCAGGATCTACAGGCTACAGCAAAGCTAGGATTTGGACTTCCATTTTTCTGACTTGAGAGTTCATTATTTTAATTGATGCACTACAATGTCTCTCTAGCCTATGCTAAATGCTGCATCATTAGCCCCTAGCATGATGCCTACCACATGAAAGGTACTTAATAACATGCAACAAATGGATACAAATGAAAAGATGTAAATTAATGAATGAAGTACCCAGGTCATGGTAGACAGGTAACATTAGTTCTCTTCTCTATTGATTAAATCTCCCCATTAGTCTATCAGATAAAAAGGGTTTATTTTAATCAGGGGCAACATCCAATAAGGAAAATTATAACATGCCTTATATTATTGCTGTTGCAAAATGAGAAACTAGACTTGCAGCAGATCAATCCCATTCTTTCACATACTATTAGGCGGGATATGATTTTAACTTGGAGTATGTTGATAGCTCCAGATAAGAAAAGCAAATATTGGGCCGGATGTGGTGGCTCATGCCTGTAATCCCAGCACTTTGGGAGGCCGAGGTGGGGGGATCACTTGATGTCAGGAGTTCGAGACCAGCCTGGCTGATATGGTGAAACCCTGTGTCTACTACAAGCACAAAAATTAGCCGAGCATGGGGGCTTATGCTTGTAATTCCAGCTACTCAGGAGGCTGAGGCAGGAGAATCGCTTGAACCTGGAGACGGACGTTGCAGTGAGCCGAGATCATGCCACTGCACTCCAGTCTGGGACACAGAGCTAGACGCTGTCTCAAAAAAAAAAAAAAGAAAAAGAAAAAGAAAAAAAAAAAAAAAGAAAAGCAAATATTGGTTCATGCCCAGTTTTAAACTCTTGTTAATCTTCCAAATTACTATTTGGATACTAACTGTCAGAATGTTTTATGTATTTCCTACATGGATTCTGAACACAGCTGTGTTAAAACTCTGTGGGCTTATTTTAACACATTAGAGCAGCTTGGAATAGTTGGAAATACACAATAAGTGGAGTCAGCCAGCCTGAGTTCAGGTTTTGGCCATCCACTTACCAGCTGTGAAGCTTTAAGCCCAAGCATCTCAAATGAAGTATTCATGGCCTGGAGGTTTGGGACTTTATGGTGGAAGGTCTCAGAGATTCAGGATAAACAAGATTCATTCATTCATGCATTCACTAAGAAAATATTTATTGAATGTCAGGCATTGTCTTACAAGTGAAATGAATAAGACAGGGAAAATTTCTGTTCTCATGGAGCTTTAGATTCTTCAAAAAGAGACATATAAATAAAATAATTTCAGATACAGATTAATGTTATTTTTTCAAATGATAATAATATAAGACTATTTTAAAAGCCTGATAACATTGATTAATGAATGCTGATAGTTGACAACCAAAGTACACATTTTCCTTTCTAATAGTACTTTGTTTTCAATTAGGTATCTACCATTCCTACACTCTACCTATGGAATGGGTCTGGTTGGCTCATACCAAAGATATTCAACTTCTCATTGGTTTAGGGTGGCCATGTAACCTAAATAGTTTAATCAGGGTAAATCTCAAGACTGGTATTCTGGTGTGTAATGTTGGTATTCAAGTTTTTTTGTTGTTGTTGTTCTGCCTTTCCTCTCAGAACCAGAGGATGAGGATGTAAAACAAAAACTTTTGGAGTCATTTTGCCACCAGGATGAAAATAGGATGAAGCTGACATGACAAAGGTGCAGGTAAATGAATTCCATTCAAAAGTAGGATTTCTCTTAAGCTTGCTTTATCTCTGAACTTCGATTCATAAAAGCAAATACATTTCTTTATCATTTAAGCCAATTTGAACCAGATTTTCTGTTTCTTGCAGCCAAAGAATTCTCTAACTGATACAGAATTTGGTACCAGGAGTGGGATGCAATTAAATATAAACTCTAAAACATAGACTTGTCTGAGCAGAGATAACTAGGTGAAAAGCCTGTTGAGACTCAGGCCATATGTCTGCAAGGTATATCAGGGGAAATGGTAGGAAAAATTCAGGATTTTGGATTACAGTAATGTCCTATAATAAAGAGACAATCTTAAGATGAAGTGGCCTATCTAAAAGCAGAGAAGGAAAAAATATGGCCTTACTTAGGAAGACCCTCTCTGAGTATGAACTGCAATCCAAAATGACTAGAATCTAGTGGTGTTGCAAAGACTGAATACTCCACTCCAAGTTAAGGTTCATACATGTAAAAACAGGAGGTAAGATGGGTGCAACAGACAACACTAACCCTTCAGGCTACTCCCAAATACTTCCTACTGAAAAGTCTCCATCTGACAAAGCAAACAAGTACAGTTGTGATAGAACCTGTATTAGTCTCTTCTGCATTGCTATAAAGGAATACCTGAGGCTGGGTAATTTATAAAGAAAACACATTTCTTTTGGCTCACATTTTCTGCAGGCTGTACAGGAAGCATGGTGCCAGCATCTGCCTCTGGTGAGAGTGTCAGGAAGCTCACAGTCATGGCAGAAGGCAAAGGGGAACCAGTGTTTCACATGGTGAGACAGGAAGCAAGCAGGGGGTGGGGGAAAGTGCCACATTCTTTTAAACAACCAGATCTCCCATAAACTCAGAGTGAGAACTCACTCATTACCACGAGGAAGGCACCAAGCCATTCATGAGGAATCCACCCCCATGACCCAAACACCTGCTACTAGGCTCCACCACCAACATTAAGGATCGTATTTCAACATGAAATTTGGAGGGAACAAAACATTCAAACCGTATCAGAACCTGAGGGCAGGGAGCAAATCATTATACTCCAAGTTATTGTCAGAAACTTCCAGAAGAAGAGCCAAGATAAAAGTGGCAATTACACTAAAGCCTGACGGGATGATGATATAACAGAGGCCTGTTTTTAGACAGTGGAAATTCCTGTCTCAAATAGAATGAGCAGAGACAGGCTTTCTGTCTATGGTTTCCAGCCCGTGGAAGTGATTTGTCAAATATACTGATGATAATTAAGTTTTGTAAAAAGCTATTGTATTAGTCTGTTTTCACGCTGCTATGAAGACATACCCAAGACTGGGTGATTTATAAAGGAAAGAGTTTTTTGCTTTTTTTTTTTTTTTTTTTGAGACGGAGTCTCTCTGTGTCGCCCAGGCTGGAGTGCAGTGGCGCAATCTTGGCTCACTGCAAGCCCCACCTCCCAGGTTCACGCCATTCTCCTGCCTCAGCCTCCTGAGTAGCTGGGACTTCAGGCACCCGCCACCACATCTGGCTAACGTTTTTGTATTTTTAGTAGAGATGGGGTTTCACCGTGTTAGCCAGGATGGTCTCGATCTCCTGACCTCATGATCCACCCGCCTTGGCCCCCCAAAGTGCTGGGATTACAGGCGTGAGCCACCGCCCCTGGCCAAAGGAAAGAGTTTTAATGCACTCACAGTTCCTCATGGGTGGAGGCCTCAGGAAACTTACAATCATGGCAGAAGGGGAGGCAAACATGTCCTTCTTCACATGGCAGCAGAGAGAAGAAAAATGAGTGCCCAGCAAAGGGGGAAGCCCCTTATAAAACCATCGGAACTCGTGAGAACTAACTCACTGTCACCACAACAGGATGGGGGAACTGCCCCCCATTATTCAGTTATCTCCACCTAGTCCCTCCCATAACACATGGGGATTATGGGAACTATAATTCAAGATCAGATTTGGGTGGGGACACAGCCAAACTATATCAGCTATATTGCTAAAGAAATCCCAATCCTGGACAACCACAGTCCATGTCTGCTCAAGCCCTAAGGCAATCTCAGGCTCTGTAAAGTTACACACACAGAAAAGGAAAAGGGGATGCTAAAGTTATGCAGCCCCTGGGAAGGGAAACTTCTCTAGATATGGCTATGGAGGTCAATGAACAGAGAAGAGTCTCCCAGAGATGAAAACTGGAGGCTGCCAGATTGCTTGACCTCCCCCACTGTCAGAGCATTATCAGACCATAATGCTGAAAGAAAGAAAGAATATCCTCAGTATCAGCATCTCTAAGTCAGAAGCTCAAGATTCACCCTGACTGATTGGATCGTTTAAGTCATGTTCTCATCCCAAGTCACATACCCATCCTAGGGGATTACGTCTTGTATGTACTAATGTCCTGTGTGTGTGTGTGTGCGCGCGCACGCACACGTGTGCGTGTTTTCTCAATTCTCTTTGTAATTGACATTTTTTATTGAAGTCATTCTTGTTCTTCTCTTTATTGTGTATTGGATGTGTGGGTGATTGATAAATTTGCTATAGCCATAGTTTTGTCTAACCACAAAGAACTACATCCAAAATGAAGTAAGATTTCATATTATCCAGAAGTCCTGGACTTGGAGACAGATGCTGTAACTGGATAATACTTTGGTTGTGTATTTTTAGGAGACAGAGTGAGAATGTTTTATTTAGATATGGACATTTTTGAAAATGAATGTATGGAAAGATGAGTAGACTTTCTAAACCACTTCTATGTATCCAAGGATTTAGAAATAATGTATTATTAAAATATTAGGGCCGTGTTTCTGAGAGTCAGAGAAAGGAGTTACAAATAAAGGTGGGAAGCTAGAATGAACTCTGTAGTGTTGAATTAGAATTGGAGGTATCAGCATGAACTCATGGCTTTTAATTTATAGATACATATAGAAATATGCATCTATAAATATATGCATGTGTGTTCCCACATGTATTTCTTATTTCTGTCTGCAGAGAGAGCCTAGAAGCAATGACACCCAATACCAATTAACATACCAATTGCCCAGATCTTGGTTTCTTAATACCATTTACCAATAAAAGTTACTAGGTCTCTCGGAGAAAGTGGCTGATTCTAGGTCTGAGACAGGGTAAGTACAAGATGGGCATGAATTGTCTTATAATGCCAGAAATAAGAAAATATACCCACAAAAAGATTGGGAATATGTCAAAAGAACACAGGAGGCTACTTGAAGAAACTCCCTACAGTCAAATCTGGGACAATTTGAGCAATAAGATAATGCTAGTAATGGATTATAATCCAAGGAATAAAGTAAGAATGTGCGAGACTATACTGATATTAACAAACAAATAAATGGGAGAGAAGAAGAAGTACAGTAGAATTCCAACTAATAAATATAAAAGAAATAATGGAGTTAGAAAATCACCATCTGGCAAATACCACCCTAATTGCTTTAGGCAAGATTCACCAATAAATTTTAAAATTAGTGAACAAAACTATGATGACTGACAAGATATTTACATATGTCAAAATATGTCACCTCCCTCATCTTCTATCTGCTGGGTTTATCCCTATTTGAGCCTCCCTGTATTGGTTAGCTTTCACTTCATAAGTTTTATACTAATTACAAAGGAAACAGTAGTGACATTATAGTAGGGAAACATGGCAGGCTCCATGCTAATTTAGTGATCAAAATTTTCATGGCCTATAATGGTCCAAATTGGCATCATATATCTGATTACAATGCACTAAGATACAGCATCACTCTGTAATATTTATTCCAAAAATGTATAACCCAAATTTAAATTGTGAGCAAACATTAGACAAACCCAACTTCAGTGCCATTTCGTGAAATAACTGACCAAAATTGTTTGAAAATATTAAGGTTACCAATAACACACACACAAAAACCTCTTCCAGATTAAAGGAAACTTAACAACCAAATGCAATGTGTGATCCTGGATTAGGTCCTGAGCCAGAAAAAAAGATCATTAGGATAATTAATGATATTTGAATAAGGCCTATAGATTAGATAATAGTATTATGTCAGAGAAAAATTCCTGATCTTAATCATTGTACGTAGTCTTGTTAGATGTCAACATTTGGAGAATCTTGGTGAAGAATATGGAGAAAGCCTTTGTACAATTTTTTAAGAATGTTTGTCAATAAAATCATTTCCAAATGAAAAGTTTTTTAAATTTAAAAATTAAATTTAAAGATGTCAAAAAAACTGCTCAGCCTTTAAAATATTTCCATGCTCCTTCCTTCTTCAAATCCTTTCCTGACCCTTCATTTATTGTAATTCTATACTTATGTTTACTTCTCTATTATAATGGTTTCTATTATGACTCAGAGTTCCATAAACTGGCAGCCTGTGGGCTAAACTGGCCTTCAATTCTTTTCTTTTGGCTGGCACAAAGCCTCCTCCCTAAATCTGATTTGTCATAGCTCCCCACTACTCCTTATTGTCTCAGTTATCAGGCTGGCCTACTCATTTAAGATATTTCTTTTTCGTTAGTTTAAGCCTTTCTACCAAAATCTTGAAATCTTGTGTGATAACTTATGCAAAATATATTTCCATAGATAACTTCAGGCTCTGTTCAAATGATCATATTCGCTGATTCATGGGATCTGAGTTAATGTGCACTTGAATTTTATTACGTTATGAAAATAAGTGCTATTTCATTTTTGACTCAGAAGTAGCCATTAGTCATCAAGTCCTAACACTGATCTTTGAGGTTAATAGCAGTTTAGATCAATCACAAATATATGAAAATGAGGAGATTCTGAGCGATTCTGTATTTACTCATTTCTCAGAAACCTAATGGGTCTTGCTCTAGGGATTGCATCATCTCTTCCAGAGTCTTCTCCTACTCCATAATCCAATCACCTGGGAAGCTTGTTAAATACTCTTTCAAAGCTTTTTTTCAATGCTTAAAAAATACCTAGACCCTACTCTCAGAGATTCAGATTTAATTGCTGTACAGTAGGGTATAGGCATTATTAGTTGCTTCATAAAAGGAGGACCTATGACTTCCTCTTGCCCAAAGCTTTATTTCTGAATCGCTTGGTCTAATCCATTCATTTCTCCCACCACTTGGTCTCTTCTTAATCCCACGGACTTCCAAACTTACTGTTCATGCTTCAGTTTCCATCTTCAATTTTCCCATTGAACTTGACTTCTGGCATTTTCTTTTTTGTGGCTCTCCATTGGCCATAGTAGGGTCACCCTCTGTGAACTGCTTTAGGTTTTCTTAGGAAACTGCCCACACAACTGGCTCCAGAGATTTTGCTACCTCAATGTCACCTCCCCTGTCTTCCATCTGTTGCTGGATTTATCTACATTTGAGCCTTTCCATATTGGTTAGCTTTCTCCGCCTTAAAAAACCATCTCAAAACTTAATGGTTTAACACAATCAAATGATCCTATGGAATAACTAGTATTTCTTCTAGTTTGAGACAGTTGGGCTGGAGTGGAACTCAGTGACATCTTTGAGACCCTCAGCTGGGCTGGCTGGGACAGTTGGGGCTCTTCTCCACATAGTCTCCCATCCTCTGATCGGTCAACCCGGGCTCATTCATGTAGTGATGGGAGGGCTCCATGGAAGCAGCAAGAGAGGGCAAGCCCTAAGGAGCGAGTGTTTCTCCAGGCCTCTGCATGCATTGCATGTGCTGATGTCCCATTGGCAGCCATAGTCATTCACACGGCCAAGCCCAGACTCAATGTGGGAAGGGGCTACTTGCAGACTGAGGGCGTGAATCACTGGTGGCCATTACTACAAAAGTAGACAATCGCCTTTCCTGTTAATTCCAATTATTCACAGTCCTTTCACATGCAAAAATGTACTGATTCCCGCCAGGACCCCCATCAATTGCATTCAATTATAGCATCAATTATGGCAAAGTCTAGGATCCTGTGATTTCTGTCAAGTCCAAATGAGGGTTAGGCTTCTCACATGCACTTCCTTGGCTGTGACTTCCCTGGATCCAGAGACCTGTAAATTAAAGAGATAAGTTATATGCTCTGCACACACTCAACAAACAATAGTGAGAAAGGGATAGGACAATGGCAGTAAATACGTCCCTTAAAAAGGGGAATTAAAAGAAGACATATAGCAGTCACCAATTCCAATTCATAATCCTGCTCGGCACATGTTGCCCGGTCCCCCTATTCTGACAGCAGGATCCACTCCGCTCTAGGGGAGTAGCTCCCAGTCCATTGTTCTCCATTACTCTTGGCTCCTCCACCTGGGCTCTGGGCCTTTCATCCTGAGACAACCTTCTTTTTCCATAGAAATAGCCCATGTTGTCAGCTGAATAGCCTTCTGAGCCTACTCTTTACTCAAAAAAATTGTGGGACCCAAAGTCATTTTTCAATTTGTGAAATCTCAGAGCCTTTTACTCCGATCTGGCTAAGTTCTGCACCGCGCCCCCCGCCCCCACCACACCCCAGTAAAATTCTCTTTAAAATATAGGTCTTCTATTATTTTTACTTAAGTCCACCACATGCTCCAAAGCCACGTCCATAATTCTTTTTGTGAGTGGTCTCTCACTGCTTTGGGCCTGTCTGGCTACTGTGGAACACCTGATGATTCTTAAAAGCCTTTTTGTCTACCTGAGATGTTCCATTGGGAATCACTTTGTAAAACACAAAACCCAAAATTCAAGAATAAGTAAGGTTCAAATAAAGAAGAAGGGAATGTTTCTGCAAAGGTAGCAATATAGGGAGAGTCCAGGAATTTGCAATGAACACATCTGGGACGCTCAGTTCTCCCTGGACGCTATGTGGATGGGTAAAATGAGATGAAAGGAACAAGGTTGAGTCAACAGCCAAAATTTGACAGCTACCATCCCAACATATATTTAGCATCCGGGATATTTTTTTTAATTTAACATTATTTTACAAGTATGTTTGCAAATTATTGCATGGTAGTTATCATATATTATTTGAAATGGCTGGATGGTTCTCCATCAATTTAATGTACAATCATTTACCATTCCCCTGTAGTACTACATTTAGGCAGTTTTGGTTTTCTGCTGTTTAAATAACTGCTATGATCATCTTTATACATTTTTATTTTTAAGTCATTGATTACAATGTATTTTCCAATCTTTCAAGAATTAGATCACCGGGTAACATATTTAAGGCAAGTGACTTAAGTGGCCAGTGTTTTCTAGAAGACTTATACCAACTCTCAACCTTTAATCTACCTGTTAAAGTCCACTTTAACCTACCTGTTTCCCTGAAGCCTTAGCACCATAGAGTTTTATCACTTTTCTTTCTTTTTTTTAAGAATTTTAGCAGACACAATGGCATCTCCTGATTTCTATTTGCATTTTTTAAATTTATAAATTGTACAATCATCCTTTTGTTAATTTAACAAAACTAATTTTCCTTGTGTAAAGTTAGCTCTAATCCTAGAGTGTAAAAGATAAAAGGCCCAGCTGCAAAAGACAGAAATGAAAAAAAAAATCCAACAATAAAAATATTAACACTGGCTTTTTTCTTTTTTCTTTCTCACATAAAAGAATTCTGGGGATAGCCCAGGGCTGCCAGGAACTCTGTATTGTCAGCAACTTGTGCTTTATTAATCTCATCACTCTGTTATCCTAGGTGACAGCTTCTACCTTATGATCTGCGTTCCAGTCAGCGGGAAGGAGATGGGGTGGGAATGTGATAAACCACTTCCCTTGAAGGACATTTTCCAGAAGGTGAATGCCACTTCTGTTTATATCCCATTGGCCAGCACTTAGATTTATTTCCAAGAAGAAAAAAGGAGAACAGATATCATGTTGACCAGCAGTCTCTGCCACAGACAGCTAATCTCCACCTTCCACTAAGGCTGAGAAATTACCAGCATGGGAGGAAAAGGTGGTGCAGTTCAGCAGAAGTAAATGTGAGTAGAGAGGCAAGACTTAGACTGGCAAAGAGAGGCAGGTGTGCAGAGGTGGGAAAATACCACCTGTGCGAAGTCAGCTTCTCCCTGATTCTAGACTCTTGGCTGCTTCACCCTCAGCCCTCTCCAATAGACCTTCCATCTCCTCCCCGAATTTTAAACAGTTTTTAATGCCCAGCTCAGATCTCAAATCTTCCCTGACCAGAACCAGACCAAACAGTCATTTGAACCTAGACGCCAAGCTAAGTCTTCTTAAATATCATTTCTATAAGTCTAATTGACCCCAAGAGATTACAAATACATTGCAAACAGACATAATACCTTGCATTTTTCAGTGACCACCATCCCCTACCAATCTAGCTTTCTGTATTCTCTTATCTCAATTTAGTCATCCCTAGCTCTTCCCAAATATTCTGTTTGTTAGGAATCCAGGATTTTAAAGTTCAGTGAATGTAATTTTCCCAAGAAGGTAGCAGATGTTTATTTACACCATCAGCTTTTGTGGACTTGTAGTTGGTAAACAGACAATACGGCACTAGGATAAGAACACTTGGAACTTAGTAATATGACATGCTTTTCATTTGGTTGTTTTGTTTTAATTTCCACAGATCTGCTTTTTAGATAACCCACAGTTGCCAAATCGTATATTTCTGAGACTCACTGTGTGTGACTTGAAATTATCTATCAGAACACATTATGTATATGGAAAATTGTGAAATGATGCTTGATAATCAAGATGCAATAACCTGTTTCAGGAAAAGGGGGTATTTACTTATTTTTTCACAAATATGTAATATATATTAAGTGTCTGCTACCTACAAGGCACAATGCCAGCTCATGTGGTGTCAGATAATATGGGGGACGCAAAGATGAATCAGGCCAAACCAGGATTCTGCTCTCAAGAAGGTTTTACTCTTCTAGGTGAGAAACACATATATATATGCTAACATATAACCCTTTAATTGTTCCTTTCACTGTTAGAAGATGGAAGAACCCCAGTGGTAGAGGGAAAACCTTGCCATAGGTTGATCAAGCACAAACAGGCAAACTAAGAATGGCTCAAAGCAGACCTTGACTTTAGCCGCCGAGTCACCTCTCAGTCTATAGACTGGGAATTTGGGCCCACTACTTATTTCTCTTCTGTAAATGAGGATAATAACACCGACATCACACTCAATACCTGTCTTGTTAGTCCGCAGAAGTCATTAAAGATTCTGCTGGGCACAACATGCTGTAATATAGCTAATGGCCTCATTAAGCAGACTATAAACTACAACTTGATACAATTATAAATGAATACTTTTTTTATAGCTACAGAATTGTTCAACAGATCACTCATTCCAGATCAAATGGGTCAGCCTGCTTCACTTCCAGAAAGTTCTTGGCGTTTCTTGAATTGTCAGGCTGAGGCTTGAAGAAGGAGGAACCCCTGAATTCCTGAGTCAATGTAACCACAGGAAACCCAGGTGCTTGGGCGTTCCTCTTCCCTGGTTGCCACTAGGGGAGGCCCCCAGACCTAAAAATACCTCTACTGGCAGCCAGGGAAGGGAGTAGGAAAGAAGCCATCTGGAGAGACGGGATGAGAAATTGGGAAAAGAAGGTGAGAGAATGCCACGGAAATCTTGTTTTGCCTAGAGATAGTGTCTAAGGTCAATCCCTTTCCTTCTCCCTTTGTCATGGGAAGTATAGCTGAAGACTGACGAATTACCACCTTATTCCTTCACTTTTCCATATCTAGTTCTTTCTGCTCCACTCTGGGAATTCTGATGTGGCAGGAACAATGGGAAGGGAGGGAGCGTAGTGGGGATGGAGGTGAATACCAGCAGGATCCCTTGGTTCTAGCACCTGAGCTGCTCATCTGGACAATCTAGCACCCTCCAATTCTGCACTTTTGTCATGACCACACTTGAGTAACTCTGTTCCTCTTCCTCCATCTCTCCTTCCAGAAACTGGGCTTTAAAGGTGCTTCTGAGCTATGGACCCAGATTAACTACCCAGCAAACTGAAGTTATATTTGGGGTACTTTTCTGGTTGCTGCCTTATTTGTGTATATTGCAGCTTATTGTGTATAGCAACCTTGAGATACTGAAGAGACTGGGGTACATGGGAAAAAAGGCAGAAAGGACACAGTGGGTAAGAGCATAGGAGTGTCCCCAACTACCTCACCAACAAGAGGCAAGGCCTTTAGAAACTGTCTACCTCTCAGTTGCAAATGATATATTTGGATGGACTCAGGTCATTGTGTGACAAATCAGAAACCAAGGTCTGAAGTCCCAAGAATGAGAGTTGTGCCTGGAAGATTGAGGGTGGGGAGAGAGGAAGACTGCTGTAGTGGTGTTGTTGAAATGGGGGCCCTAGATCTTTGGCTTGAAGAAAATGGACATTGGGATAAGTGCAGTCAAAGAACTGATGATTGACAGAGGGTGCCCCAGAGCAGCCCACTGGTAGGGATTACTAAGTCTCAAGGGGCACATGGGCATGGGTAATTTTAAGAGAATTACATTCCGAATCCTAGTTTCCATATATACTCTTTCTCAAAACTGATCATGTTTGGACACCCCTTGGCTGTCATGCTAGTTCTCATACTTGATTCCTTTTGTGCAATGGCCTCAGTGGCACTTTTTAAAAGGAAAGTCTACCTGTCATGCATGCCAAATCTCACTAGGATGTACTGTCCCCCAGAGGAAAGCCCTGGATGGTGCCAGAGAGGGTCAACCTGAAATACCAATGCCTGTGTCTCACATACATATTTTGCATTGATTTTAAGTAGGAGGAGGTGAAAGATTAACATTATAGTTTCAAATTAAAGCAAGCTAGATGGACATATTTTCTTAAACATTTACTCAAACTCACGGGTGAACCATTTCTTTCAACTTTTGCCAAAAGATTGTGTACTGTAAATTCATGTTTATTTTTAAATTTGGATACAAGTCTCCTGTTTGCTTCAACTTTTCTGTAGATTTAGTGGCACGATGGCTCCTCTTTTTTTGCTAATAATTTCCACAAAATATCATCTTATTCTAGCAATAAGCAACATTCATTCATGATACACCAATTTATCTTTTTATTTAAAGACTAATTTCCTTTGTATGTTTAATGGTTATTTAAAAATGTTATATTATAATGGCTTTATTTTACCCAAGTATGTGCTAATATAAATTGTAATGATAAATCAATGCAGAATATTTATTAACAAGCATAGTCTTCTGGTGACAGAAAATTTCAACTAATTTTGTATTAATAATAATAAATATTCAATCTAGAAAAAATTAAATATGTTAAATTTTAACTTATGAACTTATTTTGCTGCCAAGAATTATGATGTGGTGCTCAATAAAAGATTATCAAGTTTAAAAGGATCTTATACTAATAAAATTCTGTGAGTAACATAAGATAGAAATATGAGTTCAAGGAGAAAAAAATAAATAATGGAAAATTTCTGACTGTTACAAAAGAGCTTATTCATGTGCTTTTTGAATACAAGGAGGTGGGTATTTAATACATTTAATTGAATGATTTAACAGTTTTAAAAGTCAATGTGCCAGAAATTATATCCTCTTTAATTATTTAAACCTGCAATAAAAATTTTATACGATAATTTAAAAATGTGTGATGGGGATACATAATTTTTCCAAAAATGTTAGGAGGTCCCAGAACAAAGCATCCTGTCCAGCTCTGCCCTAGGAAGAAGGAGATGAATGTGGAAAGGGAACAGGGTGGGAGAGGAGGGACTGCCGACTCTGGAATTTTGCCCAGGGGCAGGGCCCTTACCTGTGTCCCCTAGCCTCTCTGGGGTGCCTCTGCCTTGTAGTGAGGGGATCTTGTCTGGCTTTCTAAGAGAATATGAAGCAGGTGAACCTCCAGTACAGACACTTCATTCTGCATAGTATTTGCTCAAACTGGCATCCCAATGGACTACAGTGGTATGTCCTTGACTCTGTATAGTACTGTGCAGTTCATCCTGGAGTGTCAATACCCTACAGGAGAAAGAGCTGGTGGAGTGGGATATGGCAGGGGAGCAGCTAATCAGATGTCCTGGAATGCTAAAATCTTGGCAAAGCTGCCAGACAGATGAAAACATGTAGTGTTATAAAACTGCATGATGGAATGGATAAGACACATGGATGACCTTCTTGTCCTTCACTGTCTAGAGCCCTAGGAGACTCTGAGCACCAAATTCAGGTTTCTCCATGCCTCAGCCTCCCAGGCACAGATGGGCCTTTAACTATCCCTGTTGGTGGTGCCTGCCCAGCCCTCTCCTTGCCCTCATCAACCCTCTGCCAGTGCTGCCCGCTCCATCCATTGCCATCTCGTCTCCCATGGCTCACCAGAGTCTGGCCGCTCGCAAAGGATTTTTGCCAGCAAATGCTGACTTGGCAGAAGGTGCACTGGGGTTTCTGGGTTTAAGAAAAAAGCCAGTCCCATCCTATGTCAGTTTTCCAGGTGCTCCAGAAGTTATTTCCATGGTGTGCCCAGTTCTCATAAAGTCAGGCTGTGTCCCTGAGTGTTGACTTGGGGTCTGGATTGGCAGGAATGAGGCAGTTGGGGGAGATAGTCAGACCCACTGACACACCCTGTTGGCAACAACAAATAGGACACATGGAAATGAAGGGAGTTCTTAGGCAGCCACAGCCCTGTGGTCCCCATGGCTCTGAAGGCCAAAGGAAATATGTGAGAGTGTGAGGTGGCTTCTGCATCTTGGAGTTAAAACAATAAGCTCTTCAGTCTTCCTTTTTCTTAATGAAACCTAAGCCTTCGTGATGGGCAGGTATCACTGCACCACAGCCCTTTAGATCAGGTGTCCTCAAGGTGGAGTCTGAAGTCAGCAAGCTGGAAGCTATTTCCACCATGAGGCTAAGATGTTTTTTCATGACCACTCTCCCTCAAGTGGATCATGGGATTTTCAGAGGCTCCATGATATATGGTGACATCTTCTCTCTGATGACAAACAGAAGCTGTGCTTGTGTGTTCTTCCGTTTTAAAGATGTCTCAGTTCTAATGTGTACTACAGTAAATATCAATAGACATAACTCAGTAGATATCACAAAATCTCTTTGGTTGTTTTCAGTAATTTTTAAATGTATAAAAGAGTCCTGAGAACAAAAAGTTTAAGAACTGCTGCCACAGGTCTTATGTTCCAGAGTAAGCTTCCAAAAAGAGGATAGAAATTGCTCAAAATAGAACAGAATTTGAGGCAGAGTCAGGAAGAAAACTCTGTACCACACCACACTGCCCAGGTTTGCTTCAACTTTAATTAATGGGATGCCATTAATGTTCATGCCTACCGTGCTCCACTCTGAAGAATGTTAGGTTTCCCTGAACAAAGGCAGGAGCAGGACCCTCTGGGACAGGAGCAGATCTGATGGAAGCCAGCAGGAGAATCACTTTGGGCTGCAAGGTGACCACATGGGAACAGTTAAGGAAAAATTTGCCTCATCTCCTGGATTCCAATTGTAATCTAATCTGTCATGGGTAAGATTCCCTTCTTTCTGTTAATGGACTGCTCCTGCAGTCTTTCTAGACATTGAGGGACATAACAGTTGGGGTACACATAAAAGAAGTCTTAGAAGTAACTAGTGCATTTGTCCATTCATACAATGATGTATGTACAGTACCTGCCATGTGCCTCAGACAGGTGTGGGCCCCAGAAATACAGCAGCCACAATATAGACACGGGTCCTTCTCTCTACCATCATGTCCCATCCCCTCCATTTCAGATGCCAGAGGCTGGAGGGATAATGTGACCTGCCCAAAGCCATACAGCAGTTGCAAAAGAAGCATCTACCGTATATATGTCCTCTGGGGGATACAACAGAAATAGGTGGCACATTTATGGCCCCAAATGAGTTTATGGTCTTGTCAGAGAAATGAGATTTATACTCAAAGTAATATAAAGACTTGGATGGCAAAGCCTAGGTATTCCACAGTGGGATAATAAAATAGTTGTTTAACTGCTTTAAGGGCAGTTTTTTTGGGGGGGGAAATCATTCAGGGGAATAGGGCTTTTGATGGTTTTCATTTATTTAATATTCAATTTATCGGCCATGTATGGAGGAATTAAATAAGAAATTACGATGGATATGTACAATCAAGTGGAAAATTGGTGTAGAATTGATTGAGTAGAGACATAGAGTGAAGCTTAGGCTCTTAAGTGTAATCCCAGCACTTTGAGAGGCTGAGGCAAGAGGATTGCGTGAGCCCAGGAGTTCCAGACCGGCCTGGGCAACGTGGAGAAACCCTGTCTCTACAAAAAATGCAAATATTAGCTGGGCAAAGTGGCACTCACTTGTAGTCCGAGCTACTCAGGAGGTTGAGATGGGAGGATCACTTGAGCCCAGGAGGTGAAGGCTGTAGTGAGCCGTGAATACACCACTGCACTCCAGCCTGGGCCACAGAATGAGACCATGTTTTTATTTATTTATTTTTATTTATATTTATTTTTATTTTTATTTTTTTTGAGACGGAGTCTTCTCTGTCTCCCAGGCTGGAGTGCAGTGGCGCGATCTCAGCTCACTGCAAGCTCCGCCTCCCGGGTTCACACCATTCTCCTGCCTCAGCCTCCCGAGCAGCTGGGACTACAGGCGCCCGCCATGACGTTCGGCTAATTTTTTGTATTTTTAGTAGAGACGGGGTTTCACCGTGTTAGCCAGGATGGTCTCGATCTCCTGACCTCGTGATCCACCTGCCTTGGGCTCCCAAAGTGCTGGGATTACAGGCGTGAGCCACCGTGCCCGGCCTTTTTTTTTTTTTTTTAGAAAAAGATTCAATTTATCAAATTACACATGTGAAACTCAAGCTCCTAATTGTGAGGTTTTAAGTTCTACCTATAAATAGAACAAGATCTGCAAGCCTAGCAAATTTTAAAATTACATTTGAAGTCCTTAAATTAATATTTTGTATCACTTATAAATTCAGTTAAACGCCTTTAAACATTTTAAGCTGCATGTACAAATTTAAT
The DNA here is from genome assembly GCF_000001405.40 of Homo sapiens. NCBI lineage: Eukaryota > Metazoa > Chordata > Mammalia > Primates > Hominidae > Homo > Homo sapiens. The sequence goes on along the minus strand of NC_000005.10, from coordinate 38,729,087 downwards.
ATATTTTATTTCCTTTTTAAGGAATTCAATTGCCTGATTTAACAAAATTATCTGATTATCCTGATTACTGAAATAACCTCTTAAAAGTTAATAAGTCACAACCTTGTAAGTATGGTTAAGCTTAAGTTTTTAGTTTTTTGCTTTTTTATTTTATTTATTTTTATTTATTTATTTTATTTTTTTACTTTTCAATATTAGGTAAAACTTAGTAATATTTTCACTTAAAATTAAAACTCTAAATTAGTTAATTAACATTTTAATTGAAATGTCAAGACTGACCTATTTATAACTCACATGCCTAAAATACCAAATGTGCACAGATTCCTAACGCAAAAGTAGTAATACTGTTGAGTTGATATTCTTAAACATTTCTATATCCAATTCTACCTCTTTCTGAAATAAGACTTAGCTGGGGAATAATCTGGGTCAATCTGTCAATTTCTGGGCATCACTTTTTTTTTTGCATTGCTTTCTCCGCTTGTTGGAAGTTGCACAGCAATCAAAGATATTGGCCTAGATCTTTATTAGATTCTTACTTGCTGCCTCAATCTTGAGAACACTCAAAAGTGGTGCCCCTCAGCCATGGCCTTTATGTTCAGGTGACAATAACTCATTCTTTTGCTGCTCAAGCAAAATTTCAACTTCTGCTCAAAATGGTCATTTAATTAGATTTTGCCTTTCTTTGGGTCCTAAGATATGTGAAAGTATCTTATGTCAAACATAAAACACCCTTGAATTGAGGAAAGCCTGTATTCTTCTATTCCCCCTATTTTTAGAACTTCATAACTCTTAGGAATGTTAACATGTGGTGTCTGTTGTGCTAAGCGTAGTGAGTCTTTTCCATATGTGAGAAATAAACAGTCCTACTTGTACTTTATATTTACATTTTGACCCCTTCCACTCCACTCCCTATAATCACATTTTAAGTCGAGGCCCCGGTCTTCAAGGAATTCAGTTGTGCATTCTTTTCTCTAACTCTACCATAAGCTCCTTAAAGAGTTACATTCACTAAATACATCTCTTGAAGTCCTTCTCAGCACCTAGCACAGGATGCCCAGTATATTTGTTAACTTAGCAATGTTTGGTGAATTAAATAAGGTATTATGATAAAAATGTACAATCAAGTGGAAAATTGGTGTCGAATTGATTGAATAGAGGCATAGAGTAAAGCTTAGGCTTTGAAGAAATTTGGCAGCAAAGAGGATGTAAAGATACGTGAGGTCTAAGGAAGAATTCTGTGGGTTGCTGGGAATAAGTGAGTTAGAGAAAGAAAATAACAACGAAGGTACTGAGTGTGTAATTACTATGTGCCAAGCTCAGTTTCAAATGTTTTATATGTATTAACCAACTCATTTAATCCTCCTAACATTGCCGTAGGGTAGACACCATTATTATTGCCATTTTACAGAATGAAGAAACTGAGGCACAGAAAGGTTAAGTCATTTACTGCTATACTGTTTGTATGGTAATTTACTTTAAAATATTTCAATGTAGGCCGGGCATGGTGGTGCACGCCTGTAATCCCAGCACTTTGGGAGGCCGAGGCGGGTGGATCACCTAAGGTCAGGAGTTCAAGACTAGACAGGCCAACATGGTGAATCACCATCTCTACCAAAAACACAAAAATTAGCCAGGCGTGGTGCTGGGCACCTGTAATCCCAGCTACTTGGGAGGCTGAGGCAGGAGAATCACTTGAACCTGGGAGGCAGAGGTTGCAGTGAGCCAGATCATGCCACTGCACTGCAGCCTGGGTGACAGAGCAAGACTCCATCTCAAAATAAATAAATAAATAAATTCAACGTAAACTTCAGTGCGACATTTGTATATATAACTTAGCCCTTGGGGTAGGTAGTTAACATTCGAAGTCTACTAATCAGAAACCTATACCCCAAAGGTGGCTATGTCCCCCAGGCCCCTTCTCCCCAGTCTTGCCTGCTGGTTGATATGGTTTGGCTCTGTGTCTCCATCCAAATCTTATTTCCAATTGTAATCCCCACGTGTCAGAGGAGAAGCCTGGTGGGAAGTCATTAGATCATGGGGGTGGCCTTCCCCTTGCTGTTCTCATAATACAGTTCTCATGAGATCTGAAGGTTTAAAAGCAAGGCACTTTCCTTTTCACTCTCTCTCTCTCTCTCTCTCGCCGCCATGTAAGACTTAATTGCCTTGCTTCCCCTTTGCCTTCCGCCATGATTGTGTTTCCTGAGGCATCCCCAGCCATTCGGAACTGTGAGTCAACTAAACCTCTTTTATTTATAAGTTACCCAGTCTCGGGTAGTTTTTTACAGCAGTGTGAAAATAGACTAATACACTGGTCCTGCTGTCAGAGTATTGTTCCATCTATGTGCAAGGTGCTTGTCAGAGTGCTTGAGGACACAGCAAGCAGAAACCAAGCTTGCAATAACAGATTTGTGGTAGTTTGGTGCCTGCTTGCCAATAAATATTTGTACTTTTATCTGAATTTGACCTCAGACTTGCTGTCATGGTAACATAGGCTTGTTAGAGGTTGTCAAGGACTGCTCTACCTCTGATCACCAGAAGTTACTAATATCTACTACATTGCTGAAGGCACTCTGCAACTGCCCCAGGTCACACATCTGGCAGGTGGCAGCACTAGCACTCACTCTCAGGCCACCAGCGCCCTAATTAGCATGCCACATTGCCTCTCTGGAAGAGGATTGAACAGAAGCGAGCAGGGCATGAGTGAAGGAGCAGGGTTTTCGGGCAAAGGGAGATGTTCCAGGGCATAGCTAGAGACAGCAATGTTTTAAGAGAAAATATTTCTTTCAGTCAAAAAGGGAGACAGAGAAAAGTATGAAGACAGTGGGTATCAGTGGGTAAGTTTAGTGGCAGAGGGAGGAAATCAGAGCTTTTGCCTGGTGGATCACATTTCCTTGGAGAAGTAGAATTCAAGGGCTTGGACTGAAAGTAAAGGTGGTGGGGTTGTTGCAGGCTTAAGTTCAGGGGCAATGGGGAGAAGGTCCCTTCTGTGTTTCCCATGTATGTTCTTATGTGAAGAAGGGTTGCCCGGGCCTAGGAGTGTGGAGCTTGTAGGAAGGGAAGCCTGGGAGGCTAAGCATGGCCCCAGGGTCAAGAAGGGGAATGTGTTCCAACCTCCAGTACCTGTCAAGATATTAGGGCCATCCAGTGGGAGGCCTGAGATACAGCCTGTCCTAATGAACAGCGAGAAGAGGAACAAGGCACAGCCCAAAGGCCCCAGTAGCCAGAGACACCCGCTCAGCAGGACTCATCCTTACATCGAAGGGGAAGATGATAAGACCCTTTCCTGTCCCTGTCCAAAGTGCGCTGGAGAGTTCAGGATGCTCACGGTGAATTTTCAGATTTCCTGAGGTCAAAGAGTAGGACAGCCAGTTCTGGAGGAGACAAAATGACTCTGCATTTTGTTCCTCTGCAAGAGCTGATGAATAATTCAAGGCAATGCTAAGTAAATGAGTTCTGCCAGGCAGGCTGGCTCTGAGCAGGGACCTCCCGGCGGGTTGCCATGGGACTGTGTTCTCAAAGAAAAGACCCCCTGTTCGTCTTATATACTCCTTAGTGTCCCTGGCGCTGATCCCACACAGCTCCCAGGGAACTCCTTTTCAGCCAAGGGGATGAATGCCTGCTACAGAAAGGCCCTGGAGGAACTTCCAAACTCAGGCGGAAACAAGAATAGTTGGAGAGGCCATGTGACTCTCTCTCGGGTATTTGCATTGTACTGAGAGGACAAATAGAGGGGTCTTGCCAAAGAAAAGAAAAAAAGTAAAGAAAGTGGGCTGCCTGGCTGGGGAATCCCAGGGACCTAACTGGTCCTTACTACTGCCTGCTGTCGGTGAAGCTATGGGGCTTCCTTCCCTGCTCAGGGAGACAATCTCCTTCCCAAGGGCAAAACCCTGTACATAACACAGCCCTGACCCATAGTGTCCCCTTCGGACTAGATTTGTTGATTCTTATTTGAAGGAGGAGGAGATGTCAAGAGCCCTCAAAAACGGTAGATGCCCACCTCCAGCTGGCGATAAACGTAAACGCCAGCAAATCAGATGCCTTAGACAGAAAGATGATAATCATATTGTCTTGACTTTACCTCCAAATTCAGCTGTTCAGTTATTATTATTGTATCCTATTATACTAAGAAAATACCTTTGAGGCACTTTAAGTGAGCAAAACCTCATCTGATTCCTTAGTAAGGGCAGCTGTGCAAAATCCTGTCACCAAAACCCATTATCACAGAGAACTACCCAATAGAAAAGCCAATCCTGTTCCCAAGTGGCGTCTCTCTTTGCCTCCTCACCATGTGGAAGCCTGACCTAGTCCGTCATTCATGAGGTTTAAAAAAAAAGATGCTTGTGTCATTAGACTGAACCTTCAGAGTATGATACAGTATAATATTAATGGTATTCACATAGGTTTCAGTATAAAATATTCAGTTTGATAAAAATGTGTTACAGCAACTCTGCCATAAACTCATTTAGGAAATACTGGCAACCAAATCCAGGTCTTGCATGGTACAAGGGAGTGGAGGTTGATCTCAATAAATCTCTCATTCATCTTCAGCAGCATTCCCCAAAACACAGAGTAAGGCAACAGCAGCAGGGGGTGCAAATCCTACTCAGTGAGCCAACCCCCACTGCTGACTTAGAGTTAGTCACTCCTTGGAGTCAGTGTGGACTGAGAACTCTCTGGCCACCCAAGGAAAATTAAACATATTATTTTATTACAACAGATGTCCCCACATTTTTTGTAAAGGGGTGATCCCTTTTATTTTCCCAAAACCATGTACCTGGGGGTAGGAGGCATGATACCAGGGAAGTCACCGTGTGTGTGTGTGTGTGTGTGTGTGTGGGTGAGGGTGTTATGTATGTGTGTATTGGTGCAACAGACTGTGTCCCCCCAAAATTGATATGCTGAAATCCTAACCCCCAGTGTGATGCTATTAGGAGGTGGGGTTTGGGAGCTAATGAAGTCATGAGGGCAGAGCCCTCAGGGATGGGATTAGTGCCTTTATGAAAGAGCCCCCAAAGAAATCTCTCATCCTCTTTCTGCCATGTGAGGAGGCAGTGAGAAGATGTCAGTCTGCAATCTAGAAGTGAGTCCTCACCATATCCTGACCATGCTGGCACCCTAATCGTGGACCTCCAGCCTCCAGAACTGTGAAAAATAAATCTCTGTTTTTTATAAGCTACCCCGTCTATGGTATTTTGTGATAGCAGCCTGAACGGACTAAGACAATTGGGGTGGTAGGGGGAGGGGTCCTTAGGAGGAATTACCACCTATTAAGATGGAGCATTGAGGATCCACTTAATGTAACAAGCAGAGATCAAGCACTCACAGAATGGCTAGGATTTAGGAAAGAGATAAATGGAGACAATAACAATAATGATAATACAACACTTTCTGTGACTAAACTCTATTTTGAGTCTATACATTTTGAGAAATGAGTCATCGGGGGAGAAGAGCAACAACATATATCTAATTAACAAAAAACTCAGGCTGATGTAATACATAGTATAATTAAGAAAAGAGCTATGAAATTGCAAAGGAGGGAGCTGGAGAACAACATTTTGCAGTCGGAGGAGAGAGACAGGAAAGGCTTCCTGGTGAAGTCCATTTGTGTCGCAGCACCTGCCCCGGCCCACCCAGCCTCCACCCAGAGGGACAGTAACAAGGCAGAGGCCCTCACACCTGCCAGCCATGTGGGAGGCCATGGCACACATTTGGAGGAGCGCCCCCAACCTCCATTTTATCCCCTTTCTATCTGGAACGGTTGGAAAGCTGAAAGCCTTCCAACGCTGCCTTGGAACTCAAGCTCTACAGGAAAGCTTGGTTTAGCCAGAGAGCTGCCCTTGCCAGAGATATGGGAGGCAGACAGGAGGCAGAGGCCATTCTCCATGGCTATAGCAGCTGATGAGTGAGCGCCAACAGATGCGGGTGTTTCGACAGCTGACCTCCAGCTTCTGCTTCAAGGGATGAGGTGGTTGAGGCAGCAGCCCTGGTAATTGTGAAAGCAGCAGCAGCCTGTTCTCTGGATGCTACCCACGGTTTGGCCTTGAAACCTACACTTGATCAGCAGCTTCCTGACTTCTGCCCCCACAGCCCCTCCTGCTTGAAATACCTAATTGTTTCTGTTTTCTGCACTTTACTCTGAGAAACAAAGATGCTTTGGATGACTAATTAACAACTTCTACAGATAAGTAGTAATATAGAGAAAATGACAGCTAATTTGGACCTGGCCACAATCACTGCATCCATTTGTTACCCTCTTACAAATTGGCCTCTGTTCCACCATCCTAATAGAAAAACCCTATCTGAGATATCCAGTGACCCCATCCTTGCAGAGAGACCCCTTAGTGACCTCTCTGCTAATTCGTTGCCCCTCCCTTCCTTAATATGGTTTCTTCCTGCATCTGACCTTTCTGTGACTACCTTCTCTTTTTCTCTGAATTATCTTTTTCCCCACCTCTATCATACTGCCTAAGTTCTTGGCCTTCTACACTTCTAACTTTGCATTCTGTCTCTTGGGAAAATACATTCATGCTTTCTTTTGTCATTTCTGATTATCTACTATGTGCTAGGAGCTACAGCCCAGGTGAAGATAAGTTGCAAGATTCTTTTAAGAGAGGAAAGTCAGTTACAGAAAAGGCACTTTCTAGTGCAATGAGCATTCTAGGGAAGGTAGCCATAAAGGGCTTTGAAAATGGACGGTAGAAAATGAAGGAGGCTTCATGAAGAAGACAGCTTGGGAGTTGAACTGGAGAGGACTTTGACAGGTGAAAACAGGCCTCAGGGAAAGGAAAACATTTTAATAGGTGGAAATAACATGAGAAGAATTGAATGGAAGTAAAAAGGTATAGGGCACGTGGGGAAATCCTACTTGCATCCATAAAGCAATCCAGTATACGGTGTGCATCACTTAATGATGGATATATGCCCTGAGAAATTTGTCCTTAGGCTATTTTGACATTGTGTGAACATCATAGAGTGCACTTACACAAACCTAGATGGTATAGCCTACTACACACCCAGGCTATATAGGGTAGCCTCTTGCTCCCAGGCTGCAAACCTGTGCAGCAGGTTACTGTACTGAATACCGTAGGCAACTGTAACACAATATAAATATTTGCATGTATATAAACATGTCTAAACATAGAAAAGGTACAGTCCAAATACAGTATTGTAATCTTATGGGGCCACCACTGTATAAGTGATCTGTCATTGACCAAAATGTCATTTTGGGTGCATGACTCTGGTTAGATTGTGAGTTCCGTGGGTGAGGAACCTGTTCACTAGCTGTCTCTCTTCCCAGAATTCAGCATTGTGCCTGGTACATAGTAGGCCCTCACTAAGTACTTGTGAATGAAAGACAAGAGAGACGAGTGGATAAGTCTAGTTCAGAGCCCAACCACTCCGTTCTGCCCACACTGCTGCAGTTATGTCAAGACAGGGAGACAGAGCCCTGAGCAAAGAACTCTAGTCCTCAGCATTTTCCATGAACCCCAGCCAGAGAGCTTCCTCCTTACTTTCCCTTCTACTCCTCTGTAGTTAAGCAATCCATTGGGTCAAAGGTACCACTAACCATCAGCTAATGTTGATGGTTCTACCTTTAAAATTTATACAGAATATAACCCAGTTCATATTCTGGATTCTGCTACAACCAAGTTCATTGCTTACATTCCACCTTGATCCCTGACAAACACAGCAGCCAGCATGGTCCTTTCAGGAACATCAGTCCCAGCACATTACACCTATGCCCTTCCCAGCCCCACATGTTCTCCAGGGCCTTACATGGTCTCCTCTGTGATATGGTTTAGCTCTGTGTTAACACCCAAATCTCATGTTGAATGTAGTCCCCAGTGTTGGGGGAGGGACCTGGTGGGAGGTTATTGGATCATGGAGGTGGATTTCCCCCTTGCTGCTCTCATGATAGTGAGTGAGCTCTCACGAGATCTTGTTGTTTGAAAGTGTGTAGCACTTCCTCATTTACTTGCTCTCTCTCTCCTTCTTTGCCATGTGAAGAAGGTGCTTGCTTCTCCTTCACCTTCCACCATGATTGTAAGTTTCCCGAGGCCTCCCCAGCCATGTCTCTTGTACAGCCTGTGGAACTGTGAGTCAACTAAACCTCTTTTCTTCATAAATTATCCAGTCTCAGGTAGTTCTTGATAGCAGTGTGAGAAGGACTAATATGCTCCACTAACTTCATGACGAGCATGTACACTCACTGCTTCAACTTCAGCTATTTCCATGCTAGCTAATTTCCTTCTCACGCATGGTGAGACATGCATTTCAATTATCTTCTTAGTTTCTTCTAACTCTTGCCTATTTACCTCATTCAAAAAATGTTATTTCCTCTCCTTTCTTGGTCCCTTTTGTGATCCAAGAAATAAGCTGTATTAAGCCTAATGAACCTAGGAATAATTTTAGAGATTTAACTACCCTGGGGTTTGCAATGAAATTAGATTAAACAAAGAACCTAGTTGGCATCCTCTGAAGTTTTTCAGAATCTTACTTCTATAGCGTATATCAGCATCCCCACAGAGGTTTCGATTGCCTCCTTCTGCTCTCCTAATAATCCTGCTATTCTTTCGAAGGCCAGCCTCTTTCAAATTATGTAATCTTTCCAAAATAACATCTTACTTAGGATTATTGTTTTTATGATTGTTTAAATAGTAATATAGAAAAATAGGGTTTTCTTATTTCTTTCCTTTGCAATAAACAATTTTCAACAGTATAATAGCTTAAATAGGTGATTGTGATGTCACCCTTAGGATATAATCACTGCTTGTCACATCGTTTCTGTAGAAAAACCAACTCACATAGGATGAAATGTGATGGGGTGAAATCATGGCAGTGTGATTTTCAAACACCAACTTGCCTTGGAAGGGAATGTGGGGATGTGCACTGCTGGAAGCCATGTGAGTTTTGAGAGTATGTAAATTCAGATGACTGGAGGGAATGTGGTGTAGTAAACAATTATGCAGTGCCTATTTGTGTGTGCATAATTGGTTGCTAGGACTGAGCATTAGTCACCAAATTACAAAAGCATGACTTTTCCTTCAGTGGATGTAGCACTTTCCCAGGATACACAGCTTGGGGACAGTAGCATGGGTTAGAGTTTTGCCCCATTCGCTCACTCGGTAGAGGTCTGTGTGCAGTGTACAATTTGCACAACTATATGTGGGCCCCTGCTAAGTTATCCAGAAAAATTGCATTCATATGATGTCCTACAAAATGCCAAAATCTACAAAGCAGTCAACCTGTATAGTCTACAGAGAAAGGAAGGACACGCTTATTCTAGTGACCCAGATTCAAATCATAGCCAAAGAAGCAGTGAGGATAAAAGGTCAGAGAAAAAAGTCACACAATCCTGGAGTTGGGAGAGAAAGAATGGGGCATGGATGAGGCAAAGGGAGACAAAGAGGAAACAGATTGGAGAGAGGGAAGAGAAAGGAAGGAAGGAAAGAAGGAAGGAAGGAAGGAAGGAAGGAAGGAAGGAAGGAAGGAGCAAAGAAGATTCATGCATAAAAAATATAAGTTATTTTTGAAACAGTCATGAACCCCCCCCCTTTTGGAGGCATTGTTGTGGGGAGACAGAGATGAGTCCTGATCCTTAAGATTGATCTACTCACATGCAAAAGAAGGAGCAAAGCAATTACACACAAACACACACACACAGACACACACACACACACACACGCAATGAGGCAGCCATCCTTATAAATTTCAAACTGGAGCAAGGCACAAGAAGTCCATATTAGTCACTATTAATAGCTATGCCAATGAAAAGTTCTTGCTTCTCAGACCAGCACACCATTCTCAGAAGCCAAAGGAGGAGAAAGCTTCAGAGAGCTAAAGTTAAATCAGTTCAGAAGAGGAAATGCTCCCAGGGATTTCACTGTTTCATTTCACAACACCTGATAAGCTGTAAACAAGAGACAGATGGGACATTGATTTTGAGTCTGTGTGTCCTTCAGATAATCTACGCAGGCTAGGTAAGATGAAAATAAAGGGACGGGCTAGGGCCGGGATTTTAGAGCTTGAAAATATTTTGCTGCCTGGGAGAGTGTCTGTAAGCAGATGATAATAATGACAGTTGGCTGTAGTCCTTGGCAGATGCATTTCCCAAGCATTTTCAGACTTAATGAGACCAGAGAGCATCCCGTGGGGCAGGACAGTCATGTTATTAGCAGATTACGGTAAGGAAATGGGGGATATCTATGGGTTCAAGTGAGCGATGGGGACACCAGAAGTAAGTATCTCAGCCTGAATCTTCACAAACACTTTTGCTTCCAACTTTCTCCCAGGAGGGGCAGGGGAAAGGGGTGGCTTGAAGTATGAATGTGATTTCAGGGAAGAGGAGAATGATTCTCCACGTGTACATTTAGTCCCTTGTCCTCATATTTGCACACATGCCCATGATGCTGCCTGAGCTGGCAGAAACCACCCCACTACAATGGGGCCTGTATATATTGTACCACTTGCACAATTATATGTGGGACCCTGCAAAGTTATCCAGAAAAAAATGTACTCATATGAACCCTAGTCATCCAGCTGCCAGCACTTTCTCAGTACCCTTCCCTGGTTTGAAGATTTCCAGATTTATGAATCCCACTTCTCCAGGAAGAAACCAGAAACTCACTTTCCTAAGTTGTCTATAGCTGGACACAAGCATGGCCCTGGCCTCCTCAGATAGACCATGCCAGACTTTGATTGTAGGAGAGCCTTGTGGAAGAAAGAGTGCGGAGTGGAGGAATTCTGATGAGGGTGACAGAGAGACACTTAGTTTGCAGAGACAAAGGTTGTGGTGGTTCCAGTGGTAGTTCCCCTGCTGTGCTGTAACAGCAGAGACTCTCCTGGAGCAATAATTGAGGTATTCTACCCAGCTCAGTAGCCTCCAAGCCTGATTGTCCAACTCTGTGTAAAAACCAATACAGTTCAGTGACTACAATTGAAGTAGCTACAGTGAATTCTGTTGTTTGCAACCAAAAACTCTTACTAATTGTCTTTGTACTTATAGGCGATGCAAAAACAAAACAAAACAAAACAAAAAACACCCAAACTTCAGTAATTAAAATGAAATTTTCATGTAATAATTTTAGAAAGGATTTAGGTATTCAAAAATGCTTTTGCAAAAAGTATAAATGTACTTATATTTTATTTTAAAATCAAAGAAACACAATCCCAGAGAAGCCTAGTCATATATCAAGCTGCTTAGCACATTAAGATTAAAATGAGAATTAGGGGCCGGATGTGGTGGCTCACGCCTGTAATCCCAGCACTTTGGGAGGCCGAGGCGGGCGGATCACCTGAGGTCAGGAGTTCAAGACCCGCCCAGCCAACATGGGAAACCCCGTCTCTACTAAAAATACAAAAATCAGCTATGCATGGTGGGTGCATGTCTGTAATCTCAGCTACTCAGAAGGCTGAAGCATGAGAATCACTTGAACCCAGGAAGCGGAGGTTGCAGTGAGCCAAGATTGCACCACTGCACTCCAGCCTAGGGGATAGAGTGAGACTCTGTCTCAAAAAAAAAAAAGAAAAAAGAAAAAAGAAAAAAAAACGAGTTAAATGCAACATTTTATAAATCAAAATTAATGCAAAAATCCATGATGAATGAACAAAATATCAAAATTTTAAATAAAGACAAGATCAGTATTACTGACTTTTTCCCTTTGTCTCAGACTCTAATATATAGTTACTTATGCTGTCTTTAGGGAACTTGCACATGTTATCTTTAAACAAATTAATAGCACAGATTAGACTACTTCGTTGCCTCTTCAAATAATCAAAGTTGAAATCTTCTTCTTCCTGGTATGTGAATCTTCTTCAGCAGAATATATAGTAGCATCTCTCGCTAGAAGCATTCCTGAGCCCACAAATTTGGATTAGATCAAAATTTCTGTGTCCAGACCTGTCTGGATCTTGCAGAAATATTAATGCTGGCAGAATCTCTAAAATAACAGAGTAAACTAAACCAAATTAAACACAAGGAGACATAAGATCAAATTTTAATGAATATTTGGGCTGCTGGCTACCCAGCACTTCTCAACAGGTGAATGCCTTAATAAATCACAAGGATGGTAGTAATTAGTGTTCATTTCACACTATATGCCAGAGGCCATGTTAGACACTTGAAACAGTGGATGCTTCTTGTCACAATTCCCATGAGGCAGGAAGTCCTATGACAAAAGTGAAGATGAAGTTCCTAGTTAAGAAGTGGCAGAGCCACATCATAAGCCCAGGGTAACAAACGCCAGGGCTGAAGTCTCCCTGCCACATCATGCTTTATTTTAAGAAAGTGGACTTTTTCTCAAGAAGCCTGAGGACCGCAAAGCATCAGGCCTGGACTTCCCCAGCAGGCAAATGGATATTGTTAGAACGATGGCTTGGGGAAAGCCACAGCTTCTCTTTTATGAGTGAAGGGAGTGGAAGGAGAGACAGCTGCAGCCTACAAGCCTGGAATCTCTGTCCCACAACCAGCATCCCTCAATTCTCCCTGCCCCGCTGAGGAGTTTGTCTAGTCCCAAAGAAGCACCTAACGTACTTTTATGCTCAATATACAATCCTAGGTGTTCTGATATGAGAAGAACTTCTTCAGAAGGTATCTTAATGCATATGGGGAAACTGAGGCCCAGGTAAGTAAAGTAATTTTCATAGAAAACTGAAACTAGAACCCAAGTCACTCAATCCCCAGTTAAGACTGAGTTCATCACACCATATGGCCATGCAGATTAAGTCCTGAACTCTGTCTACGCAAAAAACTGTGCTTCGTCACTGAGGCTGACAGACCCTCTTCAAAAGGTTTAGTCTGTACATCAAAGGTAAAAAAAAAAAAAACAACTGGCATTTTATAGGCTAAATCTAGTTTGCAGATGTAGTTGGGTTTTTTTTTTCTTGGTTTGTCAAGTGATTTTGAAAAATTTGAACTAGCTGATACAATTTAAAAATCAGGAGTTTTCACATGCAAATCCAGATTTCTGGCTCCCCTTGAAAAAAAATCCAAGATGAGGACACACTGGAACCACTTTCTCACATGGCAGCTATTGGTTAGAGCAGGTGGTGTGCTGAGCCAGATCATACTGGCTCACAAGAGCCAATGATAAAGTATTCAGAAATGCTGTGGGCCACGTGTTAAATGGTAGCTTGAAATCAGCCATAGGATCATTTACACCAGCCATGTTACCACCAGCCATGTTACCATGGAAACATGGACAATGGAAACATTTGTCCATTGTCCATCTGCTCCTGCCCCCCATTGGTCAAGGATGATGCCACCAGCAAAATTCTCTTGTTCTAGATTGCACATACATGAGTTGCCCTGGAAAATCCCAAGTCAAAGAAGCTGCACTGCAGGAAATCAGTATGGTGCAGGCCCCAGGCAAGGCATCACTGACTACACTTGCAAGAAACAAACGCCTGCAAAAATCAGGACAGGATGATTTTGAAGCTGTGCAAAACAGGTGTCTATATACTGGCTTTTTTGAATAGTGTAGCTATGAACATTCTTGTACATCTCTCTTGTGCACGTGTATATATTTCTGTCAGATACACGCCATAGGACTGGAATTGCTGGAACATAAGGCATTCACATGTTCAACCTTAGGAGAAATGGCCAAACAGTTTTCTAAAGTGCTCTCATTTATTTACATTCCCACCAGCCATAAAGGAGAGTTGTGGTTGCTTCAACATTTAGTGCTGCCATATTCTTTTTCAAACCGTCACTTAAAATATCACTTCCAAAAAAAAATAAATAAAATAAAAAATAAAATAAAATAAAATAAAAAATAAAATATCACTTCCTATTAGCTCAAGATGACTGTCAGTTTGTACCTCTTTGGCTATTTGGTATACTTAGCACCACATTTTATATCAGGCCATTTGTGTTCTGTGTCATGGCCATGGATGTGCTCACACATATTCCAGGCTGATGGGGTAAGATCAACAACTTCACACTTGACCCAAGTGGCAATCCAAAGTAAACAAGGAGGAAGGAAGAAGTCAATAAAATTCCCAAAAGAAGTCACCATAATTGATTACATTTCATTTATCAGAAAACCATTCCAAGTCTTTGACTAATTTGAGACTCCCTGTTGTGATACAAAATCTCTTCCTCTGTGAGTTATTATAATTCTTGCCAGGAATATCCAGGGACCTGCTTTTCTCTGCTCCAAGTCTCAGAGTCCAGGCTGTTTGTAACATGTAATCTATGATTGAGAAACAGGAAAAAAGGGAGACCATCTTACAAGGTCTGGTCCCAAACCTCCTTTCTCTTTAATTCCAGCCCCAAATCAACCCTACTTGACTGTTCCCTCATGCCACAAAACAACAGAGTGCTCTCATTCTGAAGTGCTTCCTTGGCTCCCACTGGTCATGATAGAATTCACTTCCCAGTAGTCGTTTTGGCCTGACCTCCAACCAGGATCACCTCCTAGGAGATGCACCAAGTCTGGGAAAATCACCCTCAAGTATCTCTGGCTTCTAAACGTCCATTCCAAAGACTGAGCAGTGAGGATGAATTAATTGCAAGTAGAAGCAGTTTCTATTTAGGAGGCCAAAGAAGCTCCCTGTGCTCTTCCTCTGCGACCTGCAGCGGACAGCCCACTCTTTGGCCATGATGAGCAGAGGCTCTCCAATCCTGCCTCTACCCTTTGTACTGTTCCAGCCAGCCCACCTGGGACAGGCATTCTTAGGTACACTGCTGGTCCATCCTGCCATACCAGACCATTCATGCCATGCCCACAGGGTGGTGTCCTGGGGGAGAGTCCTCCTCTCAAGAAAGGTGCTCTTTCTTCACCATGGGCAAAGGGAGGTCAAGCTGACCCCAACATTTTGTGTTGGCAAGCATTCAGGAGATGCTTAGTAGCTGTGAATTATCTCAACACCCCCTCACGTCCCAAGGAAGAAGTCACAAGTCATAGCATTATTCCTTTTTTTTTTTTTTTGAGATGGAGTCTCTCTCTGTTGCTCAGGCTGGAGTGCAGTGGCACAGTCTTGGCTCACTGCAAGCTCTGCCTCCTGGGTTCACGCCATTCTCCTGCCTCAGCCTCCCGAGTAGCTGGGATTACAGGTGCCCGCCGCCACACCCAGCTAATTTTTTGTATTTTTTTTTTTAGTAGAGACGGGGTTTCACCGTGTTAGCCAGGATGGTCTCGATCTCCTGACCTTGTGATCCGCCCACCTTGGCCTTCCAAAGTGCTGGGATTACAGGCGTGAGCCACCATGCCCGGCCAGCATTATTCCTTTGACATGTATTCCTTCTCCCACAGGGCAAAGCTGGCTTGCTCACGAGTGGGTCCACATATCACACACTCCAAACATGCCAATTCACCATACTTGTAGGAAGCAGGCAGCAATGAGGGTGACAGAAAGACTTGAGAGCTTCATCCAAAAACTCGTTTACTGAAATAACAGCAAATATTTATTGCTGGGCTCACTATGTATACTTACTAAGCACTTTCTATATATCTCATTTAATTCGCACAGCCCTTTGAGGCAGCTACTAGTATTAGCCCATTTCATATCTGTGTCCATGAATTCACCATTAGGAAGTGGTTAAGGTGAGATTCAAACCCAGGAAGTCGACCTCCCAAGGCCATGCTCCCAGTAGCTATAATGTAGCAGGATTTCTTACCCCGTCACCCAGCTGTGCATCCTCAGCCCCCAGCTACCTGTTTTCATCTACCTTGTTTGTGGTCCCAGCTCCCAGACTATCTTGAAAGTGTCTCCAAGGCTTTTGGTTGGGAGCCAGCCCAACCTCTTATCTTCTCCCCAAACCTCCAAGAGACTTTCTAAGATCAGAACCCTTGAAGCATTTTGAGCAGCCCAGTAGCAGAGTCCACACCAGTAACCTTCAGCTACTAGCAGAGCAGAGTCCACACAACAGACCTGAACTCCTCAGCTTCAAGTCCCAGCACCATCACCCAACAGGAGTGAACATTTAGCAGGTTATCTAAACTCTCCAAGGCTTGGTTTCTATGTCAGCACCACAGTATAATAATAATGCCTGCCTAATATGGCTTTTCATAGGATCCAGTGAGCTGATGCATGTAAAACACAGTACAGTTAAGGGCACAGTGAGTACTAGCTTTCACTAGTCATAAAACACCTGTTCAGTTTTTAGTTTTTGAAATCTTGAGGTTAGAAAGTGTAAAATGGATTCCCTTTTAATTCTGGCTTTTCTCCAAGTCTTCTTTCCTTTATCTCCATTGTATTCCCTGTTAGAAGTCTCCATTCTAATGGTGTGAGTACTCAACACAGTGCCTGGCCCTGAGCAGGCGGCAATGCCAGTGTTACTACTTCCTTCTAGCTTTTATTCTCCCTACATCATCCCGATACTAACTTATCCTTTCCCTCTTCTCTTGATATTTTTGTTCACCCTTTTCTATCTGCTTGAGGGAAGCTGAGAGACCTAGATACCATATTTAGAGTGGCTTAGGCAACATCCACAAGGCCAGAATAGCTCATCTGTCCAGAACTAAAACGAGATCCCTGCTCTGCAGACTCTTCACCCAGCCCTTTTATGAGGTATCCAGTGTCTGACTTTGGATCATGATTTTGTCTTACAGAGGGCTGTTATCAATGTCCATTAAAACCACAGAGTGGCTGGGTGCAGTAGCTCATGCCTATAATCCTAGGACTTTGGGAGGCCAAGGCAGGCAGATCACTTGAGCCCAGGAGTTTGAGACCAGCCCAAGCAACATGGCGAGACTCTGTCTCTACAAAAAATACAAATATTATTTGGGTGTGGTGGTGTGTGCCTGTAGTCCCAGCTACTTGGGAGACTGAGGCGGGAGGATCACCTGAGTCCAGGGAAGTTGAGGCTGCAGTGAACCATGATTGTGCCACTGCTCTCCAGCCTTGGCAACAGAGTGAGACCCCATCTCAAAAAAAAAAAAAAAGCACGGAGCATTTTATCAAAAAGCATCAGTAAGACATCCGTGAAAAGTTGGCTTCTTATCTCAGAAGTGTGGTTCTGTTCATGTCAAATATGCATTTTCGTATCTCTTGTAAGCACATATGATTGAGGTTAAATCTCATACTCATACTACTGCAGTGGCTCTTGATCAGGGAGAGTATCAGAATTACACTTCTGAGATTTCTCAAGATGGCTTTAAAATCACAGAACCAGGGATGTGTGTATTTTGATTCAGACACTGTTCCCACTTCCAGACCCTGCTTCTACCTTCCCAGTCAACAACCATTATCCTAGTAGCTTTTTAGATGGTGGGCATCCATCCAAATGAACAGCTCTGGAAATGAAAGCTTAAAAAATCAAAATAGGCTGGGCCCAGTGGCTCACACCTGTAGTCCCAGCACTTTGAGGGGCCAGCGTGGGAGGATTGCTTGAGCTCAGGAGTTCCCGATCAGCCTGGGCAACATAGTGAGACCCTGTCTCTAAGAGGTGGAGCACACTTGTAGTCCCAGCTACTTGGGAGCAGGAGGCAGGAGGATTGCTAGAGCCTGGGAGGTCCAGGCTGCAGTGAGTGTGTATATATATATACACACACACACACACACACACACTACACACACACACACACACACACGTATATATGTATATAGATAGTCTAATTTCTGTCCAAAGACGCTCTGTTTGCTCCTTGATTCTCTGTCCTTTTAAAATAGCCTGTCTTTCCAGTTCACACCTAAGGTTCTGACTTACTTTCTTTTCCCCAATAGTTGTCATAGCCTTCTCCAGCATGTGTTCCTTCTGTATTTCAGACATGGCAGAGGAGACACAGCAATAACTAAGTAAGTACAGCAAATCAAAGGATGGAGCCCCAAACTGAAGCCAAGTCTACTATATCTTATCAATTTACTGAATAACATTGTCTCTCTCTGTAGAGGTTACCCTTTTATGCACATAAATGTGAATTAAAACATCTCTGCCCTGCTCCATTCAGCAATACAGCTCTGCAACGATGCACGCTGCCATCCATTTCACTGGAACATTTGCCGTAAAGTTGCTTTTAAAAGACATTCTCTTACAATACTGTCAACGGCCCTTGCATTAAAAATGAGAAAAATATGGAAACATGCATTAAAATATTCAGAAATAAATGGCTTTTTTATTACATAAAAGCTCTCATGTGTCTCAAAGGTACTGAGAATAGAATACTTTATCATAAATTAGATTATTATTGCTGGGAAAAGATCTATTTTAATGCCACTTTTCTTGGGGATTAAACCAAACCCTAACAGTCCATTTGGGGGTGTTCATAAATGTGTAAGTCAAATACTGAAAAGCTTTAGTGGAAAATACATGCTGATGAAGCAATCTTGGAAAAGACAGAACACATTCTGTTTGTTCTCATGTCTGGCAGGGGGCAACTATTGCATCCAGAAAAAAAAAAAATGAAGATAATGACTTCTCTGCAACTAAGATGAAGATCCACTGAACTTTGGGGTTTGAAATGCAACGTTAGAACTTCAGACTCCCGGCACCTAGGTCTCCAGCTGCTGGGTGGTGCCAGCATCAGAGATACACTCTGCAAAACATATACTGTCTTAGGAAAAAGTGACCCTGTTGTCCTTTCAGGCCCATATTCCACAAGAAGACAAATGGAGATGTAAAAGGAAAACTGCAGCTCCGACTGAAGAGAGAGCAAGTTGTCTGTTCTGATACAGCCAGGAAATAAGATGTTCTGGTTAATATGTGCTAAAGATGTGGTGCTGACTTTCCGACTCAGAATATGATCACATGTTTTTCTCATTAAAACTATATTGAATATTATTTGACCATTGTTGAGTCAGTCATCTTGATAAATATTATCTTCGTACAGTCCTGAGCAGAGAGTCAGTGACTAGAATGCCACTGAAACCAGCTTTTTATAGGACACGGTTTTCATGGTTTTAGGGCATGGAGAAACTTGCACAGTAATCCACAGTATTCAATTATTTAGGCAGGGTAGGAGAAAAGTGATGAGCATTCATTTTGCTAGCAGTGTAACTTCCGTGGAGAAATGGTATACTGATTGTACTTCACATTCCCTATACATGATCCAGCACTGTGATCAAAGATGGAAGGAATCTCTTCATAGCTCTCCTTCCTTTCTCTTTTCTCATTTCCTTACCAATTCCCTTTATCCCTGGTCCTTTTACATCTTTATTTTTAGTCAATACCCTGTTACTCTGCTGGAAAGATCTGTGTGTGAAGCTGGATACTAAAAATGTCATGATTGCCACTTATTTGGAGGAGTAGAGTGGAGGATGTGGGCAGCATAGCAGCCCAGGCTGGAAGAGAGGAGCTGGAAGGGAGGAAGTTTGGCTGAAGGACAGGCCCCCTCAGGACTGATTTCTTGGCAGTCTATCCAAGTCCTTGGGTGTCTGCACTGGAGTTATAATAATAGCCAATATTTATTAAGCATTTTGTCAGTGCCAGGATCTGTGCATTATCTTCTTTAATCCTTACCTAACCCTGTGCAGTAGGCACTATTACCATCTCAGTTTAAAAGATGCGGGCTAAGACTCAGTAACTTTAGGTGTATGTCCAAGTTCACACATCAACTAAGTGGCTGATCCAGCTATGTTTCATTTCAAAGCTTGAACTTAGACCATCCCCCTCCAATTAATTAGCTATGCCTTCCTTCTTACACTTATCTCTTTCCTCTCTCTCCTTTTTAAGATTATAAAGACTTTGGCCAGGCACGGTGGCTTATGCCTGTAATCCCAGCACTTTGGGAGGCCGAGGCCGGTGGATTACTTGAGGTCAGGAGTTCAAGACCAGCCTGACCAACATAGTGAAACCCTATCTCTACTAAAAATACAAAAATTAGCCAGGGGTGGTGGTGGGTGCCTATAATCCCACCTGCTTGGGAGGCTGAGGCATGAGAATCGCTTGAACCCAGGAGGCAGAGGTTGCAGTGAGCTGAGATCTTGCCATTGCACTCCAGCCTGGGTAAAAGAGTGAGACTGTCACACACACACACAAACACACACTATACAGACTTTAGAAAATATGCCTCTGTGTCCTTTAAACACTATTAAAGAGCAAAATGGTAGTTCCTGGACCAAAATTCACAGGACCCAAATCCTTATTTCTATGTAGCCACCAACTCACTGTATTATCGTGACACTGGACTACTGGCATCTGTAAAATTAGGAAGTTCAACCAGATGGTATCTGAGGATGATTTGGCCTCTGACATTGGGTGAACCCCCAGCTTCTAGGAGAGGGTGTGGGGCATAACTCACCTGGGCTATTCCTACTTGGGATGTGAGTGGCAAGAAGGCAGCACCTATGATTGTAGTGACTGGATTTCCAAGCCTCCAATCAGAACACCCATTACCTGAATCACTGAGTGATAACAAGTTGTAATGGTAACATCAACCCTACTCCAGAAATTCAATGATATGGAAGGTGGGTAAATCCAGACCCACTCTCTTGTGGAGGGTGAGGCACTTCATGAACTTCTATATTTCTATCACCCTATCTCTCCTTTGACATCCAGTCCCTGAACTTCTCCTCCAGCAAGCAAAATAAAGCCAAGAGTGGTGTATCTGTCCTATTATAAAATCATACCCAGGATTCTGGACTTCTTAGCTGATTTCATCTTATTCACATGTGTTTGCATATTGCCTTTTGTTAAGTGGTTCCAAATCCAGTTTGTAAAGTATGAGATGGCCTCAATGTTCTAGGTAGGGCAAATGCATTCTCATTCAGAGCAAAGGTGACCACCATAGGAAGCAAGTTTTTAAGCCCTTCCCACTTTAGGAGAGACAGAAAACATAATTAAGCAAATTTGCCATGATGAGAGGCCTGGCTCTCCTTCCATTTAATGGGGATAGAGCACTGTGGAGAGGAAAAGTGCCAAATGGTATGTGATTTTTAAAATCTCCTACGCATTTAATAATTAATGCTCGTTTTCTTCTATTTTTCCCCACCCCCACAACTCCTTTCCCCACTCATTACAGCTCTTTGATATCCCCTCAGGAATTATGATATCTCCAGCTGTTTACATAACCAGAGATTAAGTCCAACTGAAGGAGAAATTTAGGCCACAGAAAAATCAGGATAAGAAAGCCAGAAATGTAGTTTGCCTTGGGGTCACATTCTGAGATTCAGTCATAGCAGCCTCAAAGAGCATTGAGCAAAAGTTTTTTGGTGGACTCATGAATTGGAGGTGAGAGTGGTTGACTGCTATTTGCAAAGCTGGATTAAGTGAAAGCAAATGGTAACTGACACAAGCCTCCTTTCTGGAAGGAATCTGCTGTGCATGAGAGATAAGATAAAGCTCTAATAAAAATACTGACTTAGTTTCTGCCCTTTTGTGCTTACCTGCTCTGCTCCGCGTTATCTCATTTTTGTAGGCTTGACCCTGCTGCAGTTTGCAAGTTTCTAGATGAATAACTGTTGCATCTTTGTACGTGGTGGGTTTCGTGCATGGAATTATGTTGCCCAATCCATTGCCTCTCCTCCCCCATTGCCCCCACCCTTTCCCTGCTCTGACTTGAGCCAGCCCGATGCTGAGGCCAAATAAGCCATTACTTTAATAAGCCATTATTCACAATGGATTGGAAAGATAAGGAGCCCCACAGTGAGCTGACATCGGCCTTGTATTCCTAATCAGGAAATAGCAGATAGGGGATGTGCATGGGACGGCGGGTTTGCAGCAAGAAAATTTTGGGGCACTTCTTGGGTGAAAGGGGAGGTGGGAGGGGCCGGGCAGGCCCAGGCAAGGACAGCTGCTCCAGTGGACAGTCTGAGTCAGTGCCTCTCGACCTCTATCTGGGTGTAAGAGAATCATTTGTGTTGCTTATGAAAATGCAGATTCCTTGGCCTCAGCTCCAGAGATTCTGATTTGGTCCATAGGGAGTGGGTTTCAGATAATTCTAATGCAGGCAGCCTAGGATCAAAAACACTGCTTAAGGGCAATGGGCTACCTGTACCAAGAAGGGTTAAGGAGGAGGAAAAAGAGCAGAGAGTAGAAAAGTGCAAAGGTACCTGAAGGCAGCAAAAAAGTAAGGTCTTTGGAGTCAAACTTAGATTCCAATCTCAGGAGCGTTCCCCCTTAATCTTTATGAACATTCTTCCCCACATATAAAATAAGGGGAAATAGCAATGATAATAATAGTTCATATGCAAGGGTTCTTATAGCCCAGGGTTACATGTTTTAGTGGGTTAGCTCATTTATACCTCATCACACTACAAAGAGGACATAGCATTATTCTCATTTTATACCTGAGGAAACCGAGGCACAGATGGAGTGTTAAACTGGCCTAAAAGGCCACACCGCTAACAAGTGCTGGAGCTGTGATCTGAACCCAGGGAGTGTAAGTTGGGGAAATTGGGGGAGAAAATGTACAGGAAATATCTGGCTGCTGCCTGACACACAGGGCTCAGGTTTGTGTCCTTCCTTCCCAGCGTTGCTGAGAGGTGATCAACTGGCCACATATGTTGATCAGCTGCCTGTTCCAGTAGAACTCTACCATAATTGCTGGAGGATTGAGGTGGTAGGGGGAGGGAAGGAGCACTGGATCTGAAGACACATCCTGGAGCCTCAGTTACCTCATCTCTAACGTGAGGACAGCAATGTCCTTACATCACAGCATGTGATGTTCAAATGAGCTCATGCCTGTGAAAAGTATTTTATAAACAGTATTTAGTACAAATATCCATTGGATTATGAAGATGAATACGGGCCCAGTCATTGCACAGAACAGCCCAAAATATCTTCTTCAGGTGTCATTCCCCTCTCTTTTAGTGACTCCTGAGTGTCTCTTGGATAAAATAAGAATATGTGCTAATGTGTTTTCGGATAGTGGCTTAGTCTTTCATACCTAAAGGGGCCTGGTTCTGTTGTGGGTGGAGAAGGAGGGAATTTAGGTGAAAATGTTGAGGTTGCTCCTTAGGAAAAGAAGGAAGACTTTGTCTTTTCATATGTGTGTGTGTGTGTGTGTGTGTGTGTGTGTGTGTATACATATATATACTTTAATTATATATACTTTATATATATATACTTTAATTATATATATACTTTAATTATATATATATATACTTTAAATATATATATATATATATATATATATATATATATATATATATATATATATATATACTTTAAGTTCTGGGGTACATGTGCAAAATATGCAGGTTTTTTACATAGGTATTCATGTGCCATGGTGGTTTGCTGCAGCCATCAACCCGTCATCTACAATAGGTATTTCTCCTAATGCTATCCCTCCCCTTGCCCCCGAACCCGACAGGCCCCAGTCTGTGATGTTCCCCTCCTTATGTCCATATGTTCTCATTGTTCATCTCCCACTTATGAGAGAGAACATGCAGTGTTCGGTTTTCTGTTCCTGTGATAGTTTGCTGAGAATGATGGTTTCCAGCTTCATCCATGTCCCTGCAAAGGACATGAACTCATCCTTTTTATGGCTGCATAGTATTCCATGGTGTATATGTGCCACATTTTCTTTATCCAGTCTGTCATTGATAGGCATTTGGATTGGTTCCAAGTCTTTGCTACTGTGAATAGTGCTGCAATAAACATACGTGTGCATGTGTCTTTATAGTAGAATGATTTATAATCCTTTGACTATATACCCAGTAATGGGATTGCTGGGTCAAATGGTATTTCTGGTGCTAGATCCTTAAGGAATCGCCACATTGTCTTTCAAAATGGTTGAACTAATTTACACTCCCACCAACAGTGTAAAAGCGTTCCTATTTCTCCACATCCTCGCCAGCATCTGTTGTTTCCTGACTTTTTAATGATTGCCATTCTAACTGGTGTGAGATGGTATCTCATTGTGGTTTTGATTTGCATTTCTCTAATGACCAGTGATGATGAGCTTTTTTTCATATGTTTGTTGGCCACATAAATGTCTTCTTTTGAGAAGTGCTGTTCATATCCTTTGCCCACTTTTTGATGACCTTGTTTGTTTTGTTCTTGTAAATTTGTTTAAGTTCCTTGTAGATTCTGGATATTAGCCCTTTGTCAGACGGCTACATTGCAAAAATTTTCTCCCATTCTGTAGGTTGCCTGTTCACTCTGATGATAGTTTCTTTTGCTGTGCAGAAGTTCTTTAGTTCAATTAGATCCCACTTGTCAATTTTGGCTTTTGATGCAATTGCTTTTGGGGTTTTAGTCATGAAGTCCTTGCCCATGCCTATGTCCTGAATGGTATTGCCTAGGTTTTCTTCTAGGGTTTTTATGGTTTTAGGTCTTATGTTTAAGTCTTTAATCCACCTTGAGATAATTTTTGTATAAGGTGTAAGGAAGGGTTACAGTTTCAGTTTTCTGCATATGGCTAGCCAGTTTTCCCAACGCAATTTATTAATTAGGGAATCCTTTCCCCATTGCTTGTTTTTATCAGGTTTGTCAAAGATTAGATGGTTGTAGATGTGTGGTATTATTTCTGAGGCCTCGTTTTGGTACCAGTAGCATGCTGTTTTGGTTACTGTAGCCTTGTAGTATAGTTTGAAGTCAGGTAGCGTGATGCCTCCAGCTTTGTTCTTTTTGCTTAGGATTGTCTTGGCTATATGGGGTCTTTTTTGGTTCCATATGAAATTTAAACTAGTATTTTCTAATTATGTGAAAAAAGTCAATGGTAGTTTGCTGGGAATAGCATTGAATCTATAAATTACTTTGGGTAGTATGGCCATTTTCATGATATTGATTCTTCCTATCCATGAGCATGGAATGTTTTTCCATTTGTGTCCTCTCTTATTTCCTTGAGCAGTGGTTTGCAGTTCCCCTTGAAGAGGTCCTTCACATCCCTCATAAGTTGTATTCCTCGGTATTTCATTCTCTTTGTAGCAATTGTGAGTGGGAGTTCACTCATGACTTGGCTCTCTGTCTATTATTGGTGTATAGGAATGCTTGTGATTTTTGCACATTGATTTTGTTTTCTGAGACTTTGCTGAAGTTGCTTATCAGCTTAAGGAGTTTTGTGGCTGAGACAACGGGGTTTTCTAAATACACAATCACGTCATCTGCAAAGAGAAACAATTTGACTTCCTCTCTTCTTATTTGAAAACCCTTTATTTCTTTCTCTTGACTTACTGCCCTGGCCAGAACTTCCAATACTATGTTGAAAAGGAGTGGTGAGAGGGGGCATCCTTGTCTTGTGCTGGTTTTCAAAGGGAATGCTTCCAGCTTTTGCCCATTCAGTGTGATATTGGCTGTGGGTTTGTCATAAATAGCTCTTATTATTTTGAGATATGTTCCATCCATACCTAGTTTATTGAGTGTTTTTAGCATCAAGGGGTGTCGAATTTTGTCAAAGGCCTTTTCTGCATCTGTTGAGATAATTGTGTGGTCGTTGTCATTGGTTCTGTTTATGTGATGGATTACATTTACTGATTTTTGTATGTTGAACCAGCGTTGCATCCCAGGGATGAAGCTGATGTGATCGTGGTGGATAAGCTTTTCAGTGTGCTGCTGGATTCAGTTTGCCAGTATTTTATTGACGATTTTCGCATTGATGTTCATCAGGGATATTAGCCTGAAATTTTCTTTTTTTGTTGTGTCTCTGCCAGGTTTTGCTATCAGGATGATGCTGGCCTCATAAAATGAGTTAGGGAAGAGTCCCCTTTTTTTCTATTGTTTGGAATAGTTTCAGAAGGAATGGTACCAGCTCCTCTTTGTACCTCTGGTAAAATTTGGCTGTGAATCCGCCTGGTCCTGGCCTTTTTTTGGTTGGTAGGCTATTAACTACTGCCTCAATTTCAGAACTTGTTATTGCTCTATTCAGGGATTGACTTCTTCCTTGTTTAGTCTTGAGAGAATGTATTTGTCCAGGAATTTATCCATTTCTTCTAGATTTTCTAGTTTATTTGCATAGAGGTGTTTGTAGTATTCTCTGATGGTAGTTTGTATTTCTGTGGGATCAGTGGTGACATCCCCTTTATCACTTTTTATTGCATCTATTTGATTCTTCTCTCTTTTCTTCTTTATTACTCTGGCTAGCAGTCTATCTATTTTGTTAATCTTTTCGAAAAACCAGCTTCTGGATTCATTGATTTTTTGAAGGGTTTTTCATGTCTCTACCTCCTTCAGTTCTGCTCTGATCTTAGTTATTTCTTGTCTTTTGTTAGCTTTTGAATTTGTTTGCTCTTGCTTCTCTAGTTCTTTTAATTGTGTTGTTAGGGTGTTAATTTTAGATCTTTTCTGCTTTCTTATGTGGGTATTTAGTGCTATAAATTTCTCTCTAAACACTGCTTTAGCTGTGTCCCAGAGATTCTGGTACGTTGTGTCTTTATTCTTCAAAGAACTTATTTATTTCTGCCTTAATTTAGTTATTTACCCAGTGGTCATTCAGGAGCAGGTTGTTCAGTTTTCATGTAGTTGTGTGGTTTTGAATGAGGTTTTTTTTTTGTTTTCTTTTTTTGTTTTTTGACAATCTTGCTCTGTCACCAGGCTGGACTGCAGTGGCATGATTTTGGCTCACTGCAACCTCCACCTCCTGGGTTCAAGTGATTTTCCTGCCTCAGCCTCCCAAGTAGCTGGGACTACAGGCGTGTACCACCATGCCCAGCTAACTTTTGTATTTTTAGTAGAGACAGAGTTTCACCATGTTAGCCAGCATGGTCTTGATCTCCTGACTTCGTGGTCTACCCGCCTCAGCTCTCCCAAAGTGCTGGGATTACAGGCGTGAGCCACTGAACCCAGCCAAGTGAGTTTCTTAATCCTGGTTCTAATTTGATTGCACTGTGGTCTGACAGACTGTTTGTTAATGATTTCCATTCTTTTGCATTTGCTGAGGGGTGTTTTATTTCCAATAATGTGGTCAAATTTAGAATAAGTGCTATGTGGTGCTGACAAGAATGTATATTCTGTTGATTTGGGTTGGAGAGTTCTGTAAATGTCTGTTAGGTCCATTTGGTCCAGTGCTGAGTTTAAGTCCTGAATATCCTTGTTAATTTTCTATCTCGTTGATCTGTCTAATATTGACAGTGGGTGTTAAAGACTCCCACTAGTATTGTGTGGGAGTCTAAGTCTCTTTGTAGGTCTCTAAGAACTTGCTTTATGAATCTGGGTGCTCCTGTATTGGGTGCATATGTATTTATGATAATTAGCACTTCTTGTTACATTGATCCCTTTACCATTATGTAATGCCCTTCCTTGTCTTTTTTGATCTGTGTTGGTTTTAACTCTGTTTTATCAGAGACTAGGATTGCAGCCCCTGCTTTTGTTTTGCTTTCCATTTGCTTGGTAAATATTCCTCCATCCCTTTATTTTGAGCCTATGTGTGTCTTTGCATGTGAGATGGGTCTCCTAGATACAGCACACCAATGGGTCTTGACTCTTTATTCAATTTGCCAGTCTGTGTCTTTTAATTGGGGCATTTAGCCCATTTACATTTAAGGTTAATATTGTTATGTGTGAATCTGATTCTGTTATTTTGATGCTAGCTGGTTATTTTGCCCATTCATTGATGCAGTTTCTTCACAGTGTCGATGGTCTTTACAATTTGGTATGTTTTTGCGGTGGCTGGAACCGGTTTTTCCTTAAGTACTTCCTTCAGGAGCTCTTGTAAGGCAGGCCTGGTGGTGACAAAATCTCTCCGCATTTACTTTTCTGTAAAGGATTTTATTTCTCCTTCACTTATGAAGCTTAGTTTGGCTGGATATGAAATTCTGGGTTGAAAATTCTTTCCTTTAAGAATGTTGTATATTGGCCCCCACTCTCTTCTGGCTTGTAGGGTTTCTGCAGAGCGATCTGCTGTTAGTCTGATGGGCTTCGCTTTGTGGGTAACCCAACTTTTCTACCTGGCTACCCTTAACATTTTTTCCTTCATTTCAACCTTGGTGAATCTGATGATTATGTGTCTTGAAGTTGCTCTTCTCGAGGAGTATCTTTCTAGTGTTCTCTGTATTTCCTGAATTTGAATGTTGGCCTATCTTGTGATATTGGGGAATTTCTCCTGGATAATATCCTGAAGTGTGTTTTCCAACTTGGTTCCATTCTCCCCGTCACTTTCAGGTACACCAATCAGACGTAGATTTGGTCTTTTCACATAGTCCCATGTTTCTTGGAGGCTTTGTTTGTTCCTTTGCATTCTTTTTTCTCTAATCTTGTCTTCATGCTTGATTTCATTAAGTTGATCTTCAATCTCTGATATCCTTTCTTCTGCTTGATCGATTTGGCTATTGATACTTGTGTATGCTTCAAAAAGTTCTTGTGCTGTGTTTTTCAGCTCCATCAGGTCATTTATTTTCTTCTCTAAACTGGTAATTCTGGTTAGCAGTTCCTGTAACCTTTTATCAAGGTTCTTAGCTTCCTTGCATTGGGTTAGAACATGCTCCTTTAGCTTGGAGGAGTTTCTTATTACTTACCTTCTGAAGCCTACTTTTGTCAATTTGTCAAACTCATTCTCCGTCCAGTTTTGTTCCCTTGCTGGCGAGGAGTTGTGATCCTTTGGAGGAGAAGAGGCATTCTGGTTTTTGGAATTTTCAGCCTTTTTGAGCTGGTTTTCCTCAACTTTTGGATTTACCTATATTTAGTCTTTGATGTTGGAGACCTTTGGATGGGGTTTCTGTGTCAGGGCATCCTTTTTGTTGATGTTGATGCTATTGCTTTCTGTTTGTTTTCCTTCTAACAGTCAGGCCCCTCTGCTGCAGGTCTACTGGAGTTTGCGGGAGGTCCACTCCAGACCCTGTTTGCCTGGCTACACCAGCAGAGGCTGCAGAACAGCAAAGACTGCTGCCTGCTTCTTCCTCTGGGAGCTTCATCCCAGAGGGGCACCCACCAGATGCCAGCTGGAGCTCTCCTGTATGAGGTGTCTGTCGACGCCTGCTGGGAGGTGTCTCCCAGACAGGTGGCACGGGGTTCAGGGACCACTTGAGAAGGCAGTCTGTCCCTTAGCAGAGCTTGAGCACTGTGCTGGGAGATCCGCTGCTCTCTTCAGAGCCAGCAGGCAGGAACATTTAAGTCTGCTGAAGCTGCACCTACAGCCACTCCTTCCTTTAGGTGCTCTGTCCCAGGGAGATGGGAGTTTTATCTATAAGCCCCTGACTGGGGCTGCTGCCTTTCTTTCAGAGATGCCCTGCCCAGAGAGAAGGAATCTAGAGAGGCAATCTGACTAGAGTGGCTTTGCAGCACTACGGTGGGTTCCGTACCCAGTTTGAACTTCCCAGCAGCTTTGTTTACACTGTGAGGGGAAAACTGCCTACTCAAGCCTCTGTAATGGCAGATGCCCCCCTACCCCCACCAAGCTTGAGGATCCCAGGTCAACTTCAGACTGCTGTGCTGGCAGCGAGAATTTCAAGCCAGTTGATCTTAGTTTGTTGGGCTCCATGGGGGTGGGATCTGCTGAGCAAGACCACTTGGCTCCCTGGCTTCAGCCCCCTTCCCAGAGGAGTAAGCAGTTCTGTTTTGATGGTGTTCCAGGTGCCACTGGGGTACAAAAACAAACAAACAAACAAACAAAAAAAAACAAACAAAAAAAACTCCTGCAGCTAGCTCGGTGGGAAGACTTTATCTTAAGGAGGCTATGAGAATTGCCAGCATGTAGGACATCCTATAACATTTCAGAATATTCCATGTATGCCAAAAGGTGGAAGAGTTCAACCCACAGGTCAAGACTTGAGATCTCAAAGGAGAGATCACAATCTGATACCCAGCCCTTGTTGCCATAAACCCAGACCAGTTGGAAAAGCTGATACATCTTTGTGGCATATATACATTTTGCAACATTTTTGACTCAGACATAGTCAATGTTTTATACCTGCCACTGGAGGTTTGGCTGAGCTCTGTTTGTACTGTGGTAATGCTTAAATCAGAGCCTCCTTTTGGGGAGCGTTGACCCAGACTAGCAGATAGGAATGTGACAAGAGCCACAGTTTCTAGACTAGACAACAAAAGCAAACCAGAAAAACAATTACTCCAAGTTGCTGTCTTCTTTTTCTAAGAGCCTCCTCATCATGGTTGTTAGAAAAACCTCAGAGCCACCAGAGTAAAATAATAATAATAAAGATTTTTTTTGCCCATAATGAGAGTTTGCAAAAAAAAAAAAATTGTGGCAAATCAGTACCATTACCCAAGTGGAAGACCTATGCACTTCCTCCTAGAAGAAAGAGAACCATTTTCTGCTGGGCAACATAGACAGTAGACCTGAGAAAAGTTCAGTTTTCTTTTCAAAAAGAAAATTTGTTTCCCAATTTACTTCAGCAATGGGTAAAACTCAGATGAGACCCTCTTAGTTGGTCTTCCCTTAAGGCAGCCCAGAGTTCAGGAAGGGAAGAGTCGAATTCACTTTCAGGAATTCAATTCAGTTTCTTTTTATTCTATTCTATTTCCTTCAATACAGTTTGATAAACACCCAGGGAAGTGCTATGAGTTGGAGAACCATGTAGATGCTGGGAGACAGAATGGGAAGAGGCAGGGTTGTGCTTCTCCTCTTCTGAATCCAGATTGGATATGGGCATCACTTGACCAAGGAATGCTCTTTTGGGCAGGGTGGGACCAAAGAAGATAAAAAAGCCATAAAAAAAGCAGGATCAAAAAAGATTCAGACTGGTATTTAGGCAGAAGAAACTAAAGCAAGGAGATACGAAGATTTAACTCTAAGCAGACAAACTGAATGTAATCCCCATGCATGTTGTTTTATCAATGAGATAATAGAATTTGAGAGTTTATTATTCTTATGGTTTGAATATGGTTTGTCCCCACCAAAACTTGTATTGAAGCCTGAACCCTAATGTGGTGATGTTAGGATGTCACGCCTTTGAAAGATGATTAGGTCATTAAGATGAATTAATGTCTTTCTCTCCAGGCTGGATTAGTTCTCCTGGGAATGTGTTAGCTCTTGTACAAGTGGATGAGTTCCCTCAAGAGTAGGTTGTTACAAAGTGAGGTTGGTTCTTGTGTTTTGCCCTTTTTTCATATGCACCCAGTTCCCTTTCTATTTCTCTGCCATGTTTTTGATATAGCACAAAGCTCTCACCAGTAGCCACCAAATATGGCTGCCCAATCTTGAACTTCCCAGCCTCCAGAGCTATGAGCGAAATAAAGACCTTTTCTTTATAAATTACCCAGTCTCAGGTATTCTATTGTAGCAACAGAAAACAGACTAGGACAATATGTACTTTCACATACATCGTTCAACTTCATTCTTAAAACAGCCCACATTATCACCTCAATTTTGCAGAAGACGCTGAAGCTGAGTCATGACATGCCCAGTATCTTGACATTTCTACAAGGCCAAGACAGGACATTGAACCCATGCCTTCTGTCTCCCAATCTAACATTCTTTCTGTTCTATTATATTCTCTATCATCTTGCATTCATAGAATATCTGACTGTGCTAAAGGTTCTTTAAATTATGTTGTCCTATGTCTAATTCATTTGTATTTTGCTTAAATCTCATACCTGGAGTAAAGTAGCCCTTGGGAACTGTGGTTTTCATTATTATTTTGTTAATTAGAAATATAAGACAAAGGGTTATCTTCCTCGACTTTAAAAGTTAGAACTGGACTAGGTAATGTCTAGCACTGTTTTAATTCCAGCATTCTGAAATCTGCTATTACATTAGATCAAACTTCATTTTTTTAGTCTTCCAAAAACACAATAATTACAAGTAATGGTGTTCATGCCAAATTCATTAGAGTTTGAAAACAGAGCTATATTTCAGCTCTTTGGAGGCCAAAAATGAACTTTGATATTTTTGCAAGTGTGAAAATTCTTTCAGCTATGCCAAATCAACTCAAAACATCTGAATGGTCTGCCTCCAAGTAACATAAAATTTTCTCTTTTATGCTTTGAATTTTGTTCTAGAGAAACTCTATTCCCCTAAATGTTGTATTAAGAGGCTGAAAAGTTGCAGGGAACCTTGGTGGAGTGATATTTGCTGGGTAGGCTGAAAGCCAAACTATTGTTCTTGTTATTTCTCAATAGAGGAGAGAAAAGTATTTGCTAACTATCCCTGGAATCTCTGTCAATTAGCTTGGAATTTAAGGGATTTTCCTGATGTGCTTTGTAGAGGTCATTGAATGTTTGGATTCCAGGTGAATGTTTGGAACTCTGCAGTAGAAGATAAGTTGGCCCAGAAGACCAGCTTAGTGGAGGATCCTACTTTATTTTAATCAGTGATCTGATGAGTCTTTGTAAGACAGCCATCTTCCCCAAGCTCAGCCCTGTCAACCACCATGGATGACACAGAAATTGTTTAAGACCTGTCTACATAAATATCTTGAGAGTAACTTTTTCAAAATGCAGTCCTCCAATCCAGGTTCTTAGGCCTGACTCCAAGGAAGGAACATTTCTGTGAGTGATGGTAGGAATCTATATATTTTAATGACTGTCCTGGTGATCCTTATGCGTGATGTAAACTGACAACCCTAGCCACACAGTTTTCTAAAAACCCAAAATTTATATACACACAGAAAACAGTATTATCACAACATAATTCTATATCTTATGGAGTCACAAATAGCAAAGCAGCAGCCAGATGGCCAGCTTCTGTGGAGTTGCTGGAGAGGTGGCTAGAAGACCTCTTAGGATCCCAACGTCTGCTAGAACCTATGAGACAAGATGCATCAAAGAGGCAAAGAATAATGTGGACAGAAAAGTGAGAGATAGGTGCCGTTTTGATAGTGGCAGAGAAATTCATGGATGCAACAGAACCCATGCTTGTCCTTGAGAGAAGGAGAGAATGTGGAAAGCTAACATTTTGTTGAGAAGATACTCAGCTGTTTTTCAAATGTTAAATATCCTATGGGCTAAGGCAGATATATTGAGACATTCAGTTAAGTAGCTGTTTTCATGGACCTTGGCAGGTGGGGCGGAAAAGGAGGGCAGGGAATTTGGAAACAAATGGTTTTCCCTTATGGTAAAATGTAGGTAATAAACAAGACCCCCAGAAACACTAAGATGATCTCAAGCAAGAGCCAAGTCACTCAGGGTTTCAAGTTCAGAGGTGAGTGAGAACACTGGATAATGAAAAAGTGGGGGAGACCACGGGAAATTGAGCTGAACTTTGAGGAGTAGGAGGAAGGTTCATAAAATAAACAGGAAAGAGAATGAAGTAAGAGGGTTTGCTCTCGAGCGAAGGTCAGGCGAGGAGGGAAGGGTCCTGAGTGGCATGAGATGCTTTTTTCACAGTTAACTCTGAGTTAGAATTCTGAGTTTCTACCATCTTACACACCAAACACCATCTTCCAGAAATCATTGCCCCCTTGCTTTGGGCTCAGTGGGCAGAGCAGCGTTGGGTTCTATGGAGAGTCAAGCCTTGCTGTCTCGGAGGTGATAGCAACCCCAGCTTCAGTTTACAGATCCAGCTTTGGGGATGAGTGGGTCTGACACAGAGCCGCCCACAGCCTGCTTGGAAGCTTCCTTTCCTGACTTCTAATTACCAGTTCATTTATCGTTTATCTCTGGCTCTTAGTTTGCAACAGGGAGCCAAAACGTTAATGAACACAAAAGGTTAAGCCATTGCTTGACCCCTTCATTCTGCAGATGGGGAAAGAGGAGGAAGAAGGTAATGCGATCTCTGCTAGCCTTTGTTTATAGGAAGCGCCTTACACTCACTGAGTTCACAGCCTAACTGTAAAAGATGTGAAGGGTGTGATTATCAGGCTGGCAGTAAATGGGAACACACTGTGGCTTTGTTTGGGCCTGTGGGGAGTTTTTGGTAAATTTTTTGCTTTCAACCCCCCTATAAAAATATGTGGGGATTCAATAATGCTGACTCTACATTTCTCACTTGGAGCCCGTACTTTCTCTCCCTTTAATATAGAAGTGGTGGTGTTATTTTTCCTCCTTGGCCACAGACAGTTTCTCAGTAGCCCTTGCTGACCCAGTGGGCCCACTCCTACTAATTTTACACAAACCAGATGCTGTCCAAACAAGTCACCTCTATTTCACGTAGGCTAGGCCTCCCTCCTGAAAATGAAATGAAGTCAGGGAACATTGGTTCCTGGAAGCTCACAGGGATTCCTCTAAGCCAGTAGGACCTGTTTATTTTATTTATTTATGTATTACTAAAAAAGGGATACTGCTCCCATTCAGAGGCTCACAAATTCATTTAAGTCAATAGAGTTAAGCAGGGCTTGAAGTGAGTAGCAGCAAGGCTGGAAGCCTCTGCACAT
Source organism: Homo sapiens (assembly GCF_000001405.40). NCBI lineage: Eukaryota > Metazoa > Chordata > Mammalia > Primates > Hominidae > Homo > Homo sapiens. The sequence continues at coordinate 38,695,064 of NC_000005.10, read as the reverse complement.
GGTAGGTTGGGGCTGGAGAGGTCACCTGTGTAAATCAGTAGCAACAATCTAGACCAGGCTTACCCTCAGACTCGGGGTGAAACCAGGGATTACTTCTCTTAAGTTTCTAGTCTCAAGAATTTTTTCCAAGGCAGATATTTAATGTCTCTTATTTAGATTTAGCTAAGACCTGGCTCTGGCTGGCACCAATTTTGATCCTTGTCCCCAAGCTCAAGGCCAGCTTGAGGGAATTACTGCCTTTAGTAGACACAGATTTCCCTCCCTCACCTGTCTCCAGAGCCCAGGCCTGTGGTTTGGACCAACTCGTCACCCAGCTCCACATGAAATGCACATTAAGGAAAATGTGTCATTTAGAGCAGATCACGTGAAAAGTCCATGGGCTTGGGAAATGATGGCTTTGAGTTTCCCCTATTGCTAACCCAGCTGGGCTACCATTATTACCTACTAGATAAGTTCACATGCCATTCTGCTCTCTTAATTTTTGTTTGCTTCTTGTCTAAGGTCAATTTGAAAAAATGTGTAATAAGTGACTATAATATGCAAGATGTTAAATGCTGACTACAATCCCTTAATTTGTATTTCACATAATTTTCAAGGAACTTCACCACCCGTGGTCTCATTTGATTTTCACACCATTGCTGAGCAGGTAGTAATGGACTCATTTTACAATGACCTCCTGGAGGCAGGTGATGGATCTCTGAAGTCACAAAACCAGTAAAAGATTGTGGTCTGGCTGAGAAAGAATTGCTTTATAAAATCACAAAATGCTCATCATGTAAGAAAGAGACCTTAACAGTCAACTAATTCAGTCATCTCACAGATCCAGCCCTCTCCTTCGTAGATTGGGAAACCCAAGGTTCAGAGAGGGAAAGCGACTTGCCTGGAGTCACACAGTTACTGTGCTCTGGTCACTCAATCCTCTGAATTGTTCTTTCTCCCTTCCTAATTGAAGACCCAGAGTCCCAGTCTTTGGAAATTGGCTGAGGATGCTTGTTGTTCCAGCTTTGGGCTGATTCTGGACCCAGCCCTGAATCCTCGAATGGATTCTGGGGTTCCCCTGGAAGTTAGAACTCTGTTTATCCCTGGAGGATGGATGACATCTCACAGAGGGCAGAGAGTGCTAGATCCTCACCCCCAGTTCTGCTCATGGCTACTAAGGTAGCCCTGCACACTTTCAGGGGATCTCGCCAACCAATCACAACTTCCAAAGCCTTCCTGGGTGATTTTAGAGCTTATGGATATGCCCCCAAACTTCACAAACCCCTGGATCTATGGCTCAAATACTCAAGGCAGGAATAGATATGCAATCCACTCTTTTTTTGCATTGCCAGAGACACCCTCTACCCCCATAGACACACACATACACACACACACACACACACACACACATGCCTGTTTAAAAAATGGCAGGAGAGGGAATGAATAAAGGCTTATATAGTTACACAAATACGAGAGGAAAGATCCATGTTCCATAAGCCTAGCTGGAGTCTGAAAAGTTGATACTAATGACAGCTACCATTAATGTTCATTATGCACTAAATACCACTATTATACCTGCTTTACAGATAAGGAAATTGGGTCTCAGAGATGTTAAATGACTGGCCTGTGATGACACAACTAGAAAGGGGCAGAACATCCCAATGTAGGCTGATGCCTGAACCAGGACACTTAATCTGCATGCTGTCCTCCCTCTGCAGACACAATGGCAATGAATGGACCACACCAAATCTACAGTGAATATGCAGCAAGAGACCTGAGCCAAGTAACCCCAGCACAGTCTGAGATGTGCAAGGCAGAAGCAAATTTAAGGAGAATGAAACGGAAAGCAAGGCCCAATTAAAATCCAAATGAACAGGAAGCACGATGCAAAAGCAAACTTGGAAAAAGCCAAGGCGAGAGAGGAACACTTTGGAAGAAGGTGAGACAAAAAGAAAACTGCAGGAGAAATGTCCTCTGCAGCCCAAACTGGCCTCATCCAATAGCTCTGGAACAAGTTTTTATCTTCGTAAGTTATAGCTGGCTGCAGCCAACTGTTTGCATAGTGTGTGGATTGAGACGTTTTATTGCTTTATGAATGCAATAAAACAAATGTGATTAAAGGCAATGATAACACTTGCATCCTGGTGAAGAAGATGGGAATGCTGTTGCCAGGGCTTTATCTGGAACAGAGTGTTTTAATCAGAGAAGAGAAACCTGTTTCCCATCCTTGTTTTGGGGAGACAACACAGGAATGGATGGACGATAAAAATTTTTAAAGAGTCAAGATCTAAAAAGATGGTGAAGCTGTTGGGATGGGGGTGAGAGACAAAAATGGGGAGCTATTAACAGCTCAAAATATAAGCAGGTATGCTTGGCCTCTTAGAGGAAACCGACGTGGCATCTGAAGCACATAGGGGAATGAGATGGAAGAAATCTTGACCACACTGTGACGACAATGCTTCCAAAAGGGATTAGAGTAGAATGTTTCTTTGCCAGCAGAGGAAAATTATGGTGCAAGGAAATGTAAAGAATTCAGGAATTCAAAGAAAGATAAGGGCAAGGGCCCACTGTGGGAAAGAGGGGAGAAGAAAGATATTTTTGGGATTTTCATTCACAGATAAGGGGAATCATGAGTTCCAGTAACTGTGCTGGGTGCTTTGGCCTAGAAGAGGGATTGGGCATGGGTAACACTGCAAAAGTGAGTCAGATAAATGTCTTCCATCTTCGTTAAGGATGTTATACTCCAGTGAGGAAGAGAGTGATAGCAACAGCAGTCTTTATTGTAAGATACAGAGTTGCATAAACCTAAAATGTACTCACTAAAATAGGAGTTTGGATTTTATTTTATTTATGTATTTGTTTATTTATTATTATTATTATTATTATTTTTAAGACGGAGTCTCATTCTGTCACCCAGGCTAGAGTGCACTGGTGTGATCTCGGCTCACTGCAACCACCGCCTCCCAGGTTCAAGTGATTCTCATGCCTCAGCCTCCAGAGTACCTAGGATTACAGGCATGTACCACCATACCCAACTAATTTTTGTATTTCTAGTAGAGACGGGGTTTCATCATGTTGGCCAAGCTGGTCTCAAACTCCTGACCTTAAGTGATCCACCTGCCTTGGCTTCCCAAAGTGCTGGGATTATAGGCATGAGCCATCGCACCCAGCCTGAGTCTGGATTTTAAATAGAGGAGTGATGGGACTTGTATCATGCTGGGAGAATATGGGGAGTGTCAAGGAAGGTTTCAGAGAGGAGGTGGTTTTTGGCCAGATCTTGAAGGAGGAACTGAGGAAGGAATTCAAGGCTTCCTAAAGTGCCTTCTTAGCAAAGTGCATGAACGCAGGACAGCTGGGGGCGTTTTGGTTGAGGTGACAATGTGAAAGTCTGGAATGGCTGCATCTAAGGCTATTTGGAAGTTACAAGGGAAACAAAATGATGTGGCCTTATAGAAGCCACACTGGGAAATCTGAATTTTATTTTATAGGCTAGCGTTTCTCGACCAATTTTCTGCCTCCGTACCATTGATATGCACAATACAACAGTCTCAGCTCTCAACAGACACAGGCCCTGCTGAGGGGTCTTATCAGAACTGTGGAGTGCTAGATCTTTAGGAGGCAAAAGGATGGGATCAGCGCTAGTAGATAAATTACCAGAATGGAGACTGAAGTCAGGAAAACCAGTGTGGAAGCAATTCAATTTGTCCAGGTATAGATGATAAAGGACTGAACTTACCATGAATGTGGAGCGGTAGAAATGACTGGGCTTTATTCGTTTTTGCCTTTATTGAACACTCACAGTGGGCCAAGCACTGTGTTTGTTATTAGAGATACAAAAATTTAAGCTCATGACCTACCACCCATGGCTTCCTATAGATGAACCAAGTAAGCCAATACTGATACGGTTTGGATTTGTGTTCTCACCCAAATCTCATGTTGAATTGTAATCCTCAATGTTGGAAGAGGGCCTGATGGGAGGTGATTAGATCATGCGGGCAGACGTTCCCCTTGTGATAGTGAGTTCTCATGAGATCTGATTGTTTAAAAGTGTGTAGCACCAGGCTGGGCGTGGTGGCTCACGCCTGTAATCCCAGCACTTTGGGAGGCCAAGGCGGGCAGATCACCTGAGGTCGGAAGTTTGAGACAAGCCTGACCAACATGGAGAAACCCCGTCTCTACTAAAAAAAAATGCAAAATTAGCCAGGTGTGGTGGCACATGCCTGTAACCCCAGCTACTTGGGAGGCTGAGGCAGGAGAATCACTTGAATCCAGGAGGCAGAAGTTGCAGTGAGCCGAGATTGCACCATTGCATTCCAGCCTGGACAACGAGAGCAAATCTCCGTCTCAAAAACAAACAAACAAAAAGTGTGTAGCACCCCCACCCCCTTCCTCCTGCTCCAGCCATGCAAAATGTGCCTACTTCCCCTTCACCTTCTGCCAGGATTATAAGTTTTCTGAGGTCTCCCCAGCCATGCTTGCTGTAAAGCCCGTGGAACCACGAGCCAATTCAACTTTTTATTATAAATTACCCAGTTTCACGTATTTCTTTATAGCAGTGCGAGGACAAACTAACACAAATACTAAACATAGGGGCCATGACAGCAGCAACAGAGAGACCCTCAGGAGAACCAAGAAGAGATGTTTAACTACATAAGGTTTCAAGGAAATAGGTTAGTTAAGTTGAGGCTTAAAGATAAATAGGCACTACTTAGGTGGAAAGGGGAAGAAAGGGAGTGGAAGGATAGGAGAGGATGTGCAAAGACATAGCAGCATGAAGTGGTAAATGAAATAAGAGGAAGAGCAAATCTCCAGGCTGAAAATTGAACATAGCTTCTGTATGTTGAGCCAGGCCCTTTATTAGCAATTTGACATGTGTTGCTGCATAGGATCTTTGGGGCATGCGTAGTGTGGACTAGAGACACAGTGGCCAAAGTTTGGATGATGACTGCCCTATCAGGAGGTTGGACTTTATATGGAAAAGCTATGTAACTCAGATACATGATTTTAGAAAGATTATTCTGGCAGCAGTGTAAAGAACGTATGGAAGGGGCACAATTTAGGAAGCAGGAAAATAAGTTAGGCAATTATGAGATAATAGACATGGCAAAGGGGGATGTATAAGTCTGTTCTCACACTGCTATAAAGAACTACCTGAGACTGGGAAATTTATAAAGAAAAGGGGTTTAATTGACTCACGGTTCCACGTGCTGTACAGGAGGCATGGCTAGGGAGGCCCCAGGAAACTTACAATTATGGCAGAAGGGTGAAGGGGAAGGAAGCACATCTTCACATGGTGGCAGGAGAGAGAGACAGTTAAGGGGGAGGTGCCACATACTTTGAAACAACCAGATCTCATGAGAACTCACTATCGTGAGAACAACAAGAAAGAAATCCACCCCCATGATTCAATCACCTCCCACCAGGTTCCTCCACCAACATTGAGGATTACAATTCAACATGAGATTTGGGTGGGGACACAGAGCCAAATCATATCAGGGAACATGTATGAGAAAGCATGAATAGGAGGCAGTCGGCATGAAAGGTGATTGGTCAGACTTGAAAGAAGAGGAAATAATCCACAAGGAGCCCAGTTTCTGATTTGATGACTGTGGTTGGTAATGATATACTTCACAGAGCTAGAGGATGAGGCAGGGGAGGAAGGCAGAAGGTCAGAAATGAGACATGATGGGTTCTATTTGTACATATCGAGGAGAAATGGTCTGGGAGTGAATTCTAGTAAACAGTTAGGTGCAATATCCTAGAACTAAGAAGAGAAGCCTTGGCTAAAGGTCTGTGATTGGGAGGCATCATCCTATGTTGGTGGTTGAAGCCAAGGGGGTAGATGAGATCACTCAGCATCATGTGAAAGGAGAAGCAGGCCACAGACAAAGACCTGGGCAATGGTAATATTTCAAGAATGGGCTGAGGGACAGGTGACCTTGCAGGAGACCAGGAAGTAGTGATTTGTGAGGGAGGAGGGAAACCAGGAGAGGGAGCTGCCTAGAAAATGAAGGGGGCCTCAGTAAGGAGGGAGTGGTCAACATTGTCTGGATTACACCAGAAGCTGGAGACAAACAAAAGAAAGGGCTGAGTCAAGACCTCTAGCCTGTGAAACAGTAGACACCTGAAGCTAAAAGTGAAGCACACACATGTATCATGAATGCTGGGGGCAGGAAAAAATAAAAATAAAAATGAGAAATAAAAAATAAAATAAGAAAGAAAAGAAAGGCAAATTTACTGGTCTGGAAAATAAGGCTCTATGAGACAGGTAGAGGGAAATTCTGTAAAAACAAGACAATACTCTAAAAGAAATACATAAAAGATATTCATATTCCTTTCCTTGGGGAAGTAGGGGTTGGGCAGGAGGTGGAGGAAGGAAGAATGGAGCAAGAGGAACCATCTAATTGTAGAGAAAATGGTACACTAGCATAATTGATGGGAATTTGGGAAGCTGATGCTTAGAAGAAAGAATGTTATATAACCAATGGGAATGAAAATGAGCTAAGACCACATAAACATGAAAGTGTTTTTAATAAATATTTTAAAATCCATACAATGCCATCTCAGAAAAAAAAATGGGTGTATGTAGTTTTTAAGAATAAACAATAGGCTGGATGTGGTGGCTCACACCTGTACTCCCAGCACTTTGGGAGGCTGAAGTGGGAGGATCACTTGAGGCCAGGAGTTGAAGACCAGCCTGGCCAACATGATGAAACCCCGTTGCTACTAAAAATACAAAAATCAGCCTGGGGAGGTGGCGCATGCCTGTAATCCCGGCTACTCGGGAGGCTGAGGCACGAGAACTGCTTGAACCCGGGAGGCGGAGGTTGCAGTGAGCCCAGATTGCACCACTGCACTCCAGCCTGGGTGACAGAGTGAGACTCTGTCTCAAAAAATAAATAAATAAAATAAACAGTGGCTACCAACATCACAAAAAGAGAAACAACAATGATGTGCCTCCTGAAGAAAACACACAACACCATCAACACTGTCTACAAAGTATTTACAACAACAACAAAAAATGGAACTGGAATTAGATCATACATACCTCTAGATCCATCTTCAGTTTACAGGAAATAGGAGACAGAGAAACAACTTATACAACATTATGGAAATGAGATTAGCAAAATCCAGACAGTGGGAAATTCTGCAGGATAAATAACATGGTGTCTTCAAGTCATAAATTGAAAAGACAAAAGAAAAGAGGAAGGGAATTATAGATTACTAGACTTGAGACAGCAACAAAATGGAATGAGTGAACTTTTTGGGTTCTGATTGCAACAAAGTAGCTATGGAAACAATTTCATGAAATAATTGGGGAAAATTTGAGCATTACTTGTGTATTTTGTAACATTAAAGAATTATTTCAAATTTTTTGATGTAATTTTTTAGAATGCTTATCCTTTAAAGATATATACTGAAATATTTGTGGATGAAATGATATAATAGCTGAGATTTGCTTCAAAATAATTCAGTGAGGCTAGGACAGTCAATGAGATTGACTGTGAATGGATAATTGTTGAAACTGGTTGTTAGGTTCATAAGGATTCATGATACTGCTGTATTTTGTGTTTGAAAATTACCATAATTAAAGATTTTTTAAATTCAAAGAATAAATGTGAGCATGCCCATAAAGTCCTTTGAGCGCTGTGAAAGGACTTGTAGAAGCATAAATTGTTAATATTTCAAAATTGTTATTATTTCCTTTTGATGTGGAATCTCTTCTGGTTTTGAATGTTCCTAATTAAAGAGCTTCCACCAATTCTTAAAAGATAAGTATTGGCTGGGCGTGGTGGCTCATGCCTGTAATCCCAGCACTTTGGGAAGCAGAGGCGGGCAGATCATGAGGTCAGGAGTTCGAGACCAGCCTGGCCAATATGGTGAAACGCCATCTCTACTAAAAAATACAAAAATTAGCCAGGGGTGATGGTGTGTGCCTGTAGTCCCAGCTACTCAGGAGGCTGAGGCAGGAGAATCACTTGAACCTGGGAGGCAGAGGTTCAGTGAGCTAAGATTGGGCCACTGCACTCCAGCCTGGGTGACAGAGTGAGACCATGTCTCAAAAAAAAAAAAAAAAAAAGTTAAGTATTGCAGCTGGCTACTGTCACACAATGAAGCATGGTTTGTATGTGCATGAATGTGTGTGTAGTGTGTTGGGGGGACAGGGCAGGGGGAACGTGCTTTAATGTGGTCATTTTTGGCATTGCTTTTGTCCAGTTAATCCAAATGGACTGTGCTGGCCCAGTCTTCTGAGAGACGGCAGAAAGGGGCAGTACAGGAGAAGCCAGCAATGGAGGTCAGATTGACACATTTAGGAAAGGAAGGTTTTGACTGTCTGCATTTCAGCAGAGCCTCAACCTAGAAGACGGCTACTGTAAAGAGCAGTCTGCTATTGACTCTAGAGGGCAGAGGTGAATTCAGAATTGAGGAATTTCTGGAGGATAGGAAGCAGTTCCTATGCAGGCAAATTGGAGTCACCAGCTAGAGGCTCAGAAAATGCTGAAAGCAATACAGTTTCAGAAAGGAAAGTCAAGAGAGTAAACCCACATTACAGCAAAGAACATCCCCAAGATGAGAAGGTGGGTCCCCATAACAGATCCAATAGGCTTGCCACCAACAATTCAGGAGAAGAGATGAAGAGCAATACCTCATCCTGGAGTAGAAAGGGGAAAAGTTCCAAGGCATCACGCAGATTATTTGTTGGGAAGAGAGCCTAGGAGTTTGACATTGTGTAGAAAGCCCCAAATGTCCAAGGGAACATTTTCAAAATTCCCCAAGAGAACAGTGTTTTATGAAAGAATAGAGTCTAGTGATCCGTATAGCCACAGTAAGAAGCTGGGAGAGTTAAAACCAACTTTGAGGAGCCTAGCAAGAATTGCGACACCGATGGGTAAAAACTCGATCTCTCCTCATTCTTCCCTCCTTTCCTGTCCCTTCTCCTTGCTGCATCTTCGTGAAACAGCACAGTTATGGCAAAGGAGCTATCCTGTACCAACACGAAGGAGAGAGTGGTAAAGGACCCCACAGAAATGGAGGGAATGATATTGACACAAAAATGGCAACAAGATCTAACTCCAGCGTCAAACTGAAGTAACAGCAGCTGCAGCAACTAAGGTAAGCCACCAGGAGTTGGAGTTGGGATAACCAAAGGTGGCTTATAGCCGGGGAACTTAAAAACCACCATAGAGAATTCAAGAACAATGTTGGCATCCCAAGGGAAAGGAGAGACTTAGGGAACATGGCGGTTAGAACCCCTTATGTGAAAGCAAACAAGAAGAGCTACTGATACTGACTGGTACTTGTTTTCCCTGAATATTCTCTCACAAGCTGCGTGGCCGAGGGGGTTTTGGAGTACATTTTAGTCACTAATTCTTTGATAGAAGGTTATGATTTTGGATCCCATTTTCTAGCCTAAGTTAGAAGATCAAGATTCATTTTTCCTTCTAGGTACTTTGTCCACAAAGAGGATAGGTAGGCTGCAATCAGGTGAACAGTGGTGTCTTGGACCAATAATCTCTGAATTCGAACCACTAGGCTGGGAGTGGTGGTTCATGCCTGTAATCCTGGCACTTCGGGAGGCTGAGACGGGTAGATCACTTGAGGCCAGGAGTTCGAGACCAACCTTGCCAACAGAGTAAAACCCCATCTCTACTAAAAAATTTAAAAAATTAGCCAGGCATGCTGATACCTGTTTCTAATCCCAACTACTCAGGAAGCTGAGGCACGAGAATCACTTGAACCCGGGAGATGGAGGTTGCAGTGAGCCGAGATTGCACCACTGCACTCCAGCCTAGGCCACAGAGCAAGACTCCATCCCCCCCAAAAAAGAACCACTAGACTTCTCATGAGAACAGTTGGCTTTTTAAAAACTTAAGTTAATTAAAAAAAAAAAACTAGATAAGAGAAGTTTTTAAAAAAATAGCTAAATAACCATTAAGGCACACTCTGAGGCAATACATAATTGTAAGAGAATTTAATAAATAAGCATCTATTTATGAGTTTAGCTTTTCCAAGCCAAGCTTGTCTGAACAGACAAAGGGAGGCCTTGTATTTCTTTTATATACACTATCTCCATCCTTCTCTCAGTACAAAATTTGTTCATCTCCAACTCTGTACATCAAACTGTTTGGTGGTGGTTCTTCCTTGCCATACAGAGCCACTAGCCTTTTGTAAGTTCTGGAGATCCTCACTTTCCTCCACTTCTTCCATAAGTAGTCAATTGAAACTTCTCTGACCTTTCAAAATGTGAGATTTTTCCTGTGTTTATCCATTTAATGTTTCTATAACAGAATACCCAAGGTTGGATAATTTATGAAGAAAAGAGGTGTACTTAGCTCCTAGTTCTGCAGGTGGGGAAATACAAGAAGGATGACACCAGTATCTCCTTAACTTCTGGTGAGGGTTTTTGTGTTGGATCAAAATATGGTGGAAGGCCAAAGGAGAAGCCGACAAATGCCAAGAGGCAAAACCCAAGGGGCACCTTGGCTTTATGACAACCCGATATCTTGGAAACATTCCCACAAGAGCTCATTCAGTCTCACAAGAGGGAGAATTTACTACCACCAGAATGGCTCCAAGCCATTCATGAGGGATCTGCCCCATGACCCAAACACCTCCTACTAGGTCTCATCTCCCAGCACCACCATATTGAAGATCAAATTTCAACATGAGTTTCAGTGGAGACAAACTCAAACCATAGCAGTTTCCCATTGGGAGAGCTTGCTCTTTACTTTCTTTTGATGATAGATCAATGGACTGATATTGCAGAAAAGGTTTTGTTTAGTCTTTTTTCAAGACTTCCTGACCCTGAGGTATATGAACTGGGATGCATCGCCAAAAACATTTTGCTGTTCTTTTTGCTTTAAGATATTAAGTGCTTTTTACAATGTAGGTTTATAACATCTTCTCATACATACCCTGCTTGAAGGTTAAAGACAGGGGATGAGTTAGGAAAAAATATTTCTCTTGCTCCTTAGACTGTCTATTCTCTAACATCTACAGTCCATCAGAATGCAATGCTAAATGGCACAGGAGAGCTCAGAGCTGCATAAAGTACAAGGAGCTATCAGCCAGAAGAACAACTGCTGGGAGGACAGATTTTGCACTTCTCCTTGTCATCTTTTCTTGAACCCAATGTCAAGATTATTCCAAGTCACTTTAAAAAATATGGACCAAGATTATGGCAGCCTTGGAAGACCTTATTTTGGACTTTAGCCCCCTGACATTTGATTACTCTATTCATCTAGACCAGTCCTAAAGATTTCATGGGCACCTTAGCCAACTTCAGATCTTTACTGCACAGTTCAGTAAGGACCCCTAGGTCCACTCCAGGTAGGGTGGTGGGAAAAAAAAGATCCTATAGTTGCCCCATAGTGATCCAAGTCTTAAGCCAGATCTCGGATGAATATGGACTACAAGACCATGACCACACCTCACAGCTGCCCATCTCAACTGGCCTAAAGGACACGTGTAGGCTTTTATTCTGTAATGTACAGCATTATTTGAATTTATCATCTGGCCAAAATGTAGGCATATACTGAAAATTAATGTGAGCCCTTCATCACAATTGAGCTAGTATCAACACAGTCATGCAGACGAAAAGGAAAGAAAATGCACTCTAAGAAACAGAGGGACTCTGTCCAAAGTTTGGTTCTGCCCCCTCTCAGGTGTGTGATCCTAAGCAGGTTACTCTCTAAGCAAGAAACTTACCTGCCATGAGGATACATGAGATAATGCAGGTGACACACCTGGTTTGTAGTAGGTATGCTCATCGACTTTAACTATGATTATATCATTGCACAAAACAAGCCTTACATGGTTTTATAGTACATGCAAATGAGCTTCCAGGGAGCATGTTTCTCTAAGCCAATTTTTATTTTTTCCCTTATCATCCAACTCTCCATCCTTTCCCACCCTTTTCTCATTATTACCAATTAGACACAGTTTTCAGCAACAATTTCTTAGCATGTACTTCCTCCCTTGAATAAAATTACAAATTAAGACCTGCCTAAGGTGACCTCTTTGTCCCTAGTTCATCCTCATAAGATTGTTTCCAAATAGCTCTAAGCTAGACTCTCAGAACAGAGAGCCATCTACAGAGAGAGCAAATATCAGCTTAGCTGTAGATTTCCCCAGGAATGCTGGAGGAGGGGTAGAAGATAGTAGAAGATGTTAAACAGGCAGTGAGGAGACTTGGGGGCCAGAGTCCTAGATCCACACTTAGTAGTTGTGTGACCCTGTGCGCACTCACCTCAGTTTATTCCCTGGTAAATTGGAGCTAACAAAGCCTGCTTTGCTTACCTCCTGTGGCCTCTCTCATGGGCTTACTAAAAGGATCCAACATAACAGACTTGCTCCAAATGTAGTAGGGATAGCAATTTGTATGATGTGAGATGATTTTGCACAATCCAGTTTTTATCTACTTTTTAATTCTATATAAAATGATTTATTTGTTCTTATGTGTATTAGGAAAAAATATAACTAGCACATAAAACTCATGATTTTATAGATATAATTGCTCAAAAAGAGGCGTAAGTAAAAATCATGGAACAGCTATAGATGTACGTGTGTTTGTGTGTGTGTGTTTGTGTATAATGTGCAATTGTGACAAAAAAGGAAGGCAGTGTCCTCATAAAATATGGAACTCTACAATAACAGAATAAATAAGATAGCAGTCTGAAGACTTTATGGAGCTAAACAAAAGCATCATTATTACTCTTTTGTAGGCCCTGAGTTTCCTCATCTACAGAATTCAACAAATGGTTAATGACATTTTCTACGTACCAGACACGTTTCTGAATTCTGAAGATACAAAAGTAGGCAAGATAGACAAAGTTCTTCCCTCTAGGAGCTTACATTTAGGTAGAGAAGCATTTTTAAACCCACAAAATAATTGCACAGATCCGACCCGACGATGTACAAAGAAAGCTTTTGAAAGTTATCGAGACTATATCAATGTCTGGTACTGTTGCAGTGAGATGCCAGAGGCAGAAATGAGAACTTGATTTGAGAATATCTAAAAAATGTCTGGCAGAAGGCAGAGAAATGCACTAGTGTGGGCAAATACAAATTGTTTTTGTTTCTATTGGGTTTTCCTTTGGGATAAATTCCTGGAAATTTTTTCTAAACTTGTGCACAGTAAAAGACTTATTCCAAATAACTCCGTTTGGAGATATGTACTCTTCAGAGGTAATGGGAAATGTGAATCGAATGAGCATCATATTAGAATCATGCATTACAATCTTCAAATAATTAATATGGCTTGAATTAATCTAACCATAGAATTACTATTCTAAATCAAATGTTGTTCTGAAATCCAAATATGTGAAGTCCAATTTGTTTTCCTTCATTCCCTAATTTTTAAGTTCTTTCCAAAAGAATTAGCAAATTTCCCTGGACTCACTTTCTCTTTTTAAATCCCCAAAGTCACTTATTTCTTAACTGGTTTTGGTTGCGTTATAACTGCATTTGTTGGATTGTTCCAGCTCGAAAGTTGGCTATTTGACAACATATAAAGGGCCAGCTAATTCTACTTGGGAAATTACTGCTTCAGTGAACTTACTAAATAACACCCTAATGAATTGAAAGAGTTAAAACAAGTTTCTAAACAGCTTCATTTCCAATCAGGGAATAGCTTATGTGCTGGGAGCTTGTGTCAAAACATAAAGAGTTATGAATTCCTAACAAAATAACTGTCCAACAAAGAAGAAAACCAGCAGATGATATATGGAGAGAATGTCATATCCTGGAGCCAAAATGTAAAATGGAAGATGTATTCACCAGGCCTACAGATGAGGCAAGTCTATATAACTTGAGCTTTCAGTCCCTCTGCAAGTGAACAACTGAAGATAATGATCCCGCACCCCTGTGCTGATTGCATCATGAGCTTGCTTGTGTTCTGATGTTTAGCATTGTTACTGGGAGGATGGTACCACCATTTTGCCAAATAACCCAAGTTTAAATATTCATTTTATGTCATAGGTTCCTGCCAATGTGCATAGCAGGTTTATAAATTGTACTTTTGTTTATAGGCTTAGTCTCAAAAGCAAAAAAGCTTAAGGTTTTCTATTTTGATTGAAGTAGAAAACACGTGAAGATATTTGCTCAATCTGGCTACCTGGTATGGCATGCAAGGTTTGTACATTTTAAATGTGGCATAGGAACATAAAATGATATTTAAAAAGTAATCTTCTAGAACTTAGAAACCCTAAGGAATTTTGTCTCTTTTCAGCACATTCTCGTTGGGAGGTCATATACTGACTCTAGTTGTCTTGTTTTTCCTCTAAACATTTGGAACTCCTCTCGCAGAATTGTCTTCAGAGCCTGCAGAGCATTTTTCTGAAAGTCCTACTCTGTGCCAAGTCTTCTTCCTTTGGGGTGGGATGGGGGATGGGAGTCAGTGGAAGACAGTGAATTTAATGATTTCTGGAAAGAGCCAAAAGTCATCCAGAGGCCAAGCTGGTCAATGGCATGAGTATAACCATTTGGGGTTAAAAAAAAAAAAGAAAACAAAAAGACTGTCTATAAAGTGTGGAGCCTGGCCCTGTCGTCCAGCCTGTGAAGTGATGATTTGAAGGCAGTCCTCCAAGAGGCGTTCCCAAGCAGTTTGGCCCATGACTGTCATTCTCTGAATAAATGTATAGAATCTTCAGAAGTGGCTACTTTTGAAGTAGTATTTCAAACACTCATTTTTATATGATCCAGAGTTTGGTTCACAAACCATCATCGTCATACATAGAGAAGAGTCATCATTTGCTGTGGATCTGGAATCAAGATAAAGACTGGTAAACACATTTTCTTGATAACACAGAGAAAAGAAAATAATTTGTTGTGAATGTCTTCATTGTTCTTCCTCCCCCCACCCCAAGCTTGGTTAGGATTCAACCATTGTTTATGCATCTACAGTATATGCCCTAATATAAGGCAATGTCAAATATGAGACACTCCCATTGCCCAAGTAAATGCTCCCCTTCCCGTCACCAAAAATTCTAGGAACATAGCTAAAAATCATGAATCATCTGCTTAAAAATAGTTAATGTATTAATTTAGTTATACACATATTATAAATCATTTTATATATACTTATAAAATTGATGTGTTAATATCGTTTTATATAAGCATATTAACTTTTTATTTTTTTGAGACAGGGTCTCACTCTGTCACCCAGGCTAAAGTGCCACTGCCATGATCATGTGAGACATGATCATGGCTCACAGTAGCCTCAGCCACCCCAGGCTCAAGTGATCCTCCCACCTTAGCCTCCCACATAGCTGGGACTATAGGTGCACACCACCATGCTCAGCTAATTTGTATATTTTTTTGTTGAGATGGAGTCTCACCATGTTGCCCAGACTGGTCTCAAACTCCTGGGCTCGAGAGAACTACCCACCTTGGCCTCCCAAAGTGCTGGCATTACAGGCATGAGCCCCCATGCCCAGTCCCATTTTATATATTATCTTATATTTCACATAAAGATATCTGGTAATTGACATATTTTTCCTCCATCATATCTCAATTTTATCCCAAGCCACAGCATAGTATTAGGACAGTTTTCTCTCATTCTTCCTGAAGTTGCATATTCTGAATGTTTACTATGCAATCACTTACTGTAATACTTCAAAAAAGTGATATTTAAAAGGCTCACTCACATTAACACCCATTCTTGAAAATGTAAGGCCATTCACCCAAATGAAAGAATGATTAAATATTTATCAAAGTTCACAAATCCTACTTATAGACATTCAAATCTAGCATTAATTCAGGGTGTTTCAGGATAATGTGTCTTCCCTGAAAAGAACTGTGTTATTCAAAATTAAATAGTGAAGAAAACATCCTATGATTGGTGCCAATGAAAATAAAATGGTTCCTTCTTTCCAAGAAGAAATTTTGGGACATCAGTACCTGGTATTTGACTGTAAGTAGAGTTACAGATTTGCTCTGTCACCCTAAAAAGATTGAACATCTTTTTTTTTTTTTTTTTTTTTTAAGACAGGATCTCACTGTGTCACCCAGGCTGGAGTGCAGTGGCGTGATCTCGGCTCATTGCAACCTCCACCTCCCAGGCTCAGGCAATTCTCCCACCAATTGAACATCTTTCTGTATTTTCATTTCTGTTGAAAGGGCTAAAACAGATAGCCAACAGAAGTCAGAGTTCACAGGAAGAATTGTGATTAGAAAGACAGTGCTGAATGGACACTGGTCACTCAGAAAGAGGGAGGGTGGAAAGAGGGCTAGGAATAAAAAAACTACTTATTGGGCTGGGCGCGGTGGCTCATGCCTATAATCTCAGCACTTTGGGAGGCCAAGGCAGGTGGATCGCGAGGTCAGGAGATCAAAACCATCTTGGCCAACATGGTGAAACTACGTCTCTACTACAAATACAAAAATTAGCTGGGCATGGTGGCGCATGCCTGTAATCGCAGCTACTCAGGAGGCTGAGGCAGGAGAATTGCTTGAACCAGAGAGTCGGAGGTTGCAGTAAGCCGAGATGGCACCACTACACTCCAGCCTGGTGACAGAACGAGACTCGGTCTAAAAACAAACAAACAAACAAAAAACACTACATATTGGGTACAATGTACAGTATTCAGTTGAGGAGTGCACTAAAGTCTGAGGCTTCATCACTATACAATTCATCCATGTTACCAAAACCCATGTGTACCCCCGAAGGCTATTGAAATAAAAAATATGTATAAAATAGGTAGGTATAGATAGACAGATAGATAGATATAGATAGATAAGTAGACAGACAGCTAGACAAAGACAGTTCTATAAACAGAGAACAGAATAGGTTTGTTTTCTTTTGGCATACAATAGGGAAAAAAACAAAACATAGTACAATTGTTTGCCCCTAGAGATGGGAATCAACATCTCTATGCACTGGATTACAAAGCAAGTACCAAAAAGCTCTGCATTTGTGTGTATGGAAAAAATAATAGAAAATAGCTGAAGGAGAGAGGGAGCAGAGAAGTAAGCCAAAAGGACAGGAATCTATTAATATTTAGTTAAATAATAACGCCCCTTGTACCAGCACATCATCGAGATTTTGGCTTAGGGTTTTTAAAAGATTTTCAGCTTTGGGGTTCTTATAAACTGTCCTGTTTTGATGCTAACCCTCATATAAACTGTCACTATCTTTATCATGGCTAAAGCCAATATTCTCATCCTGACTGGGTCGCCAGATATTGTATGGCCTTGGTGGCTGTTGGCTGTTCTCATGTATTCAAAACGGTTCATGGTGTTGACTCCTTTACAGGGACAGCAGTGTTCCATCTCATGTCAGGCTCCCTGCTGTTGGCAGCAGCTTGCTGGCTTCTACATTAGATTTTGGAGACAAAGAAATAAAGGCATTCTTCTGGAGAATGGGTGAAGAGCCTTAGTTATAAATTTCTCTCCTTCACCTGCTTTGCAGGGTCTCAAAATTATGGCCTTCAAAGTGCCATCCATAGCCTGCTGACTGGTTTAGTAAGCTGAATGAATCAGGGTTCTGCAGAGAAAACAGATTCAATAGAACCAATATACAAAGAGATTCACTGGAAGTTATTGGAACAAAATTATGGAGGCTGAAAAATTCCGTGATCTGCTGTCTGCAAGCTGGAGACCTAGGAGAGCCGGTGGTGTAGTTCAAAAGCCTGAAAGCCTGACAGTTAATGGTGTAGCTTCCAGCCTGCATCTGAAGGACGGAGATCCAAGAGGGCTGGGGGCCAGAGAAGATCGATATCCCAGCTCATACAGTCAAGCAGATACCAAATTTAATCTTCTTCTGTCTTTTTGTTCCATACTCACTGCATTGGATGATGCCCGCCACCCATCCCTTGCCCCAAATTAGAAAGGACCATCTGCTTTACTCGGTCCACCAACTTAAATGTGAATCTCTTCCAGAAACTCCCTCACAGATGCACCCAGAAATAATGGTTAACCACCTATTTGGGTATCTTTGACCCAATCAAGTTGACAAACAAAATTAACCATCACATATACCCTGATCCATAATCATCTGCATTGTGATTTCCTCTTCCCAACTCTGTAGGCACTTTTCCTTATAATCTCTGACAAGCACTGGCATGATTTGGAAACAGCATTATAGCCTTTAAAAAGAGCGGATGTGGATAAATAACCTTTTCTATTTCCTGTATTGTTTATTCCTTTCACAACACTCCATTGGCCAGAAATGTTGACATTTACATGGATTTAAACATGTCATGAATAAAAATTCCTTTTAGTCCCAGAAAAATGAGTTTGTATATATCTTCTAGAGCCCGAGGAGGTGATGAGGGGTAGTGGAAAAAGCTGGATGAGGAGTGAGTTGAGCTGTGGTCTTGTTTCAATCCCCAACCCCCCATCTGTGGACTGTAGGCAAGTCCCAGACTCCATCCTGTCATCCTGCCCCGCATTCATGGAATAAGAATTAACTCGTTCACCTCTCAGATTTTGTCAGGGTCTAGCATTCTTTGTTTACATGTAATAATGGCTGCTGGATACTGAGCACCTATCTGAACCAGAGACTTTGTGGGGACCTACAAAGGTCACCCTTTTAATTTACCCATCAGATCTGGAAGGTGAGGGCATTATTTACCAGTAAAGAAACTAAGGCTTAACAAGTTAAGCAACTATCCTAAGGAAGACACCTTCTCTTTGACTGGATCCTAATGAATGGGCTAATTCATTTCTGAAGAAGTGGAACAGAGGTTTCAGAACAGAGACAGAGATCAGCTGGAAGGGTTTCTCAACACACATTTTGTTTCTTTTCCTTACTTTGCTTTATCTTTCTTAGCCCTCAGGTGGGCAGAATTGAGTCAACTCTTCTTTTCATGACTCATTATCGACACTCGTCTATGTAAAGCCCCTCATATTATTTTCACATTTTTCCTCTTCATCTCCTGTATCACAACCCTCCTGCTATGTGCATTCACTATAGTGTATTTACTCTATGTCTTTGCAATCCACTTTCCCCGTGTTTATTTAGACAAATATGCCCTTGAAAAATAATGTTATTTAGTGTCAGTGGTTTTCATTTACATAAATGCTATGAAGCTTCTAATCTCATCCTTTTTTTCTTTTTGCACTCAACAGTGTATTTTGAGATCCCATCCGTGTTGCTCTGTGTAAATAAATCTTGTTCATTATGTGTGATGAACTCATAGTATTCCATACGTCATATCACATATTTTCCTTATCAATTTCCCTCATCAACAGACATGTAGATTGCCTTCAGATCGTTGTTACCACAAACAGTCTGGGATGTGCATCTTCTAATATGTCTTTGTACCCGCTGATATTCAATTTATTTGAATTGTATGCCCAGGAATTGGATTGTTGGCTCACAGTGTGTATGCAGTCATAATTTCACCAAGTTTTGCCAGGTTGCTTTCTAGAAAAGCTGCACCTCTTTAAGCTTCCCCTAGTCATGTATGAGGTTTACAACTCCCTGTATCCTCACTAGCACTTGTTATGGTCTGACTTTCTAATTTTTACCAATCTCTACATTTTAAATGGTGTATCATTTTTTATTTCATTTGTATTTATCTGGTTGCCAGTGAAGTAGAACATTCTTCATATAATTTTTAGCCATGTGGTTTTCTTCCTTTGATTGGCCTAGCCATACCTTTGCCCGTTTTTTTATTCTTGCTGTTTCCTAACTTTGCTGGTTTGCAGAATTATGACTTTCTAATTTGCCTGATTACCTCATAGGGTGAATTTTTCTCCCCAAATTCCTGCTTTGAACTTCACTTTCAATATTGACTTAACTGCATTAACAAACGTTTCTTATATTTTAACTATATACTTTATATAGATATAAATTTTAAAACAATTATTTTTCTGCTGTAGTTGGCAATAGCTTCTTTTAGTCTGCCATTTCTGTTTTATTGATAAAAATTTCCTTCATTTGTAATATATCCTAATATCTAATATATCTTCTTTTTTGGTTTTGCTTTAACTCTTTGAAAATATTTCTTTTTTCCACATAAATTTCAGAATCAGTTTTCCATGTTAAAAATCCTTCTGGGATTTTAATTGTAATTACATTGAATTTAGAGATTAAGAAAAATTAATTACAAGGTTAAAGCAAGCTGTTAATATGGTATTTAGAGTTCCGTTTATTTAGGTTTTCTGGTATGTGCTTTCATAATTTTAAATTTTTTCTCTGTAAACATCCTGTGTTTTCTTTGGTTAATCTCTACATACTTTATAGTTTTTGTTGCTACTGTGAATGATATCTTGTATTGTATTTTATATTAAATTATTGTTTTTTATGGGAACACAGAGTTTTGTATATTGTTTTAAAATCTAACAAATTTGCTGAACTCCCTTATTAATTTTAATATTTTACTGATATTCTCAGGTTTCCCATGCATCTGATCTCCATCTGGTATTGTAGCTATAAATAATAACAATTTGGTTTTCTTCTCTCCTCTTTTTAATGCATTGATCAGGGCTTTCTGTATTTTGTTGGTGTGGCAATGACACCAAGCTATACATGTCTTATTCCTAACTATAAAGGAAATTGCATCTAAAATCTTAAAATTAAATTTGATGATTGTGTTAGATCATTTCTACCACTTAGGATTTTCACTTTCATGGTAAGTGAAAATGAT
Source organism: Homo sapiens (assembly GCF_000001405.40). Classification (NCBI taxonomy): domain Eukaryota; kingdom Metazoa; phylum Chordata; class Mammalia; order Primates; family Hominidae; genus Homo; species Homo sapiens. The sequence goes on along the minus strand of NC_000005.10, from coordinate 38,674,491 downwards.
CAATGAACAATTTTTTCTTCTTGTACTGGATTTGGTATCAAGACCATACAAGCCTCACAAAATGAGGTATACTTTCTCCTTTTTATTTTTAATTAGTGCAACAATTTGTGTAAGACAGGGAGAAGCATTATAAAAACAGCCATTCTCTCTCTTTCCCCCACATGAATAAATGGCAACCAGCTATCAGGCAAAAAAAAATTGACTCCTCTTTTCCCCATTCATATTCTATTTCTGAGCAAAGCCCACTGTCTCTGCCTTCACAATACTTCTCAAATCCAGCCAAGTACATCTCTCTACCACTACTTCCACCCTCATCTAAGCCACCATCATATCTGAATGATTCCATGACTTCATACCTAGATTTCCTGTTTTTGGTTTTAGCTCCTCATAGTTTATTCTCAATAGTAAAGCACAAATAGTACATACTAATGTAGTCCCAATTTAAAGCACGAATCAGGTGACGTGACTCATGTTGCCTCCTATTCATTTCCTTGGTGAGGGAGAGATTCCGGCTTTAGGGTTATGGGCATGGCTAATGGTATACACATGGCATCCAACACTGGACAGATGAGGTTGACACAATTGATTAGTCATTTCTACTCACAGTCTAGGAGAGGAGAACACTGCATGCCACGCCTGGCCACACAGGGGTTGCACTTGAGAACAGAGTAGACCATCAGGTGCTGTAGAAGGCAGGCTCTGCAGTAGCAAGAGGGTGTAGTGCCCCCTGGTTCCCACAGGAGGATGTGATTTGTTGGCTGAATAATTCCATAAGCTAGCAAGGAACTGAAACCCACTTCTCAGAGAGAAGCGGTAACCGCACCTGGTCCATTTGATAAGAGTGTTGTATGCATGGGGAGGACATTTGGGAGGGTAATTTGTAATTAGGCCATCTGAGGCCCTACTTTTCCCAAATGTTGAGGCAGCACATAATACTGGGGCTTAATTTCAAACCTTACACCACAGATTCCCTGGTCAAAACTTTCCAGTGGCAACTACAAGGTTCTTCATGGTCTAAAAACTGGTTACCTCTCTGGCCTGATTTTCTATCCTTCCTATGCCCCAAATACTCCACTCTCCAGTCACAGCAACCTGCTTGTTCTCACTCAAACACATCAAACAGGTTTTCAACTCAGGCCTTAAGCTCTTGCTTTTTCCTCTACCTTGAGCCCTCTTCCCCCAAATATCTCCATGGTGTATTTTCTCACTTTCTGCAGATCTCTCCTCACTCCCTCAAAAGATAATAAGTGATATTATTTTGCATCCTTACAAACTTTATTTTAATGGGATATTGCTGTACGTTGCTTTTCTTTTTTATTATTATGTTTTTTAAAGTCATCTAGATTGCTACCTTGAGCTGTGTTTAATTAATTTTGTCTACCATGTGTATTCCATTGTATCACTACAAGAACATTTATTCATTTCATCCCCTATGGATGAACATTTACATTGTTTTCAAGTTTCTTCCATTAAAACAATGCTTCAATGAATAGCCTCCCAGGCCTCTTTGTGAATACATAAGAGATTTTTCTCTAGGGTATATAAAAATATGTGGAATTGCTGATCAAAGAGTTCCAGAGACTTGCTGGGAGTTGACCTCCGTGGTGGTGCTGAGAGTCCTATGTGGTCTTCCTCCCGCTGAATAAAACAGAAAATACTGGAAGATCTGAGAGACCCTGACACCTAAAAGAGATAGGGTCATAAGTAAGTGCAAACAGTTGTCTCCATGATTCACAGGAGGAACTTCTACTCTCTGTGAGAGGAGTCCCTCCTTCTGGTACTATAGCCAAAGGCCACCCTTAGTGAAGCACTATGGGAATGAACTCTGGCAAGATGCTGCCACTGGCATGAAGCAGCTGCTATAACAGAATGTGAAGCTGGGAGGTCTTAACTCTTAGATATACTGTATTTTCTCCCTCAGGCTTGCATGAGTCACTGTTTACCTACAGAGAAGAAAGAGCACTGGTCTTTGTCAATAGCCCTCACTGAGTTGAGAGATAACAGTTTCCCCATGGGAATCCTTGGTATGGATTAGATGCCTAGAAACTATGGAAAGAAACTCAAAACAGCTTCAGAGCTCCTGAATTAGAGCCCAGCTTTCAGATTCCTGTGAAGAGTGTGGCCAGGAAAAGACGGCTGTGGGGACGTGTGCATCTATTTACTCTTTCCCTTCTCTTATCTTTATTTTGTATCTTCTCTCCCTTTCTTCCTCCTCTTCTCTCTTTCTTTCTCACTTTCTTGGTCCCCCTTGTGGGGGATTTCACCACCAATTGGATTTCATGACTCCACTTTGCCTCTCTAGTGTTCATGTTTTGAAACCAAAGGAAGTCGGTGGAAGAAATGTTTAATATTTTCCAAAACCATTAAAATTCAGAAGAAATTCACGCACACTGAGCTAACCCCTCCCTAGCTCTTGGCCTCTGGCTCGTCTGTGAGAGCCATGTTCTTGGTATAGATCTCTTTCGTGCATTGTAGGAGTCAGTTCCCCTCCAGGATGTTATCATAGAGAACTCTGGGTCCCAAGAACCTCACAGAGACCCAGGAAGATGGCTATCATGGCCTGGTTTTGATCTCAGAAAAAAGACTGGCTAAACATTTCTCCATATACAGCACCACAATACATGTACATCGATTTCCTTCAGAAACAGGAGCCTGATGCCACATGGAGTAAGAGAGAAAATGTTACATTGAAAGTGAGGAGACTTGAGTTCTGGTTCTACCTCTGCCACTATCTAGTTGGTGACTGGGCCAATTACATAGCCCTCTAGGCTTTAATTACCTCATTAAAACATGAGGGCTTTGGTGTAAAAGACCTATTCCAAGCCGGGTGTTGTGGCTCACACCTGTAATCCCAGCCCTTTGGGAGGCTGAGGCAAGCAGATCATGAGGTCAAGAGATTGAGATCATCCTGGCCAACATGGTGAAACCCTGTCTCTACTAAAGATACAAAAAAAATTAGCTGGGCATGGTGGCGTGTGCCTGTAGTCCCAGCTACTCGGTAGGCTGAAGTAGGAGAATCGCTTGAACCCGGGAGGCGGAGGTTGCAGTGAGCCAAGATCGCACCATTGCACACCAGCCTGGTGAAAGAGCGAGACTCTGTCTCCCAAAAAAAAAAAAAAGACCCATTCCCTCAAAACATATTAAGCATCTACTTTCAGCAAGTACTACCCTTCATAGTCAATTTTAGTTCTAAAATGTCTTGATGTTGGAAGGTATTACAAACTGTTTTTCTGTGTCTGAGGTCACTTGAATTATAATCATTTGAGGTCTTTAAGTGAATTTACAGATGCCATGTTACTAAGAGATTGCATGATTTCTCTCCCCTAAACTCATTCCAGGGCTGACTGGAGGATCTCTGCTATTTTCTCATCTTTGCAATTACCACATAGTTGTGGGATGGAACATGTTGTCAGCCTTCTTGGTTGATGTAGCTGCCTGTTCCCTGGCTGTCTTCCCAGGCATGTACCTGTTGGGGACACAACGTCATTGGAGTGAGGGAGTCTTACCATAACCCCTCTATTTCCCAGCCCTCTGCCAGTGACTCATGAGGATCATGTCCCAGGCCCACCATACTGCACCTAGGAGGATAAAATCTACTTCTAAGCTTAACAGTGAGCGGCATTGTTTCAATTAAATATTTCCCACTAAATAAGGACTACAGTCTCCTCCAGCGGTTTCCCAAAGGGCATTTTCCATGAAATTGGAAGGGAACATTCTTTTAAAGAGGCTGGCAAAGGCATTCATCTCATATTAACCATCGTAAGAACAACTTGCTTGTTGAATGTGGCTGCAATATTTATCTTGCCAAAGAGCCAAGTTTCTCATGTTATTTCCCTATCCAAAAACTGCCATCAACCCCCATTGCCTATAGAATTCAAGATGTTTACGTGCCTCTTTTTTCTTTTTTAAGGAAAACCCTCTATTGTCTGGTCCCATCTTACTTCTTCATTATTATTATTTCCCATTGTTCCTGTCTGTATATTTTTTCATCTATTCTCAAATAAACATACCTCTGTCTCTGGGGGAGGGGAGAGGACAAAACTTACCTACTACTGTTGATTACCTACTACTGTTAAGCACTATCATAAATATTTTCACATTTGTTATTTTATAGCTAAAATATTAAGATCCAGAGAGGTTATATACATTGCCCAACTTATCAGTGGGTAAGTTGGAGCTGTTCTCAAGGTCTGTTTGACTTCAAGATCTTAATCGTTCTGCTTTAACACACTGCCTGTAGTCTAGGGATCCTATACTCCAGTCTGCTAACTGCAGGGTTGTTCTGGAAGTCACTCCTGGAAGATGCCCTAGCACTTGCCCCCCCAGCCCTTCCCATTACCTTTGTAAGCAACCCTGCATTAAATTTATTTCTGCTGAAATAACTTGGGAGACTTCTAAATCCTGACGGATACAGTCTATTGTCAGGGAATGTTTTTACATAAACCTTAATATCAAATAATCATAGAGCTTATATTTCTTTCAGCCCTGCCTCTTTATTTTACAAAGGAGTAAACTGAAGCCAGAGAGGTAGAAAAAATTGTCCAACATCACATAACCACTTTGTGACAAAGTTCAAATACCTTTGCTCAGAAAAAAAGGGGCCAAAATGGCAGATTCAATAAGTGTTTTAGAGGCTTCGAGGTATTTAGCCTGGGGCCAAATCCTGACCAAAACTCACTAGCTCTAGCTCCTTGGGGAAATCCCTTCACCTCCCGAATCCTCTGTTTCTTCATTTGTAAAATGATGATGATAATAATCTTTTGCAGCACTGTGGAATACTGGGAGGTTATATATGTAAAATGCCTAGTACAGCATCTGCCTCATAATATGTGCATTATGTATTTAGGTGCATAATATGTGCATTATGTATTTAGGTGCATTATTCTTAATTTCCCAGAATCAGCAAGGCCAAACTCCTTTGCATTGTGGGCTAACAGGGAGATGTCCAATAAAAACAATGATCCTTTAGTTCTCACTCCTGCCTAGCTCTAAGAGGCTCAACAAATACTATGAAAGCAAATCAGGTGCCCCATGGACAAAGACTAATAATGATACACCATATCTGACTCAAACATTTCATTCATTTTTGCACTCAGCAAAGAGTAAAATGGTTTCTAATCAAGTAAAGAATCCTAAAATTGGATTCATAGCATATAGTGCCAGGTTCAAAAGGGGATAAAAACATTACTTTTTTAACATTCTTGCTAAAGAAATGTTCAGCATACTCCATGTTATTCTTCCTCAATTCTTTTTCTTTTCTTTTTTTGACACAGAATCTCATTCTGTCCCCCCAGCTGGAGCACAGTGGTATGATCTCGGCTCACTGCAACCTCCGCCTCCCGGGTTCAAGTGATTCTCCTGCCTCAGCCTCCCAAGTAGCTGGGACTACAGGTGCCTGCCACCATGCCTGGCTGATTTTTGTATTTTTAGTAGAGACTGGGTTTCACCATATTGGCCAGGCTGGTCTTGAACTCCTGAACTTGTGATCCGCCCGCCTCAGCCTCCCAAAGTACATTAATAACTTTTTAAAACTCTGAATATAATAGGCATTAAAGATTTCTAGAATGCCATGGGTTCTGAGTCATGGGGAGCTGCAAGTGTTTCTAATGCACCGATTCTCACAATGCTGAAATGCTCTCCCTGCCCATTGACTCAAGGGAGCCAACCAATGAACTACGTCTGTTCATGGAGAGATGCATGTAGGGATCAGAGTATCCCAAAGATGCATTTTTCTAGACAGTACCTGGTCGCTGTACACCAGTTACCAGTGCAGGGAAGTGTGAACATAGCCAAGAATTCGGACTGAAATTCAGAAGGCTTTTAATTCACTATTGGTAGTGAATATTTCTGACTCAAGTCTCAACAGAAAACAGAGTGCATTCAGGATGGTACAAAGAACATTAAAGAAAAGACTATCTGTAGAGGACTAAATGGGATCAGAAGGGACTCTGAGGCACCAGGGGACTGATGAAAGTGGGCAGCCATTACACCCCCAGGTTTGAAGGGTCAAGGGGAGAACTGGCAGGTGCCAGAACCCAGTAAGAGCTGTAATGTGGGAGAGGAGGCCTTTGATGGGAGTTTGCTCATCAGTAGAGGAACAGGACCACCATACCCTAGTGAAGAGGGGAGTCAAAAACACTGACATCTCTCTTTCCCACCTTCTGACCGCTTACTAGTGCCTCCCTCTGGCTGAACCACCAGAAGCCCATTGATACAGTCCATACCGGCAGTCTCCTGCAGCTCAAGGCAGAGCTAAAAAAGCTGGAAATGGATTTGGAGGGGCAAATCAAAAATAACCTTGCGTGGCAACTCTGTGAGTCCCGGGAAAGGCACAAATACAGTTTTCTTTTTCTTTGTTTTGCCTTGGTTTGTCCTGTATTGGAATGGCTACGTGATGAATTCACACTTATTGATGGGAGAAAGTTATCTACTACATACTTGTACCCAGATTAGATATGGCAATCAGAAGGTCCAGTTCAATTCTCTAAGCAGCTGAATTTTCTTAACTACCTGGGAGGATATGTCACATTTTAAAGCCATACAAAGATCTTCAAGGCTCTGCATTCCAGACAGTTTTCTCTATTTGTTGGGATTTTCGGAAGCCCAATGAGTGACACTCCTGTTCCTTTCAATCTCCCTATATTGGGAGATTGAAAAATCACATTTAATATTTAAAGCTGATATTAGACAGCAAGGTTTAGTAGGAATGCTAAATGAGCTTACTAAAATTGTGCTGCAGAATAAAATGTATCCACTCAGTCACAGGCAAAGCAGGAAAACACAGGTCTTGCCCACGGGGGCAGAGTCTTTACTGCTAACCTCTTGAGCAGATGAAAACACATGCTTTTTGCAAGTGGACAGACCCCTAAAGAGGAGAGGTAGGAGCTGAGGCACCATGCTCAGTTGCTTATCTCATTCAGGGGTTAGGTCTGTCCTTGTTCCATGGTGGAAGAGTGAGTCACCTGCCAACAACAAGAAGGATATGTGCAAACAGACAAAGCAGAAGGTCCCATGGTCCATCCACCCATTATTCCCCTTCTGATAGTAACCCCCGGGGTGTTCTATGGGAGAAGGTGATCCGCTTGTCCCCCAGGCTTTTAAGAAATGTATCAGTGCCCATGTCTGACTTCCCAAAGCCCTGGCTTGACCTGTTGACATTGGTTTGTACAACTTCTTGGAGAAACCAGTTCCTTGTTTTCCTCCCATGGATTCTCTGTGCCCCCAAAGTGTGGGGGAGATAGCAGGAGACCAGCCTCCACCTCCGCTTCTGTCCTCCAGGTGGCAGGAGCACCATCTGGACTGTTCTACAGCCTCAGACCAAGCCAAAGATAACAGTATGTTCATGCACAGGAACACGCTGTGCTTCTCCAGATCCCAGGAAAGCAAATCCCAGTGAAGGTCAATAGTGGTACACTGTTTATAACTCAACTTTGGGTAGGAAGAACAAATATTAGGCCTCAGAACTTTCTTTTGTCAAGGACTCATGAGCCTTCTGCTAGGTCCCATCTGATCTTTTGTTAACTAGGTTCTTTCAAGCCCTGTTTATTCAGTGTCAAAAATTCTTAAGCAGCCGAACTCAAGTACCTGGGCTAGAAAGCTGCTATAGTTGCTCTGGAGAGAGTGGCCAGGAGTGGCAAATACCCTCCTGGCCCAGGCCCCACTGACTCTCCTCTCCAGGCTGCCTCTCCAACCCCAAAAACTCATCCAAAAGATGGTGCAATACAATACAACAGAGGCTACCTTCTCACCTTAGTGGTCAGAAACTAGAGCCATGTGTACAATTGCCTACTTGATATTTCTTCTTCAATGTCCCAAAGGACCCTGTCCCACTTCTGCCCCAAGCCTGATCCTTCTATAGTGTTTCCATTGTCAGTGAAGACATTCCCATCCAGACAAATGTGCAAGCTGGAAACCTAGGAGTCAGGCCTATCTCAATCCACATCGAAGTCATTTCCAAGTCATTTCTATTTGGTCCCCAAATCCTCTCTTGAATCCCTCCACTCCCCTCCATCCCCTCCTCTACTACCCTGGTCTGTGCCACAGTCATCTCTTTCCCTACCTATTCTGCCTGAATTCTTTCTCATCCTGCCTCCAATTCAGCCCCATTCTGCAGCTACAACAATTATTTTTTTCCAGAATGCAAATCTCATCATCTTTCTTCTTTAAAGCCCTTCAGTAGCCTCCTATTGCTCCTGGGAGAAAAATGAAAAGCCTAAAATAATCCACTAGATCTTCATCCAGCCCTTCATGCATCTGCACCTCTCTTTGGGCGGCACTTCTATTGGCCTCCAACCCTTTGTATTCTGGTCCCGCAGGTACTGTTTTTTCTCCCACCAAAGGGCCAGTGCATGTGTGCTTTCTCTATGTTGCTCCTCTCTGTGGAGGTTGAAGGCTTACATCTCAGCTAGGAGGACTTCCTCAGGGGCCCCTTTCTGACTTTCTGGAAGAGACAAAACCTCCCCCACTACATTTTTCCATGACAAACATGGGTTTCCCCCCATTCAGAGCACATGCCGTAGTTGTCATTTGTTGTCATTTAGGTGGATTATTTATTAATGCTTATCTCTCCAACTAAAAATGTATCCCCATCTAGGCAAGAATGACCTCTATTTTTGCTCAAAATGATTTGTGTTTGCAGAACCCGGCAGGAAGATTGGTAGTGTATCTGTGAACATGTGTTGAATGAATTGCAAGGTTTTCCTCAAACATGTACAGAGCAGGACATATCCCTGTGGTGTTACTTCCACTCTGGGCTGATCTTTGCCAGCTCAGCCTGGCTCCCTGGTTTAGCCAGCATCCAGCCCTGGGGAAAGTGTGTTCTTCCACTCCACTCTGTGACTACCCTGAAGGGCGAAACCACTAGGGTGGGCTCCAGAGCCAAAAGGGCCAACACAGAAGTACTCCACTAAGACCACACCAAGCTCCCCAGGGCCATACCACAGACTTAAGTACTGTCACTACTATAGGAAGTTCCTGCCGCCAAACTGCCAATGCTGCCTCTGTGTGGGTAATTAGGCTGTGCCAACCAGAGCCCTGCTGGTCTCTTTCTGCTTTAGGCAGGAGGCAGATCTCAGCTGTGTAATGGGTATCAGAAACTCTTAGCGCCCTCTCACTCTGCCCTTCTCTCCTTCTCCTCCTCTCCTTTCTCCTCCTTAATTCCTTAACTGACCCCACCGCTTAAACATTTTTCCTGGCCAGGGAAAATGTAAACCAAACCCTCTGCATAGAAACCAGCTGTGAATAACCAGGTCAACATGACAGTGTGGTCCCAGTACATACCCATAGAAGTGGGGGACTTTCTCTAATGCATGTTATTTTGTAGAAAGGTGTCTGCCTGTGCCTTTCAGAATATGTAGTCTCCCATAGTGTGTGTGTGTGTGTGTGTGTGCGCACGCACTCAAGGTACATGTGCCCATAGTGTGAATGTGCATGAACTGTGTGTATATGTCCATAGCATGTGTGTGTCTAGGGGACCTGGGAAGGGTTCCATCTCTGTGTTCCACAGACAGCCCTCTCACTTCCACAGCAGCTGCCTGAGATCCCCATAGGACATTCTGAGGCAATTAGTGACCATCTCCTGGAGTAGTCATCGGAATCCACTTCACAAACCATCAACTACAGCGAGCAAAACTGACTCTAGCTGATGCCATCTGAGATTCAGCTCATTGTTTGCACTAAGCTCACACTTTCTCTAAGCTATTCACACCAATGACTCTACTTGGCAGGGATGACAAGGTAGGCTTGCCTGTTCCTGGCTGACATAGGCCTCTTCTGACAGCTGACTTTTACTCAAGGACTGCCTGATGGTCTGAGTGAGTCTTTATAGGCTTCAAGGCCATCTCAGGAGCTTCCAACAATCTTCTTTCCCTGCTAAGCTTGCATTGCAGTCGATGGCTCTCCCAGCCTATTCAGTCCTTGCATGTTTAATCTCATTTTAGGATCTGCTTCTTAGAGGTCCCAAATTAACACAACTTCTTACCCATCTCCTTTAGAGAGCAGCACCTCCAATAACAGCAAGACCTTCCAGCCATGCTTTTCTGGGACTTACAGATCTTGAGACAAGAAAGGATGAAAAAAACAACATTCAAACCACCCATATTGGCTGGGTGCAGTGGCTGACACCTATAATCCCAGCACTTTGGGAGGCTGAGGTGGGCAAATCTCCTGAGGTCAGGAGTTCGAGACCAGCCTGGCCAACATGGTGAAACCTCATTTCTACTAAAAATACAAAAATTAGCTGGGCATGATGGCGGGCGCCTGTAATCCCACCTACTTGGGAGGCTGAGGCTGGAGAATCGCTTGAACCCAGGAGGCAGAGGTTGCAGCGAGTGGAGATGGTGCCATTGCACTCCAGCCTGGGTGACAAGAGTGAAACTCCATCTCAAAACAAACAACAAACCACCCATATCTAGTGAACGTACATATAAGTGGACCATACACAATACATTTTTTTTTTTTTTTGAGATGGAGTCTTGCTCTGTAGCCAGGCTGTAGTGCAGTGGCATGATCTTGGCTCACTGCAACCTCTGCCTCTCCAGTTCAAGCGATTCTCCTGCCTCAGCCTCCCAAGTAGCTGGGATTTCAGGCGCGCCACCATTCCCAGCTAATTTTTGTATTTTTAGTAGAGACGGGGTTTCACCATGTTGGCCAGGATGGTCTCGATCTCTTGACCTCATGATCCGCCTGCCTCGGCCTCCCAAAGTGCTGGGATTACAGGCGTGAGCCACCACAACATGTTTCCAAAAATGCCCTTCAAAAGTAAGGAAACAACTCAACAACATGCTGGGGTTTGTCAGTCCTTTGTCCTGCTAAATTTCTTTTGGACTTTGAAGGGCATCTTAAATAGTGACAAGTCCTTTGGTTACCTCAGCAAGGCCCAGGTGTTGCACATGTAAGGCCAGGGCCACCTCAGCATTTAATTCCAGGCTGCAAATACTCTTGGCTTTGTGGTCTTCTCCTCCTTCACAGGGTCAGAAGCCAAAAAGCAATGTTTCATATTACAAACAGAAGGAAGGAAACTAGCTGAGGGAATGAACAAAGCATCTATTTTGAAGTGGGGTTGCCAAGGCTGTGCCATGGAAGAGGAAGATGAAGTTCATGGCTTCACGAACATTCTTGGATCAAATAGTCCATCAGAAGAATGATCTCATTTGCATATGTATACCATTTATTATCATTTGATATTCATATATGCACATATAAATGAAGTCATTTTAATCTAGGAAATGATTTATCTGTCATTCTAATCAGAGGGTGTTTATTATTATTGAAAATAGCTACAGCATTTATTAAATACTTACTTGCTATTGCCAAACATTATGTTAAGCACTTCACATACACTTTCATTTAATTTTCAACTTATAAAAGAGGAAATTACGTGCTGTGGTAGGATTCTGTAAACTAAAGACACAATTTTATCCCCTCAGAATTTTTTTCTAACTTGATTTATTTTTAATCATTGAATCAGTTGCCAGACCAACTAATCATAAGGTTCTAAGAAGGGAGCTGCATGCGCCACTTCCAGAATAACCAAGGCAGGGAGAGTGTAAGCCCTTGTTCTAGGTCACACCATGAGCAAGGGCAGAAACAAGATTCAAACTTAAGATTGTTCAGCTCCAAAGATTTCTTTCTGTTCCTTAGAACAACAGTGAGCACTTAACAGTAGAGTTAAATGCTTTAATAACAAAGTCCATGATTAAAGAAATTATTGTGCAAATGAATACAGAAATGGAACTTTGGATTTGAATCTCAGCTCTGGCTCAGATGTTAAATAACCTTGACAAACTGAACTTTCTCTTGGGAAAAATGAGCCTATCTTCAGGAAGGTACGAAAGGGCTAATGATCCTGAAAAAGCCCTGCCTCTCCCAGAAGCAATAAGAGGAATAACAAAGAATAATGAAACACTATATCAATATAGTGTGCAATGGAATTGCTTAAATCATACACAACATTTTAGCTTCTTATAACATTAGGAATCATATTATCACGGTTGAGTTATGTTTTCCTCACTTCCTTGTGGCCGCAGAAATTCCAAGTTGCAAAATGAACTTTAAAAAAAAAAATCCTTTACTTCTTTGAAAATTATTCACTCCTTTCCGCCTGTTTGCTCCCTGAGAAATATTTTTGAACAGTGTTTGCTACCCCCTATTTATAGCTTTCCAGTTTTGGCAGGTATGGGAAAGTTTATAAGTGGTTTGTTTTCTTTGCTATAGCCAGTGTTGATTTAGGTCCCTTTAGCCACTGAAACAATTGGAAGCACTTTCAAGGAAGGCAAAGTCTGTTGACGACTGATAACATTGTAAAATCCAGATAGTCCGAATCAGGATTTCTTTGGGGGGCTCAGATCAGTTAGAAAATCTTAGCAGTGCCATGATTTGAATAATTATCTTTACTTCTTTTTTTGTGTATGGCTGTTGTGGAGGAAGCTTGCCCTTGACATCAGTAGGAAAAGCATCTCCTGAACATTGTCAGAGTCATTGGTGACTCTGAGTTTGATGCTGACTTGGACAACTAGGTAAGAAAACGTGCCTGCAGTGCTCTGTATCTGAGCTGTAAAGATCTACCTTATGAACCTATGTCTAACATCTAGTTTTTCACCAATTTTTCATGCTGACCAGAAGCAAACATTCGTGGTTCTTTTGTTTAGGAGAGATACCTGGAATTTCTAGGGTTTGTTTCATAAATATCTGAACTAAATAAATACCTTTGAAAGCCACGAGAATTATAGGCATCTTTTCCTTCCATCTGGTATGTTTGTATGGGTGGTATGGTTGTTTTTTTTTTTTTTTCCTGGATTTTTCCACCCTTTGCCTCCCTATAATTTGTGGGCCTTGAGAAAAGTCACGGTTTGCCCTGTAAATGTAGAGGGGAGCTTGTTAAATTGGGGTCATTCCATTTTTTTCTTGTCACCTAGGTTCTTGTCTGCAGTGCTCCAGGGAGTGGGACCACAAGGAATAAAGAGCTTCAACACAGAGAGATGGATTTCCAGCCTCAAAAGCTGGAAAGATGGCAGTGTTTCTGAGATTAAATGGCTCCTGGAAAGTAAACCTCACTGGGGACAGGAGCAGAATGTGGAGGCTGCCCACCCGCCTGTCATCTGATCCAGTGGCAGCTCAGAGGGAATAAAACCATCAGGTCTCCTAAAGACACTTAGGAGGATAGGAGGCCCTTGAATAACTCCACCCATCCATCCACTGGGACTGCAGAAAAGGCAATTAACTCTCATACACACCTGGGAAGCCAGGCATTTTCCCCCACTTTAAAATGAGTAAGGGACTTTCTCCAAGGTCACTCAGTCAGGTTAGGTCAATTCTGGAAATAGATCTGAGGCAGTACCATACACATACCCCACCCCCACCCCCTGCTCCACCCCTCCCCGACCTGGCTTCTAATTTGCAGGTCAATTCTTTCCTTTTTGCTGTGATCACTGATTTCCTCCTCTCCTCTTTTTTAAATTTAATTTTTCATATTTTCCTCCAGCTTTATTAAGATATAATTGACAAACTGTATATATGGTGTACGATGTGATGTTTTAATATATGTATACATTGCAAAGTATTAAATCAAGCTAATTAACACATCTAACACCTCGCATACTTATCCTCTCCCCTTTTCCTTTTCTTTATTTAAAAATATCTGACAAATAAAGATTGTCTATCCCCCTTTTAAAATGTGACTAGTAGTTTAACAAAGCCTTTAAATTTTTTTAATTATGCAAAAATTCAAATATATACAAAAGTAGAAATGAAGTGGCATCTTGTCTGGGGTAAATGACCGAGGTTCGTCATCTCACGCCAAAGAAATCGAGGGCTCCAAAACACAAGAAGTGAGTTTAAGGGCAGAGGCTTAATAGGCAAGAGGAAAGAGAAAAGAACTCTCTCTCTGGCAGGAGGAGAGAGAGAGAGAGGGACTCCTGGGCGGGTGTTCCGGTTTCATAGTGAAATGCCCGGGATTTTATAGACGAGCTTGAGGAGGCGGTGTCTGATTTACATAGGGCCCAAACATTGGTTGGACCAGGTGTATCATTTACATAGCACATGAGGAAGCTGGCCACCCCACCCTGATCTTTTATTATGCAGACAGGTTCTCTACGCTGCCTGCGCCATGTTGCCTGTTCCTTTACTGTAGTCGTGGTTGACAAGGAAAACGGAAGAAGGAACCTCCATGTTGAACATGTCTGGCCCCCAGGTAGTCTTTTCCTATTGGCACAGCTGCCGGCATTCACCCGTGCAAGCTTCTAGCTTGCTTACCTATGCCTGCAGCTCGATTTTACAGGCTGCTCTTTGTTAGAAAAGAAATGATTTGGGGGCTGCTTTTTGTTAAAAGGGAAACCTTACTGAAGACTCTCTTACCCTAACTGCCTAAATAATTTATTTTTAGCTCCTGTTTTAGCCCAGACCTCAGTCATATCTGGCCTCATACTTCTTGGTAGACATACCTAAGCATTGTAGATATTTTCATGTGTAATCATATGCCATTTCCCACTCACAAAAATCGTTAATATTATCTCCCACACACTTGTATCTAAATGCCCCTAAAAAAAAAGTCAGCTTGCCATTGATTTGATTGAACAAGAATCCCATCAGGCTCCTTTCATTACATTTGCGTGTAATATATCTTCTGTCTGTTTTTTTTCCCCCCCTCTGTCGCCCACACTGGGTTGCCCAGATTGGAGTGCAGTGGCACGATCTGGGCTCATGGCAACCTCTGCTTCTCGGGTTCAAGCGATTCTCCTGCCTCAGCCTCCCTAGTAGCTGGGACTACAGGCGCATGCCACCATGCCCGCTAAATTTTTATTTTTAGTAGAGACAGGGTTTTACTATGTTGGCCAGGCTAGTCTCGAACTCCTGACCTCAGATGATCTGCCTGCCTCGGCTTCCCAAAGTGCTGGGATTACAGGAGTGAGCCACTGTTCCTGGCCTCTTCTGTCTGTTTCTATTCTTTTCCTTCCCTGTCAAGTATTTCTTTAAGAAACCAGATCAATTGGGCCGGGCGCGATGGCTTATGCCTGTAATCCCAGCACTTTGGGAGGCCGAGGCAGGTGGATCATGAGGTCAGGAGATTGAGACCATCCTGGTTAACACGGTGAAACCCCGTCTCTACTAAAAATACAAAAAAATTAGCCGGGCGTGGTGGCGGGCACCTGGGAGGCTGAGGCAAGAGAATGGCGTGAACCCGGGAGGCAGAGCTTGCAACTCCAGCCTGGGCAACAGAACAAGACTCCGTCTCAAAAAAAAAAAAAAAAAACCCGATCAATAGTCCTAGTGCTCATTTATTTTTCCACTGTTACCCACTGTTATTATATGTGTATTATTTGAGGATGAAGAGTTGGAAAATCTCTTCCACCAAAATCCTAGCAATAAATAGAAAGCATTAAGTATTAAGAAATAAGCTATTCTTAATATGTAGATGAGGCATAGGTGATGATGATACATGTAAAAATAAAAGAATGTCTTTAGATTTTAAAATAGATTAGTAAAAAGGGTTATAATATAAACCACTTGTTTTGGTTTAAGTGTAGCACTTTTCTAGAGATACAAAGTAAAGTACCTGGACAATAACTCATTTTTGAGGCACTAAATTGAAACCGAAAAAGAATGTACACTCGTAAAATTGTCTGGACTGACCCTGGGAAAAACAGTCAATTAGTTGCCTTTTTTTCTCTCCTGGTCAATTCCCCACACCCTGTTATCTATTAATAATTTATTTTTAATTCCTGAATTTTAAAAACAGCTTCTTTATTAAGCTGTTGATTGACATACAGTAAAATTGACATACAGTAAAATGCATAAAGTTAAGGTATACAATTTGATAGGTTTTGACATTTGAATATACTTATGAAGTGATCACCACAATTAATATAATGAACATATGATTCAACCCCAAAAGTCTTCTCCTGCTTCATTGTAATCTCTCCCTCCCGACTCTACACTTGCTCCCTACCCCAGACAACAATTGATCTAAATTCTGTCACTATACATTAGTTTGCATTTTCAAGAAATTTATATACATGGAATTATGCGATATATACTCTTGTCTGGCTTCATTGAGCATAATTATTTTGACATTTGTCAATGTTATACTGAGTATCAATAGTTCATTTCCTTTTTTTGTTGAGTAGTAATTCTTTGCATTCTATTTCTGATTAACTGTGGTAAGGATTTACAAAAGGTCTCTTACCTGGACCATTCTTGAGCCTTTAATGTCTTCAATACTTCTGATGAGCCACTGGTCTTTTAATATACTAGGGCAAATCACACTTCTTTAAAACCCACTCCCAAAGGAATAAGTCTTTGCACTATCATACTCTTTTGAGCTTTCCTGATCCCAGTTCAGATACATAGAGATCTGAATTCACTATTCTCTTCCAATGTTATAATTATATGAGTAGGTAGATGGTGGGAATGAGTAGCGTCAGGGAAAGAATGACATTCATTTAATAAGTCATCGTAACACCAACTTTTTCTTAAAGGCAACACCCAGATCCCTTTACCCACCAATCCTCTGAGTGCTTCTAGTGCTATAGAATAGTTGAAGTATCCTATTTCTTTTCTTTCTTTTTGTTTTTCTGAGACAGAGTCTCTCTTTGTCACCCAGCCCAGTCTAGAATGCAGTAGCACCATTTATGGCTCATTGCACCCTCAAACTCCTGAGCTCAAGAGATTCTCTTGCCTCAACCTCCCAAGTAGCTGGGACTAAAGGCATGCACCGCCATGCTTAGCTAATTTTTCTGATTTGGTATAGAGACGAGGTCTTGTTGTGTTGCCCAGGCTGGTTTCAAACTCCTGGTCTCAAACTATCCTCCCACCTCAGCCTCCCAAAGTGCTAAGATTACAGGCAGGAGTCACCACACCCAGCCAATCCTATTTCTTTAGCTACTATAAGTTCTTTTACATTTTCAAAAGATTAAAACAATTATGATAGAGAGAATGCTTTTTTTGATATCTTATGCAAAGGATGTTTTGTTTATGACTCAATATTACTTAAGATACATTAAGCATCCTTCATAGATGGTGTTGATCTGATGATCATGAGACATATCCAGAGACAATAGTTCCAGAAAGAGAAGATGAACATAATCATGGTGAGAAGAGAAAGAATGGGAAACGCCGCTTTTCATCTTGCTCTTAATCCAGATTATAGAATGAAAATAATGTTTCCACACTATCTCCCCCATGCCCCACCCTATTGTGATTTAGTACAGTTACAGGATGTCTTTTCACTGGAAAAGCTTATCTTCTCAAGAAAGCAGTCCTGATTTGCTTGGCACATACTGGCCATGAGCATTCAGCCTTTTTCCTTAAGGAGTCAAAAGGGGAGAGTGAGGAGGGAGTGGCAGGGGATACAGGGTCATGATGGTCATTTTATTTCTTCCTAGAATATGATATTCTTTGCAGGTTGCCAGCATGCTTATTTTTATGTAGATTTGACCTTCACTGCAACCTTGAACAACTAAAATAGAATAAGATCCCTATACGCTACTTCAAAAAGCTTGGCTCTTGAAAGTATATAAAAATATAAGACAAAGGCAGGAAAACTAACCAGCCCACAGCTTTGAGCAAAGAATCATAAGGCTTCTTGGGTCTAGTTAAAATATCAGCTTTGTGCATATTAGATTCCATCCTGTGTTTGATTATTTCTGCAGTGAGTGCTGCCTTTATCGATTGTTAGAGTGAAATGTTCAAGAGCATTATATTACAATCTGTCTCTAAATGGCTTTTCAGAAATTTCCTGTAACTCAGAGGCAGAAATTATGCAGGGAACTGAGAGCAAAGCAACTAGACCGTTGAATTTCACCCAGACTTTTGCATATGGGAAAGTGATAAAGCATGGCCAAAGAGACTTATATTGGTTTTCTTAGTAAAGAGGGTCACTTTCAGCTTATTATTATCTCATCACCAGAAGCTATGCTGAATACTATATAAAGTCAAAGTGACGGGGGTTGCGGCTTTGAGGGTCACAATACTTTAAAGATGTCTTAGAGTCCAGAGCCTTTTGGCTCATGTTGCTCGCTTGATGATCTCCTTCATCCAGCTACCTCCTACGTGTTCTTGCCTAAATCTCACCTCCTCCATGAAGCCTCTCATCCTTTTTAATTGATTTCTTCTTATTTGAAAACTTATTTCTTTTAACCACTGAATGTAATTTATAGATTATTTTCTAATATATATTATATATGTTCTAACATATTATTTTCTAATAGTTTCACTTGCAACCAAGAGTACATCTTATACACTGTATGTCCTCCAAAGAAAGGTATAATGGATCGTGAATAGATTAAGAGCTCTTTCTGTGTGTGTATGTCATCCCCCCACCCTGCCTGCCAAACACACGCATATTGGCTCTTTTAGTCAAAGACGTGGCTTATCCAAATTAATAATCTTTGGGTTGTATATACCAGAAACTCCAACTCAACTCAGCTTAAACAATAAAAGGAATTACTGACTCAACACAACTGAAAAATCTATTTGTAGATGTGGTTTCCAGTGAAGCTCAATCCAGTGGCTCAAAGACCTGATTTCTTTCTGTCTCTCTGCTTTACTTGCCATGAAATTGGCTTAATCTCGTAATTCCGTTGGTCACGGATGGCTGCTAGCAGCTCTTGGGACAATACGTGCATCATCATTCACACCTAGACTAAGGGGTATCATTGTCCCAGCATCCCCAGCAAAGGTCCTGAGAATCACTTGCTTGAACTAGTTAAGGTCACACGTTCAGCCGTAACCATTCCATAGAAAGAAGTATGGATCAACTGATTAACTCAGTCTAGCTTCTCTGGAACTATATGGATTCCCAAACCAAAATTGGGAAGGTCATATGGGCACATGGGAGCTTGACAAGTGAACAACAGATGCTATAAATCTTCAGCCAATTTTATCCACCTCCCATGATCTGCAAAACATTGCATCTCATATATAAGGGATTTGTTTGCTGGCTTTTAGGTATTTTTATTTTAGAGAAAATAAAAGGAACCAATCTATAACTTTGGCATTGGCTGGCCTCCACAGAGTTTGGCAAGCTTTCAGTGGGCCACATCAGTAGAAGTTTTTACAGGGATGGTAGCTCCCTTCTGTTCACTGCCTATCACCACAATTTTCTCTTCAAAAAAAATGTGAAGAAGGAGAGATGGAAAGAAGAAAGGGAAAGAAGGGAGGGAAGGAATGGGGAAGGAGAGAGGGAGGGAGGGAAGGAAGGAAGGGAGGAAGGGAGGAAGGGAGGAAGGGAGGAAATGAATAAAAGGAAAAAAAAAAAAGCAGTGCGTTTTCCAGGCAAACACAGAAGTGCCTGTGGCTCTGGCTCACTCAGGCTGGGGAGACTCCCTGGACCAGGTCTGTGAATATAGTATTAACAATGTACAATGAAGGGCTGGGTGTGGTGGCTCATGCCTGTAATCCCAGCACTTTGGGAGGCCAAGGCGGGCGGATCACCTGAGGTTGGGAGTTTGAGACCAGCCTGACCAACGTGGGGAAACCCCATCTCTCCTAAAAATACAAAATTAGCTGGGCGTGGTGGTGCATGCCTGTAATCCCAGCTACTTGGGGGGCTGAGGCAGGAGAATCGCTTGAACCCAGGAGGCGGAGGTTGCGGTGAACCAAGATCATGCTATTGGACTCCAGCCTGGGCAACAAGAGCAAAACTCCACCTCAAAAAAAAAATAAAATAAAAAATAAAAGAAAAGAAAAGAAAAAGAAAGAATGTACAATGAAAAGCCACCATCATTTGCTAGATCTTCCTTGTAACTGCTAATTTCTTGTCAAATGAATACTAGATATTTTTTTAAGGTGGGGTTGAGTTCCTTGAGGTAATATTCTCCTTAAATATGAACCTTGTTTCTTCTTGGCTTCATTTTAAAACTCTACAGAGGGAAGCCATATCCCATAGATTTCTATTTCTATGTTGCTGTTTCCAACAAGATCTGGGGTCGTTCCTGCTGTCTGCAATAAGCTATAGGTCTATGAAAGGACTAAATGTACTTTCTGTCTGTGTGACTGACAAAGCAAAGCCTGGTTTTCAGGGCTCTGCTCACAAAAGCTAAGAATGGCAGAGAAGGCACACCAGGAAAATGATGATTACTTCACTGATTTTGGAATAATGATCTTGCCTCCTGAAAAGGTCAACCTTCCATTTGAATTGAGTGTGGGAAGAAAGGATGGCAGGTAGGGAAGAAGATAAATGTCTTCTAAGGAGGGTCTGTGTAAAAGACATAAATACCTCCACATCCTTTTGCATAACAGTAATTATCTTTAGTATAAATTGCAGACTTAGGAACATTAAAAATATTTTTCACTTTGCATAGCCCAATATTGGAAAATATGATATACAAAACATCAAAGAAAGGAAAGGGGATGAGGTAAAAGTAGAAAGAGAAATTCTTCCTTTTACTAAAAGACATCTACAGGGTCATTTAAATGACAAATTCCTTGGCCTTATATGGTAGTTCAACTCTCCCAAATGTTTTTGGAACCCATCTACTTTGTAAAAGGAGGTAAGATTCAATCTTCAATGGCTTGTTTCAGCTTGAATTAAAATGTGACATACCTGCTTCACTTGTTCAGAAGACTTCAGTTTAAAGAGATCTTAAACACATTTTTTAGTGTCTTCTTTAAGCTTCTGCATTGAAAAAGATCTGGAAGACAGGAATAGTGCTTGCTTTTTGGAAGGAATCATACCAGATGAGAGGCACAGACTTCACTAAAACCAAAATGATGTGTAGAGACACAATGTTCCATTTTCAGGAAGGTTTGTCTGGACTGGAAGAAACTGCTGCCTAGTCCTGTCACCTGGAACAAGGGGGGATTTCATTTGCCAATGAGGGGCCCTTTAGGCCCTGCCAGTCTTGGAGTTTGTGTACCTGGGTCAGCCAAGCAAGAATCAAGGAGGGTACAATGCACGCATTCAAAGATCAGTGTGTTCTTCTTGGCAAGTGTGCCTTTTGGGCACTGTTTGTCCCCAGCACAATGCAATCCCCACATTCTCAACCTTGTGACATTCAAATGTCTGCTAACTGCTTTCTTCATACCAAACGCTTATGAAAGGAGCACTCTACAATCACAAAATTAGAAAACTCATTTATATCTAATCCTTAGACAAGATAAACTGGAGGTCATTGTGGTAACTCCTTACCACAAATGATAAGAATGGTAACTTAAAAGTTTAATAATAAGCAGTTAAGCCAGGCATGGTGGCTCACATCTGTAATCCCAACACTTTAGGAGGCTGAGGCAGGAGGATTGCCTGAGGCCAGGAGCTCAAGACCAGCCTGAGCAACATGGTGAGACCCCCATCTCTGCCAAAAATAAAAAATAATTAGCTAGGTGTAGTGGCACATACCTGTAGTCCCAACTACTTGGGAGGCTGAGGCAGGAGGCTTGCTTGAGCCTGGGAGGTCAAGGCTGCAGTGAGCTGTAATTGCTTCTAAAAGACAATAGTGAGATAGAAGCTTAACAGGTGCTTCTAAGATGTTTTCAGTTCTTAACAGAATGTTCATGGCCTGATATTGACCTATAATTGTTGTTAGAGTATCAAGTGCTGCATTCTCTTTGCAAGGTAATTTTCACAGCTATGGTAGAGTAGAAATAGCACCAACCAGATCCTTCCTATAATGTTAGGTGTGATTCTGGATATCAAATATTAGTGGGACCCAGAGAGAACTTACAAAAGGCACAAAGAAGACTAAAAAGTCTGATTAAAAGATTAAAAAATAAGAAAAAAAGGAAGGTGGTATAAAGGTCTTGGACTTATTTAGCTCAGGAAAAAACAAAGGTTGTTCTGAATTGATGATTGCTGGCATCTGTAAGTCTTCACATGTAGCATGCAGGCTGGATGTGGTAAGAATATGTGAATGTCAATATCGAGGAGTTTGTTGAAGTCAAAATAGGTTCCCAACAGTGATTGAGGACTGGTCTTTCCAACAAGAGATACTTTATGAAAAACTTTGTCCAATAGCTAAAGAAGAAAAACTCCTTAAAAGCTTCTCACCCTTGTCAATTATTTCTCTCTCCGTGGACCTCATGTTTTTAAATATCCTGTAAATCAATTGCTTATGAATAATCATATATTCACTCTGGTTTTCCTAGGATAGTCTCAATTTATGCATTTTGTCTTGTGTAATTATCAACAGCTTTCCCTTTCAGTATCTGAGTATCCCATTTGAAAAATAAGGCATATGATTATTCTAATAAGAGCTAGCATGATTTGATTTTGGAAATATATATGGATTCGACAGGTTACACTCTGTTTAAAAGTGGCTCAAAAGATTCTATTATTGTGAAATTGGCTTAAGCAGATGATCTTTTAGCCTGCAAATACATGATTCTGCGACACCATTGACATTACCGAAAACAACTGTTCATCTCATGAGAATGAAAGGGACAACAACCCCTCCAAGGTCTCTTCAGCCTCATTTGGAACAGGCAGGAATAATAACAAATGTCACACTCTTAGCCATGAGTCTAACGAAAGAGAAAGCATCATTCCACCATCTGAGCTGGGAACTTTGTGGTTTTCAGATGTTCAGGAATCCGGGCCGCTACCCATCCTGATATTCTGGGAATGCATGATTGTGAAAAGAGAATCAACACGAGACCTCTATATTGAATTATTTAATTAATTCAGAAAATACTTATTGAGCCCCTCCTTGTGCCAGGCACTATTCTAAGTACTGGGATTTTGTACTCCACCATGCCGGGGAGTCAGGCTCCCCACATGAACCAGTAATGGCTGTGGTAGTTTCCTGAGAGCTCAGTGGGAATGGCCCTTGCAACAAGCCCAGGGATTCTGTGTTCTCAGAAATAAAAGCAAGCAAAAGAGACACAGGCTTTGTTTCTGAGAAATAATTGGTTTGGGGATTTAAGTTTATTATTTTCTTCTCCATTCTCATGCACTGATTTCGTGTTTAAGCCTCTCCTCATTTCACTCTTGGGAGCACTGGTCGAAGAGAGCAGTGTCAGCTAGAGGAGGGTTTGAGGTTTGTTTTGTTTTGTTTTAATCATGGAAGAATTCTAAAAGGAAGAATGATCAAAGTTAAATTTTTAAGAATTATGCCATGACTGTGATCATAATATTTTCCACAAATGAGGCACAAAATGGCATAAAGTTGTTATTTGTGCCCTAAACAAAACTGGAGCATTCAATCTAGATTTTATAATACAAGATCCTTATAGGCGCATAGATGGTGCTTCACGAACAGCTGATTGAGTTGAATGGAACTGTCTACTTTGGAAAACAAGAGTTGTACATTAAGAGCCTCTCCAGCGTTTTGCTCTGGATGCATTCCAAAAGTTGTTGTCACTAAAGGTTTAAATATATAAAGATGGTACAATAGACTCTATTTCCATGGAAGTAAACTGGTCTCTAATTAATATACCAGAAGCTGAGTCACTTTGTTTTTACAGGCACGTAGAGAGGAAGTGCCATCTCTCCTCGGTCGTGACACACTGCCGGTTAGCTGATGTATAGTTCTTTTTTTCTTTTTATTAAGGAGTAGAAAAGAAACAGAACTGAAAGTTGAAACAATTCGTACAAGGAAGAAGAAAGCCTGGGAAGTTACCTACATTGCCTAACATCACAGAATCTAAAGGAATCAAACTTTCTCTTTCCTTCTTGTATTTGAAGAAAGGAGACCTCATCTTAAGACGAGAATTCTTCCAGGTTTTCCTGGACAGCTTCTTTCATTCTCCACAGTGTCTGTTTCAAACTTTCCTACCTGTCTCAATGTCTTCAAGCTCATCCACAACTTCCTTGCACACCCAGGGGAGGACTTTACCCCCTACCTTACAGACAACGATGTGAGAACAAAAGCACCCCCACTGCAGCACCACGCAGCCTGTTCCCTCACCTGCATTCGTTCCCCCTCCCCCTCCCCCTCCCCCAAGCCCGGCGGCTCTCATTGGGCAACGGAAGAGGGGTCCTTCCTCCAGTCTCAGGCAAGGCTCTCCACCCATGCTTTAGATCTCTTCCTTTCCACATCTCTGGAAATTTGCTCCTGTAATCACCCACACTCTTTCCTGTATCTTCCACTCACACAGGAATGTTCTCAAATCTCCATCTTTAAAAAAAAATGAAAACAAAACCTCTCAAGTACATATTTTCATCTAAAGAGAGACTTTCTTTTCTTCAGAGTCAGGATCTTAGAAAAGGTGGCACTTGCTGTCTCCTCTTCCTCTTCCTCATTTCTTCCTTACCTGCATTTGCCTCTCCTGCTTCACAGAAAGTTTTCCCCCTGAGGCTCTTATTCCTTCCTCGTTGCTCATCCAATGAACACACTTCAATTCTTGCCTTTCTTTTTTTTTTTTTTTCCTTTTTTTTGAGATGGAGTCTTGCTCTGTTGCCCAGGCTGGAGTGCAGTGGCAGGATCTCGGCTCACTGCAACCTCCGCCTCCTGGGTTCAAGCAATTCTCCTGCCTCAGCCTCCCGAGTAGCTGGGATTATAGGCACAAGCCACCAGGCCCGGATAATTTTTGTATTTTTAGTAGAGATGAGGTTTCGCCATGTTGGCCAGGCTGGTCTTGAACTCCTGACTTCAGGTGACCCGCCCGCCTTGGCCTCCCAAAGTGCTGGGATTACAGGTGTGAGCAACCGCACCCAGCCCAATCCTTTCCTTTCTTGGGCTCTGTGGCCTTGGGCACTCTTGTCTCTTCCTATTTCTTGAATCCATAAAACTACCCTCTCGGGTTTCTTCTTACTTCTGTGGCTTCCACTTCTAAGTCCTCTTCTTGGCTCTGTTTCCCCATAAATGCAGGAGTTCCCTAGGGATTTATTCTCATCCATTCTTGTACTTTTTGCATTTCCAGAGTGTTTTCTGGGGGGGGGATGGGGGGATGGGGGGGCGCACAAACCTAATCATTACACTCTCCATAAGGTTCTCCAGAAGTTCTCAGTTACCTTCAGAGTAAATCTCACCTCTTAAGTAGGGCTTCCTACACCTGTCCTGACAGACCCATGTCAAGCCCATCTAGTATCCCTTCCCCATAAATTCTTGAAATTCTAGCCATAGTAATTAACTGAACAAATCACGTTCTTTCTGGTTTCTGTGTCTTAGAAAATGCTGCTGCCTTTGCTCAGAGCACACTTTCTTCCCCTTGTTTGCCTATCGAATTCAAGATTTTCCCCCAAAGCTCAGTGCATATTTCTATCATGGGATGTATCAATTTGTATTGTATTTATCTGTTTACCCACCTGTTTGAGTTCCTTAAGACAGGCACCCTATTTATTTATCCTGTTAAGCTCTGGGTGATTCTTTGTGCCTAACACAGTTCCATCATGAGCAATAAATTTGTTGAATGACTAAGTGGATAAATGGAAGATACCATCCCTTTCAATTCCAAGCTCAGCATGTAAACTAAGTTCAAGTCACGTAGACTTTTTCTATCAGACCTGAGTACAATGCTTCTAAAGCAATGTACATACCTCCACATAATAAGGATATTGATTTTCTATCTTCAAAATAAATGTGGCTCCTGTTGTTAGAAATGTGTTTGTTCTGACCTTCCTGGTAGTCATGGAAATGAATTACAGCCTTGGGCAAAAGGGCATCCCTCAGTCAAGGGGATGTGGTGTGATCTGGTGGGTAGAGAGGGCGTCATGGAGGCAGCATTCTATTTATAGCTGATGTTGACTCCTCCAGGCCACTAAGGTGACAAGCAGCAAAGACTGGCCCCTCCTCTCCTCTCCTCCAGTCCATCCCTGACATGAAGCTAGCTGAGAGATTTGCTCTTCTATTTTCAAATCGGGTTGCTTTTGCTGAGAGATAGAGGCCAGGAGAGCTTTGCTAAGATTTCATTCCCATGGAAGCTTCCCATTTAGTTGCTACAGCTGCGTAGTTCTTTTTTTTTTCTTTTGAGACGGAATTAGCTTTTGTTGCCCAGGCTGGAGTGCAATGGCGTGGTCTTGGCTCACTGCAACTTCTGCCTGCCGGGTTCAAAGTGATTCTCCTGCCTCAGCCTTCTGAGTAGCTGGGATTACAGGTGCCTGCCACCACCCCCAGCTATTTTTTGTGTTTTTAGTAGAGATGAGGTTCCACCATGTTGGCCAGGTTGGTCTCGAACTCCTGATTTCAGGTGATCCACCAGCCTCGGCCTCCCAAAGTACTGGGATTACAGGCATGAGTCACCACACCAAGCCATCTGCATAGTTCTTATGGGCTCACAATGGATTTGTGCTTTTGCTTTCACAAGATACTAATGTCTTTAAGAGCAAGACCTATGTATTTTTCTTTCTTTGCAGTGCCCTTCAGGCAAAGTTCAGCTGGCTGGCAGAGCTTAATCACTGCTCATAAGTATAATTACCAATCATAAACTTAGATAACTCATCCTGAATAAAAGGGTAAAGTAATCATAAAGATCTCCCAGATGGTGACATGTAAGCTTCTCTATAGAATCCTGGAAAATGTGAGAAATCAGAAAGGTTGCAATTTCATGGTACAAGCTCCTTGAGCACAATGACATGATTTTGCAAACTATTTCTAGGGTAAGAAATAATATCTTTTAAATTTGTGGCAAAATCTGCTGTAATGGGAGATTACTGCAGTGATGGACGGCTTTATAGAAACACAGTTATATGTACTTTATTAAACCATGTAGCAGGAAAAAAACATGATGGCACTCAAGAAGTTGAATTCCAGCCGCTTTCAATTTCTGGGTACATATAACCTTTTTGTTAGCACCTCTAAGACACTGAGTTTATTATCAAAATGACAAGAGCATTTGACAAAACGACCTTTGGTTCAAGACTTCTAGATCTGTCAAACATCTTGTGGTAGCCAGTCTCCAAGATGACCCCAGTGGTCGCTTCCTTCCGGTATCCATGTCCTTGTGTAGTCTCTTCCCACAATGAATAGTGCCAACATGCATAAGCAACAGGACATTGTAGAAATGATGGTATGTGGCTCCCAAGGTTGGGTCACAAAAGACATTGTGGCTTCTGCGTTTCTCTCTCTTGGATTATTTGCTTAGGGGTAAACCAGCTGCCCTGTTATGAGGACTCTCATCACAGCCCTATGGAAAGATTCATATGACCAGGAATTGGGGTTTCTTGCCAACAGACACCACCAACTTACTAGCAATATGAGTGAGCCATCTTGGAAATGTAGTCTCCAGCTCCAGTCAAGACTTCAGATGACTGCAAACTTGGCCATCATCATGTGTACAATCTTGTGAGAGGCCCGGAGCCAGAACCAAGTGAGGGTGCCATTAGGTAAGCTGTTGAGGGTGCCATTAGGTAACCAGGTGCCATTAGGTAAGCTGCTCCTAAATTCCTGATCTACAAAAAGTGCAAAATAATAATTGTTTATTATTGTTTCAAGTCACTAAATTTTGGGTAGTTTCTTACACAGCGATAGATAAAACCTGAACCAGAATTGGAAAAAAAAAATTGATAATATAACATTATAGTGGATACTGTGGTATACTACCTAGATCACTTCTTCAGGGCTGACACAACCATTTCCCAGCTATTGAAAATATTGTTTGTTGACAATACATAGCTATGTCCCTTACTAGAAATTGCCATCTAAGCTGAAGCTATGTCTTATTCAAGATTATGAGCTCCTGCCTGGGGCAGCCTGGGGCCGATGACTGACATGAGGATAAAGAAGTCAAACCCCATTCAATTTGTCCCCTTTCCAATCCTGCTTCCCTCAATTCCCTAAAGTTGTATCTCATGAGTGCTATCCAAAATAAACCTCTGCCTACAACTCTCTGTCTCAGAGTCTGGTTTCCATGCTACCAAACCTAAGAGAGTTGGTATGGTCCTTGGAGACAGGGTATGCAGCCAATTACCTGGTTCGCTTGTCAGGGCATGGGAAGAAAACAATTGAAAGACTGAGGACAAGATTGTCTGCAGAGGAGGCACTGGGATGAACCTATGGGGGTGCACACAAATTGTGAAGATTTTGTTAATGCCCACCAGATAGCATATACTGCAGAAGAGGCGCTAAATAACAAACTGACTTGGCTAGTAGACATCAGGCAGCCTCTTTTCTTTTCCACCCCAGTGCTTACACAGTGGATTCATGAGCAGAGTAGCCATGATGGCAGAAATGAAGGCTCATGCATAGCCCCAACAGCACACTCACAAAAGCTGATTTAACTATGGATGCTGCTGAGTGTCCATCCAACCTGCCAGCAACAAAGGGTAATGGGTTCCCAATATGGCACCCTCACTCAATGAAAGCAACCAGTCTTTTGGTACCAAATCAATCCGTTTGAATCTTTTCAATCCTAGATGGAGGAACAATTCATCTTGACTAGGATTGATACTTATCCTAGGCATGGGCTTGCCTTTCCTGCCCATAAGGCCTTGGCTGTGCTGTCTTGTGGCTCTTCCCTGCCTACATTTAGCGTATACATTCAGGTAAAGCAGCCATAGCCTGAAAAGGACCTGATAACCAGGGCCTTAGATTCCCCAGGGCTGAGGGTCTAGGCACTCCCCCAGACTAGCCACCTAGACCAACGGAAGTGCTGGCTGAGGGTGAGACAAACCCAGAATGAGTGGTAGAGGATAAAGACAATGAGCTTCCATTACGAATGTGAAGGCAGCTGCAGCAGCAAGGCTAGAGCTCATCCCACTGGAGTGTCCAAGTTTTCATAAGGAACAAGACTCACTGGAACCTGAGAGGATCTATGTGGGATGAGGGGATGCTATGGGGCTCTATCAGGGTTCTCTCTTAAGAGGCAATGCACTCATGTTCCAGCTGCTGGGACTCTCAGCTGCTGACAATTCATGACTACATGGCTCACTGGGAATTGCCCTTGGCTACAGAGAACTCCTTCACTTAAGGTTGCACTCTCTCCCAGAGATGGCCAGTGGCCATCTGACTGTGAGGAAACTGACTGATGTGAAGAAACAAAGGCTGGCACATTTGCTTCAGTTAGGACATCTCTGAAAGGCCATCCCAGCTCCCAAGCTTCCCACAGGAAGGGCTGAGACTCCTATTGCAGCTATGTTGTGGATCAGCTTCTGTCTTTGTCCAATCCTGCCTTCCTCAGCTCCTGACATTGTTTCTCCCAACACTCCCCCAGTAAACCTTCTGCATGCAACTCTCTGTCTCAGGGTCTGTCTCCAGGAAACCCAACCTACAAAAAGCTTCCATACAAGGATTTTTAACCTTCAATCAGCACAGCGAAAAAATGCTGCCAGAGAAAAGTCTATGCTCTTCATTGTTAATCCAGTAGATGGGAAAACTAGAAATTGCAAGCTTTGGTTGACCTGACAGTGGTTGCGAAGAAAAAGGGAGCATGTCAGGAAAGGAAGTGACTGGGAACTCTATGTCCACTTTATTCATGGATGGAGGTGTTACAAAGAATAGGGTATCAGGGGTAGGTGTGCTTGATATACCTCAGCTTTTCTGAGGGAGGTAAGCCACATGGAAAAATATCATAGTAAGGCTCTTTGCTCACTAGGTAGGTGACTTTGGTCATTTCATTGTTGCAATCTTTACTGATATACTTGCCAAACAGTGTTTTGTTTGTTGTAATAACTCTAGTTTATTTATTTGTAAATTTCTGAATATAGTCATAAACAACTGACAGTCTCTTTAAACAAGAAATTGTACAATGGAAATTTGATATTTTGCTGGAGAGACTCTGCAAAAGAAATTAGTAGGAATTAGTAGATTGTATGTTCAGAGGGTGAGGGCTCACTGACATGGTGTATTAGTCTGTTCTTACGTTGCTATAAGGACATACCCTAGACTGGGTAATTTATAAAGGAAAGAGGTTTAATTGACTCACAGTTCTGCAGGGATGGTGAGGCCTCAGGAAACTTACAATCATGGCAGAAGGAGAAGCAAACATGTCCTTCTTCACATGACAGCAGCAAGGAGAAGTGCCAAGCAAGTGGGGAAAAGCTCCTTATAAAACCATCAGATCTCATGATAACTCACTCACTATCATGATAACAGCAGCATGGGAATAACTGCCCCCAGGATTCAATTACCTCCCATGGGGCCCCTCCCAAAACACATGGAGATTATGGGAACTACAATTCAAGATGAGATTTGGGTGGGGACACAGCCAAACCATATGGGCATCTAGAGTTTACACTTACCAAGATCAATGTGATCCTTTCATGAAGAACTGATTTTTTCCTCCTCCAAATTGCTTCTCTTCTGTTTGGTTGATGTGCACTTCATTCTTCTCCAACCTGAGAGGAAGGCTGATCATAGGGATTGCCACAGGGGTCCATTCCCTCTAACTCCTGTGGGATTCAGCCCATAGGGAACACAGGCAGATCTGAGGAGTGGGGAGAGTGAGGCTAGGGTATTTTTTCCCCTCTTTCCTCTCTAGTAAGGTGGACCCAGGCTGTCAGCCTCCCTCCATGGCAGACCACACCCCCTGCCAGGCAGTCCCTCCCCGGCCCCTCTTGGCTTAGGGGTGCTAACTATCTTCAGCGACCACTTGCTCCAGGTTACTGCACTATGCCTTAGGGTTTCCCTACACTCTGCCCTGATAGAATGATTCTTCTTGCTGTCTCTTTCACATTTAGGAGACTAAATTCTAGACTCGCTTCTTACAGAAACAAGCGAAGCATCCATGAGCCAATCCCTTCACCAATGTAGGCTAAGAAATTCCTGGGATCTGGCACTCAAAGATTTAAAAGAACTTTGAACTGAATGAAGGAGACAATGTCTCCACCCCATTCCAGTGCTTTATAACCTGTTTCCTTGAGGAAAGTGACAAGGCAGGAGATGTGGGGACAAAAGGATTAGAAATTCAAAGGTGCTCGTGAAGGGAGCGAGTGCACATTAAGACTTGGCATAAGAATGGCAGCAGGCAGAAGCAGGCCCAGGCTGATGGGAGACTGAACAGCAGAACAGAGCAAAGCCAGGAAAAGGGTTTTAAGTAAACTCCTTAAACTCCTGGGAAGCCACAGGACAGATGGACAGTGCAGTGAATGACCATTCTGAGACAGCCAAGTATAAACGGTCCCCGGAGAATCGCATCTCCAATCGGTCTGCGCACTGGGAAAACAGAATGGAGGCATGGAAATTGACCCCGTTTGCAGGAAGGAGGAGCCTGGCCCTCCTGTTCCTGTGTGGTAACCTGGAATTCAATCTGTGAGATGGGGGCCTGTTAACAGGAACCCCTCTCACTTTGCTGAGAGTCTTTTTCCTTTTCGCCCAATAAATTTCATAACCCCATCACCCTTCGAAGTGTCTGCGTGCCTAACTGGTCATGTGACAAGGACCCAGTTTTTAGCTGAACTGAGGAGAAAGTCCTACAATTCCTACCATTCGCTGCCACTCCTTGTTCAGACCTTCTAGTCATAGCTTCCATTGACTGGGTGCCTCCCATGTCCCAGGCATGATGCATTATACTCATTGTCTCCTTTCATCCTCACACACAACAACCTTGGCAGGACACAGAAAGGTGGTGTGAGGAGACGAGCCGAGCTACTTGCCCAAGGACCCAGGGCCCCCTAAATGACAGAACCAGGATGCCAACCCTGGGACTTCCTCACATAGTTAATCTCCCTTTTCTAAAACAGAATTTGGCCTGGCCCTAAGGATACCTGTCCAGGCTGGAGTGAACACTGAGTTTTCACTACTTCCTCTCATCTCTCAGAAATCACTGAAGCAGGCCCAAATTCGTGGTTAGTCCAATAACAACCCACTCTATTTGAGCCAAAAATTATAGCAGGCCAGGTCCTGGGTCAGGGAGCTCATTTCCTTCTCTGCCCTCTCTCCACCTTGTCCTTCCTGCCCAGGTGTGAATCTTTCCCCAGAGCCAGGCCCACACCAGAATAAGCCCTGGGAAGCAGGAGAGTGGGACATGGCAAGGTATTTGTCTCTGTGTGTGGGATTGCACTGGGAGAGGAGGACGGAGGGAAGGCATTCCTCATGCAGTAAACAGCCCAGACCAATTTGCACCCCAGCCACTGAGCCTTAATCTTTTCATGATGCTTTGCATATTTATAACCAAGATTCCTATTGCTCTGGTACAAACAAGATTGCAATCAGCCTGCCAACAGATTCTCTTTAAACTGTCAGTCTTTATGGAGAAAAAACAGTCACTGACATTGAATGCCCTTTAAACAAGCCCCCCTTATTCTCCTTAGCTGGAAGACAGTACGCAAGCTTAGTCCTAAGAAGAGAGGGAACTTGTTTCCTTTAAACAGCCCCTGCCCAGGTTTTCTTCAGTTTGGTTAGAGCAGCCTCAACTCCTTTTAAACGCCTTGCTTAGCGGACGCCAGCCTGCTTGAGCTGCGCCTGCAGATGCCAATTTCAGCTGCCACATTTAATTTTCATGTCCTGAGGGCCTCCTTTGCTTTTTCTCATTCCCTTAAATGAATAAAAATAACTAAGGAGCATGGAGCACATGACCCTGATTCAGTGTTCAATCTTTTGCTACAGATATGTTTGCCCACGTCCAGTCCTATTTGTTTTAAAGAGAAGATGAAGCAGAAAAAGGGGACCTGTCACATCTCTGTTTCCCAGATCCTTAGAGCCTAAATACAGCTGTGAGTTAGGACAGAAAAAGTTAGTTTCCTTATCTAGAAGCCAGACATGTGTACTAGTGGCAGAAGCATGTTCTACTTTGGTTCTACTGTGAAAAGAACCAATGGAAAGAAAAAACCTAACTAACATGGACGGATTCCTTACTCGACTTGGTGATGCGGACCCTAAGGTCCCACCAGCACATGCTGATGTGACTCAAGGGCTGAAATAAAGGGGACAATGCTTCCTCGTTGTCTTCAATGGAAGAGACATCTGGGATTTTATTTTATTTTATTTTTTTGAGATAGAGTCTCACTCTGTCACGCAGGCTGGAGTGCAGTGACGCCATCTCAGCTCACTGCAACCTCTGCCTCCTGGGTTCAAGCGACTCTCCTGCCTCAGCCTCCAAAGTAGCTGGGATTACAGGCGCATGCCACCACACTCGGCTAATTTCATCTGGGATTTTAAACTGGACTGAAAAAAAATCCTGACTTCCAGCAGGTCTTTCTTAGGGCCAAAAGAGTGCTACTTAGAAGTAGGATGGGCCATGAGACTCCCTTTAGTACCCTCAGAAAGACCCCAAAAGAAACCCTTGTGGGTTTCTCACCAGCCCTCACCCCAGGACTAAGACTATGCCAAGCCCAGCCGTGAACATTGTGATCCTTTCTATGGTCCTTTTAGGGACTGTTTTGGGAGAGGCAGAGTCAAAGAGTGCATTGCAGCTGCTATTCTTATTCCTTTACCCAGCCAACCCTTAGTCGCCAGCATTTCTCAAACCATAGTTTAGCTGTGAATGCCCGAGATTTTCTTCTTGTCCTAACCACAGTAGTGCTGGTGGTCATGCTGCTTTCTGGCACAGCCAGGCAGGAGGCCAGCCACCTCAGAGCCTCAGGGAGGAGGGAGGGGAAGGATGCCTTCCCCTGGGGCCCAGAAGGGGCTGTGGGTACCAACTGCCTGGACACTCAGGCTGGAATCAAGCTGAATACACTGTAGGGAGGAACTGAAAGATCCGGGCAGGGGAACATACTCCTCAATCCAGACCAATGTTTTCAAAGGCCTCCATTTTGTGAAGGTGTTGTCATCAAAGCTTGCCTTTCTCTTTATAAATGAACTCATTTGTGGAAAATTCTGGAAATAAAGAAAAGGAGAGAGACAGAGAGAGGGAAAGAAAGACAAAATCATTCTTTTCAATGCCAGTTATTGAATGTACCCTACAGTTTCAGAGCTTTAGTCTCTCACAGAAATTCTTCTATAGTTGTTACCAACATTTTGGTCCCTCACATCTGCTCTTTAAAATGCTAGGATAGCAGTCATGAAACTCCTTGGTCCTCTCAGAGATGTGCAATTGAGGGAAATAAATTCAATTTCAGCCACTGGGTGGTATTTAGTGAGCACGTGATCAGCCTTGTACTGGGAACTCACAAGAATCTTCTCTCTTTCTTGGAAGAGAGAAGAATCTTCACTCTTTTTGGAAAGCAGAAGATTCTTCTCTCTTTTTGGAAGACAGAAGAATCTTCTCTCTTTTTGCATGTGAAACATTAGAAATGACTTGAAGTTCATATATTAATAAGGCTGGTGGATACAAGATACAGTAAAAAAAAATTTAGTTAGCAAAATAGAATTGTTGGGTGGGGCTTGAGAGAAGAAGGAATTGGAGCAGAGAACTGCATGAAATACAAGGAGAAGTTCAAGATTTTGAGTGAATTGTGTATATCATACTTATTAGCACTTCCTTGTCTTAGAATCTTCTTTGCTCCTTACACACACACACACACACTCTCTCTCTCTCTCTCCCTCTCCAATGCCCTTTCCTCATTCCTCCCTTTACTGAAAGCTGACTCATGCTTCACAGCTTAGCTTAACCTCTGTCTTCTTCATGTAGACCTTTTCAGCATCTCAGCCCACGTTGATTCCCCTTCCTGGAAACTCTCCTTCACTTAGAGTCAATATCATTCAGTTAAGTACTTAGTCGATTTCTATTTGTTTCAAGGGTGTGTTTGTCTTGCTTGGTAAAGGATAAGGCTCTTAGGAGAAGGATCATATGTTCCAGTAGGATCAGACATGGGGAGATACAGTGGAGCCACTTTGCAAACACTGGTTTAATGGATGAAAGGTTCGGTTCAGAACCTTGTTTCTCTGGGAACATTATCACCAAGAGTCCTCATCTGGGCAAGCGTTTTGTTCCTTGGCCATTTCATCAGTGCCACCACACAGGCTGCCTCATACTCTTAAATGGCTCTTCAGTGTTCTGTTTCCAGCACAGTCGGGGAGATTATGTTAGTTTCTTGCAAAATGTTTGAGAGGAGTTTCATTGTTCTTAGAAGGCAGAGAAGAGCAATTGGCCCACTTTTCTGTACTTTACACATGAAATATTTGTTTAAGCTGTGATAAAAAGCCAAACTTGGAAAGTGCTGCTATAAACTCAGAGTGCAAATGAGGGCCAGTCTAAGGGTGATCAATTCAGCTAATATGCAATAGATTCAGCTGCCACCTCCAGAAGAGCCAACATTAGTTAATCAGTATATGGGCAATCCAGGACGTTTGTTCTGGCTGAGGTCCCACCTGTTCTCTCTTTTTAGCATTTTGTGTTTCTAAGATTTCTTCCCCAGGAGGGATGAAGGAGAGGCAAGAGGATTGAGAAAAGAAGACAGTGAACAAAGACAATGTTGTTGGTAACCCAGCCCTGCTAGAGACTTGGTGGAGTGAAGGTGAAAGTCGATGCTCATAACAAAAGTTCTGGGTTTAGGATCACCTCAAGATTTAGATCTATGTCAGCCATACCCCTACTGACTGGGAAATGCACAGAATGTTAGTCTGAAGGCAAAATGGGCCATGTGCAGTCATTGAAACACGCCTGCTGTGGTATGAATATTTGTCCCCTCCAAACCTCATGTTGAAATTGGATTCCCAATGTTGCAGGTGATTCTCAATGGGAGGTGTTTGGGTCATTCGGGCAGATTTCCCAAGAACAGATTAATACCGTTTGTTTCAGGAAAAACTCTCCGAAACTGCATTTTTCCTCTGATTTTGTTATGGTAGCTAGCTAGCCAGGCATGAGCAGGCAGAAGAGGGCTCCTCCTGACCCACCAGGAATGTCAGATGACCATCAGGTGATGGTCCGGCAGTTGTCACACTACCTCTCTAAAAATGATAATTGGTTGCAGGTGCAAGGGAGAGGCAATTTCACAACAGATGAAAACATTTGAAATTGGTAACCAGCAGCTCAGGAATTGGGTGAGTAGGCTCAGGCATGCGCATTAAGAGACAAAATGGTGGAGTATGACCTTCTGGGAGCATTCCACTGGAAAAGAGAAGAATGCCACAGTCAAGAATTTGAACAACTCCAGTAAACACGCTGAGCATGCTCACCTCTCAAGTATTAGCAGGCCACTGTGCATGCGGGTGGCCCACCCTAAGGGAATAATCATGGGAAAAAGGACACAAGACCCCGGGAGTATGCCAACCTATAAAACCCCAAGTCAAAAGGTCAAATGTCCCATTTGACCTCCACAGCACCCACTTGAGTCTCTTCCAAGTGTACTTTCCTTTCTTTCCTGCTCTAAAGCTTTTTAATAAACGTCCTCTCCTGCTCTGAAACTTGCCTCAGTCTCTTTCTCTGCCTTATGCCCCTCAGTTGAACTCTTTCTTCTGGGAAGGCAAGAATTGAGGTTGCTGCAGACCTGTACGTATTTCCCATCAATAACCCAGATATTCGCCACCCCTAACACTCTCACACCACCACAACAATCAACACACTGAAGACTTCTGTGACCAAAGGTGTGGGAGTTTCTCCCCACCACAAAGCAGTGAACACCAGTTGGGTGTCAAGTCCAACACGATCTACCTGGAGATAGTATCAGATCCCATAGGTTGAGGGCTCAGTCCCCAGGACTGCTGCCCACTCCACCACACACCAGTCACAAGACCAGGCCTCCACAACTTCTGACTGACTGGCTTCAAGTTGCAATTCCCATTTTGGGTTCAATTAATTGCTGGAGCAGCTCACAGCACTCAGGGAAACACAATTAGTGGTTTATTGTGAAAGATATTGCACAGGATACAGACGAAGAGCTGGGTAGGGCAAGGTATGCGGGAAGAGGCACGGGTTCCCATGCCCTCCAGAGGTATGCCAGCCTCCAGGAATCTTCACGCGTTCAGCTGTCCGAAAGCCCTCTGAACCCAGTGGTCTTGGGTTTTTAGGGAAGCTTTATGACATCAGCATTTCTTCCCTGCGGGTGTAAGGTGGGACTATCTCAGGGGAGGGTCTTAAGTCCCACAGTCAGAAAGGTGAGGAATATTAGAGTCCTGTCCTGGGGCAGTGAAAAGAGGGTAAGAGACAGATGCTGTTTCTGAACACACCCAACATTTTAACAAAAGATTATAAAAAGGGCTATGTGAGTTATGAGCCAGGGACCATGGATGAAAGCCAGTATATATTATATATACCTATATAAATATATATGTATAAAAACACCACAGGCCACACCCTTGGTTTTTGTTTGTTTCTTTAGAGACGGAGTCTGGCTCTGTCGCCCAGGTGGGAGTGCAGTGGCATGATCTTGGCTCACTGCAGCCTCCCCCTCCCGGGTTCAAGCAATTCTCCTGCCTCAGCCTCCCAAAGTAGCTGGAATTACAGACATGCACCACCATGCCCAGCTAATTTTTTGTGTTTTTAGTAGAGACAGGGTTTCACCATGTTGGCCAGGCTGATCTGGAACTCCTGACCTCAGGCGATCCACCCACCTCGGCTTCCCAAAGTTCTAGGATTACAGGCGTGAACCACCATGCCCGGCCCACACTCTGATTTTTGACCATGGACCCCTTACATCAAAAAAAAATACATAATCATAAATAATTAGTCCAGTCCATCATATGTGAATGTCTCTCAGAGTGAGACCACACAGGTTTGAAGATTTCCTTTCAATTTTGTTAGGTTCCAAAAGCAGGAGTGATCTTGGTAAAACATATACACCCTTTCAGGCATCTGGAATAATTGAGCTAAGAGACAATGTCATCTCTTGTTCTGGGACTCCTTTGAGTTGTTAATGTAATATTGAATTTCCCTCAATTAATAACCTATTTATTCATTTCTTTACACTCAGCGACATTTCTCCTTCTCTCCAGGAATACCCAAACCTTTTCACCTTGTGAAGGGACATTAGAATCGCCACTGCGCTGGCCTAGATTGCAGGCAGCAATACAGGTCTAGCAAGTACCTCCTCCTCAGTCCACTCCCACTCAGATAGTGTAAGGTTACACAGGTACAGAGCTAGTGAGCTATTTTTACCACCAGGAAATATGGCTGCTTCGCTCTTAACCCCAATGTTGCTAGATGGGAGGAAGGCACAGCCCACCTCCATCAGGCCCTCAGGAATTCTGAGTTTTGTAGCCTTGGTCCTAGGACCACTGCATCAGATAGGGGAGAAAAAGAAAAATTTTTTGAGGTGATTTTGGGAAGAAAAAATATATATATAGTTTTATAGTTATAGTTACATAACTATTACCCTGATATAACAACTATCTATCTATCTATCTATCTATCTATCTATCTATCATCTATCTATCATCTATCTATCTATATAGTTGTTTTAGTAGAGACAGGGTTTCTAATATATATGTATAGTTGTTATACCAGGGTACTCCTCCCTTGGCAAGATGGCATAGCCATAGCAGCATCCATCCTCCCTACCTGCTCTTCCCCACATCAATCAGAAAAACAGAAAAAATCTAGTGGGGACACTAGCCCCGTTCATGTTCGGGGTGAGCACACACTCGTGAAGGCTTATCAGTGAGGGCCTTTCCATCAGGAAACCTGTCTCATAGCTATCCACAATTTCTGTCTCTGTTGGTAACAAGCAGAGTAATTCTTACTTGCATTATGTGCCAGAGAGGGTGCAAAGGTAGCATGCCTCAATTCAGCCCATCTCTGCCCGCTGCAGTGACCTATGTCCCCTCATTTCATGGACCCAGGTGGCCACCTCCAGGGAGCACACAGGGATACCTACTTGTTGATTCCAGTCACCTTCCAGACCTGGAAGGGAATTCTTCTGATGGGCATTTGTTCTACTTTAACACACCCCTCAAATTTCCATAGGGCCATACCCCATGTGGGCATTTCTTTAATAGGCCAGGTTTCCGTTGCCCTTCTGCCTGACCATGTGGCCAGGCCATTTGTCACCACCCATGAGTCAGTAAAAACCCAAACACAGGGGCTTCCACCACTGTTCAATTTTTCCATCACTGTTAGAAAAACAGCATGCAAGTCAGCCCACCAAGCTGATCCATTTTTATCTTCTTTGATTAAAGTAGCTGACTTCCAGGCCGGGCACGGTGGCTCACGCCTGTAATCTCAGCACTTTGGGAGGCCGAGGCGGGCGGATCATTAGGTCAGGAGATCGAGACCATGCTGGCTAACACGGTGAAACCCCGTCTCTACTAAAAATACAAAAAATTAGCCGGGCGAGGTGGCGGCCGCCTGTAGTCCCAGCTACTCGGAGGCTGAGGCAGGAGAATGGCGTGAACCCCGGGGGGCGGAGCCTGCAGTGAGCCGACATCGCGCCACTGCACTCCAGCCTGGGCGACAGCAAGACTGCGTCTCAAAAAAAAAAAAAAAAAAAAAGTAGTTGACTTCCAAACAGGATGTTGTCCATTCACTTTGAAACTGCCATCTGTAAACCAAGCAGCTCCTTTTTGGTCAATCAAGAACTGTTCATAGTGTACTGTCCAAGTGTTGATAGAGTCAGCAGCACCTCACACAGTTCCAGAGTCAGTACTGGGGGTAAAAAGGCTACCTGCTTGTGAGTATCTCCTTGCATTTCCCAGATAGCATAATCCTGAATAAACCATTTCCATTTTGTTATGGAATTCTTCTGGCATTACTATCTTCATTAGAGTATTTCCCTGACGTCATCACAGATAGCATTGGTATTTCAGGTGTCAACATCATTTTATGTCCTTCAGTCATAGGATTAGCTTCAGTTAACTTCCCTTAGCAAGGTAGTAAATGCCCCTCAACTGGAAATTCTTTAGTCCAAAGTTTCTGTAGTCATTGCAGGAAATGCTCACAGGATTTTGCTATAAGCCCCAGGAAATGCGCCACAGAGTGCTGTCAAATGGAGAATTTATCTTTATCAGGTGCTCTAGCTTCTCCTCTGCACTGTGTGGGCTCGGGCAAGCTTACTGGTTCCCATTTAGTACGTAAAAGTAATATTCCTTGAAGGGCAGATTTACATGCCTTCTGTTTTACAGTACAAGGTAGGGGAAATATTTCCCAATCAGACACAATGTCATTTCCCAGGTTACAATTAGGTAAAAGAGATGCAACAACTTCACATGAAGTGTGTTCAAATAAATATCAACTTTCATAATCCTATCAGTCCTTACATTTTTATGTTCTAGTTTTAGGAACTTCTCTTCTCCACCCCCAGACCATTTTATCCTCTTTTGTGCAAAAGGTTTTGGGTCTCCAGCCAAGGGCTGAGCCAAAGGACCTTGGTCTTTCTTCAATCTTTATTTTGATTAACCTGCCTGTCTATTGTACCAGACAGTTTCTCAAAGTCTGATTAGATTTCTCATTAGAATCTCTGCCTTCTGGCTTTTACAATTTCTCTAAACTGGGGGAAATAGAGCAAACTGGGTTGAAGCCCTTTAATATTGGGGAATTAGCAGAGGCTCCCTTTGGTCCACTCAACCTTTGATACTGTTGTATTGACCCCATTGATTTCCTTTGTTTTAACTTCATCGATTTCCATTTTATTCATTCTGTTTTTTAATAACCATCTAAAGATTTCCTTCCTGTTTGGACAAGTTCTATGACTCTCCTTTCTTTTTCTTCTTATTTTCACCCCTATCAATATTTTTTTATTCACCTCATTTTTAAATAACCTTTTAAGAATTTCCACCTTCTTGGCTCATGCCTGTAATCCCAGCACTTTGGGAGGCCGAGGCAGGTGGATCATGAGGTCAGGAGATTGAGACCATCCTGGCTAACACAGTGAAACCCCGTCTCTGCTAAAAATACAAAAATAAAATTAGCTGGGCGTGGTGGTGGGTGCCTGTAATTCCAGCTACTGGAGCTGCTGAGGCGGGAGAATGATGTGAACCCTGGAGGTGGAGCTTGCAGTGAGCCAAAATTGCACCACTGCACTCCAGCCTGGGTGACAGAGTGACTCCGTCTCAAAAAAAAAAAAAAGAAAAAAAAAAAAAAGAATTTCCACCTTCTTGGGATGAGCCCTTTGATTCTGCTTCTGCTTTTTGTCTTTCCCTGGTCTCATTAGGTTAATTAATAAAAACATTAACTAACCTAATATTTTTATTAGCATCTGTATGACCCATAAGGGAAAGCTGAGACAGCAAATTTGGTACAGCTTCTCAAAACGCTGTTTGATTTTGAAGGAGTAATGTCACATGGCGTGCCAATGTAGAAGGGGTCCCCTTAACCACGGCATTTACCATGACCTGGGTTATGGACATATTCATCAGATGAATACTGCTGCCATCATAAAACCAGTCCCACATGGCTTGCATATGAAGCATTTCAGCTTCTTTATCTGGGGTGCTCCACTTGGCATTTACAGGTAGAGTTGGACAGTATCCCTTCTCAGGGTAAAGCAATCTTACAGTAGCTTTTATCGGGTCCACCAAGCTGGCTATTACCTCATGAATAACCTCCTGTGTGTCTGGATCATATATATACCCATCTGTGATTGTTCAATAGTAAGCTGTGCGTCTTCCATCAACCTGAGCATGCTGTTCTACTCTGCAGCATTTAAAACCAAAGATACTGTGCCCAAATTAGTCACTTTCAGAATCTATTTTAGTAAAGGGTTCTCTGGAAGCTGATGATACTGATCTACAAAATGAAGCAATTCCTTCACTTATTCTCTTTGGTTTCAGTAGTTACCTGGTTTTGTCCTTCCTCCACATTGACTACCTTCTTGGTAACCACGGGTGTCAGTGGTACTTTGTATTGTCCCTGCATAAAATTTTCTCCTTTGTTGATGACTTTGAGACTAGTGGGCTGAGCTCAGACAGACCCACATCTGAGCTTGATCCAGCCTCAAAGCCTGACCCAGCACTCTCTTTCACTTTTATTTTGGCTATTATAGGTAACAATAACCAAGGAACTATTTATTTTTTCATATGAGTTTGCATTTCCTTATGC
The DNA here is from genome assembly GCF_000001405.40 of Homo sapiens. Lineage (NCBI taxonomy): Eukaryota > Metazoa > Chordata > Mammalia > Primates > Hominidae > Homo > Homo sapiens. The sequence goes on along the minus strand of NC_000005.10, from coordinate 38,632,893 downwards.
ATCCAGTGAACCAACCCCATGGGAGTTAGATCCATCTTTAAATTCCACTGGTAATGTTTACCTTTAGTAACTGATCCCACAGCTTTGGCTTCATACCATAGGTGACCACGTAGCCACCCAGGACTCAAAAATTCTTCATCCCCTGCCCTTTTATCCTTTCTCTTCCCAAACCACATGTTTCTGTTAGTCAGAATGAGTGGCAAATCCCACTTCTGACACCAATTGTCTCAGGAAAAACTCTCTCAAGCCACATTTTCCCTCTGCTCTCACATTACCACAACAATCAGCAACACAGAAGAAGACTTCTGTGAATAAAGATGTGGGAGTTTCTCCCCAATACAATGCAGCAACTCCCTGCATTGTCCTGGGGAGACAATGCAACTCCAACATGATCTACCTGGAGATAGTGTCAGATTCCACAGGTTGAGGGGTCACTCCCCAGGACTGCTCCCTGCCCCCTGACACCAGTCACAAGTCCAGTCTCCAGAACTGCTGATCAACCAGCTTCAAGTTGGGGTTCCCACAAACCCCTCTTTGGGCTCAATTAGTTTGCTGCAGCAGCTCACAGAAGTCAGGGAAAAATAATTAGTTGTTTATTATAAAGGATATTGCAAAGAATACAGATGAAGAGCTAGGTGGGCCAAGGTATGTGTGGGGGGCATAAGCTCCCATCCCTTCCAAGGATGTGCTACCCTCCAAGGGAATGGAGGTTCCATGTGTTCAGCTATCCAGAAGCTCCCCGAACCTAGTCCTCTTGGATTTTTATAGGAACTTCATGATGTCAGCAATTCTTCCCCCAGGATTTGGGGTGGGACCCTCTCAGAGGAGGGTCTTAAGTCACACAATCAGAAAGGTGAAGGAATATTAGAGTCCTGTCTTGGGGCAGGGGAAAGGAGGACAAGAGAGAGAAGATTCTGTTTCCAAAGACTTAACACAGCCAACATTATAACAAAAGACTGTAACAAGGACTATGGGAGTTATGAGGCGGGAACCATGGATGAAAATCAATGTGTGTATATATATATATGTGTGTGTGTGTGTGTGTGTGTGTAAAACACCACACCCTCCCTCTGGGATGAGTGAGCTCTCACTGTATTAGTATTCATAGATCTGGTTGTTAAAAAGAGCCTGGCCGATCCAGGCTGTGGAGGAGCCAAGATGGCCGAATAGGAACAGCTCCGGTCTACAGCTCCCAGCGTGAGCGGCATAGAAGACGGGTGATTTCTGCATTTCCATCTGAGGTACCGGGTTCATCTCACTAGGGAGTGCCAGACAGTGAGCACAGGACAGTGGGTGCAGTGCACCGTGCGCCAGCCGAAGCAGGGCGACGCATTGCCTCACTCGGGAAGTGCAAGGGGTCAGGGAGTTCCCTTTCCTGGTCAAGGAAAGGGGTGACAGACAGCACCTGGAAAATCGGGCCACTCCCACCCGAATACTGCGCTTTTCCGACGGGCTTAGGAAACGGCGCACCAGGAGATTCTATCCCGCACCTGGCTCAGACGGTCCTACGCCCACGGAGTCTCCCTGATTGCTAGCACAGCAGTCTGAGATCAAACTGCAAGGCGGCAGTGAGGCTGGGGGAGGGGCGCCCGCCATTGCCCAGGCTCGCTTAGGTAAACAAAGCAGCCGGGAAGCTCAAACTGGGTGGAGCCCACCACAGCTCAAGGAGGCCTGCATGCCTCTGTAGGCTCCACCTCTGGGGGCGGGGCACAGACAAACAAAAAGACAGCAGTAACCTCTGCAGACTTACATGTCCCTGTCTCACAGCTTTGAGGAGAGCAGTGGTTCTCCCAGTGTGCAGCTGGAGATCTGAGAATGGGCAGACTGCCTCCTCAAGTGGGTCCCTGACCCCTGACCCCCGAGCAGCCTAACTGGGAGGCATCCCCCAGTAGGGGCAGACTGACACCTCACACGGCAGGGTACTCCTCTGAGGCAAAACTTCCAGAGGAACCATCAGACAGCAGCATTCGTGGATCACAAAAATCCGTGGTTATGCAGACACCGCTGCTGATACCCAGACAAACAGGGTCTGGAGTGGACCTCTAGCAAACTCCAACAGACCTGCAGCTGAGGGTCCTGTCTGTTAGAAGGAAAACTAACAAACAGAAAGGACATCCACACCAAAAACCCATCTGTACATCACCATTATCAAAGACCAAAAGTAGATAAAACCACAAAGATGGGGGAAAAACAGAGCAGAAAAACTGGAAACTCTAAAAAGCAGAGCGCCTCTCCTCCTCCAAAGGAACGCAGTTCCTCACCAGCAATGGAACAAAGCTGGACAGAGAATGACTTTGACGAGTTGAGAGAAGAAGGCTTCAGACGATCAAACTACTCCAAACTACAGGAGGAAATTCAAACCAAAGACAAAGAAGTTGAAAACTTTGAAAAAAATTTAGACGAATGTGTAACTAGAATAACCAACACAGAGAAGTGCTTAAAGGAGCTGATGGAACTGAAAGCCAAGGCTCGAGGACTATGTGAAGAATGCAGAAGCCTCAGGAGCCGATGCGATCAACTGGAAGAAAGGGTATCAGTGATGGAAGATGAAATGAATGAAATAAAGCAAGAAGGGAAGTTTAGAGAAAAAAGAATAAAAAGAAACGAACAAAGCCTCCAAGAAATATGGGACTATGTGAAAAGACGAAATCTGCGTCTGATTGGTGTACTTGAAAGTGACAGGGAGAATGGAACCAAGTTGGAAAACACTCTGCAGGATATTATCCAGGAGAACTTCCCCAATCTAGCAAGGCAGGCTAACATTCAGATTCAGGAAATACAGAGAACGCCACAAAGATACTCCTCGAGAAGAGCAACTCCAAGACACATAACTGTCAGATTCACCACAGTTGAAATGAAGGAAAAAATGTTAAGGGCAGCCAGAGAGAAAGGTCGGGTTACCCACAAAGGGAAGCCCATCAGACTAACAGCTGATCTCTCAGCAGAAACTCTACAAGCCAGAAGAGAGTGGGGGCCAATATTCAACATTCATAAAGGAAAGAATTTTCAACCTAGAATTTCATAACCAGCCAAACTAAGCTTCATAAGTGAAGGAGAAATAAAATACTTTACAGACAAGCAAATGCTGAGAGATTTTGTCACCACCAGGCCTGCCCTAAAAGAGCTCCTGAAGGAAGCACTAAACATGGAAAGAAACAACCGGTACCAGCCGCTGCAAAATCGTGCCAAAATGTAAAGACCATCGAGACTAGGAAGAAACTGCATCAACTAACGAGCAAAATAACCAGCTAACATCATAATGACAGGATCAAATTCACACATAACAATATTAACTTTAAATGTAAATGGACTAAATGCTCCAATTAAAAGACACAGACTGGCAAATTGGATAGAGTCAAGACCCATCAGTGTGCTGTATTCAGGAAACCCATCTCACGTGCAGAGACACACATAGGCTCAAAATAAAAGGATGGAGGAAGATCTACCAAGCTAATGGAAAACAAAAAAAGGCAGGGGTTGCAATCCTAGTCTCTCATAAAACAGACTTTAAACCAACAAAGATCAAAAGAGACAAAGAAGGCCATTAGATAATGGTAAAGGGATCAATTCAACAAGAAGAGCTAACTATCCTAAATATATATGCACCCAATACAGGAGCACCCAGATTCATAAAGCAAGTCCTGAGTGACCTACAAAGAGACTTAGACTCCCACACAATAATAATGGGAGACTTTAACACCCCACTGTCAACATTAGACAGATCAACGAGACAGAAAGTTAACAAGGATACCCAGGAATTGAACTCAGCTCTGCACCAAGCGGACCTAATAGACATCTACAGAACTCTCCACCCCAAATCAACAGAATATACATTTTTTCAGCACCACACCACACCTATTCCAAAATTGACCACATACTGGGAAGTAAAGCTCTCCTCAGCAAATGTAAAAGAACAGAAATTATAACAAACTGTCTCTCAGACCACACTGCAATCAAACTAGAACTCAGGATTAAGAAACTCACTGAAAACCGCTCAACTACATGGAAACTGAACAAACCTGCTCCTGAATGACTACTGGGTACATAGTGAAATGAAGGCAGAAATAAAGATGTCCTTTAAAACCAACGAGAACAAAGACACAATGTACCAGAAACTCTGGGACACATTCAAAGCAGTGTGTAGAGGGAAATTTATAGCACTAAATGCCCACAAGAGAAAGCAGGAAAGATCCAAAACTGACACCCTAACATCACAATTAAAAGAACTAGAAAAACAAGAGCAAACACATTCAAAACTAGCAGAAGGCAAGAAATAACTAAGATCAGAGCAGAACTGAAGGACACAGAGACACAAAAAAACCCTTCAAAAAATTAATGAATCCAGGAGCTGGTTTTTTGAAAGGATCAACAAAATTGATAGACTGCTAGCAAGACTAATAAAGAAAAAAAGAGAGAAGAATCAAATAGATGCAATAAAAAATGATAAAGGGGATATCACCACTGATCCCACAGAAATACAAACTACCATCAGAGAATACTACAAACACCTCTACACAAATAAACTAGAAAATCTAGAAGAAATGGATAAATTCCTCGACACATACTCTCCCAAGACTAAACCAGGAAGAAGTTGAATCTCTGAATAGACCAATAACAGGAGCTGAAATTGTGGCAATAATCAATAGCTTACCAACCAAAAAGAGTCCAGGACCAGATGGATTCACAGCCAAATTCTACCAGAGGTACAAGGAGGAACTGGTACCATTCCTTCTGAAACTATTCCAATCAATAGAAAAAGAGGGAATCCTCCCTAACTCATTTTATGAGGCCAGCATCATCCTGATACCAAAGCCGGGCAGAGACACAACCAAAAAAGAGAATTTTAGACCAATATCCTTGATAAACATTGGTGCAAAAATCCTCAATAAAATACTGGCAAACCGAATCCAGCAGCACATCAAAAAGCTTATCCACCATGATCAAGTGGGCTTCATTCCTGGGATGGAAGGCTGGTTCAATATATACAAATCAATAAATGTAATGCAGCATATAAACAGAACCAAAGACAAAAACCACATGATTATCTCATAGATGCAGAAAAGGCCTTTGACAAAATTCAACAACACTTCATGCTAAAAACTCTCAATAAATTAGGTATTGATGGGACGTATCTCAAAATAGTAAGAGCTATCTATGACAAACCCACAGCCAATATCATACTGAATGGGCAAAAACTGGAAGCATTCCCTTTGAAAACTGGCACAAGACAGGGATGTCCTCTCTCACCACTCCTATTCAACATAGTGTTGGAAGTTCTGGCCAGGGCAATTAGGCAGGAGAAGGAAATAAAGGGTATTCAATTAGGAAAAGAGGAAGTCAAATTGTCCCTGTTTGCAGACGACATGATTGTATATCTAGAAAACCCCATTGTCTCAGCCCAAAATCTCCTTAAGCTGATAAGCAACTTCAGCAAAGTCTCAGGATACAAAATCAATGTACAAAAATCACAAGCATTCTTGTACACCCATAACAGACAAACAGAGAGCCAAATCATGAGTGAACTCCCATTCACAATTGCTTCAAAGAGAATAAAATACCTAGGAATCCAACTTACAAGGGTCATAAAGGACCTCTTCAAGGAGAACTACAAACCACTGCTCAATGAAATAAAAGAGGATACAAACAAATGGAAGAACATTCCATGCTCATGGGTAGGAAGAATCAATATCGTGAAAATGGTCATACTGCCCAAGGTAATTTATAGATTCAATGCCATCCCCATCAAGCTACCAATGACTTTCTTCACAGAATTGGAAAAACTACTTTAAAGTTCATATGGAACCAAAAAAGAGCCTGCATCGCCAAGTCAACCCTAAGCCAAAAGAACAAAGCTGGAGGCATCACACTACCTGACTTCAAACTATACTACAAGGCTACAGTAACCAAAACAGCATGGTACTGGTACCAAAACAGAGATATAGATCAATGGAACAGAACAGAGCCCTCAGAAATTATGCCGCATATCTACAACTATCTGATCTTTGACAAACCTGAGAAAAACAAGCAATGGGGAAAGGATTCCCTATTTAATAAATGGTGCTGGGAAAACTGGCTAGCCATATGTAGAAAGCTGAAACTGGATCCCTTCCTTACACCTTATACAAAAATTAATTCAAGATGGATTAAAGACTTAATCGTTAGACCTAAAACCATAAAAACCCTAGAAGAAAATCTAGGCATTATCATTCAAGACATAGGCATGGGCAAGGACTTCATGTCTAAAACACCAAAAGCAATGGCAACAAAAGCCAAAATTGACAAATGAGATCTAATTAAACTAAAGAGCTTCTGCACAGCAAAAGAAACTACCATCAGAGTGAACAGGCAACCTACAACATGGGAGAAAATTTTCACAACCTACTCATCTGACAAAGGGCTAATATCCAGAATCTACAATAAATTCAAACAAATTTACAAGAAAAAAACAAACAAAAGTGGGCAAAGGATATGAACAGACACTTCTCAAAAGAAGATATTTATGCAGCCAAAAGACACATGAAAAAATGCTCATCATCACTGGCCATCAGAGAAATGCAAATCAAAACCACAATGAGATACCATCTCACACCAGTTAGGATGGCGATCATTAAAAAGTCAGGAAACAACAGGTGCTGGAGAGGATGTGGAGAAATAGGAACACTTTTACACTGTTGGTGGGACTGTAAACTAGTTCAACCATTGTGGAAGTCAGTGTGGCGATTCCTCAGGGATCTAGAACTAGAAATACCATTTGACCCAGCCATCCCATTACTGGGTATATACCCAAAGGACTATAAATCATGCTGCTATAAAGACACATGCACACGTATGTTTATTGTGGCACTATTCACAATAGCAAAGACTTGGAACCAACCCAAATGTCCAACAATGATAGACTGGATTAAGAAAATGTGGCACGTATACACCATGGAATACTATGCAGCTGTAAAAAATGATGAGTTCATGTCCTTTGTAGGGACATGGATGGAAATTGGAAATCATCATTCTCAGTAATCTATTGCAAGGACAAAAAAACAAACACCGCATGTTCTCACTCATAGATGAGAATTGAACAATGAGAACACATGGACACAGGAAGGGGAACATCACACTCTGGCGACTGTTGTGGGGTGGGGGGAGGGGGGAGGGGGGAGGGATAGCATTAGGAGATATACCTAATGCTAAATGACGAGTTAATGGGTGCAGCACACCAGCATGGCACATGTATACATATGTAACTAACCTGCACATTGTGCACATGTACCCTAAAACTTAAAGTATAATAATAAAAAAATATATATATGCTAAAAAAAAAAAAAAAAAAAAAGCCTGGCCATTTCCCTTTCCCTCTTGCTCCCTCTCTGGCCATGGGATCTCTACACACGCTAGCTCCCCTTCACCTTCTGCCATGAGTGGAAGCAGCCTGAGGTCGTCACCAATGCAGATGCCTAATCTTGACCTTTCCAACCATCAGAATTGTGGGCCAAATAACCCTTTTTTCTTCATAAATTACTCAGCCTCAGGTATTCCTTGATAGTAATACAAGATGGACTAAGTGCCACAAATAGTTTTGCCCTGTTTTTACTTTATTCTAAAGTGTAATCATCAATGCTATCATTTAATGAGTATTAATTAAGTGTCAGGCACTTTATGTACAGGATTATCTCATCCACATAACAACTTTTCACAGTGGAAATAATCACCTCATTTACACAGATCAGGAAACTGAGGCTCAGAGGAGGTAAGTAAACTTCCTGTGTTTAGCAAATATTGACTGTGAGTCTTTCACGTATTAGGACTTAGAATCAGAAAGTGGTAGAACCAGGATCCAGGGTTAGATGTGTCTGGATTTTAAGCCTGTGTTCTTTCCACACGGCTGCATTGCTTTCTTAATAAAGAACTTCTCCAAAGGACCTTCTCTGTCATCCTCATTTCAAAAATAATCCTTTTGAATTCTAGAAGCCTTTTGAGTACAAAGTAAGGAAGACTTAACTGTGTTTACCAGATGGTAGTAACAATATTGGAATATGTCTGGTTTGTTTGTTGTTGTTTTTAAAAGTAGAGATAGAGAGAATTTCTAGACTTCATTTAGTGTTTCTTAATTGAGGAGCAGGTCTGGACAAGAATAGACCAGCCGCCGGGCGCGGTGGCTCACGCCTGCAATCCCAGCACTTTGGGAGGCCGAGGCAGACGGATCACTTGAGGTCAGGAGTTTGAGACCAGCCTGGCCAACATGGTGAAACCCAGCCTCCACTAAAAATACAAAAATTAGCTGGACGTCATGGCAGGTGCCTGTAATCCCAGCTACTTGCGAGGCCGAGGCAGGAGAATTGCTTGAACTCGGGAAGCGGAGGTTGCAGTGAGCCGAGATCATGCCACTGCAACTGCAATCAGAGGGAGACTCCGTCTCAAAAAAAAAAAAAAAAAAAAAAAAAAAAGTAGACCAGCCAAGAGGCTCCCAAGTGTGGGAGCCTCTGCAATCTGATTAACTGAGCTAAAGGAATCAGGGGTGGTTTTGTTAAAGGGACTTAGTTTAATACTTAAATTACATTTTATCCCTTATCCTCTAGGCACCTTTTCAGAAAATCTACTCAGTTCCTCAAGCTACATGCCTGGGAATCAGTGTGGACTCACTTTATCCTGTCTTGCTGAGGAAATCTACCTCTTCAATATGTCTGCTTCCCCCATGCACGCGGCCATTCACATTCAGACCATGATTTTCTCTTGCCTACATTTTTGCAACTAATTTGATCTCCCTAACTCTGGTCTTTTTCCCCTCAAATTCGTTTCCCACACAGCTGCCAGCATAAATTTTCTGATATATAAATTAAAAATATGTAAATTGGGTCTTGTTTCTTCCACTGTATCTTCCCATGGCTTTTAGGAAAAAAGTCAAACATTTTAGCATAGTAAATAAAGTCCCTCATAATCTAGCCCAGTACTGTTCAATACAATTTGAGCTTCATATCTGGTCTTAAATTTTCTAGTATCCATATTTAAAAAGTAAAAACAAGCAGGGTAAATTAATTTTAATATATTTTATTTAGCCAAATGTATTCAAAATATTGTCATTTCAAGATGCAATCAATATTTTTTAAAAATTTATGAGATATTTTACAGCCTTTTTTTCTTGTACTTCATTATCAAAATCTGGATGCTAAATTTTTATTAGAAATACTGAATCTGTAGATTTCATAAAATTTATAACTGAAAAAATAAATCCACATTTCTAAACTGTTCCAAACAAATTTAAAATTATAGCAATAACTGAATCAAGTATTATTTTTAATTAAAATAAAATAAAACTAAAAATTCAATCATTCAGTCACATTAGCCATACTTGACACATACTTTATAGCTACATGTGCCCAGTGGTACTATACTGGACAGCACAGATCTAACCCTGATTAGATCTCTCAGGAATAACAGCAGCTAATGTCCGTATACGTCAGTCATTGGTCTAAGCATTCCCATGTATTAGCTCATTTTAATTTAGTTGTTACAGGACAACAATCCTGTAACATAAATAGTATCTATGAACTATATACTATTTTTCCTCCACTTTATGAGAGCAAAAATCAGGGCACAGAGAGGTTGAGTAATTTGCCCAAGTTCATACAGCTAGAAAGAGCAGAATTGAGGTTTGAACCTAGGCAGTCAGGATCCAGAACTTGGGTTCTTAACCACAGCAATATTGACTGCCTTAAATTCTTGCAATTCCAGGATGCCTCCTCTTGCTTCTAGACTGTTATATCTGCCTCTCCCTGCATCTTCTTCTCTCCTCCAGCCAAGGCCTGAGAATGCACATTGGCCCTTTCTGATTGGGAGTGACATTTCCCACACTATGGCATTATTTTTCTGGTAATTTTTGAGTTCTTATCTGTATGGACTGTAAAAGCAGTGTATTACTAAGACAAATGTCAGTGTTCATAACAAATTCCAGGGCAGAAAAAAATATTTAATCAGATATGCTTATCAAAGCTCTTTCCTTGCTTCAGAAATGTCCAAGCTGTTTTTAAGCTGATACTATTCCCCTGCCCTGCCTGAAACATTTGAGGAACCTTCTTGGTTACATAACTTGGTGTGAACGCTCTCGCTCTGTCCATAGGAGATGATGGTTCACAGAGCGCTGACATGAACATTTTCTCTCCTTCCTAACTAATGAAGGACAGCCTTTCCAGGAAACATGTGCTTTGTGAAGTCTGACATTAAGAGTACACTAAGTCAGCCCAAGAATGGGGCGCAGTTAAATATGATTAAAAGTAGAGGATTAAAAATATTATGACAGGAAATGGAAAAAATGAGAATTACGGGCAAGGCAGCTCTTGCTGCACTTTGAGTTCAAAAAGAAGTTACCTAGTTTCATGAGAAGGTAAAGAAATGCTATTACCATAAATCACTATTAAAATTCACATTAATATGATTACATTAAAAATTAGATAAGAAGAGGGAAAGCTAATTGGATTCTGCTACAGTCACTAATCAGTATTCTTTTTACAGCTAGAAGATAGGATTTATACAGAGGCGCCACTGACATATAAATGGCCACTAGTGAACAGTACCAAATGGTTTGATTTAACTACTAGAAATGAATCAGCCTCTTCATTTAACCTCATGCACATGAGCCAAAAAAGATTCTCATCTGAGACACTTGTAGCCAGAGTCTGGCCTCAACTCAGCTATAGGTTCTAAGGAAAAGATTTGAGCATCTGTGGGACCTCAAAGCCATGGGCGGCTAACTTATGGCAGAAATCCAATGACAGCATGAAGGAGGATTTTTAGGGAAATCATATCTGGGTGAGGCTGTGAAAATCATGTTCTGAGCTTGGAAAAAAAACCCATAATTATTCTCCTCCTTCCCTAATCTGTGTCCATACACACCAGGGTTCCTCCTTTATCCCTATTCACTATAAAAAAAAAGGGAAGAATAAACATTTGACATGCTATTTCAGCAATGTTGCTGTTGTCCATTCAAAATATTTTCCTGGAGATCAGACTTCTGCTTCCAGCCAACATGGAGTAACAACGACCAGGATTATTTTCACTCTTGAAACAACCCAATACCTAAGAAAAGGTGCTCAAGACGCTGAACATCAAGTGGCAAAAAATAATGATCTTTGCAAGACAGGAAAGAAACGAGGTGAGCCCTATAATTGTCCCAGCTCACCTGCTTTGAGACAAATTACAAGCCATGGTGCAAAAAAGGGAAACCCAGAGGAACCCCTGAGTTGAGGAGATGGAGCTGAGATATGAGGAAGGCCAAGGTGGTTAGACTACTAGAGAGGAGAGATAACCAATGAAAAAAATCTCCAGAAAGAATACCCCTTTGAGTAAATATTCAGCTGATAAGTGCAGACATGTGAGAAACTGCTGGAGGCCAGGGAAAGAACCACCCAAAAAGATAAGAGGTGATAGTGTTCAGCTTTCACACAAGGCCAGAAATAATGCCTATTCTCACAATATAGACTGAAAATCCCCATGATTCATAGGGAATTGGGTAGAATATACAGATAGGTCTTCCCTCAGAACTGGGAAATAATTAGCCCTAATTATTGAACCTTGAATACTGTTGACTTCTAACCTAACAAATCGTTTTTTTTTTAAATTTTATTATTATTGTACTTTAAGTTTTAGGGTACATGTGCACAACGTGCAGGTTTGTTACATATGTATACATGTACCATGTTGGTGTGCTGCACCCATTAACTCATCATTTAGCATTAGATATATCTCCTAATGCTATCCCTCCCCCCTCCCCCCACCCCACAACAGTCTCCGGTGTGTGATGTTCCCCTTCCTGTGTCCATGTGTTCTCATTGTTCAGTTCCCACCTATGAGTGAGAACATGCGGTGTTTGGTTTTTTGTCCTTGCAATAGTTTGCTGAGAATGATGGTTTCCAGTTTCATCCATGTCCCTACAAAGGACATGAACTCATCATTTTTTATGGGTGCATAGTATTCCATGGTGTACATGTGCCACATTTTCTTAATCCAGTCTATCGTTGTTGGACATTTAACCTAATACATCTTAAAAGCATATTCAAAAGGATCAAACTCTCTCCAAATTACTTAATTTAGTCCCAGAAAATGTCCTAAATTAAGTTCCTAAATTAGGAAAATGTCCTAAAAATTATCTTTATAGGAATACAAAAATACCCAGCATCCAACAAGGTAAAATTCACAATGTCTGTCATCCAATAAAAAAGTACTAAGAATCAGAAAAATATGAGCAGAAAAATCAGTCAAATGACTCAGGATTTTTCAGGCAGAAGAATCAACAGCAAAGGACATTAAAACAGTTATTATAACTTTATTTCATAGGTTCAAAAATTTAAGTAGCAAGATGGAAGCTATAACTGAGACCCAACTTGAACTTTAGAGATGAAAAGTCAAATGTCTGAGATTAATAAAAAATGCATTGGATTGGATTAAAAGATATTTAACTTAGATATTTTAGAAGAAAAGAATTATGAACTTGAAGACATAGCAAGAGAAATTACCCAAAATGAAGTTCAAAGAGAAGAGCAATTTTTTTAAAAAAAGGGGAACTTATGATCTGTGGGCTGTGAAAATTTCAAGTGGCCTAATATGTGTGTAATTGCAATTTGCAAAGAAGGGGTTCCCAAAGTAGTAGGCAGACTCTAAGATTACCTCCTAGTGATCTTGGCCTCCTAGTATTCATATTATTCTTTAGTTCCTGCCTTTTGAGTGCGGGCTGAATTTATTGACTCAATTCTAATGAAGAAAATACGGCAAAGGTGATGTTATATAACTTGTATTATACAATATATTACAAAAAGACTCTGGTTTCCATCTGGGGGCTTTCTCTCTCATTTTCTTTGAATCCGTTTTTTTGGAGGAAGCTAGATGCCATATTGTGAGGCAGTCGCATGGAGGGGTCCATGTGGTGAAGAACTGAGGCTGCCAACAAGCATGTGGGTGAGCTTTGAAATGGATCTTCTGAGGTCTGCCAGAAGCTACAAAAGTGAGTTTGTAAATGGATCTTGCCCCATTCAAACCTTGAGATACTACATCTCTGGCCAACACCTAGGTTGTAGCCTCATGAGAGACCCAAAGCCAGAGGCACCCAGCAAAGTTATATTCAGATTTCTGACCCACAGAAAGTGTGAAATAATAGGCCAAGTGCAGTGGCTCATCCCTATAATCCCAGCACTTTGGGAGGCCAAGGTGGGTGGATTACCTGAAGTCAGGAGTTCAAGACCAGACTGGCCAACATGGCGAAGCCCCATCTCTGCTAAAAATACAAAAATTAACCAGGCATGGTGGTGTGCATCTGTAATCCCAGCTACTTAGGAGGATGAGGCAGTAGAATTGCTTGAACCCAGAAGGCAGAGGTTGCAGTGAGCTGAGATTTTGCCACTATACTCCAGCCTGGGCAACAAAGCAAGAGACTCTGTCAAAAAAAAAAAAAAAAAAAAAAAAAAAAGAGACATAATACATGTGTATTGTTTTCAGTTGCTACATTTTGGAATAATTCGTTACACAGCAATAAATCACTAATAAAAATATGAAGAAAAATGGCCAGAAAGTTTCCAAATTTCATGAAAACTGTAAACCCACAGATCTAAGAAAATCAATGAACTCCAAGCATAATAATAATAATAATGAAAACCGCATTAAGACACATCATAATCAATTTACTCTAAACCAATGACAAAAAGAAAATCTTAAAAGCAGACAGTGAAAAAAGACACATTAACAAACATAAGAATGTCAGCATATTTCTTGTTAGAAAAAAATGTAAGCAAGAAGACAGTGGAACAACACCTCAAAGTTCTGAAAGATAAAAAATGTCAATAGCAAAATTATTTTTCTAAAATGAAGGTGAAATGAAGATTTTTTTCAGTCATGGAAAAGTGGAAGAATGCATCAACAGCAGATCAAAATTTGACCCAAGAAGCATCAATAAAAGCCGTTCAGGTAGAAGAAAAATAATACCAGCTGGAAATATGCATTAACATAAGGAGATGAAGAAAACTGCAAATGGTTACTACATAGACAAATATGTAAGTTATTTTTAGTGGTTAAATCATTTTGAAAGATAATTGATGATTTAAACAACAACAACAACAACATAACCTAACAGTGTAGTATAAGGTTTGTAACATGCAAAAGTAAAATGTATGACAACAATAGCACGAAGGACGGAAGAGGAGAATTGGACTAATGTAAGATTTCTATACTATTCATGAAGGGGCATTATATCTTTAATGTGGATTAGATAAGTTAAAGATGCAGATTATTAACCCTAAAGTGATTATTAAAATAACAAAGCAAAGAGTTTTGCTAATTGGCCAATGAAGGCAATAAATGCTCATAAAAAATAATCTAAAAGAAGGCAGAACAAGGGGGTGCAGGGGGAGCAAACAAAAAATGGGAAAAATAGAAAACAAATAGTAAGATGAATGATTTAAACTTAACCACATTAGTAATGAAATAAAATATAAATGGTATGAACATCTCAATTAAGAGGCAGAAATTGTCAGACTGTATAAAAAAGTAAGATTCAATGATATGTTGCCTACAAGAAACCCAGTCTAACTAGAAAGACCCAAATTGATTAAAAGTAAAAGAATGGAAAGATATACCATGCTAATACTAATCGAAAGAAAGCTGGACTGGCTATATTAATATCAGACAATGTAGATTTGGAGCAAAGAATATTACCTGGGACAAAGAGGTTTATTTCATAATGATGAAGGGGTCAATTCACCAGGAAGATATAACCATCATAAACTTCTAGGCACCTAATAAGCGAGCTTCAAAACACATGAAGCAAAAATTGCAGAAGTACAAGAAAAAATAGACAATCCCATAAATAGCTAGAGATTTCAGCATCTCTCTCTCAATAATTAATAGAACAAGTAGCCAGACGACTTTAAGAAGACTTTAACACTATTAACCAACCTGACCTAAATGACATTTATATACATTCTGCCTAACAACAGAAGAATACACATTTTTTCAAGTTCATACAGAATATTTACCTAAGTTAAACTACATTCTGGGTCATCAAACAAGTCTCAATAAATTGTACAGTCTATGACCTTAATGAATCAAATTAAAATTAAATATTAATGACAGAACATCTGTTGAAAATTCCCCCAAATTTTTGGATGTGATATAACACACATTTATATGACACATAGGTCAAAAAAGAAATCGAAAGTATTGGGAAGTATTTGGAAGTAAATAAGAATATAAAAAGAGCATACCAAATGTGAGACATATTGCTAAAGCAGTACTTAGAGGAATTTTTATAACACAAAAACACCTGTATTGGAAAAGAAGAAAAGTCTCAAACCCATAATCTCAGCTTTCACTTTGAAAAAAACAGAAAAACAAGAGCAAGTTAATTCACAGTCAGACTAACTTTGAAAAAGAACTGTTGGAGAACTAACTGATTTCCAGACGTATTATAAAGCCACAGTAATCAAGACAATGTAATATTGGTGTAAAAGTAGACAAATAGATCAATGGAACAGACTAGAAAATGAACTGAAGAGATGGAACTCCCATACACTGCTCCTAGGAATGAAAAATGGTACCACTTTGGAAAACAATCTGGCAGTTTCTTAAAGAGATAAACATGCACCTACCAGATAATTCAACAATTCCACCACTACATATTTACCAAAGAGAAGTATAAGCATAGGTCCATACAATAACTTGTACATAAATGCTCATAGCAGCTTTACCTGTCATAGGAAAAAGGTAGAAACAACTCAAATATCCTTCAACCATAGAATGGATAAACAAACTATAGCATATTCATACAATGGAATACTACACAGCAATAAGAAGAAATGACTATTGATAGAGGCAAACATAAATGAATTTCAAAATAATTTGTTGATTGAAAGAAACCAGACAAAATGAGTATGTACTATATTATTTTATTGATTAAAATTATAGAAAATGCAAAGTAGTGATAGAAAGTAGATACACGGATGGGAGTTGGTGGGCAGTGGGAAGGGGCAGAGGAAAGGATTACCAAAGGCACAAGAAAACTCTTGGGTGTAATGCGTAAGTGTTCATTATATTGATTGCAGTGACAGTTTTATGACTATATATCTATATATATATATAGAGAGAGAGACACACACACACACACACACACGTTGCAATTTACCAAATTATATACCTTAAACCAGTAGTTTACTGTATGTCAATTATACCTCAAGATAGCTGTTTAAAAGGAGATCAAATTCAGATGTAGACAAATAGGTCTACATCTTTAAAGAGATAAAATAATATTGTGAACCAAATTAATGCATCTGGATGGCAGGGCAAGTTTAATTCAGATTGTAAATTCTTCTTAGGCATCTTGAAACTGTGGGGAAACTGGGAAGAAGGAAGCCATATCAGGTTTATCACATATGTTACATTTGTGGTGTCTTTGAGATACAACTCTTGCATATTTTAGTACTGCTAGTGTCAGAAGAATCTATCTATGCTAGGAAGACTTCTGACTCTTTGAGTGTGGAAGTTATTAGGGGGAACATTCGTCAGTACATTCCATTTTTAGCTCAATTCTTGGGCTATGAACTGGTGCCAGATACCACATCTGGTTCTTTTAAGAGTTTCATTAGTGTCCCCTATGAGGTGAAGTTAAAACAGAAAAGAATTTTAATGAGATTCAAAATCATATTGGGTTCAGGAGTCTTGGCGTGATATTGAATGTGGCACCACTCCTGGAGGCAGCAAGGGGGGAAGATAAACTACAGGAGATCTGAGGCGCTGAAGAGATCTGAGGATCAGAGCTCCTTGGGTCTCCCTGAGGCCATGGGAGGGGAAATGCTACAAGAAAATAGAACCAACAGGCTGTGCCAGCTGGTTCACAGCAGTCAGGCAGAGGAGAGATACCCATACCCCAATCCCCATAAGCAGGAAATCACATCTCTATGGATAGGGACAGCCCCCATTCTTACTCTGCTGACTGTTCTTTCCCATAGGTAAAAGTCAGTGTAAATGCCTATTACTAAATACTCAGTGCCAGGCTGTGTACTAAACACTTTGACTGTCATAAATTCTTCACGCTGATCTTGTTAGGTAGTATATCAGTTACGGTGGCATTTGGCTGTATGTGGCTTAACTTAATAAGGTTTTTTTTTTTTTTTTTTTTTTTTGCTTTTCTCATATAACAAGGAATAGAGGAATGGGCAGTTCATTATGCCTGCAGCTGCTCAAGGAGCGATGTTTCCCAATCCTACCTGCTCCTTTACCCTTTGTATGTGTCTTCATTCCTCAACGACCGCTCCACCATTGGGTACTGAATCACATCCCAGGTAGAGGGACCCTGAAGAGCAAAAACATGGTCAGTTGAGTCAATCTCCATGGGAATAGCCCCATCCAATGACACCTGCCTATAGTTCATTTGCCAGAACCGGGTAAAACAGACCCCTACTGGAGTCTGGGAAATGAGTGTTTCTAACTGGAAATACCACTGAACTGGACAAAATCATTAGAAAGGAAGGAAAATAGCATAGCTACCGGGTAAGAAACTAGCAGCACCTTCAGATGATATTAACATCCCCATTTTAAAGATAAGAAGACTGATTCAGAGACATTAGCATAATTAGAAAGGAACAGAGATGAGATTTGAAACCAGCCAGCTGGCTCCAGGCTCTGTGCACTTTATCACTAAGCAGGAGTCAGGGGCTCTGAGTGTGATGTCCCTGTTGTGTCACTCTTATCAGTAGTGACATTCCACATAAACAGATATGAGAACAATATTCTGACTTCCTCTTCTGCAAGATTACAAAAAAAATGGTCTTCTAGTGATTTCTTTCCTCTAAGTAAGTCAGCAAATTGACCTTTATTCTATATATATATTTTTTTAATAAATTGATTTAAGATTTACCGGAATAAGCATTGGGCTTTGTTCACATATTGTGCCATTTGCTTAAGAAATGCAGGGTTTTCCTTACTCCTAGAATTAAGAACAAGATTTTAACTATCTCTTGGTCATAGAGGAAATCAAAGCTCATCAAAGTTACTGATCAGGCTGTGATATAACCTAGACCCCTGGTTTAGAACCAGACCTCTGTGTCCACTAAGCATCTCATGCATGCTGTTTCCATACTGATGGGGGGCTGTTTCTTTCTTTTCTTTTTCTTTTTGAGCTCAGTCTTTATTTCTTTTTCTTTTTGAGCTCGGTCTTTATTTCCCCACTCCCCTTCCCAGAGGAGTGCTAAGCAGGAAACAGCAGTCACCAGCCTCCAAGGAGCCTGGCCATTCAAAAGCTGGGAATAATTTGCCAAGGGGATAAAGAGGCTGACCAGGTCCCTCTTACCATAGAAGGACCAACTATAGAGCAATATAATTTGCAGGCTTGCTGTCTACTTTTATATAGAGTGGAATGGGTGAAAGAAAAGATGACAGTTTCCCTCTCCTCCCTTCTCAGGAAAGATACCAGAACCATGATCCTATAAACTCTCTTCTCAATGGGAGCTCTGAGTTTCATGTGCATAGATCAAAGTAGGCACCAAACCCGTTCCGCCAGTTTCAAGGGCCACTGAGTTGGCACAGGTGCATTATGGGCTTAACTCCAGTTCCTTGTCTTGATATAAGATCAGGTCTCCTTAGTGACAATCAATAATGCCAAGTCCACATGTTCTTTAAAAGTCACATATCTGTCATCTCTAGGATCCAGGAGTGTGCAGGTCCTACTGCCACCCTCTTTCCTAAAACATCGCACAGATTAAGAACACCTCTATACTGAAGCTCATTTATGAGCATGTGTGGATATGTCAGTACTTAAATAAATAAATTTACTTTTATATCAAAGGATCCTTAATTATGCTTTATAGATGCATGTAAACAAACAAGCATGAGTGAAAAAGATGACAGTGTCCAAGTGACTCTGAAGACGGTTGGCAAAGTACCAAAATATTCCAATCCCTTATTAGATTTATTTTGCCTCGGTTTCTACCCTGGGTGTCCCAGAGCTCAAATTAGCCAGATAAGTGGCAAATCTCCCTTGACTTGGTATCTACTAGGGAACAACATTAAATTAGCATTTGATTGAGCTTGGTCTTGAATTTCAGGATTTCCTTTCATCTACTGAAGAGGTCATGTGGAAGAGCGCTACAATTTGGGCTGAGGCGACATTTCTCTTCTCTGGTTTGGTTTGTTTGGATATTTTTGGCAGCGAACACTTGCATTTGTTTGCATGTTTATAGAGAGTCCTTTATTTTACCCTGTGTGAACCTGACATTTCACCTTTAATATAAATAAGTTGCAAATAAAGCAGTAGTCATTTAACCCTGAGCCAACCAGAGTAACTAAATATAAAAGCTGAGCATCTAGAAGCTTCCAAATGTGTCTGCTTTTGTTGGAATGACAACCTCCCTGCAGCAGCACAGGGATAAATGGTTCAAAGAAATAGTAAAAGACAATGGTGTTTTTAATTTCCTATTCACTGCCTCAATTGTCGTTCACAACGGCAATCAAACCATGTTGACATCTTGGCTCTGTTAAATGATCTTAATGACAGACGCCCAAATGTTCCTGGTTCTAACCATTACTTGGGCAATGACTTTGGGTCCCTTCCCTCTCTGTCCTCTTCCTCCTCCACTTCAGTGCACACAAACATACTACCTATATGTCTTTGTGCAAATAGCTTAACCTTTTTGAGAGTTCTGCTCATCCATGAAATGTTGATATTTCTCTCCCATAGTTGTTTTGAAAATAACATGAATTGTGAATGTGTTTTTGCACTGTGTCCAGCATATAGTACATGCCCAATAATGTGAGCACCCTTCTAAGATTTTTGCTGTCTTCAGGGCTGACTTCACAGATGTGTGACTCAACAGGGTTTCATGCTTCCCAGGGTCTCACTCATGGCTTTATGCTCTGCTGTCATTACCAAAAATTCTTAACATTTTTTTCAACAATAGGTCCACATTTTTATTTTGTAGTGGACCCTCCAAATTATGCAGCTGTTCTGCCTCTCTTTTTTTACTCTTTCTCCCCTTTTTCAAACTTTTTGGGTCTACCAGATGTTCTCTTGGTTGGCTAGGTCATTCAGCCCGTTGCCCACAAGGTGTTCTGCTGGTCAGAGTGGTGCCCATGGCAAAACTCCATGTTCCTAGCCTTGACCTCGATGTTATCCATGTACTGCCCAGGGTTTCACCATGCTTCTGGTTAAGGTGCATGTGTATTGGTCAAGATGTAGCTTTGAACAATGAAAGCTTTTCTGAAAAGAATATGACTGCCCACTTGACCCAACACAGATATAGTATAGTGATCCCAACAGCAGCCAAAATGCAAACTTAGGGACACCAGGCCATTGGTGGGTTTTGCTTCCATGCTCTATTCCCTAGTTTGCCCCATCAGGAGCAAAACCAGGTTTTGTGAGGCCGGAGCCTATGTAATTTAGAGGCCTTCTTTAGAAGTATAACATTACAAATATACCATTAACTGAAGTTTTAATGTAATGTGTTACCATAGTTTACTTAAAGGAAGGAAAAAGTCCCAGCTTTATTCTAAACAAATCAGCACTGTTATTTGTGATACTTATCAGGTAGGTATCATTCAGTAGGTATCCAATAAATGTTGATTGATTTTATTAAATATCAACTGGAAATTCTGAATACTTTTATCTGATGTGACTGTTTATATCCCCAACTAAATTATATATATATATATATATATATATATTTTTTTTTTTTTTTTTTTTTTTTTTTTCTGAGAGAGTTTCACTCTTGTTGCCCACACTGGAGTGCAATGGTACGATCCCGGCTCACTGCAACCTCCACCTCCTGGGTTCAAGCAGTTCTCCTGCCTCAGCCTCCTGAGTAGCTGGGATTACAGGAGGGCACCACCACGCTGGGCTAATTTTGTATTTTTTTAGTAGAGATGGAGTTTCACCATGTTGGTCAGACTGGTCTCGAACTCCTGACCTCAAGTGATCCGCCCACCTCAGCCTCCCGAAGTGCTGGGATTACAGGCATGAGCCACCGTGCCCGGCCTAAATTATAATTTTTATAGTAAAACCTTAGGGATATAATTGCTAATTCTTTGAATTCTCCATAGCACTACCTTATTTCTTTAGCAGAGTGCTCAGTAAATGTTAATTTATATATATATCATATATATTATATATGTTGTTATATATTATATAAACACATATATGTTAATTTATATATACATAACATATATGTTAATTTTTATATATACATATGTGTGTGTGTATGTTATATATGTGCATATATACCATATTTTACATATAACGTGTTCCTACACTATATGCCAGGACAGAAAACCAGGCATTTCATTTGATTGAGGGTTGTCAAACCAATAATCTGCCTTCCTACTAATTCCTAAACATGGAGGCGATCTTATATATCACCTGGTGATGCCTTTACTTTACTGATGAAGAAGCAGCCCAGCAAAGTTAATTGACTTTATAAAGCAGTTCTATGGCCTGAACCAGAACTCAGGCTTCTCACTTGGGGTCCAGTGATTATTTTGCTACAGAATGCTAAGTGTGTGGCTAAAGAATGGGGGAAAAAAAAGAGAAATTAGATATAGTTTGCTTAAGTTATAGAGAATTTAACAAGATTCTTTAGCATTAAAAGTATTTTTGTTTTATCAGTTTCATCAGTAAGGTAGGGTAATCATTTCAAGGTTAATGCTAGATTAATTTGCCTTGTAAAAACTTCATTGTATTGAAATGGGGAGGAAATGTACAGAATTAGAGTGGTCATATTTCATGCAGACAATGTTTTTTATTTATGATACTATCCCATTATTCTTCATAAGTCATAATTTATCTCGAAGCTTTAATTTAGAATTATTGTATCTTTCTAAAAGAGGAAAGAATCATTTTTTTCTAAGACAAATAAATAGCTAGCATAGAGTGCTTAATTATGAGGATGGCTTTTAATCTAATTTACCCTCTTTTCCTGATTTTGATAAATATTAAAACTTTTTTATTATTAAAAATAAGCTTCAATTCAAGCCATAGAAAGACTCCAGTTAAGAACATCAAATAATCTGAAATAATCTGTATCTGCCCAGATGACCCATGCTGACCACACAGTTAAATGACTTCCCTCCTACTGGAAGATGAGATGTTTTTTAGCACTAAAAAGATCCTGGAAGAATAACTTCATTCAGTTCTTCAGGGGTATCTGTTCTCTTCCCCGCTGCGTGGGTGACCGGTCCAAGGGGTTATTAGCTCTGGCTGCGTGTCAGTATGATCTAGAGAGTGTTTTGTTTTGTTTGAGACACATTTTGACTCTGTTGCCCAGGCTAGAGTGCAGTGGCACAATCTTGGCTCACTGCAACCTCCACCTTCCGGGTTCAAGCAATTCTTGTGCCTCAGCCTTCCAAGTAGCTGGGACTAGAAGAGCATGCCACCATGCCCGGCTAATTTTTGTATTATTAGGAGAGACAGGGTTTCACCATGGTGGCCAGGTTGGTCTCAAACTCCTGGCCTCTAGTGATCCGCCCCACTCAGCCTCCCAAAGGGCAGGGATGACAGGGGTGAGCCACTGTGCCCAGCCCAGAGAGTTTTTAAAAGGTATCACCCAGGCCTCATCACAGGCCAATTCCATTTGAATTCTGAATATCTGTATTTTCAGTATTTTTAAAATGTTAGATGTTATGAATCTAATGTGCAGCCAGTGTTGAGAACCTCTGGCGTAAATGGGTTCTTCTGTTCAGACAGAGCCTGTCTGTCCCAGCCTCTGCCCAGATGAGGGAGGACCCACGCCATAAATGAAAAGGCAGGTTCTACAAAATCCCACTTGTTTTCTCTCCAATCCTAAACTGAGAAGTAGGGAAGAGAACAGAGGGTTCTAGCTGTGTGCCTGGAGGACAGATTGTGTTTTGTTTTCTTCTATCTTTGTTTTTTTGCCAAAGGTACAGAAAGAGAATAAAGGCCTCCACTAACTCCTAGAGCAAGGTTTTCCACCTCAGCACTGTTGACATCTGGGGCTGGGTAAGCCTTTGTTATGGAGGTCCTCCTGTGTATTGTAAATTCTTAAGCAGCTTTCTTGCCTTTGACACACTGGATGCCAGTGGCATTCACCTCCCCAAGTTGTGACAACGAAAAAATGTGTACAGACGTTGCCAAATGTTCCCTGGGACTGAGGGGAGTGGGTAGAAAATGGCCCCTGGGTGAGAACCGTTGTCCTAGAGCTAACAGCAGAAGCTCTGATGAAGAATTTAGTGGTGACTGTTAGGCTGTGGCTTTTGTGAGTATTGGCAACAGGCGGCAAGGATGGTGGTGCTGGTGAAGACATTGGTGGAGATGGCAGTTTGGGCCCAGGCAGCAAGAGAAACTCTGAAGGTCATGATTGTGACTGTGGCTCAGCAAGCGGGCAGTGGGAGAGACTTTAAGTCTCTGGGTTAAGCAGCAATGCCAGGCAGCCAGGAGGAGAAGAGCATTTGCAAAGACTTGGAGGAGAGGGAAGATGTTGACTGAACTCTGCTTAGGGCTGCTGGACATGAACTGACAAGGCAGCATTTAAAAGGGCTGAGAGGGGACTTGAAGGCCGCTTTAAAAGGACTCAAATGTCCTATTTGGCCCGGACTGTTGAAGATAGCTAATGAGAAGAAACTGCCCTTCATAGGATGGAACTCCCTAGATATTAAATCAGTGGAAGGAAAAAAGAGCAGGCTTTGCTTTGAAATCATCTCAAGATTTATTCAACACTGTAATTAATGTCTCATTAGTCAAAGGTATTAAAATAGGACCTTAAAAGTCATAATACCTTTCCTTCCACTCTCACAAATCCAGGATTATTTACTTATTTCACTCTCCCTCCTTAGATAAAAGAGGAAAGGGAGGTTAAAGAGATAAGAGGGAGCAATTTTGAAAGCCTGTGAGATTAGTCCTGACTCCACAGTTTAAGTCACATAATTCTACCACTTAGGTTTGGAAGGAACGCTTGTTACATCTGTGCTTTTCCATGATATTCTCATACAGAAAGACAACTGATTCTGTCTACACTGACAAGGGGACTCATGGCTTTGGTAAAACAATTGATAAGACATATTTTTTTGCATATGTACAGTAGGTTCTTTGAAACAAACAAAACTCAATACGGAAATACTTTCCAGGGTTGGCTCACATAATTCACCACTTTTCCTTTTATCAAGAATTATAAACTTTAAAGCAGAAAGTGAGTAGACATTATCTGGTTCATCAAACATCAACCTTAATAAAAAGTATGGACTATGAGAATATTCCATTAACTAATTTCCACCTTAAAAATACATGTGGCTAAATACAAGGAATATTAAAAGGGGTTTAAGCTTCAAAGTAAGATAAATTCCATAGTTCTCTATTTCCCATTCCGACATGTATAACTACCATTTTACCTCTGCTCTTTCAATAGTTTCGAAAATGTACTGTTAATTCATCATCAAGCATTTCAAAGGAAATAAACCGATTGCCTCTTGGAAAAAATGTTGAATGTGTTTAGAGAACCCTACACCAAGGTTTATCTGGTTGCATTCCAGGTCTCATATCAGGTTGCAAACAGGCTGCTCTTAGACCAGCTCAGTTTGTGTACTTTTTTTTTTAAGGTCATGGAAGCTGAAGATTGGAAAAGCAAATAGAAGAAAATAAATTCTTCAGCTTGGAGATAAGCAGGAAACCCAAAGAACATGTTCTTAAGTATAAGACCTCAGTAATAATATTGAATAGAAATTCAACTAAATGGAGCTGACAGAAGCCCAGACAGGCAACCAGGAGATTCTTGTGGTGAGTTGCTGACTCTCTGTCTCTCTCTCTGTCTCTACCTCCTTTTCCCCATCTGTTCATTAGGGATATGAGCAATGATGCTTATATCACTATGAAAGTATGATCTCACGTGTATATATTTTTAAAATGTTTGTAAGTGCCTAGATCATTTCTGAAAGAAGCGCCCTCTCAAGAGAAAGAATTAATGGACAATCCTATATTTTAAATAAATGCAGAATCCCAGATTTCACGCATAGTTGAAAAATATTATGCATGTCCTAACCACCTCTAAATTAAATCCAAGTTTCTGACACCTGTTAACTATACTCCTACATATAACCCTATGCACCTGACCTTACTTGTCTTCAGACAATCCTGATTTTACCTCTGGCCTTCACTGAAATTGAGAGAAAGTTCCAGATCCTCTCTGGCCATTGTTTCCCTTGCTGTCAAATGGAGGGGGGAAGTGGGCAATCTCTGGGGCCTCCAGCTGTAACCTTCTCTGGTCAAGATGAGTCAGCTGTAATGCTCTGACCGCTGTTCCACTCCTCTTGTGCAAGACGTTCTATTCTGCTAGAAGGAGGAATGCATGGTAATTTTCAATAGGGTTCGAGAAAGGAAAGCTTGTGAATGACAGAGAGAGAGAGAGAGAGAGAGAGTGCATATGAGAGAGAGTGAGAGAGAGAGCAAAACAGAAGGCTGGGAGTGAAGATGGGAGTTTGAGAGCTATGTTGAATATTGAAGGCTTTGTTTTGAAAAAGCCCAGATAGACAAAAAAGATTTTATAATTCTAGCCACAGACCCCTGCTCTGATCTGAGGAGGTATCTGATGCACATAGAATATGATAAGGACCTTTCTTAGATGAAAATGCGAGGCACAATGAGCCCACAGGCTCTGGTTATACATACAGGCTGTGACCCTGAGCTGTAAGTGCCATCAGTAGACTTTCAACCAAAACATCCCAACAAATATAAGACGATTCTAAGAATGAGTGCTTGGATTTAAAATAGCTTAGATAAATGTTAAATAATCCAAAGAAGATACCAAACAGTGTATAATCTCATTTCTAAATACTATTTTTAAAAAATATGTTTACAAATGAACAGATGATTTTTGATGTTCCCTAAGACTTTAGGAACTAGTGGGGATGGAAAAGGTGAAGAAGGAAAGAGACTTGCTATTAATTTTTTTTTGTTTAAAAACAAATGTTGCATATCAGTTTAACTTTTATAATAAATACTAATTAATTCTGAACACACAGGTTGGATATGATATGAATTGTGTGATGTAAGTGGTTTATGAACCACTTGCCAACAAGTAAGTCATGGGGATGTACTGGGTTGCCTCTAAACCAAACTTTCCCCATGGGGGAAAAAAAAGAAAGTGTCCTTGATGGAAAGGTATTGGGCTTGGCAGTGGGACAGGCATGAATTTGGAACCTGGCTCTGCCACCTAATATGCAACTGTGCAGCACTGAGCATGTTAACCTCTGAGCCTGTTTACTCAATAAAACATGGAAATAATGCCCACCTTCTAGTTAATGTTTAGGATGGAATCAGATGTGAAAGCAGCAGCTCTTATTACTATTTTTAAACAGTAGGTGCCGGCAATATAGATAATTTGTGCTCGCAGGTAATTATCTGACAGAGTTTGAATATTTGACCCCATCCAAATCTCCTGTTGAATTATAATCCCTAATGCTGGAGGTGGGGCCTGGTGGGAGGTGTTTGGGTCATGGCTTGGTGCTGTCTTTGTGATGGGTTCCTGGCTAGATCTGGTAATTTAAAAGTGTGTGGAACCGTCTCTCTGTCTCTCTCTTTCTCACTCTCTCTCTTTCTCTCTGTCCTGCTTTCTCCATGTGATAGGCCTGCCCCTGTTTCATCTTCTGCCATGAGTAAAAGCTCCCTGAGGCCTCCTGAAGCCGAGCAAATGCTGACACTGTTTTCTGTACAGCCTGCAGAGCTATGGTGAGCCAATTAAACCTCTCTTCTTATAAATTCCCATCACAGGCATTTCTTCATAGCAATGCAAGAACGGCCTCACACATTATCCATGGTCTTATTCTAGATCTGCCCCAACATAGCAACTAACATTGATTGAGTGATTTCACAAACACTTGTGAACCCCAACTATCTGAGACAGGTCTCAGTCAATTTAGGAAGTTTATTTTGCCAGAATTAAGGACACATACCCATGACACTTCCTCAGGAGGTCCTGACGACGAGGTGGTCGGGGCACATCTGGGTTTTATACATTTTAGGAAGACATGAGACATCAATCAATATACGTAACATGTACATTGGTTCTGTCTGGAAAGGCGGGACAACTCCAAGCGAGGAGAGGGATTCCAGGTCATGGGTTGGTAAGAGACAAATGGTTGCAATCTTTGGAATTTCTGATTAGCCTTTCCAAAGGAAACAATCAGCTATGCATTTACCTCCATGAGCAGAGGGGTGACTTTGAGTTCTGTCTGTCCTTTGTCCACAGGGAATTTCCCTGTGAGGAAGGTATGTAGCTTTTTTTATCTTAGCAGGTATCTTTTTTTAGGAATAGAACGAGAGGCAGGTTTGCTCTAAGCAGTTCCCAGCTTGGCTTTTCCCTTTGGCTTTGTGATTTGGGGGTCCCAAAATTTATTTTCCTTTCACACACTTAAATAGCACTTGCTTCTAAATTCTACATGAATAGCAACTCATTTAATTTTCATAAGAATCCTAGGAGGAAGGGGTACTGTGATTATCACCCCCCATTTTACAGATGAGAAAACTTAGGCACAGAGAGGTCAAGAAATTTGCCTAGAATCACAAAGCGAGCAAGTAGTGAAGCAAGGATTCCAGTCCGTACATTGAACACAGTGCTTGCTCTTAGTCTCTATGTGGTGCCTGCCTCTATGCAAAATGGGAAATATAGCCCAGTGTCCGTAAAACTGCAAACCAAAAATAAAACTCACCCCTCAGGGCCCTCTAAAATTTAAGCTGAAAGACAAGTTCAGGCCATGATGTAAAGTGGAGGCCAGACGTGCCTCATTGTACCCCTCCAGTATTAGTATCAACACAAACCTGAAGTCTGACAAGAAACCTTTATAGTCTATTCTCTCGGAGGCCTGTTACTTGAAGGCTTCATCTGCATGATAAAACCTTGGTCTCCACAACCCCTTATCATAACCCAGACATTCCTTTCTACTGATAATAATACTGAGAGTAACTCTTTCAACCAATCACCAGTCAGAATACGCTTAAATTTACCTATGACCTGGAAGCTGCCCCTCTCCCTTTGAGTTGTCTTGCCCTTCCAGATCAAAGCAATGTAAATCTTACATGTATTGAGTGATGTCTCCTGTCTCCCTAAAATGTATAAAAGCAAGCTGTACACCGACCACCTTACGCACATGTTGTCAGCACCTCCTGGGGCTGTGCCATGGGGTGTCCTTCATCTTAGCAAAATAAACTTGTTTTTTGTTTTGTTTTTTTTTTTGAGACAGAGTCTTGCCCTGTCGCCCAGGCTGGAGTGCAACGGCGCAATCTCGGCTCACTGCAACCTCCGCCTCCCAGGTTCAAGGAATTCTCCTGCTTCAGCCTCCCGGGTAGCTGAGATTACAGGTGCCCACCACCAGCTAATTTTTGTATTTTTAGTAGAGATGGGGTTTCACTATGTTGGCCAGGCTGGTCTCAAACTCCTGACCTCAGGTGATCCGCCCAACTCAGCTTTCCAAAATGTTGGGATTACAGGTGTGATCCACCACTCCCAGCCTTGGCAAAATAAGCTTTCTAAATTGATTGAGACTTGTCTCAGACACCCTTTGGTTTACAAAACAAATGGCTGTCTCTGGGGGAATGTGCTGGATATCCAAGTCAGAGACGCTGCCTTGCCCCTTTCTGCTGCCTTGCCCCTTTCTCCTCTCCACAGGTCTGGGAGTTCAGTAGGACTAGTTAATTTCCTTTCTTCTAGATAGAGGCAGCGAAGAAAAGTTCTGCCCAGCTCAGCCTCAGCCACTGCAGAAAATGCTCCACATGAGCTCCAAGTGCCCAAGTTCAGGCTCTGGGTCACCACATTTGCATCTCTGCCACCTCAAGGCAAATAGGAAGAATTAGATTATGCTCGTGTTCACTGCATTTAATAAACATTTGTTGAGTCTCACTATGTGCTTGGGCCTCTTAGAGTCCATGAGATGACAGCGTAAATGACCAGTGGCTGCCCTCCGGTATTGTGGCTGGAGATCATTAGGACATAACCAGAAAAATATAAGCAACAATAGGATAATAGATGCTGTTAAGTGAGTTGAAGGATGTGGTTCATCTGTGGAGTAGACCAGTTCAAAGTTGAGTCTGACCACAGGAATGAATAAGAGAAGAAAACATCCTGAAGACTTGACCTTCCTGGGTAATAAAACCCTTGGATAGTTACATTCAATCCTGAAGTTTAGTCCCTGGAGACATTAGAAAACTAGGAAGTTTTCTTTCTGAGGGTTAAATTGGCCATTATCTTCTTGTGAGTGATGGAGATCATTTTTTTCCAAAAATGCTTCCAGAACCCCTGGACCCTGGGGCAGCCCCTTCTCTGTTTTCCCACATCACCCTTTGTCTGGGCGCATCTCTACCTTTGCTTCTTGCACATACGTTGTAAGGATCTGCTTAAGGGTCTTTCCCTGACCTTGGGTTTGGAAGGGACAGAGTTAAACCAGATTAAACAGGTTTCTGCTGAAAGACTTCTCTGAGCTCACAGGTAATGTGAATATGCAGTTTTTCCAAAATTTATTTGACCACAGATTCTCATTTCAAGAATACCTTTTAAAATAACTCATAGTGTGACTGGTGGAAGGTATCTCAGTTACCAGCGGCAAATCCGTACAGGTCTACAGCAACCTCAATTCTTGCCTCTTCAGAAGAAAGAATTCAACTGAGGGGCATAAGGCAAGAAAAGAGACCAAGGCAAGTTTCAAAGTAGAAGTGGAAGTTTATTAAAAATGCTTTAGAAGAGGAAAGAAAGGAAAGAACACGTGGAAGAGATCCAGTGGGTGCCTTGGAGAACAAGTGCAGTGTTTAACCTTGACCCTGGGACTTTATAGGCTGCCATCTTGTACCCTTTTCCCTTAGGGTGATTCTTTCCTTCGGGTGGGCGGCCCGCGTGCACAGTGCCTGCCTTACCCTTGGGAATTAAGCGTGCGCAGTATGTTTAGGAAGTTGTAAGCATGCACGTCTGAGGCTCTCTTCCCTTCTCCAGTGGTGTGCCCCTGGAAGGTCATACTCCATTTTGTCTTTTAATGCGTATTCCCAGGAAGTTGTTTTTCCCAGGTGTCTGCATGCAATTAACACTGTAATGTTAACAGCTGTGGATCAGCAGGAGCTTGTCTCTTCCTGAGAGAGTCAGTGTGATAATTGTCGAACCATCATCTGACATTCCTAGTGGGTGGGGGAAGAAGATCCTTTTCCTGCTCCACTCTTGCCTGTCTAACTACCTGTAACAATAAGACTAGCAATCCAAGGAATACAGTTTTAGAAGCATTGTGCTAGCTGCAGAGGGGAGTGAAATCATGAGATAAGGCCCCTGTCCTTGAAGAACTCAGAATTTAGACGGCAAGATAAAAACCTAAACAAGGAATTAGAATTTAGCCCGCTAATGCTGGAAAACAGGTATATACAATGGATGTAAAAGAAGAAGAGATGGAGAAAAAAAAAAGAAAAGAGAAGGCCTCAAAGAGAAGATGATGGAGGGACTGGGGCTTGAACGACTTAATCCACCAGAATAAAGGGAAGGGGCATTCCAGGTAGTGAGCACACATGTGCAAGGGTGTGGAATTGTGAAACAGCATGGTCAATTATGGAGACTAACACTATTTGTACC
This sequence comes from Homo sapiens, assembly GCF_000001405.40. Classification (NCBI taxonomy): domain Eukaryota; kingdom Metazoa; phylum Chordata; class Mammalia; order Primates; family Hominidae; genus Homo; species Homo sapiens. The sequence continues at coordinate 38,602,333 of NC_000005.10, read as the reverse complement.
AAAGGTATGAAGTACTACTAGGAAAATGTCTGTAAATAAGCCTACATAGAGAAAGAGGAGTATATGTCAAGAATTGTGTCTAGATTTTATCTGGTAGGAGACAATGAGAAGTCACTGAACTATGGAGTAACATCATCAGCTTCCTACTCTAAAGAAAATTGTATAATGGCATTGGAGGACTGATTGGGAGGTTGTGAAACTGGACACAAGTGACTGGTTGATAAACGACTGGAATATCCAGGTGAAAAATGATAAAGAGCCGCCAAGAAATTGGCAATGGAGAAGGAAAAGTGTGAATAAATTGACAGATGATTAAGAGGCAAATTGACTCACACACGGAGAAAGGTTGATGAGTCAAGGATGATGCGGTGGTTTCTAGCTTGGATGGACATTGGTGTTATTATCCAGCAGTGAGAACACAGGAGACAGAACAGAGTCAGCTTGGGGAGAAGAGAATAGCTTCAGTTGGGGGTATATTGATTTTTAGGTTCTTATTTAATTTATAGGTAGACTTACAGGTCTGGAGTTTAGGCTAGAGATACATATTTGGGAGTTGCCAGCCTAAAAATAGTATCTCAAGCCATGGGAGTGGATGAGATCACCCAGCAAAGTGAAAAAGGAAACGCAAAGATGTGAGCCAAGTGCAGAACCCTGGAGAACAAAAGTCAAGTGAGCTTGGAGGAAGGAGCCAGGAGGTCCCAGTGGAAGGATCTGGCAAGGCCTCATGGAAATGTGGTCTGGAAATCAGTACAGATGTACTGTTCGTGACCCTATAAGTAGTACACAAATCCAGGTAAGAGCTATGCCATGGCGGGAACTCAGGGTCCAGGAGAGAAATCCTGAACTGACAGCAGACCCACCTGCACCTGGCATCTCTTTCTCTTCCCATCTTTGCTCCAGTCCTTCAAGTTTGTGTCCTGGCTGACTGTCCCTTGTTGTAGTCAGCTCAGGCTGCTATAACCAGACACCACAGACTGGGTGGCTTAAGCAACAGACATTTTATTTCTCACAGTTCTAGAGGCTGGGAAGGCCAAGATCAAGGTGTCAGCAGATAAGGTGTCTAGAGAGGGCTTATTTTCTGGTTCATAGACAGCAGTATTCTCCCTGTGTCCTCACGTGGCAGAAAGAGGAAGCAAGCTCTCTCAGGACTCTCTTTAAGGACACTAATCCCATGCATGAAGGCTCCATCTTGTAACCTCGTCTAATCCTAAATACCTTCCAAAGACCCCACTTTCTACTACCATTACATTAGAGGGGAGCGAAATCATGAGATAGACATATGTTTCAACATACGAATTTTGAGCAGAACACAAATATTCAGTCCATAACACCCCTCTAAGGTCAGTGTTACCCCTGTGTGTCCTGTTCTACCTTTGTCCTTGTGTAGTTTACCAGACTAATGTTTGCTTCCAGTATCAACCCAGGGCTGCTGGCCACATTGTTAAAAGGTGGACCAGCATTCAGCTTCCTCCCGCAGTTCCAGAGAATCAGGCCCAAAATGATCAGGAAAGACATCAGGGCTTGAGTCATCATCCTAGAAGCCACAGCTGAGACCATGGATGAGACTGTCAAGGTAGAACCTGAAAAAATAGAGGAGAGGGACAAGGAGAAATTTGAACAATAATCTTCTTTTAGGGGACCAAGAGAGGAAAAGGAGCCAGGAAGGGAGGCTGAAAGTAATATTCAGCAAAGAAGTCTGAGAAAGAACCAAGAGAACACAGTGATATGAAAGACAGGGATGGCAACTGTTCAGTGAATGAGAGGAACTAGTAGTGCTGATTGCTACAGAGATTGCGGAAGGTGACTTGAGAACAGGCCAGTAGATTTGGCAATGCAGAAGTTATAGGCAACTTGCCAAAGAGACATTTCAGTCCTGTGATGCTGGCAGAACCCAAATAGTTAAAACTAAAGGAAGTAAAGACAAAAGGAAAGCTGTGGTGACAAAGAGTCAAACTCTGTAGAGTATTTGAAGAGATTTATTCTGAGCCAAATATGAGTGACCAATGGCCCAAGATACAGCCCTCAGAAGATCCTGAGAATATGTGTCCAAGGTGCTTGGGGTACAGCTTGGTTTCATACATTTTAGGGAAGCATGAAACATCAATCAAACACATGTAAGATGTACACTGGTTCAGTCTGGAAAGGTGGGACAACTGGAAGCAGGGGGTTTCCAGGTCATAGGTAGATTAGAAGATTTTCTGATTGGCAATTGGTTGAAAGAGTTAAGTTATTGTCTAAAGACTTAGGAATGTCTGGGTTAAGATAAGGGATTGTGGAGACCAAGGTTTTATCATACAGATGAAGCCCCCAGGTAGCAAGCTTCAGAGAGAATAGATTGTAAAAATGTTTCTTATCAGACTTAAAGAGTCTGTTCTATCAGTATTTCTAAAAGGGAGGAAGGTACAATGAGGCATGTCTGACCCTCCCTTCCCATCATGGCCTGAACTAGTTTTTCAGGTTAACTTTGGAATGCCCTTACTGAGAGGATGAGGCCATTCACATGGTCAGAAGGTTTAGAATTTTATTTTTGGTTTACAGCTATTTCCAGAAGTTTAATGATGGAGGGAAAAGGTTTAATTAATTTGTTAATTAAATTCTTAAGCATCTTTAAAATTTTTTAAAGTACCTAAAGCTGTCCCCAACACCAAGGAGTCTGTAAACTAATTGAGAAGATAAGCTATAGATTAAAAAAGTAACTGAAAATGCAAGACAGTGGGAGATTATTTGGCACTTTCCATACTCAGCCGTGTTTCCACTCCACACTTTTATCCCTCTCTAATTTCATTCACTCTCACAGCTTCAAAGACCACCTGTAACATAGGCCCTATGTACTAATGATGACTCCTGAACTGTGCCTTGGGTCCTGACCTTCCCGCTGATCTCCAGGTTCTCAAGGTCTATGCTTCAAACTGCACCCTGAGGACTTCCATCTCAACTATTATCATACCCTGTGGATTCTGTAACTGAGCCAGTGACCCTTTCAGTAATGGTGCCAGAAAGTCCAGTTTGGGGTCACTCTATTGAAAATGCATATCTTAGCTCTAGGACTTTAAGGCAATGGGTTTCAAACTGTTTCCTGGAGAGCTAGGTGCTGCCTTTGGTTTATCCTATAGATGTCAGAATGGGAAACACTTGTATTTATAAAACCCTTATCCCTGACTCACTTTCTGTCTTTACTCTTTGTTTTTTCTGTGACTCATTTCTAAGTTATGCTCTTTCTACTGGTAACAGCTCCTGGGGGAAGCCTGCTCATTCTCTTTTCTGGCCATAGGTCTAGATAAGGTTTAGGACCCAGAAGAGGGCATAGAAGAAGGTTATACCCATTCCTCAACTGAGAAATCCATGCACTTTTCTACAAGATAAGGATAATCATAGCTATCTCAAAGGAGGTTAAGTGGATGAAAGGAGATAATGAGTGCAAATTATCTTATGGTTTTAACCAATATTTATTGAGGTTTCAGTATGCACCAGGCATTGTGCTAGGCATAGAAGCCTGCCTAAGAGTTCCTTACGGACAAGGAAGTAAATTATTATAGCAAAGTGGGAACAATGCTACAATAGGAGTAAGATACATCCTATGCTAGGGGAAGTGCAGAAAAGGGGTAAGCAGCCCAGTGTTGAGGAAGTTAGGGCAGACCTCGTGGAGGAGCTGAGAAGGAGTAGCAGTTAGCCACTTGAGGGGTGTCAGGGGAAGGGGCAGGAGCGGGTGATGCAGGCCTGCAGAGAAAAAGCTCAGTGGGTTGGGAACAGCTATCAGTGATTCACTATGGCTGACACTAGGAATGTTAGGTAGAATGTGGCAGGAGCCAGATTGAAAGTGTGCCTTTTGGGAGGCCGAGGCAGGCGGATCACCTAAGGTCAGGAGTTTAAGACCAGCCTGACCAACATGGTGAAACGTCATCTCTACAAAAATACAAAAATTAGCCAGGCATGGTGGTGCATGCCTGTAATTCCAGCTACTTTGGAGGCTGAGGTGGGAGAAATGCTTCAACTCGGGAGGGGGAGGTTGCAGAGCACCGAGATTGCACCATTGTACTCCAGCCTGGGCGACACAGCGAGACTCCCTCTAAAAAGAAAAAAAAAAAAAATAAATAAATAAATAAAAAAAAAAAAAAAAAAAAAGAGGTGCCTTAAAATACAAGGATATTTCTATTTTATCCTGAAGGCAATAAGAAACCAGTCATAGCCATGGAGTCACTGCCATAGATTTGTTTCTTAGAAAGATCCCACCATGTGAATCCTGGATGCAGCTGGGGAAAGTGGGTGAATTTCTAGAGTCTAATCAGTGTTTCTCAACCTTTTTTTTTCTTATTATCACCTCCTAAGGAGCCTTTTTAGACATTATTTTCCCAAGCACCCCACCAATCCCCATGAAACTTGAATACCCCAGAAATGCTGTCTATGTCCTTATGCACTGTATGTGCTTTATGCATAAAATAAATAACTTTCTTGCTCCATGCACCCCCACTCAACAACCAACTTTCACCTTCTGAGGACTGCTAATGTGAAGTCCCTCTAGACTAAGCCCATGAAATACTTGCCCCTTCCCTCCCCACCACTGCCACGCTCCGTCTCCAGCTGGTCATCTACCAGCATCCTAGCTGGATTCCCTCTCCGTCACTCCAGCACAGGGGTTCTCAACCTCTGCATTTGGGGCTGGATATTTCTTAGTTGTGCAAGGCTGTCCTGTGCATTGTAGGATACTGAGCAGCATCCCTGGCCTCTGCCTTTGGATGCTAGTAGCACTACCTCACCCAGTTGTGACAACCAAAAATGTCTTCAGACATTGCCAGCATCCCCTAATTGAGGCCCACTACTTTGGTGCTTTAGTCCCTAGTTTGTCTACTCCCACAAGCAATATGTGCAATTACAGTGACTAATTTTTCCTCCCCAGAGAGATGGCACCCCTGGGCTAGAGGGATGCTAGGAAGGAAAAGTCCTTGTCCTTTTGGCATCCTCTCACCCCACGAGCTACTTCTGTGTCTTTTCTTTATGTAACACTGAACTCTCCAGCTCAGGCCTCCAGGTCCTAAGTTCATAATCTCATTACAACTAATCCTGTTTACGGCCATTCTCTTGGCAGAACAATCTTGTCTGGACCAAGGCTCTTTCCTCACCACCCAATGTTCTTGTTGCTCCATTGTTCCTGGGGACTGTGGCCTGGCTGAGTATAAGCTTTCATTGATAGGGTTTATCCTGTTTACAGGGAGTCTGCAGAAGGGCCTCATCAAATACTTCCATCCCTTCCTTCAATAAATGGCTCCCTTTGATCTGTGCAAGGCACAACTTTGTTTATCAGAAGCTGGGCTTCCTCTAGCTGATGATGGGGACATCCTGTCCCAGAAAGGCTCCCCAAAATAACACCTTCTGAATTTCAGAATATTTTCAGGTTCCTCTATTTTGGAAGCATTTTTTTTTTTTCTTGCATGCCATTTCTTATGGCAAGCAAAGAAAGGAGCTGATTTTGCATTTTGAAGCCCAAGGTAACACAAAGTTGAACAGGTCACCGCCAAAAATGAGGAAAGGACAGTGTTGATAATAATATAAACATTTGGAACCAGAACAATATACAAGATTAGGGTTGACCAGGTGTGATCGTTTTTCATATTGTCAATTTAAAACTGGAAGTTATCTAACAAGGTGAAAAAGAGGTCATGGGTGTTAGTCATCTATATGACAGGATGGTAGAAGCTAGCTGAATTATGTGGATGAATGGTAAGGGCGATTTTACACTGTCCGAGCCAGGTAAAGAGCTCTATTTACAGCAATGGTTCTCAAAGTGTGGTCTCTAGTCCAGCAGCATGACCTGGAAATGTTTTAGAAATGTAACTTCTCAAGCCCCATCCCAGATAGTGAATTGGAAACTCTGGAGGTGGGGCCCAGGCACCTGTAAGCTCACAAGCCCTTTAAGTGATGTGATTCTCATGCTTGCTAAAGTTTGAGAACCTCTGATCTGCCCCAATAATCTTCAAACTTCGGTGTACACAAGAATCACATAAGAAGCTAAAATGCAGATTCCCAGATCCCATACCTAACGATGCAGATTCACTTGGTCTAGAGTGGACCCAGGAAAGTTTGCATTGCTAATAAGCAGCCCAGGGTGATTTGGGTGCAACTGGTCCATGAATCAAGCTTCGAGGAGCATTGGCCTATATATAAAGGAGTGGTACAAATTGTCCATATTGCTCCAGTCTTATTCTAAAGAGGCTCCCTCCGTGGCTAAGAATGAGCCAGTATCACAATTCATCTTCCCTTCCCAGTCATCTCATGAAGCAGGCTGCTAAGATTACCTATTGTGGGCCGGGCGCGGTGGCTCACGCCTGTCATCCCAGCACTTTGGGAGGCCGAGGCAGGTGGATCACGAGGTCAGGAGATCGAGACCATCCTGGCTAACACGGTGAAACCCCGTCTCTACTGAAAAAATGCAAAAAAATTAGCCGGGCGCGGTGGCGGGCGCCTTGTAGTCCCAGCTACTCGGGAGGCTGAGGCAGGAGAATGGCAGGAACCCGGGAGGCGGAGCTTGCAGTGAGCCGAGATCGAGCCGCTGCACTCCAGCTTGGGAGACAGAGCGAGACTCTGTTTCAAAAAAAAAAAAAAAAAAAAAAAGACCTATTGTGGTTTTCAGGATTACTCTAATACTAGAAGGTTAGATTGGCCCCATGGATTCCTTTCACACTGACATCTGAAACACACTGCTGACTCCTAACCTGGGTTGGACTCATGCTGCTGGCCTGGAGGCAAAAGCTTTTTATCCCATTACTAGTTCCTTGAACCACAATCCAAGACACAATTTGGTTTTCCCAAGAGTTTTGTTTTGCACTGCTGATGCATTCCAGTCATTGTTGTGATGCATTTCCTTCTCCTCTTTCCCTCCAGTCCCTGGGCAATGCCACACATGTATATATAGCCTCCTAGTGTGAACTTACTCAAATCCTAACCCTCTCTCCCAGAACGTGTCTCTGCTGCAAGGCACCGGGCCCTTTCGCTCTGCAGAACTGCACTTGCAAGACCATTATCAACTCCTAATCCCAGCTCAGAAAGGGAGCCTCTGCGACTCATTCATCGCCCTCCAGGTACAGCACTGCTGGGGTTTGCTTCCTTCCTTCCTGGCTTTGTGTCCCATGTCCCCTTAGACCTGTCCCCCCTTTAGATTTCTTTTCACTCTGCTTTAATACCAGTTGTGAGGGTCTCTCAGGGCTCTGACCTTACCTCTTTGTCCTACAAAAGTGTATTTCTTGTGTGGTTTCCTGTGACCTGTACTTACCCAGACTTTCTCCAGTCAATCCTTGGCATCCTACAGAGATGGTCTTCCTCAGTCTTCAGTCTCTGTAACGATACCAGCCCTTGTTTAGAGACCCAGAGTAGAAATGGTCACTGTATACAGTTGTACAGTTTCTGCACCGCACAGACACCTGAGGAAGAGAGCAAGTGGTTAGGAAAATCCAGCTTGCACACTGCTCACCAAGATGAATGCCTGAAGCTGCTCTGTGGAAACCTAGAGGAAGGTACATTGTTTCGCTTTTTTTCCATGTCAGATATTGATAGAATCACATATAACTACATTAGATTATCAGCTAAAACCAGATTAGTGTGTTTTATTGTCATGTCATTGTGTATGTGAACATGAAGACTTTTAGAGTGCCTGAAAATATTTTATGAGAAATAGTTAAATAGCTTCCCTTTTTATTTTTCATTACTAGACCTTATTTCTTAGAGCAGTTTTAGGTTTATAAAAAGCCAGAGCACAAAGTACAGAGAGCTTCATATACCCCTGCCCACCCTGTCCACCCCACTCCCAGTCTCCCCTGTTAGTAACATCTTATGTTAGTGTGGTACATTTGTTGCAATTGATGAATCAATATTAATAGATTAGTATGAACCAAAGTTCATGGTATACATTACTATGTATACTATGTATACTCTTCGTGTTGTGCATTCTATGGGTTTTGACAAACGTGTGATGACATATATGCACCGTTATAGTATCTTACAATAGCTTCATTGCTATTGCTAAAACTCTGCTGTGCTCCATCTGTTCATCCTTCTTTTCTTCCCTGCCTTCTCCAGGCCCTGACAACCACTGATCTTTTAACCATCTCCATCGTTTTGAGGAAAGTACACTTTTTTCTTTGCACAAAGAACTGTCTACTAGCCAAAACCACAGGATGCTTCTGCCCAGAGGAACACCATTTAAAAAAACATGCGCAAAGGTTTTATCGCAGCCAGCCAATGCCTTGAATCCAAGCTCTAACCCAATTCAAGACCTTTCCCTGGATCACGTCCGTGTGTCCTGTCTCTCTTGTTTCCCCTTATCCATCTAGCATATACTTTTCCTGGTAAACGTTTCTATTTTTTTCTGTTTAGGCTGCTGTAACAAAAATACGATAGTCTGGGTAGCTTAAACAAAAATCATTTATTTCTCACAGATCTGTAGGCTGGTAATTCCCAGATCAAGGCACCAGGCAGAATCAGAGCCTGGTGAGCACCCACTTCCTCGTTCTTAGAGGACCGTTTTCTTATCATGTCTTCACATAGCAAAAGGGACAAGGGAGCTGTCTGGGGTCCCTTTTATAAGGGCACTAATCTCACTCATGAGGCCTCTACCCTCACAATCTAATCACTTCCCCAAGGCCCCACCTGCTAATGCCATCACATTAAGGGTTAGGATTTTAACATATGAATTTGGGGGAGACATAAACATTCATTCTGTTGCAATTACCTTATGTGCCCCTCTCATCTACCCACCCGTCTATCCCCCTCCTCTTCTCTGATGCATCTTCTATGTCAGCCCTGTCTGAAAGCATTTTCTGCAATGATGAGAATATTCTACACCTGTGTGGTCCAATATAATAGCCACTAGCTGCATGTGGCTATTGAGCACTTGAAATGTGTCTCATGTGACAGAACTGAATTTTTAAGTTACATTTCATTTGAATAATTTAAACTTAACTCCATGTGGCAAGCAACAATTGTATTAGACAGCATAGGTTTAAGTTTTTACCTATGCCAGATTCCCCATTCTAACAGAATTCATTAACATCCCCCCCAGTTTCATACTGGACATCTTCCCCTCCCCTGCCTTTTTTATGTTTTTTGTTTGTTTGTTTTGTTTTGTTTTGTTTTTTGGTTTTGAGACAGAGTCTAGCTCTGTCACCCAGGCTGGAGTGCAGTGGCTCGACCTCGGCTCACCGCAACCTCCGCCTCCTGGGTTCAAGGGATTCTCCCGCCTCAGCCTCCTGAGTAGCTGGGATTACAGGCGTGCACCACCATGCCTGGCTAATTTTTGTAATTTTAGTAGAGACAGGGTTTGACCATGTTGGTCAGGCTGGTCTTGAACTCCTGGCCTCGTGATCTATCCGCCTCGGTCTCCCAAAGTGCTGGGATTACAGGCGTGAGCCACCACGCCCAGCTGCTCCTTCTCCTTGATTCTTTCCTGGCTAATCAGGAAAGATACAATTGTTCCTGACCCCATTGCTGAAATAGTCAGCTACTATGTCCGTCACATTTATTACCATTAAATTTGCAAATATATGTACAACCATTATATATCCATACAAACTAAAAATAGTTTTAAAAGTATTAGTTTAATTTAATTAAACTATTAGTTTTTTCTAAAAAAATAGAAAAAATGTGCACATATGGTGCCGTCTCACGTAACTTTTTTTTTTTTTTTTTTTGAGACGGAGTCTCGCTCTGTCGCCCAGGCTGGAGCGCAGTGGCGCAATCTCAGCTCGCTGCAATCTCCACCTCCCAGGTTCAAGCATTTCTTGTGCCTCAGCCTCCTGAGTAGCTGAGATTACAGGCATGTGCCACCACACCTGGCTAATTTTTTGTTTTTAGTAGAGACAGGGTTTTGTCATGTTGGCCAGGCTGGTCTCAAACTCCTGGCCTCAGCTGATCTGCCCACCTCAGGCTCCCAAAGTGCTAGGATTACAGGCGTGAGCCACTGTGCCCAGCCTTACATAATGTACTTAAAATTTCTTTAATTTATGAAGCTAGTTGATGTTGCTTGTCTATACCTTTTAATTCTTTCCTCTTTTTTTTTCTTAAAGAAATTTCCAATTTCTTTAAAATTTTCTGTTTAAAACTCTATACTCCCAGAAAACAGAGTAGAGTTACATAACTAATGCTTTATTTGGCAAAAACTACAAGGCCATAGTTAGTGGGCTAATATATGTCAGTTCAGATGATTGTGGCACCACCTTTAAGGCATGAAAAGGAGAGAAGGGAAGAAATAATAACACCAAAAGAAATTAAGAGTTTAAGTCCAAGAGTCAGCATGGAGTGGAGTTAAGGAACTATGGATTGTGGTTCTTGGGAGGCTGGAGTTAGTGGTAAGCATGTCTGTGCCACCAACCAGTCCAGGGCATTGGTGATATCACTGAATCTCTCAGAGACTCAGCTCTCTGCTTCACAGCATGCAGGTTTTCACTAGACCCTCCAATTTAAGGTGTCTTCTAGATCAAAATGCTCTTTAGGTCAAACACAGTCTTAGGAATAACTAGGAAAGTTGAAACAAACTTTCGTCACACAGACTGTTTCACATTATCCCACCTCCTGTCACCCCCTTCTCCCACCTAGCAATGTTTGTGACGAATACACCAACTTTCCTGAGGACAAGAGCAAAACAATATTTTAAGAAACAACAAAACTCAGTTTAGAGTGAGTCACTGGGCCTGACCATGGTGGCTAAACTGACCACAAAAGTTTGTGAATAGTCTATATGGTGTCCTTCAAACATCTGCACAAACCTTTTATTTCCAGTGCTTTGAACAGAAATAAACATAGTCATTAAGCCAAATTCTACATTCTACAAAACAGATGAAAAGTTAAAGCATAACGTTAAGTCCAAAACATTAGTGTGGAGTCCTCAGCTGAATACCTCTTGCCTGCATGCCCATGTGAGCAGTCAGTTAAATGCCTGGTGTCTGTTATATGAGCAGTGGGAAATCTTTGCATACAAAAAAGTGTGAGTTGTACTAAAGTAAAATCAGTATTCTGGATCCCTTAATGTGCACATAATTACCACTTAGGCTTCTAAGCGAAATGATTTGCTAATGGCAACTAAAATGTGACATGGCCCAGAGTGAAAAAATTGATTCATAACTTGGGAAGGTTTGACTAGATTGCCCTTAGGCAAGTGCCTAGAGGGCTTTCCTGTCTCTCCCTAAACCTTGCTTCTGCAGTTCCAATGTACAAAATAGGGATAGGGTTGTTGTGAAGATTAAATGAAACTAGGGCAGGTCTTCTGGACAGATACTATTACAGTGCTGCAAGCCCTTCCTTCAGAATCCTTGGCACCATTACAGTTCTACATTTATTTATATCATCATTTGACTACTGTCCCTCAGCTGACTGTACATTCCATAAGGACAGGATTTATGTCAACTTTTTCTCAACATTGCTTCACCACCTCCTCATAGAACCTGGCATATAAAAGGGAGTCAACAACAATCTTTTGAATGAAATGTGTAAGTCATTTGCAGTCACTGGTGTCAGATCCCCGGGTTTGAATGCTGTGTGCTTGGACAAGTAATGTTTCTGCCTTTGTCTTAGTTCCTGCTTTCTATAAAGGGGAGATAATAATGGTATCTACTTGACTGAATAGTTGTACAAATTTAGTGGGATAATACTTGCAAAGAGCTTGGAACAGTGTCTGGTACATAGTGAGGACTCAATACATGCTAATGAATTTTGATGATGATGATGGTGGCGGTGGACATGCAATAAGCTCTTCATAAATAATAGCTCTTCTTCTAATTGTTATTCACGGTCATCATTGAAACAGTATTTGCCTCTTGATTATCAGTCATAGGTGGTCCTTAGTTACCTAAAATATCACAGGACCACTGCTTTACCTTTCCATGTTATGCCAGGCACAGACAACAGAGGCAGTGTCAAAGGAGATACCCAAATGATGTTTACAATGGTACACGGGTCTCTAGGGTCCAAGGAAAAGTTACCAAGTATTTTCCCACCTCCCTACTTTCATCTCCCTCTTACTTCCCAGTCCCTTCCCCCCATGCTTGTATGGTCTTCTGGCTTTTTGACCAGTCCTCCCTGGGGATTTTCAAGTACCCAGCTTGCAAATCAGCCTCCCCAGAGGATCTGTCTCTACTCATCATAGTCAAAGGATGTAATCTGTTCTCATGTGGAAATAATTTGTTCAGAGAATGTAAATGATCAAAGCCTATATTTCTGTATTCAGGAGAGGAAGAGAAAATAATAGAAAAGACTTGAGGCTAACTCTAGGTCCTGCATTTACTAAGTCACCTCTGATAAATTACTTGGTAAATTATGTCTTAGAAAAACCATTGGTTTGGTAGGAATAATCAAAATGGGATCCGTGTCCCGGGTTTGTAAGAATTAAATGAGTTAACTACATAGATGGTTTGGTTCCAATTAGATAAGAGAGTTTCTAAACAGTGAAAAGTAGAAATTTTGCCACACCCTGCCCTCACAATTCTAGCATTTCCAGGTTTCCAAATCTGGGAAATGTAGCTAAGGGCTTTTCCTTTCTCTAGGGACTCCCTTTACAAGTGGTGGAGCTACTTTCTGCTCGAGGACAAAGAAGGAGGGAGGACACACACACACACACACACACACACACACACATTTTCTTCTCTGCCTTCTGACCCTTTGCTATTGCAACTCTAATTTGGGAATTAAATTTTAATAATTCTAAAATCCCATTTCCGTACTTTCCATATACTATTATTTAATGGAATAAGGTTATCAAATCTTATCCTTAACCCTTTTCCCATTTTTTTAAATTTGATGGTACTAGATTTGAATTTTATAGCATTTTCAAGAATCACTTGGGATTAATTTGGGATTCAATTTCACTTGAGAACTAGCTGTTGTAAAGTTGAATTATTTTTAATAAGCAAAATTACTTTCATCCATTTTATTTTTTTAATAGTTAAGGAACATTCACTTTGATATTCATAGTCCTCTAAAGTATAACATAAGCATTACTATTTCTTGTTTAAACATGATCAGTAGCTAAGTTGTAAAAAAACATGGGGAAAGGAGTTAGCCCTACACTTAAAGGAGGCAGTATCCCAAAGAATATGATTTTTAAAATGAGATCAGTAACATAGAGCTCTTCATCCTGGCTAACACAGTGAAACACCATCTCTACTAAAAATACAAAAAAAAAATAAAAATTAGCTGGGCGTGGTGGCAGGAGCCTGTAGTCCCAGCTAGTTGGGAGGCTGAGGCAGGAGAATGGCATGAACCCAGGAGGCCAAGCTAGCAGTGAGCCAAGATCGCGCCACTGCACTTCAGCCTCGGCAACAGAGTGAGACTCCATCTCAAAAAAAAAAAAAAAAGAAATAACATAGAGCTCTTCAAAGTAGAAGTACAATAAATACCAATAAACATATGCATAATTGGATCTACTTTATTTTTATGGGTAAAATGTATAAATGCATTGCTAACCTATAGATAGATGATTTGGGGAAATAATGAAAAGCTCAGAGTGTTTCATACACTTTCTAGAGTAATTCCAGTTCTAAAGAAAAATTTCCAGGCAAATTCTCAAGTTCAGATCGTAATGTGCCTTTTATCCTATTAGGGGTCATTTCTTTCCTGAGCATTGTAAGGACAATATCTGAGATGTGCTTGATTAATCCATAGGGATTTAAGGCCTTTTGAAAAAGACATTCAAAGACCTAAGCAAATATACCTTCTGATTTTTATAAATATTTTATTCTTTACTTATTTGTCTGAGCAAAATTGCATAACTTACTAGCAACTCCAACCACATGTAACATTTAACTTAAAAAACAAGTAGGGAAGAAAAATGAGGTTTAGTTAAAATTGAAAATTAATTTCTTTTCTCTGTAATACTGACTTCTGTGAGGATTTTTAACAATGAGGTCAATAAAAGTATTTAAAGCCACGGGGAATGATTAGACAGTCTCATCATCCTGCATACAGTGTCCTTCATATTAAAATTCTTCCTCAAGCCCTTTCTTCTCCCCTTCCTTCCTTTTCAGACTGAGCACCTGATCAGAGAAAACCTGCTTGACTGTGTAGCCCTGAGAGTTTGGTTTCCCAGAGGACAGTTCTAGGCCTCTCAACCTAGAACTTTCCACCTGTGTGACCTTGGGCTAGTGGCTTAACCTTCAGAACCTCAGTCTACTCATCTGCAACTGGGTATCCATGTCACATGTTAATGTTGGCATTATATTGAATATTGGGGATTTTGCTAATGAGAGAATGGTTTCCCTCACAACCTCCAATTGCAGCTAACTTATGCTTTGATATAATGTTGCTCTAGGTCAAAAATAAAACAGGCCTTGTGATATGTATTAATGGATAGAGTCAGAAATACAGATTCCAAATTCTACAGTAGCAACTGAGAAGGAACAGAAGGCAGGGCATATCTCCAGGCCAGGGCCTTTGAATCCCTACACCTAATGTAGGCCCAGGCACATGGTAAGCACTAGATACATGTGCTTTTGAAGGGTCTTTTGATGGATTTTGATAAGTTGCCCCGACTAGAATGAAGCTGGTAAAACTAGAAGGCAATAGAGATTCATGGGTTAGGAGCAAAAGGTGGGAATCTAGCCCGCTGGGTTCAAACTCCAGCTTTAAAGTGACTTTGGGCAATGTTATTTCTCAGATTCTGGGTTTAAATCTGATCATTCTTCTCCCTATTTGTCCCCCATCCCGTACACTCTTTTAAAACAGTAACAACCACCACCACCACCATCTTTAATAGCTTTTCACTGCCTTTAGGATAAAGTTCCAAATGTGGCCCACAGCATCTGGTCCCTGCCTATCTCACCAGTCTTCTCTTGCTAGTTCTGTTAGCTCAAGCAATAGTGGCCTTTTTTTTTTTTTCAGTCCTTCGGAAGTGCTACCTGACTCTTTCTTGCTCCTGGGCCGTCTTGTCCAACAGCATCTTGTCTCATCTGCCTGGAGTGATTTTCACCTCCAGCACCAGTAACGCCTCCCTGTTTGCCGGAATAACTTTTAATGTCCAGGCTTAAACATCTTTTTTATCCGTGAGGTTTTTCTTCCCATCCCTGTCTAGGTTAGGACCCCTGGTATATGCTCCTCAGTTTCCCTCTTTCTTGACACTCACTGCATTGGGATGTCTGTTCCCCATTAGACTCCATGGGATGTTTGTGTGTTTGTAGAGGGCTGGGGTGGGGAGGGGTAAGGGGCAGGAGGTCTACTTTTTTCAGTACTGTATTCCCAGGGTGTAGTCCTGTGGCTGTTCATAAAACTCTCCAAATGGATGAGTGAAGGATTTAATATCGAGAGACCAACATCAGTCTACCTTATAGACTGGTGAAGGGTAATGTAGATCAGCACAATTCTTGGCACACAGTGTCTCAGTCAATGGTGGCTATTATTAATAACACAAATGCTTAATTGATGGATTTCTTTCATTTCTAAATTCTTTGGTGGACACTTTTCCAAAAAGGAGAGTTAAAGGAAGATATGCAAGCTGCCATTTTGCACCCATTCATCTGAAAACTATTTGAGAGTTTTAAAGCAGAACGAGTTGAAACAATGTGCCAGACCTAAAATTGGAAGCAACACAGAAAATGGCTTTGATGTGATGGATCTAGTATAATTGTGTGTTTGCAAGGGCCTCGGGTCTGGCTACACTCCAGGTGTAAGCATCCCTAACCCAGTCTATCAATCAGATGTTACCAGTTTGAACGTTTCTGTTGTTTTTTAAACAGAAATATGAGTGGTGCCTATAGGAATCTACATGTTAGCACTTGGAAAATGACTACAGTGAGTATCACATAAAAACAAAATTTGCAAAAGATAATTATGGAATCCACATGAAAGTCTTACATCTGAGGCTTCTACATGAATAATGAAAGGTGAACACTCTAACTACAGTTAGAATTCTGAGGTAGGATTTTCATAATGAGGACCATGTTATGTACAGCTTGGTGTAACAGACTTGTATCTTCTTTTATTTAAACATTATAAGTGTGAGACTTCTTTTATTTCCAACTGACCAGGTCTCTTAAGTTATAAACTTTGCTGAAAATTTAACATAGGTAGGACAGTTTGTCATAATTCTTAGCACTGGAAGAAACTGTGAGTTAAAGGAACGAGGCCATAATGTTGCTATGTCATGGGTCAGAGCCGATGTTTTAAAATGGGGGCTTTTCATTGACACCCGGGTGACAAGAGTGAAACTCTGTCTCAACAAAAAGAAAGAAAAGAAAAAAGGAAACCAAAAGCTTTTACCAGAACCCCAGGCAAATATCTACTTATGTCTCAGTGGCTGGGGAAGTGGGGAAAAGGGGAAGCGGATACCGGATAAGTAACCAAAAGTGATGCTACACTCGGCTTAGTTGCTTCCTATTAGCCCAGTTGCAGATGGGAAACAGAAGGGGATTGACTGCTCTGGGTCATCAATCATGCTCTCTTGGTGGGGAGTGGATGAAGAAGAGAAGATGTGACAGGTCATTTCTGGCAACTTCCAAGTCTATAATAGCCTAGCTAGCAAGGGAACTTACGGACAATATTTTGCCATTGACTTATATTTTTTAAAATTATTATGTTATTTAGAGTAAAGTAGATAGCCATATGAGCTGACCTAGATGCTTTCCTCCATGAAAAAAAAAATGAGCAACTAGGTTACCATTTACAATGGTTCATATGTGACTCTGAATGACTGTGTGTCCCTCTATTTTAGAAATATCTGGGCCTTCCTGATGTCCAGGTTGACACACATCCTGTTTTGCCAAGTTGGAAAGAGTTCTGAAAATCCCATTCCATTTTATTTGAAGAAACTACCACAGCATTTCTTCTTCTAACCCTAATGGGAAGCACATGGAGATCATTGAACGTTGGGAGCCCTTTTATGCCCAAATTATGTTTTTTAAGCAAAGAGCTATGTTAAAGCGACCTCCAAACATGACCCTGGCAAAAGTCAGTAGCCTTGCTTGTTCTGGCCAGGTTCCTGATGTAACCCAAGGTTCTGGGAAGATTCACTTTAATTACAACCCCTTTTGATCTGTTCCTCATGGTCTCTTACATAACATGTATTACAGTTACTAAAACTGAAATTTTCATCTTTGAGCTAATTAAATGGATGTAATTTGTACTTGACTTCTTTTCTTTTAGAAGAGCTGGTTAAGTCAGTATGTTGTACTGTTTTTCTAAAGCACGCAACTTAAATTCTCTTTATTTCTTTAATTTTTGATTTAAGTAAAACTTTAGCTTTTGTATTCTATTACAAAGATAATAAAAACACTTATGGCATCATCTAATTTTTCTTTAGCCATCATACAATATCCTATGAAGAATATTTCTTTGGAAAGCATTTTCTTCTTTTTTAAAAAGTAAATTTTACTGTGTATATTTGAGGCTTACAACATGATGTGATGAGATGCATGTATTAATAGATAGTAAAACGGTTGCTATAATGAAGCAAATTCACGCATCTATCCTCTCACATAGTCACTTTTGTGTGTGTGTGTGACAAAAGCTGCTGAACTCTACTTATTTAACAAAAATCCCTAATGCAATACAATTTTACTACCTATAGTCCCCATTTTTTACATGAGATCTCTAGGTGTGTTCATCCTACTTATCTGCTACTTTTTATCCTTTGACCTACATCTCCCTATTTTCTCCCCACTGACCCATAACCACTGTTTCATTCTCCTTGTCTATTTGATTTTCTGTTTTAAGATTCCACATATAAGTTAGGTCTTGCACTATTTTTTTTTTCTGTGTCTGGCTTACTCACGGAGCATAGTGTACAGGTCCATTTATGTTGTGGCAAGCATTAGGATCTCTTTCTTTTTTAAGGCTAAATAATATTCCAGTGTGTGTGTTTGTGTATGTGTGTATATGCATATATACCACATTTTCTTTATCCATTCATTTGTTGACACTTAGGTTGTTTCCATGTCTTGGCTATGGAACAGTACCACAATGAACATGAGAGTGCAGGTATCTTTATGAGTGGGTGATTTCATCTTTGTGTGTATACCCAGAAGAGGGATTGCTGGGTCATATGGTAGTTCCATTTTTAAATTTCTTTAGGAGCCTCCATACTGTTTTCCCTCATGGCTGTATCAATCTAAATTCCCACCAACATTGTACAAGCATTCTCTTTTCTCTACCATCTCACCAATATTTGTTATTTCTTGACTTTTCAATAATAGTCCTATTATCAAAAGGGTGTGAAATGGTATCTAATGAGTATGAGATGGTGTCTCACAGTGGCTTTAATTTGCATCTCCATGGTTGTATTAATCCATTTTCATGCTGCTGATAAAGACATACCCGAGACTGGGTAATTAATTAAAAAAAAAAGAGAGAGATTTAATGGACTCACAGTTCCACATGGCTGGGGAGGCCTCACATGGTGAAAGGCAAAAGTTACATCTTACATGGCAGCAGGCAAGACAGAATGAGAGCCAATGGAAAAGGGAAACCCCTTATAAAGCCATCAGATGTCATGAGACTTATTCACTACCATGAGAACAATATGGGGGAAACCAACCCCATGATTCAATTATCTCCCACTGGATCCCTCCCACAACACATAGGAATTATGGGAGTCACAATTCAAGATGAGATTTGGGTGGGGACACAGTCAAACCATATCAATGGTGTTTAGTGATGTTGAGTACCCTTTTCATATACCTGTTGATCATTTTATGTCTTCTCTGGAGAAATGTCTGTTTAGCTTCTTTACCCCTTTTTAAATCAGGTTATTTATTTTTCTGCTATTGAGTTATAAATGTTCTTTATAAATTTTGGGTATTAACCCCTTATCAGATACGTGTTTTGCAAGTACTTTTTCCCAGTCTGTAGGTTGCCTTTTCTTTTTGTTGACTGTTTCCTTTGCAGTGCAGAAGCTTTATAGTTTGTTGTAGTCTCATTTATTTATTTTTGCTTTTTTAGCCTGAACTTTTGGTGTCAGTGTTTTCTTAATACACTAATAAGTTCTCATGAGAATTGGTTCGTTTCCAAAAAGCCTTGCATGGTGCTTATATATGAAAGTGAAAATCTACATTACTTAACATAAAGCATATGATTAATACTAGAAACACTCCATTCTCCATGTATCATGAAAATATTAGCATATGTTAGAATGCAAGATCAAAAAAGTGTTATAAGTTGTACCATATTACTGATCATGAAATTTATAACTCATAATTTTGGCCTTCAGTTCAACAGCAGCTCTACGTAACAAGCAAGCATCAATTGAACACGTTACGTATGTGCAAGGCACTCTGCTCTGAGTATAGGGAGGAATTAGCATACTGCAGTGCCTGTTCTCAAACGACTCTTATTCCATCAAGAGGAAACAGACAAATAAACAAATAATTACAATGCAATGCGATCAAACACAATGATAAAAAGTTACACAGAGACCGGATTTAACTCTGTTGGAGGACGGTGAAGATAGGGCGTCAGAGAGGTTTCAGAAGGAAGGCAATGCCTGATGAATAGCTTCTTGATTGAAGGGTGCTGAGGAAGTGGCAGCAGGGAATTCCCTGGGCAGAAGGAAACCAAGTAAGCATTGTGATAAAAGTGCAGATTAACAGTGATGAGAACCGAAACTAAGACAGTGCCAGTGAAATGCTGGCAGGGGATGAATCTGCAGTACTTTGGAGGTAACACTGAAAACCTAGCAATTTGATTTAGTATTGTCCAAAAAGGTTACTAAAGATGAAGCTTACTGGTGGTTCATGGAGATAATTTTGCTGGCCTTGTCTTTTTAATAGATCACTTGATGTGAAGCAAAGTTTTAACAAACACTATATGTGCATAATTTATTTTAATTTGAATATTATATATATATAAATGCCCAAGGCTGTTTGCATAAATAGCATATCTCTAAGGTATTTGTTCTTGCATAGCAACAGACTGAGGGCAAAATAAGAAAACGATGTAAGTATTTAGTGAACATGGAGAAAAAACCAAACTGAGTCTCACTGATCCTTCCAACTCCTTTCTGCCTGATTGAAGGATTTACTTGGTCACCTACCTCTGCATATTAGTTCCCAATCCTGTCTAATAAATTGCCAAGCAACAAACTGCCTGATTTATTCATTCTGTCAGTATGTTCTGAGATGCTTGGAACTGGAGACAGAGAAATCAAGAAAAGGCTGTAGCCAGGCATGGTGTCACGTGCTACTTGGGAGGCTGAGGAGCAGGGATCACTTGAGCCCAGGAGTTCGAGGCTGCAGTGATCTATGATCATGAGACTGCACTTCAGCCTGGGCAACAGAGAGGACACCATCTCTAAAAAAAGAAAAAAAAAAAAGGAAAAAAAAAGAAGTGGTCATTTGTCCAGTGTAATAAGCACATTCTTAGAAGTGAGGCTTGCAAGAATGCGGAGAAGTGAGCTAACTCTACCTGGTGGCAAAAGAAACGCTTCACAAAGGAAGTGATAATGCAGCTTTGAAGGTTTGAAGAATGGGGAAAAGGAGGAATGTGTGGTGGCATTTCAAATATAGGATACTGTGCGAGATCACATTATTGTTTCCAATTACTTGTTCCATCTCCCTGTGACAGGTTTATATTTCCCTGCCCCATTTAAGGTCAATTTTGGCCATGTGACTTGCTCAGCTCAATAAAATGTGAACAGAAGTGATTTGTGTCACTTATGAGCAAAATTCATCGTGACATTCCAGTATTACTCTTCTCCCTCTGACATGTGAGAAAACCATTTCCAGAAAGGACCTGCTCATTTCACTTCAGTCCCAGAAAAAAGAAGACTCTTGGAATAAAGCTGAGGCCAACCTGCAGCCAATGTGTAATATACAAGCAAGAAATAGACCTTGCTGTTGAAAACCTCCAAGACATGGGATGCTGGTTACAGCAGCGTACCTTAGGAAAGCTGATTAACACAAAAATAGTCACTGAAAAGGCACAGGACTATGAAAGGGCATGGAGTGGTTGCGGAATGGTGAGAAGTTCAGATTGGCTGAGAGTGTAGACTCCGCGTTTAGAGAAAGACAGCCAGAAATACTCCAGAAAGGTAGCCTGGGAACAGATTTTCAAAGGGTCTTAAACGTCCTGCTAGGAAAGTTGAGTTTTAGTCTTTAAATAGTAGAAAGCCAGCAGAAGCTAAGGAGTGACCTGATAAGTTTTTTTTTTTCTTAGAAAGATGATTCTAATAGGAGGGGAATGATGCTAGTACCAGGGAAATCAGCTAAAGCGTTTTTATAATCCTAACCACCACTATTTATTGTGCACATACCATGTGTGAGGCATTTTGCACCTATTTACCAAAGTAATACAACCACCCCCTGGGGTAGACATTGTAATGATCCTTTTTTTATAGATGAGGAAACTGAGGCACAGAGAGGTTGAATAACTTGGCTAAGTCACTCCAAAGACATTGTAGCATTAGAGTTCCATCCCAAGCAGTCTGGGTGCCAGAATCCATATCCCACTCTCAGAAGCCTAGAAAGTGGTAATAAGCATCTGAAGCACACGGAGATAGAGAAGAACATCTCGAGTCTCATATTTATGGGGCTGCAGAGGCTGAAGGTGGGCATGAGGTGAAGCTTAGGGGTGACAGAGATGGAGGAGCCACAGATAATGCCTCATTCTTTACTGAAGAGGCTCAATTGGTGCTGAAGCAATGAATTGGAACGAGGGAAAAAAAGAGCAGGTTTAGGAAAGGAAAATGACGAGTTTTGCTTGGGATACATTAATTTTGAGGCAGATGTGAGGTTAGGTGGAGATGACCTACTGGCAGTTAGAATACGGGACCGAAGCTAGGAGCAATGTGGGGTGGAGACAGATCTAGGTGGGGCAGAAGGCCAGGTAGCAGATTAATTCACCCTGGCAGATGTAGAAAGTGACTTGAAAAGAGTGTCAAGGGAAGAATTTGGAGGAACCCCATGATTTAAGGAGTAGATCTAGGAGGAAGAGCCAGAGAAACTTTGACTGGGAGGCAGTGATAAGGGAAAGGAAGGTGGCAGGGAGAGAAGAGAGGATGGGTTTTCAAAATGATGATCACCACAATGACTTAAAACTGGAGGAATTAGGAGGCAACCACAGCCACCTCTGTTTGTGGCACACTCCAGCCATAGTGACTTTGAGAAACAAGAACCTCCACTTCCACAGCAGCATAAATCACATTGCACCTTATGAGTATCCCAGTGGAGGAGGTACAAGGATGCATTTGGGTGGAGGTGGAGAAAAAGTAGAAAATGAGCTTCCCTGATGATGACTCTCATAGAATTAAGTACTTTTATACTAATTTATAACTGCAGAACTTATTTATGAACTTCTAAAATGACAGATTCCCATAAATGGGGAAAAAAGTGCATTGCTTCAATTTACAGGAATTGCCTAATTCCAAACATAGTAATGAGAAGGATTTAAAATTAAAATCCTTTTGGGAACACTCTTCTACCTGGAAGAGCTAGCTTATTAGAGTCACCTCTTATGTGTTCTCCATTAACACTATTAAATTTCAACAGCCTGTAACTGTTGAATATTAAGATATTTGCATAGAATTCCCCAGGTTTTTGGATGACCTAGTAGAATATCACATTTTTAAAAACACACGAATAGCTCAAAGCTACACAGAGTTTATTATGCAACATTCTATTAGGAATAGCTCAAATGAATGCTTTATAGTAGAAGAAAGTGTTGCAGTATTTTGTCTATAACATAATTGACTTTCTTGGTGAGTATACCTCAAATTATTGAGGTATGTTGAGATGGTGTTTGGAAAATGTTCCATGGAAACAAAGCTTGGAAACTTGGGGTTAAACAATCTTGATTTTATTTTTCTATTGCAGGACTTCTGAGAGCCTTCGGTGTGCTGGTTTACATTGCATAGCTCTAGAGATGGGTATTATGTAGGAGTTCCTAAACTTAACTGACCATACATAGACTCCCCTCTTTTTTTTTTCCAAAAATATTTGACCTACTTTATGAAATGTCCTATATAGCAGATTATATTTCTGTTCAAAATGTTGGCTGCTCCTCCCTGTGGTATCCCTTTTCTGTAGAAATATTATCCTTCTCTACTTCACTGGCCCCAAGTGTGGCCACGTGACCTGTTTTGGCCAATGTAACATGGCTGTGGGTAAGGTGTGTTTCTTCTATCAGACACTCGAAGAGCCAGGTGTAGTTCATCTATTCTTTGTATCCTTTGCTACAAGACCAGCTATGTCCCAAAGTTTGTTCTGACATCTTAGAGTTCTGGAGAGTCCTAGAATGGAAATGTAAATGCATAAAACATAAGTCTTTGAAATTGTAAGCCATTAATATTTTGCATCATTTGTTACCACAGCCAACTGAGCCTAAGGTGACTAATGCCTTCTACTTCTAAGTATTTCTAAATTATCTGAACCTTTACCACTTTTCACAGGTGTACTCATTCTGTATTGATTGTCTAAATGAGGAAGTGTTCTTGGAATTATTCTTTAGGTTAGGACAGTACACTTGAAGGTGAACTAAAAAAAATATATATGAAACGTGTCTTAAAGAAATGGTGTCTAGGCTGCGCGTGGTGGCTCACGCCTGTAATCCCAGCACTTTGGGAGGCTGAGGCAGGCAGATCATCAGAGGTCAGGAGTTTGAGACCAGCCTATCCAACATGGTGAAACCCTGTCTCTACTAAAAATATTTTTAAAAAGTTAGCTGGGTGTGGTGGTGGACACCTGTAATCTCAGCTACTCAGGAGGCTGAGACATGAGAATCACTTGAACCCGGGAGGCAGAGTTTGCAGTGAGCCAGGATCGCACCACTACACTACACACTACAGCCTGGGCGACAGAGTGAGACTGTCTAAAAAAAAAAGAAATAGTGTCTAGTAGTTACCTGGAATTTTATCAAAAATGAGTAGTCTTGGTTGGGCGTGGTGTCTCATGCCTATAATCTGAGCACTTCGGGAGGCCAAGGCAGGCGGGTCACCTGAAGTTGGGAGTTCGAGACCAGCCTGACCAACATGGAGAAACCCCGTCTCTACTAAAAATACAAAATTAGCTGGGTGTGGTGGTCCATGCCTGTAATACCAGCTACTCAGGAGGCTGAGGCAGGGGAATCACTTGAAACCGGGAGGCAGACGTTGCGGTGAGCCGAGATCACACCATTGCACTCCAGCCTGGGCAACAAGAGCAAAACTCTGTCTCAAAAAAAAAAAAAAAAGAAAAAGAAAAAGAAAAGAAAAGAAAAAGGAAAATAAAAGAATATTCTCAGGCTCAATTCTCAGAGATTCTGATTTAATGGGCCTTGGATGGGTCCTAGGAATCTGAATTTTAAACTAGATGTTACCAATGCAGCTTGTCTGTTAACCACACCTTGGAAAAATGCCACTCTAAAGCCACTGTTTGATTAACAGTCATGTGATAACATGCATTTAAATAAATGTCATTTCAATTTAAGAAGGCACCATGGAGGGTCCTCCTTGGAATTCCTGGAAGCATGTATGAAATCAGTTTTATCACATTTGAGTTTATATTCATTACATTTTAGTGCAAAATATTTTATGCACAAATGATACTTTCATGCTTAAATGCCTATGTTGTTCAAAAAGCCTGATTCTAAGTGACCCTTAGCTCTTTCAAAAAAATAAAACCAAAACCAATCTGCTTTAAAAAGATTAAGTTCTGTTACCAATGAAGATCAAGGGCTATTTCAGTTGCAAGTGACAGAAACTTAATTCAAACTGTGTTAAGCAAAACAAACATTGGTTACAGAGCTAAAACGTCCATGGTTTTTGAGAGGATGAAGTTCTTGGTTGACAGGGCAGGACATGTCAAAACTGGAGAGAAGCACTCTGGGAAGGTGTCTGGGAGGTGGGGATGCTATCAGTCAGTGGGCAGGAAGAGGAGGGTGTGCAGGTTCTTGTGGGAGGAAGACTAGGCAGGCAAGGCACTATCTGGACAGTGTGGGAAAAGGTGAAGGGGCAGTCTAGGCAGATGACTGGCACCGGGGAGATTTGCCCAGGTGTGGTAAATGGAAGTCCTGAGAGCTGGGTAGGGAATAATCAGAAAGGAAGGAGTAGGTGGGTAGGCAGAGCGAGAGGTGTCAGTCAGCTGAAATCAGGGCTCCATTTACAATTAGATCTAGATACTCAAAACGTAGCTTCAAATATCTGCTTCTTTCCATCAATCAGCACTACATCCTCCTCCATTGTTAGCTTCATACTCAGACATTAAGTCAGGATGAGAAGAAAGGAGAGGGAGGAGAATGAGTTGGCTGAATACCATGACCAGATGTTTAGAAACCAAATCATAAAAATCTTTTTAACTGGTGTCTTTGAATGTCTTAAGCTTTTCAAGAAATTCTTATAACCTTCAATATCTGTTTGTGTCATCAGTGTCAGTTCAAATCGATTCCACTGACAGCTTGATAAATGATTTCCAATTTTATCTCAGACAAATGCAGTATGGTTCAATCAATGGTTTTGCTTATGTGAGCACTTTAGGATTGTGTCCGATCCATTTCTACTTAAAAATTTAGTTTCAGTGTTGCTTGACTAATTTTCACAACTCTGTGCTTTGAA
Organism: Homo sapiens; assembly: GCF_000001405.40. NCBI lineage: Eukaryota > Metazoa > Chordata > Mammalia > Primates > Hominidae > Homo > Homo sapiens. The sequence goes on along the minus strand of NC_000005.10, from coordinate 38,576,847 downwards.
TGTGTCTGAATATTGCCCCGAATCCCTCCCTATAACAGGCATGAAGAAAATCTGAGATAGAAATAATACGTACTTGATTACTTGATCCTTTATCACAGGCAACTAACTACTGTAACCAGATGATTCCCTGCTGACACTATTGTGATACCTGCCAAAGAAACTGTCTAATGTCACGTTAACACATTAAAAATGACAACCAGCCAAGCCTCTAAGCCTTCTTTCACTCTTGGCATTTGTAGTTGTTTGCTTATCGGATGGTGTCACGTTTCTATGAGTCCCAGCGCTGGCTCGCATTATAGTCAAGTGGAACCAAGAAAATGCTGGCAAGTCTGTCATGGAAAGCTAGGCCTATAATGCACAGGACAACCCTCTTTAACCAAAAATTATCTGGCTCTGGATGTCAAGAGTGCCAAGGTTGAGCAAGGTTATGCCTGTTTTAGATAATCATAGGAACTCTGGCTCTTACCTGTAAGAAATTGAAAGGCATGATCAGGTTTTAAGCAAAAGGAAGAATCATCCAAGTTACATTTTTAAACAGGATTGTTCTGGATATGATGTTGACCACAGATGGCAGTGGAGCAAGCAGGAAGCAGAGAGGACTGTTAGCAGATTATTGCAATAACAGACAAGAGATGATAGTGACTTAGACCAGCAAGGTGGTTTTTGAGGTTCACAACTTTAAATTTGGTTCTTTTATCCCTACCATAGAGATGAGGAAACAGAGGCTCAGGGAGGAATATAACCAGGCCACGTGGCTGATTAAACCACGGCATTAGTATGTGGGCCCAGCAGTCTGATTTCAAAGCCATGGTCTTTCCACAGCATTATGATGCCCTTCCCCCATCACCTTCCTCTGTATCTCTTTCTCAAACAAAATGCAAAACCAGTGACACAGGAATAAATCCTAGAAAGAGCAATCTTCACAAGGTTCCTTTCCAGGCCTACCATTCCAAGTATCTGAGCTAAACCGACTTGAGCCCGGGTCACCTCAGTTACCCAAATCTGTCTCTTTAAATTTCCCCCTAAGGACAAGATTGGTCCCAGAACCCAGAGCAGGGATGAGCCTATAGGTGGGGGGCCTCTGGGTCCTACAGAGGATGGAGAAGAGATATGAGAGGTGGGAAACCAGTCCAGCACATTTTCTGGATCAGCGGACTGTGTAATGTGTGTTTGTTAATTTGTGCCCCAAACCACAGCTGCCCATGGACTCAGCACAGCCATTAGTGGATTTCTGACAGTCTATGGCAGGCAGCCCTGTGTTCTTCACAATTGTCACAATTTAGACTTTAAACAATTCAGAGTGGTCTCTTTTCATGTATAGGAAGCTCTCTCTGGGCAAACGGTGGGTAACCAGCACATCAGACAACGGCATCAGATTGCAAACTTGTCTCCGTAAATTGAAGTAATCAGAAACAAACAGATACAAAGTTGTTTTATAAAACCTCTTAAAGTATAATATACATAAATATAAGTGCATATATCATAAATGTATATATTGGTGAATTTTTATAAGCTAAACACTAAGAACATTATCAGTACCCTGGGGCCCCCACCATCCCCTTCCAATCACTACTCTTCCAAGAGTAGCTGCCATTCCTGACTTTTAATACTGTAAATTAGTTTTGCCAGTTTTTGAACTTTTTCTAAGTGGAATCAAATAGAATGTTCTTGACTTATTTCCTCCAACATCACATTTGTGAGATTCATCTGTGTTGTTAAGTTTAGACCATTTATTTTTGCTGTTATATAATATGACATATGAATACAAAACAGTTGATCTGTTCTGCTTGGATGGGCATGTGGATAGTTTCCAGTTTGGAGTTATTATGAATAGTATGCTGTGACAATTTCAGTGCATGCCTTTTGGTGAAAACATGCACAAGTTCCTGTTGAGTATATACGTAGGTGTGGAATTGCAGGGTTGCAGGGGAACAAAAGATGTCTTGATAGGATGAAATATAACATATTCTAGCTATAGAGGTAAAACAATGTGTATAGATATTACAGGGAAGGTTTGGATAGGCTCAAGAATGAAAGCAAAAGTCCAGAGCTTAGGAAAAGACTGTGACCGTCAGCATGCAAAGTAGAGTATAGTCTAAGCTAAGGAAAATGATGGTGTGTGTAGATAGTTAGGTAACTTGCAGAAACCAAGTGGCAGCAGTGCTGGGTAGTAAAGGGCTTTCGTTGAAAGACCTGAGTTCGAACTTGCTCTCAGTTTGACTGTGTAACTGAGGTGTGTCACTTGACAGCTCAAAGCCTTGACTTTCCCTTACAGAAAATTGTTGAGAAGATTAAATTCATTCATTCAACAATGATTGATTGACTACCTACCCATGTGCTGAAGACTGGAGATCCAGCAGGAAACAAAAAAGTGTCCTTGTCCTCATTGATTTTACTGGGAAGGAATACCCATGGTAAACAATGGCCATGTAATGACAATTATGAAAATTGCAATCACGGAATCTAACCAGTCCGGGGGGTCTGGGAGGAGTGTCTGAGGCAAGTAGACATGAGCCAGGCCAAGAATTGGGGTGACAAATTTCAGGCAGATGAAATAGCATGAGGGAAGTCTATAGAGGGAAGGAGCCTGGCATGTGTAAGGAAAAGAGACAGTGAGTGTGGCTGACAGGAGTAAGCAGAGGGGAGAGTGAAGACCAGATGCAGTGGCAGGCCGGGCTTTTAAGTGGTTGGCTTACCTTGATTGCTTTTTTTTTGTTTTGTTGTGTTTTTTTGAGATGGAGTCTCACTCTGTTGCCCAGGCTGGAAAGCAGTGGTGCCATCTCGGCTCACTGCAACCTCTGCCTCCCAGGTTCAAGCAATTCTCCTGCCTCAGCCTCCCAAGTAATTTGGGACTACAGGCATATGCCACCATGCTCGACTAATTTTTGTATTTTTAGTAGAGACGGGGTTTCACCATGTTGGCCAGGCTGGTCTGCCTCAGCCTCAAGTGATCTATACCCCTCAGGCTCCCAAAATGCTGAGATTACAGGTGTGAGCCACCGCACCCAGCCCCTTGATTGCTTTTTAAGCCTTTTAAACTGAAGGCAAAAAGAGGACTGGGAAATAGGGTGGGAGTGGTGACAAAATCAGGAAAGTGCAAAAATATATGCTGATTTGTAAATTTACATTTCAGTATTCATCCAGTCATTCATTTATATTTATGCGATGAGGGACTACCAAGTGCATCTGATCATGTCTGAAATTATTTGGGTGTCAATAACTACTGAATGGGATGAATGCATAAACAGTAACTTACAAGGTCAACACGCTGGCAAAAGAAATTCTGTTTAAAATTATTTAATTTCATTTGCTCTGATATTAAGTTAGTTCTTTCAGTAGATTTTCATTCTAGGAACAGTCGCTAATATTTGTTGAATGCTTACTATGCATCAACTTCTGTTCTAAGTAATATGGTAATATGTAACAGGTATGTTTTCTCATTCACTCCTAACCACAACAACGCAGACAGGTAGGATTCATTATTATCCCCTGCTTTACTGATGGTGAAGTAGACATCGAAAGGCACACTGACCCACTGGCCTGAGATCACCTAGTTAGTAAGCAGAGAGTCAAGATTTGCACTCAGGCAGTCTGATTCCAGCTCAAAAGCTCCTAATGGCTACTTCTAGCTTCCAGAAAGAAGTCACAGACAAGCAACACAAATATCTGGTTGGTTTAATTGTTGCATTTCTCATTTTAAATTAGTAAATTGGTATTGTGCATTACACATTAAGCTCTTGTGAGCTGATTAGTGTGACTTGACTCTCTAGGGTTTTGCTCCCTTCTAGTGAACTAATAAGGCTGAATTTCCAAACCTGCAATCCAGCTGTGGATCAATGGTTAGAACACAGGAGAGTGACAGAAACAAAGATGGGGAAAGTTGCAGCGGCCACATCTTGCAGGTTATATAGACCATGCACACAGTTTGAACTGTTTCGTAGTGTGTAGGGAAGGAGTATGATTGGTTAGGATGTGATCACAACAGTTTGGGTGAGAGATGATGGTGACTTAGATGACTATGATGGTAGTTAAAATGGAGATGAAATAACAGATTCTAAGTAAAAGGCTGCACAAAGTGCTTGGCATGTAGTAGGTGTGCTATTAAGGGGTAGCTATTGTTAACAACCATGGCAAATTCATTTCAATCCAGCAGGTTACATTTCATGGATTGGAAATGACTGCCTGAAGCATAGCGTTGGAAAGATATTCTGACCCCCCTTCAGGCCCGCACAGAAGGAGCACTAGGATAGACTGGAGATGTCTGTCATAAGCTCTGGATAAACAGGTGGTAGCACAAATGTTGAGGGGTGCTTTATAAGGATTTTCAAATCAATAGTTTGGATCTGTGCCCCCACCCAAACCTCATGTTGAATTATAATCCCTAATGTTGCAGTGGGGCCTGGTGGGATATGAATGAATCATGGGAGTAGGTTTCTCATGAATGATTTAACACTCTCCCCTTGGTGCTGTTCTCATGACAGTGAGTGAGTTCTTGCAAGATCTGGTTGTTTAAAAAGTGTGTAGCACCTTCCCCTCACTCTATATATCTTGTTCCTGCTCCTGCCATGTAAGACACCTGCTCCTTCTTTGCCTTCTGCATGTTTGGAAGCTTCCTAAGGTCACCCCAAAAGCAGAAGCTGCTATGCTTCCTGTATAGCCTGCAGAATTGTGAGCCAATTAAGCCTCTTTTCTTTATAAATTACCCAGTCTCAGGTATTTCTTTATAGTAATGTGAGAACAGACTAATATACAAGTAAAGACAAGATTCTTATACAGACGATTTTGAATCGTTTTTCTCCATAATAATATTCAAAGATAAAGTGGGCTTAAGCTATAGTAAAAACAATCCTATTTATTAGAAAAAAGCAATACCTAATGGATGATGAACCACAGAAACTTACAAAATTGACCTTCGGTTTGAAAGTACTCATGGGTAATGCCCTCCCTGCAAACAAAAGATTCCACAGGCAAGTTAGTTTGACTTAGGTCAAATGTTTTAGGCCTCTCTTAGAGGTTCATGATGCATATTAGCATGCTAAAAGTTCAGAAAGGGAAGCACACTAAAAGACACATTTTTAAGGTTGTTTAACCAGAAGTTTCCAAATTCATTGACCATGGGATATTTTTTCACTTTATGCTTAACATCTCATAGAAACATAATGCCTGCATTAATATTGCATTATGATAACAAGACATTGTGCTACAAAATTGGTAATGTCATGTCATCTTTTTTCTTCTGGCTTTTGTACAGCTCAATCAGTAGGAGCAAAGGAGAGGAGGAGAAGGAGGCTAGTGCTTTTTTTTTTTTTTTTTTTTTTGAGCTGGAATGCAGTGGCACAATCTTGGCTCACTGCAACCTCTGCTTCCCGGATTCAGGTGACTCTCCTGCCCCAGCCTCTTAAGTAGCTGGGACTACAGACACCCACCACGACCCCCAACTAATTGTTTTTGTATTTTTAGTAGAGACAGGGTTTCACCATATTGGCCAGGCTGGTCTCGAACTCCTGACTTCAAGTGATCCGCCCGCCTCAGCCTCCCAAAGTGCTGGGCTTACAGGCATGAGCCACTGTGCCCAGCCGACTAGTGCATACTATTTGTTCGTTTCTAGTGAAAGATGCTCACTTAATGATAACTGGTTGTATATAGCAGCACCTTGGCTCTGAATCTGATCACTGACGTTGTGGCTAACAATATTTAACCTTTGGCTGATGAAGATCAAGTTGCAGCCTACACCCACATTTTGAAGTTGCTTAAATTTGGACTACTCAGGAGACACACAGATTCTACAGATGTGAGCCAGTCACAGAACACTAGGGCTTATTCATTTTCAAAGTTTCCAATTTTTAGTTCAGTGCTTCGTACATAAAAGAGGCTCACAAATGGCTTTTGAGTAATGAATGAATACACAAACGAATGAATAATTATGGTAACTATTTTTGCTCATGAGAAAAGGTAATTAATTATAAGAAGAGTAAGTATTGTGCCAAATCTAGGATAAATTTTAAATAACACAATAGCCTTAAAATTAAACAAGAGTTCTTTTTTTGTTCTGTGGAGATTTAGCAAGTTAGATCTACTTTTGTCTGAATTATACATGCTGAAAAAATGGCATCTTCAGACACAAATTGGCTAACGTTATTAAGTAACTTTGTCCTTTAATTAGGCAAGTCACTGAATCTCTTTGTTTTCTTGTCTCCTGCGATAGGTGAACTCTAAGTTCTAAAGTGTCCATGAATCTATTCACTTATAAATATGATGCTTTGTACTTTTTTTTTCTTGCAACACCGGGAAAGTGCATAATGTTCATTCTAAAACCCAGTCTAAGTCCAGACCGAAAAAGCCTCAGGAAAGCACAGAATTCCAACATGTTTTGCAAGAAAATCCTCACTCATTAAAGGTATGCTCATAAGAGGAAAACAAGAACTCTATTATATTTTCCTACAGAAGAACTGTATGAAGTCCTCTCCACAGAATCTCAGCAAGAACAACACTCTCTTCTGGGACAATCTTGATGAACATGGGCTACCTTGGGAACTGGTGACTTGGGCAGGTCCCCTAATAATCTTTAGGTACCATTATAAGCCAACACTTACATGTACTTATTAAATAGCAGCCACTGTTCTAAATGCTCTACTTAGACAAATTCATTTAATCCTAACCATAGCCCTAAGAACTGGGTGGGATTATTATCTTCATTTTACAGACGGGCAAGTTAAGGTATAGCATGCTTAATTATCTAACTGTTATGGACCTATTAAATGGTGAGGAATCAAGATAGTATGGGTCCAGAATCTCTGCTGGTAACCCCTCTGCTATACTGCCACTCAGGATATCATCTAGCTATTGACGAAGGCTGAAACAAACTAAGTCAACTAACACTTATCGGGAGTCCACCATATTAAATGCTGTAAAGAACTAAGGGGGAATAAAATGATGAGGGCCTCATTACTGCACTTACCCAGCTAACAAATAAGCAACATACTCTAGGCAGAATGAAATGAATATTAGAATAAAGATTCTTCGGAAAGAGGAGGTAGAATTTGATATAGCCTTGAAGAATAGGATTTTAATAGATAGAGTGGAAAGACAACATTTCAGATTCAAGCAACAGTGCGATTTTAGGGTGTGCCAATTAGGCTTGTCTGCCCAGATTGTAAGACACACAGTAGGGCAGCGGTCCCCAAACTTTCTGGCACCAGGGACCAGTTTCCATGGGAGAAAATGTCTCCACGGACTGGGGTTGTGGAGATGATGGTTTCAGGATGAAACTGTTCCACCTCAGATCACATCGGGCATTAGATTCTCATAAGGAGTATGCAACCTAGATCCCTTACATGTGCAGTTCATAATAGGGTTCACACTGCTATGATAATCTAATGCTGCTGCTGATCTGACAGGAGGTGGAGCTCAGGTGGTAATGCTCGCTTGCCTGCTTCTCACCTCCTGCTGAGCAGCCTCCTGCTTCTCACCTCCTGCTGAGCAGGGTTCCTAACAGGCCACAGTCCAGTGAACCCTGCAGTAGGGGATGACATCTGGCTCTTGAAGAGTCTCAATGCTGTGCTGAGTCTAAATGTCATTGTGTAGGCAATAAAGACTAATTTGACTTTTACTTTGGAGTATAACTCGAGATAGAATGGTGGGCTATAATCTGAGCAAGAAGAATGAGAAATTAAATCAAGGCAGTTTCAGTAACAAGTGTAAAAATGGGTGATGTGGTACCAGGGTGTTGCGATATGGTGCCCAGACCTCCCCTTCAGTAATAATGATCAGATTATCCAAGTCACTGGGAATGCTGCCAAAAGAGGGCCTTCGGCCAAGGTCATGACCTCTTCCTGGGATGGTGGCATCAATGACTGATCATCACTGGGGATATAAAGGCCCCTACCTCTCACCACAGCTCAGGACAGCTCTGAAGGGCCATCTCAGCCTCAGAACTCACCACATTGTAGTTGAACTTCTTTCTCTGCCCAGTTGTGCTTTCTTTCCTTCTCTTTGACAAACTACTGTCTCAAGAGCACTCCCAATAAACCTCTCCCACACTAATCTCTGTCCTAGAGTCTGTATCCTGGGACGCTCAACCTGCTTCTGATGGCTGTAAGGTGCATTATAAAAACAAAACCCCCAGTTGGGCATGTATGCACGAATGTAGCAAATGAAGGAGAAGAAAAAGTCATAGATGATGCCCAACCAGCATAGCTAGGAGGGTGGTCTTAGCCAGCATGGTCACTCCCTACTCAGCCCCTCAGTGCAGTGTCTCTTCTTGACCCCTATAATCTACTCCTCACACATGTGGCAGAGGGATTCATGCTCCAAATCTTGCCATCATGTGCAGAAGAAATTCAAGAGTCCTTTATCCTGCCTACAACATCCCACCTAATTGGCCCCCCAGATACCTCTCCAACCTCCCCATGCTTCTGGACTCCAGCCACACTGACCTCCTTGCAGTTCTGGAACATGCCAACCATGTGCCTGTTGGTCCCCCAGAAACTCCCATAGGCCCTTGTCTCATTTCATTTAGCCCTCTCTGCTCAAAAATTCCTTCTCAAGAAGGCCTCCTCCAACTACTCCATTTAGCATAGAAACCCCTGTCATTCTCTATCCGTTTAAACCCACTTAATTTTTTTCCAAAGCACTTATTTCAAGTTGCCATTGGTACATTATTTACCTATGTGTTTATGCATGGTCTCTTTCTCTCTCTAGAATGAGAGCTCCATGAAGGCAAGAACTTTATCATCTTCACTGTTATATCCCTGGTCAGGCACATAATTTGTACATAAGTTAATGAAAATGAGAGTCATAGGAGAAGTGTGTTTTCAGCAGAAAATATCAGTTCAATTTTGAATAGGTTGAATCTGAACAGCCTTTACAACAAAGCAGTCAGATCAGATGTTTAGAAGACAGTTACTCATAGTACCCAGTCTCTGTGAGGTGTAGGGAGAGAATGAGCTAGAATGGCAGTTCCTAAGTTGCTCTGGGGGAATATTAACCTCATGGCAGGCTCTTTGAAATACAGAATGGTTGGGCCAGGTGGTGGCTCATGCCTATAATCCCAGCACTTTGGGAGGTTGAGGTGGGCAGATCACCTGTGGTCAGGAGTTCGAGACCAGCCTGGCCAACATGGCAAAACCTCGGCTCTACTAAAAATACAAAAATTAGCTGGGCATGGTGGCATGCCCCTGTAGTCCCAGCTATTTGGGAGGCTGAGGTAGGAGAATTGCTTGAACCCAAGAGGCGGAGGTTCCAGTGAGCCAGATCATGCCACTGCACTCCAGCCTGGGCAACAGAGTGAGACTCAGTCTTCAAAATAAATAAATAAATAAATAAATAAATAAATAAATAAATAAATAAATACAGAATGGTCATATTCCTTCAATGAAATAAAAACCAAACAGCTTTAATAAAAGAAAAATTAATAAACAAATAATGGATAAGAGGGAGATGAAGAGAAACAGAATGAGAGACAGAGAAACGAAGGGGATTTATTGGCTCATGTAACAGCAATGTCCAGAGGTTCAGGCTGGACAAGATCCAAGGACTCCAACAGTGATCCCAGAATTTGGTCTGTCTCCATCTCTCAGCTCTGCTAGTCACTTCTCTGAGGGTCTGCATTCTCAGCCAGGCTCTTTCCAAACAGACCACATGGAAAGTAGATCACCAGAATTGGTTCCAATTCCTTCCTTTCAACGAACGCAGTGAAAGATGGTGCCTCTTCCACAACAGTTCTTTAAAAAAATCAAAGGAATTGGACCTAAGGAGCTGGTCTGGCTTGAGTCCTAGGCCCAGAGGGATAAATGGTCTGATTCACTTAGACTGGGTCATCTCTGACACTGTGCGCTGCAGGTTCCCAGGAGCTGATGATGTGCCTCTCTTCCCAACTCCATGTTTAGTGATTTCACCTTGGTAGCTTAAAGTTGGCCATGGTAAAAGTATTTACACCATGGAAAATGTCAAATGCTACAAATCAAGGATTTTCTTCTTTTTTTTTAGAATTGGTTTTTAACACTTACCAATGAATCACTTGTCATATGAACATTTCTAAAGCCAGGAATGGGGGACAGATTCACCAGAACTCAGGGACTAAGAATGAGGAATAGGTTCCCTAAAGGACAATCAAGATATTGTTACCAGGAAAAGGGATGACTGTTGGGAAGCGTCCTCCCATATATTATATTATTACATTACATTATGTTATAATTGAGGATCCACAATGAACTAAGGGTTCTAAAAAGGCCTGTGACTTATAAAGCTGTTTAACTCAGTGTTATCCAACCTTCTGTGATTAGAAAGTCTCCTTTTTCATAAACTTCTGATTAACTTCTCAATGCCTTTGGAAAATAGTGAACAAGAGTATAGAGATATTAATACAAAAGAAGGGAACTAACAATTTATATGTAGATCTATTGCTGTGTTAGTGGCTGGGGGAAAAAAGATTCTTAATGTTTTCCTCTCCCTTGAATGGCAAATAGAAAATGCCTAAAATGAAGAAAATATTGATTTTAAACCAACTGATACGTCTGCAAACTTTATTTTAACTTTGAGCCACTGAAAGGGATTTAAAATCAAAGGAACAATATATTTCCTATATCTTTTAGGCTGAATATTATATGTTAATTCTAATATTTTTATGAGCTGTAATTAACCTTCGGTCATTGAGAAATCAAATACTCAGGCTTTTAAGCTTATATCTAAAACTTCATCTAGTGCTATGATAGGAAGAAAAAATGAAAGACAGAAAGCAATAAAAATTAATTTTAAAATAGTTTCTTTTTTTCTTTTCTTTTTTGGCAACTCAGGCTAATCAAGGACATTCTGACCATGTTTTGAGAGTCTTAATACGTAAGCTTCATCAGAGTCTTCATAAGACAAAGGGCTTTGTCTCACTCACTGTTGTTTCCTTAGCATGCATATGTATTAAGTACTCAATAAATATTTGTTGAACACTAAGTTTTAAAAATCAACAATGGGGCTGGGAGCAGTGGCTCACGCCTGTAATCCCAGCACTTTGGGATGCCGAGGTGTGGGGGATCACCTGAGGTCTGGAGTTCGAGACCAGCCTAACATGGAGAAACCCTGTCTCTACTAAAAATACAAAATTAGCCAGGCATGGCAGTGCATGCCTGAAGTCCCAGCTACTTGGGAGGCTGAGGCAGGAGAATCACTTGAACCCGGGAGGTGGGGGCTGCAGTGAGCCGAGACTGCGCCATTGTACTCCAGCCTGGGCAACAAGAGCGAAACTCCGTCTAAAAAAAAAAAAAAAAAAATCAACAATCATGACAGAGGTATATTTTATCCACTTGATGCTTTCTCATATACATCATCTCATTTCATATGTTTTGTGGACATATGAAGGCACTGTCTGCCCTTCCCACCTTCCTTCATGTAGGAATTTACCTTCCCCCAATAGCTATGTCACCATCCGGGACTTTATATTCTTTTACGTGGCCTTTCTCCCTTCCCTTTTTGCCTAAATTAGTTAGGCAATAGCTATGCTGCCATTTGGGACTTAATATTCTTTTTCATGATATTTCCCCCTTCCTTGTTTGCCTAAATTAGTGAGGGCTGTATTTCTACCACTTGCAGGAAAGGAATCTTCATTGAACAATTTTCACTGTTATATCTGTTATACTGAAAACTATATTAATGGAATACTGATATGCTTTGTTCTTCAACTGAAAATTTTTATTTTCTAAAGATAAAGTATTAAACATCCAAGGCTCAATACTGAATATAAGTCTAGTATAATTTCAACAAATTCCTTACTAAACTGCTGTGCAAAATAAAGATGAAAGCTCACACCTGTAATCCCAGCACTTTGGGAGGCCAAGGTGGATGGATTGCTTGAGGCCAGGAGTTTGAGATCAGTTGGCCAATGTGGCGAAACCCTGTCTCTACTAAAAATACAAAAAATTAGCCAGGCATGGTGGCAGGCGCCTGTAATCCCAGCTACTCGGCAGGCTGAGGCAGGAGAATCACTTGAACCTAGAAGGTGTAGGTTGCAGTGAGCCGAGATTGCACCACTGCACTCCAGCCTGGGTGACAAGTGAGACTCTGACTCAAAAAAAAAATATATGTGTGTGTGTGTGTGTGTGTGTGTGTGTGTGTGTGTGTGTGTAGTGTGTGTGTATATATATATTGTGTGTATATATATACATATGCATATGTATAACACTCTCTAAATCCAATGGAGACAAAAATAACACTCTCTAAAGCCAATGGAAGTGTCTAGGGATGCTCCCGGCTGTTGGTGGTTTTGAATATAACATCACTTTCAGGTTGAAGAAAGGAGTAACCCACCAGAGATGAATAGCAGTATGAGAATCCAGTCATGGGGGACTGGGTGTGGTGGCTCACACCTGTAATCCCAACACTTTGGGAGGCTGAGATGGGAGGATCCTTTGAGCCCAGGAGTTTGAGACAAGCCTGGCAACATAATGAGACCCTGTCTCTACAAAAAATAAAATTAGCCAGGCATGGTGGTGTGTCTGTAGTCCCAGCTACTTGGGAGGCTGAGGTGGGAGGATCACCTGAACCCAGGAGGTCAAGGCTGCAGTGAGCTGTGATGGTGCCACTGCACTCTAGCCTGGGCAGTAGTCTAAAAAAAAAAAAATCCAATCATGGGGTCTCAAAGCAGAAGAGTAGTGTGGGGAAGGGGGATGGGCTGATCCTACAGAGACACAATTCTGCACTCAAACAACACCCGAAGGAAAGAGCAAGTCTCTATCTCAACTAGCAATACAATCTGAAACAGGAATGCAGGAGAGAAAGAGTTAGATTCAACCCTACAGAGACAAAGGACAGGAGCCATTTGGACTAAAGAGAGACAGAATTCAGAGCATGTCCTTTGGGTTGAGAAGAGCCTTTGACAGCACTCAGTCAAAACCCAACTTTGTCAAAGCCTCACTCACAGCGGCACTACGGTGTAGGTGAGATCCTAGTGAAGCTCCTGAAACTAGAAGTGGCAGGAGAAGGTTCAGTGGCCAGCACTGAAGTGGAACATAGCGTTCAGGAATGAGGAGTGTGGGCTTTGGAGCCAGACTGCCATGGTTTGAATCACACTGTTGTCAGTAACCGTGTGGCCTTTGGCAAGTTAGTGAACCTCTTTGCCTGATTTGTAAATGGAGATGACAGCCCTCCCTGTAACTTGCAGGATTGTAGGGAGGATGGGCTGAGTTGGTACACAGTACCTGGCATGCCGTAAGTGCTTAATAAATGTTCAATGTTTTCTAGTGATTATGAATTCTGAGCCCCACTTTTAGCCAACATCTTCTAAATCATTATAAATTATGATGACTTTGGAATTAAACAGACTGGTGCATTCATATCTTTGTTATTTTACTCCTTTGAGCTTTGGTCTCTTCACCTGTAAAGTGAGACTAATATCTACATATATAAAACACAGAGAAAGTGCCTAGCATGGGGACTCTTTATGTTAATAACCAATTAATATTAATCTCCCAACCTGAGAGTCACCTGCACAGCTATGTTTCTCTTTTCTAGAGTTAAGAAAAAACCCAGTAAGGTTAGACTAATTGGTATAGTCCAGGTCAAGACTACTTGGGTAGGTAGAATGGAATTCTATGTGAACTCACATTTGAGTGGGATACTACATTGATTAGGGTAGTGGAAAGGTTTCTGTCAGCCCTTCAAGTCCAAGACCCTGGGAACAAAATAGCCTGAAACACAAGATTTCTTGGGCGTGTCACAGAAAAAAAATTCCAAGCTGCAGACTTTCCCTTTGAGAGTGGCGTCCTCAGTTACCTTAAATTCCAGTAGAAACACCATCCACAGAAATGTCCCTGTTTGCCAGAGCTGCCATAGTGATGGCCACTTTTGTTTTCCCAATATGAGACCCAGGCAGTGTTCCAGATTAGGTACCCGAAGAAAACCCTGGGGATATTACTGTTATTTAAATTAATTATTTAACTGACTAGTTATTTTTCAGCTACCCAGTGTTTCAGAGACCTTGAATTATGCCTATTGGCAAATGTGTAACCACTGAAAATTCTTCACAGTCAGAAACTGGAAAGAAAAATTCACCCCTGCAGTTTTAGGTTTTTTGGTTTTGTACATAATATTGAAGGTGGTGGATTAAGTGCAATATTTAGAATAATATATTCAAGGATTTAAGGAATTTGAGTTCAATTTTGAACCACTCCACCACCCCTGGCTGGACCTCAGCTCAATCCCTTAATCTTTTGGCTTCTTTCTCCATCTGCACAAGATGCCTCTGGCAACGCACTGAGTGCAGTAGCATAGGAATACATTCAATAATGGGCTTAATATCACCACTCAAAAGGGAGTAAATTGCTTTTTTGTGGGATCCATTAGCTTAATTGAGAATATTAGCTCAGTATTCTGGATGTACGATGGGCTATAAGAAAGAAGGTAGCATCAATTTAAATGTTTTGCTTTGCCTCCCTAAATGACTCTGGTCAACAGCTAAGAATAAGAATATAAGAATAAGGGGACAGAAAGAAAAGCAGGGACAGAGGAGAATGCTCAGGAAGTCAAAAGGAAGAGGTAAAGGGATGGAGGCTCAATGGCTAAGAAGTGAGGTATACGTGAAGACGGAGGCGGAAAAGAAGATGGGAGAGGCAAGAAGGGAAACAATAAGATTCCTTAAGGAGAGGAAGAGTAAGAATCTGAAACGAAGATTCCAATCAGATGGAAGTTAATTGGGACCAACCATATGGAGAGGGGCAGAGCAGAGGGGATGGACAGAGTTCACTCGGGAAAGAGAGGGTTTGGTAGGGCTGTCTCCCTCCCTCCTGTCACTGGCTGTCTTCACATTTGCGGTGCTCCCACGATCCCCAACACTAGGCTTTTGGCTCAGGGAGTTGGCTTTAACAGCTGTGCCATTTAGCCTCCCAAGAGTATAAGAGGTCTCCAAGACCCAGGGAGTTAAGCAAATGTTAGTGTATCGGGGGAAAGTGTTCTTACTTCATGTTCTTCAAATTAAACAATGAAGTGAAGTCATAGAGGACAGGAGGTGATGGTAAACAATACAATGGAACCAAAGGGAAAATGACTGCTTTATGGGTATCTCAGTGATACCAATTTACTCCTCATAATTCTCTAAGCTTTACTTTGCAAGGACAATTGGAGGCTAGAACTGCCTCACCATCACTCCTACTCCCAAAGCTTTGATAGACTTAGGAGTGGTAGTAGAAATTATAATAACGATAACATTCACAGCAAATATTTATTGCTTACTTTGTGTCAGGCACATACACATGCATCCTTCCAAAAGGGATTTCAGATGGTCTACAATAAGACAACTTCTAAGAGGGGAGGAAAAAATAGATATATATACCTTGGCTGAGGAAAGCTACAGTAAATTTGATATAGCAATAAGTGGTTTGATAGGAATTAACTCATTTTGTCATCTCTACAACCCTACGAGGTAGGTACTTTTAATAAGCCCTTTTTATAGAGAAGGAAACTAGGAAAACCAAGACTTGATTTTACATCATTGGCTTCACTTCAAAGGCTAGGGAAAACAAAAACAAAAACGAAACAACCACAGTAAGAGTCTCACTACTTACTTTCAACAATAGCAATGTTCAAGTTAATCACCAGAAAAAAAATTAGCTCTGTATGCCACCAAAAGATAGCCAAAATTGTTGTGTAGTGTCCCTCTTAACTTGGATATGTGAGTATCGCTCAGGTAAGTACCCTTAAGACAAATTCTTCCCAGAGACTGGGTCAGGAAAGGCTTTCTCCTGATGAAACTGTAGGACTCCTTCCACTTGACAATGAGAGCTATGCAAACCTTCATTTCCCCTATTTCACTGCTATGAGGAAGCTTGGGCTCAGTTTTATGCTCAAATACTATTGTTTGTCTCAGCCAGAATTTCAACTTTTCTTTTTTAAAAAATATTTGTCTTTCATTGTAAATAAACCACCTTAAGTCCCTTTTGGAAGAAGGCACGGTATAAATAAACAAAAGACAGGCTGGGCGTGGTGGCTCATGCATGTAATCCCAACACTTTGGGAGGCCGAGGTGGGTGGATTATGAGGTCAGGAGTTCAAGACCAGCCTGGCCAAGATGGTGAAACCCTGTCTCTACTAAAAATACAAAAAAATTAGCCAGACGTGGTGGCGGACACCTGTAATCCCAGCTACTCAGGAGGCTGAGGCAGATAATTGCTTGCACCTGGGAGGCGGAGGTTGCAGTGAGCCGAGATTGCACCACTGCACTCCAGCCTGGACGACAGAGCAAGACTCTGCCTAAAAAAAAAAAAACAAAAAACAAAACAAAACAAAACAAAACAAAATGCAATCCTGTTGGGGCCAAGCTAGAGATATAATTTATCAAATTACTTGACATAGCACCCTGAAATCATTGCATCTAAAAGAGAATATCCTAAACAGAATTTTGAGCAGATACTATTTTTGATGGTCTTTGTCATATTTTTCATGTCTCTCAAATAGCATTCCAAACCACTTTGGGTAAAGAACATAAAATCTAGAGAAAATTATCTGATTACTCTCAAATGTCTTCATGTTACAGGGATATAATTAAAGTTTTGAATCTTGTCCAACACTGTGCTCAAAAATAAACCAATTTAAGTCTACATTTATCAGTCAGGCTTAAAATGAAAAAAAGTTTCACTCATTTCAATTATTCACCGGTTAATAAACTATGCTTAATTTGTAGAATGTTTTTTTTTTTGCTTCCAAAATTTATTCCAGGAACACAGCCATATCTTCTCCTGCTGACTGATAAACACTATATATATTAGATCACACATAGAGAAGCCTGTTTAAGGGTCAAGATGTAGGTGATTTAATGAAAAAACCACCATCAACTCAAGGTTGCTGTTTCTGTGAGTAATTGATCTGTTCAAAAAACAAAGCGTTTCATTTCCAGAACTTTCATTACAGGTGTGACTATGATTTTTGTTTCATTTAAACATTATTATATAATGATGCATTTCAAATGCAATAGCATTTACAAAAAAGAAAATAAATTATCAAAACAAAAACAGAAAGAAGAGCCAGTAGCTGGGAAGAAGATCACAGACGTTTAGCACAAAATAATTAACTAAGAAGTCAATTCTGCTTATCCAGCAAGTACTTACAGCTCAACATTTTGCTACTTCAGTCCCATTCAATTTTAGCTTGTGACAAAACCTACACTTTTACTTCAGTTTTGTGACTTACTCTGTTTCATTATTTTATTTATTCAACAAACACTTATGGAGATAAGGCTCGTTGTATTATGCAATATAAGCATCAAACAAAGTACGTTCTTGTTCTGATACTTATTTTGCAACACTTCATGAAATTGCAAAAAGTAAATATTATATAAATTAGAATTTACAACACAGACTGGTCTATGACAAAGTAAGTAAAAATAGTCTCAATCCATGAGACTTGAAATTGAGCTGAAATTCCTTCAGGAGTCCATATGGATTAATTCAGATTTTTATACAACAGATAAGAAAAATTTATTCTTGACAGCACAGACAGCAGTCAGGTGCCCCAAGCTGGGTTATGGCCTGGTCAAATATTGCTAACATATTTTTAAAGCTCTTGCTTTGTTACAGAAACTCCGTTTTTCCTCACGAAACAGTGCGTATACCGCAACTCTTCAAATTGTACCTCAGTATGGTGTAAGGAATGTGGTGTTCCTTAGAAGCTGTGGCAAATCCCTAAATTTCTTACCTGTAAAATGGGTATACATGGAAGGCAGGTCTTCTGTGAAGCTCACACAGCATAAACTTTCGGGCATCTTCTCTAGGCCTCCATCCCAGGCCTTGGCAGGAGCCTTGGCGATACATTCACCTGGTCATATGTTTATGTACAATTTGCAAAAGCAATATATTGTCACCACAATTAGCTGAGACTGAGGTCTCTTTCCACTAGGACTTTCCCTCTGCCATTTTCCCTTCTATTGGGTGGTGCTAGGGCAGCCTGGACATGCTGTGGGATAGGGTCAGGCTTTGTGTTCCTACCCAAACCTCATCTTGAATTGTAATCCTCACTTGTTAGGGAGAGAAATGACTTGATTATGGGGACAGTTTTCCCGTGTTGTTCTCGTGATAGTAACTGAATTCTCACGCGATCTGACGGTTTTGTGTTTGGCAAGTTCCTCCGCTCACAATTCTTTCCGCTTCCTTGTGAAGAAGGTACTTGCTTCTCCTTCCACCACGATTGTTAAGTTTCCTGAGGTCTCCCCAGCCATGTGGAACTGTGAGTCAATTAAACCTCTTTCCTTTATAAATTACCCAGTCTCGCGCAGTTCTTTATAGCAGTGTGAGAACGGACTAATACACAGTATTTGCTTTTTCTTTAAGAGGACCACCCAAATTGCATAAATTGCAGGCCCCACAAAACCTGCATTACCCCCTAAGTGTGAGAATAGTACCTATTTCACAGGTGTGCTGTGAGGATTAAGAGGTAATGGACACATGGTGTGTATCAGGTGGATGTTAGCCATTATCACTACTCTGAATCTCCATCTTTCTATTATAGCAAGGCCACAGAAATGAGCATTTTATGTAATATTCTTAAAACTAAATTCTTCTCATGGAATGGGATTTTTCAACCCCAGGCAACAGGGCCACATCATGTTTTTCTTGGGCTCTAGGCCTTTTTGCCTTCGTTGAGCCCCTTACTCCATTAAAATATATATACATATACACACACACATATATACATACATTTTAAGATTGTATTAGCACAAAAACAAATATATTAATATATATTAAAATACTTTCTTAAACCTAAATTTTTTTTCCTTCTGATTTGAAAAGAAATTAAAATATTTTTTGTGGGCCTCTAAAAATATTGTGGACCTTAGGCACTGTGCCTAATGGAAAAGACAGTGACAGGATTGTGCAATATGAATAATGATAAATTTCCCAAACCATCAAGGACTCAAGAATAAGGGTAAACATCTTAAATGGGGTTGGTTTCGAGTACTTATAATAGAAAAATGTTATCCAAACAAGGTCTTAGGGGTAACAGGAGGCGTTTTTAGTGTTCAAAATACGCACATGGATGGAGTTGGCCATTAGGACGCTAATAGCGACCGTATCTAGCTGTGAAATACATATTTTTGTTTTGGGAGTCTACTTTTCAGTAAATGTCCTTTCAGGTGTTTTGTTGCCCATTTAATTACATGATCAACAAGGAAGAGTTATTTTACAAAACAAGCTTCATTTTGCCAATTTATAAATTGCTTTGGAGTTTCATCGAAAGGTCTTTAAAAAACACGTTGGCCTTGGTGCTGGTGCATCACATAAATCACAGATGAAACAAACAAGCCTGTTTCCTACTCAAGGTGTGTCTGTAGAGTCCTGACTGCGTGCCAGGGGCTCTGTCTGGCACATTTCTGAACTTTGCAAAATTAATTGTGCCGAAGAGAACACCATCAAACGCGTCCGGCATACAGCGTAAACATCTTCAGACCGTGATTCTGCGCCATCAAACGCTCTCCAGCTAATTTCATTTGGTGATTACTCTGCTAGAAAACCGAGGCCAAGTGAAACTGCGGAAATGGGAACAATGTACGGAGGAAAAATCTCACCCCATTAAGAGATCCGTTTCTTCTCCGCACAAATAAGCCCACCCCGCCTCCGAGGCAAGACTAGATGGCTCCAGGATACTCTCGGCGCGCCCGCTGGCCATCTCGGGCAGGGGAGCCCCACACCCGGCAGGAGGACCAGGACGCGAGCGGCGGCGCCTCGGCCCTGGGCTGTTTAGGTAATTCGCAAAGTCCCAACAATCATCCCCCTCTCCCAGAAGCTGGTTTTCTTGTGTGCAGTGGTTACAGAGGCGGCGAAAACACGGTTCCCCGCTTTCCTCTCCTCAAGGCACTGTTTGCAGCGGCAGCAGCGGCCGCATTCGGGGAGGCGCGGTCCTCCCCGCAGAGCCGTCGCGCACTCGGCCTTTCTCGAGGATTTGCCTGGGCTCGGCCGCCTCGCTCTCCCCTGCGCTTCCATGACCTTCTGAGAGCGGCCTCACCACCGGAGGCTCGGAGGAAGCACCACCCTCGGCGTCCGGGGCCCGTCGCGCGGCCGCGTTCCTCCGACTCCTTGGAGCACCCGCGCGCGCGGGCGCGCGGCCGGGGATCGGCGGGGGCGCGCGGGTTGGGGCGGGGCCGGGGCCGGGGGCAGGGGCGGGTCAGGGGCGGGGCCGGGCCCGCTGCGCCCCCAGCCGAGCGGCGTGCAGGCGCCGCCCCCGCGCGCCGCAGTCCCGGCTGGAGCGACTCGGCCGTGGCGGTGGCCGTTACCGTTGCCTCTGGGAGGCTCTGGCGGCGGCGGCGGCCCGCGGGGTTCGCGGAGCGCAGCGGGCCGCCCTTCGCCCGTGGCCGCCTCAAGCAGCCTCGCGCCGACACAGGGGAGGCGAGACGGCGGCTGCGGAGGCGGCGGCGCATTGTGCCCGGCCCCCTCCTTGGCGGCTCCTGCCCCCGGGCGGCTGTGGGATCTGGGCAGCCCCGGGGCGGCGGCCGAGGCTACAGAGCCGGCGGCAGGGGATGGCAAGATAGCGGCGCGGGAGCGTACCGTGAGTCCTGGGGGCGGGTGGGCGCGGCGCGGAGCAGGGGAGCCGCGGAGCCCCGAGCGGGGTCCCCAGGGGCGGCCCGGGCGGGGTGGGGCAGCGCTCCCAGCTCTGCGGAGCGTCCTAGGGGAGTGACCCCGGAGAGCGCCGCTCCGGGTCCCGCCGCTCTCCGCGCGCCCTTGGGTCACCCTCGTGTCCTGGGGGACGCGGACTCCAGCGCCCAGAACTTCTGCCCCACGCAGGGCAGTGAGTTCTGAGGCCAGAGGTTACCTGGGGGATGGGAGGGAGCTTGAAATGTTTTTCCTTCGGAGAGGTGACCTGCCAGGTGATTTCGTGCCCCTCTGCTTCAACTCCCCTTTAAACCTGTTCCTCGTCCTTTCTGTATCCGTAGTGCATTTGACTTACCTGTATTTTTATGTGCTAACTTCCGAAGGTGGTGTACTGGTTAAACCCAAAGTTAAAGTGTTGGAGGTCAAAGTTAGGCTTTGTGAAAGATGCCATTTCTGTTATGTTGTGTAAAAGCACAAAGCTGGATTCAGGAGTTCTGAGCGACACAAAACTGCACATCACGTGTTCTGAATTTACATGATTAATCTGAATTAATGTGATTTTTGCCCCCCACCCCCCACATTCCGCTACCAAAAATATATGAGGTCTTTTATTTGCAGTTGGGTATCTTTGTGTTCCTTTTTGAATGTTTAATGCAGTCAAATATTGTTATAACCTGTATTGTTATTGAGTGGCATTTATATGGAAATCGGTTCTTTGCATTTCTTTTTATGTGTCTTTAAAAGATACATTCTTTCAACAGAAAAGTTTCAGTTTAAAGTTTGTCTTCCGATTCCTGTTCAGTTTCAGATTAGTTTTTAATTTTAAAAAGTATTTGCTTGAAGTAAGATTAATGTGATATAGTAGTATCGTTTAGGCAGGGGTCCAGAAATGGTACAGAAATTAAATTTAAGGCAAACCTTTCCTTTTCACAAGTGGAAAAACCAAGGAGTTTTTTCAGCGCGAATGCTACTTGCCCTTCCCCTTACATGATTATTTTGTCACAGATCTGAAATTACATTTCACTGTTACCAGAGAGTTTCTTGTCTAAGCCTGGCAGAGAAAAGGAAGCCTAAGTATAATGTGTTTTTTAAAAACACGAGACCATTCTTTTAGTTGTCTTCTACGTTGACTTTATGCTTTATAGTCGGGGGCAACTGTTCATTTGGAAACTTCATTAGGGAGTTAGTTGCAAGCTCAATTTAAATATATGATGTGTTCCCAAGGTGATCGGAGCAGCTATTTCCTCTTCAAGAATTGAATTGAGACTTCTTTGCTTTGTAATAGGTGAGTGAGATCACTAGCAAGCCTCTTGATTAGTGGAGACTTGTATTCTCTTCTGGGGAATGAGAATCAGGGACTCTGCTGTTGAAGGAGCAAAACTTTTGTGATTTTTGAAAAATTTGCTTCTGAATGGTCATCCTTGACAAATATGTTGGTAATAGTGTGCATTTTTCTTACATTAATTGTGCAGCAGGTAATCTATTCACACTGGAGAAGATTCAATAGATATAAAAGATACGGAGTATACCTCTCTCCCATCATGTTCCACAGCTACTGGCTCCTTGTGTATGTCTTTCCAGACATAGCCTATGCTCATGTAAACATTCTGTACGTGTTCTTTTTGTTTGTATTCCTAAAGATGAGGACCCATTGTATACTGTGCACCAGCTCCCCCTGCCCCGCTTCCCTCCCCAGAGTACTAAATCATGGCAGTCTCCATTGGTATCTAAGAGAATCTGCCTCATTCTCTAACAGCTGCTGAGTACTCCATTAGGGATGGACCATAATTTATTTAATCTCTTCATTGTGATATATGTAGGTTGTTTCTAATAATTTGCTATGAAATTGTAAAGCATTAGTTTTTGAGGTTTTTAAGTGGATTTGGTTATTCCCAAAGGCCTAAAGGCAGTAGTCATTTGTTTCTTTATATCACCTTCCAGGAAATAAGTGTGCCTTCTCCCCAGCATACACTGTTTGCTTCTATATAACTTCACAGTAATCCATAAGAGTCTTTGGCATCTTTGCTGTGAAGTGGGAGCCATGATGGTCAGTAACTAAAGTCATTATTCCTTGGGTAACAACTTGGCTCTTTGTTTTAACAAAAGAAAAGAAGGAACAGATACACATTTTAAAGAATAATCTGAGGAAAAATTCTTAAGTGTTTAAATATTTTTGAACGTAGAGAGGCAGCTTGTACCTTTGATTAAATTGAAGATGAGGGTAGTTTATGTTTCATAAAATTCGGTTGCCATTAGGCACTCAAATCCCTGCCTTCTGTAGATTATCACCAGTATCTTATATTTTAATGTTAGTATAATATGGTTACAGATTTTACAGTTTATGATGGGGTTAATAACTTTTAAGGGGATGGATGCTTTTAAAACATACTTAGCTCTTGCTTTTCTTTAAAACAAAAAAATTGGGGTCTCGTCAGCATGCTCTTGAAAAAGAATAAATTGTAAAAGTAATGCTAATGCTAGAAATTGAGCCTAATACATTATAAAGCTTGAACATTAGCCAATGTTGAGCTTCAGTATTTTCATTATGCTTATTTTTGAGGGCTTTTAGGACTAGTGTAAGCTATCATAATCTTTTAAAATATATACATACATATAATATATATATATATATATATATATATATATATATATATATATATATATATAGTTTAAATGGTCCAAACTCCTCTTAGAATTTAAGGCATTCTCTTGCCTTTTATTTGGTACTGTTGTGATACAAAACTGCTAACGTTGTCTGTATTTTTTCTGAAATAGGTGTTTATTGGGCATCTGTTAATATTCCAGACAACTTTCTAGGGACTAAATTATGGCACTGCACAGGACAGACAGACCCTGCTATAATCTCAGCGAAGGAGATGGATAAGAAGCAAAGATACAATAAGTGATGGTGACTAGATAGTGCTAAGTGCTGTGAAAGAAAGCAATCAGGGTTGCATGGCAGAATGGGACAGGATGTGGGCTGCTGTTTTACATCAAGTGGCCTGAGAAGCCTCTCTGGGGTGGAGGGGTCTGAGCTGAGAGTTGAATGAGGGGGAAGAAGCCTATGATTTTGGAGATCTGAAAGAAGAGTGGCTTAGGCAGAGGGAAGGGCAAGTGCAAAGGCCCTGGAGCAGGACTGAGCCTTGCATACCTGAGGGACAGAGGACCACCTCTGTGGCTGGAGTTGGTGAAAGGAAAGGAGAGAGCTGCAGGCAGAAGAAGAGTGGGCTGGGGTTGGTGCCCATATGTGTTGCATGTCAAGAAATGTTTACAGACGTGGGAAAGATGTGAGTGGTGGAGTTCCTCTATAGGCTGGAAGCTCCAGGGGGCTAGCAACACATCTGCTTGTTACCCATTGCATTTGCAGCACCAGGAACCACCTTCATCACATAGTGGGCTATGAATAGTTATTGAGTAAATGAATAATTAGAGAATTTACGAAATAATCTTACCTGCTTTTGGTCAAAATACTTAGATTCGGGAGTCTTTTAGTTTTCCAGCTTGGCTCTGGCCTTTGACATCAGCCAATCGGTTATACTGTTATCACTTTTCTTTCAAATTATCACTTTTGTCAAACTGTTGCTTTAAGTCAATTACACTTGACTGCTCTTCCATGAAATTCAAGTGTAAAACCTTAAAAACAAACCTTTTCAGTAAATTATAGTGATTTATGAGAGATTTTCAGAAAGGTGAGCATTTTTATCTTTTATTTCCGTGGAATAGCCATTTGTATAAGTGTAAGAGTTCAAAGATGCCTTTTGTGTGTGGGTGTGTGTATTGAATGTTTTAATTCTTTGG
Organism: Homo sapiens; assembly: GCF_000001405.40. Lineage (NCBI taxonomy): Eukaryota > Metazoa > Chordata > Mammalia > Primates > Hominidae > Homo > Homo sapiens. The sequence goes on along the minus strand of NC_000005.10, from coordinate 38,552,491 downwards.
GCCAGATGACAGACTAATGAGTAGATAAAATATATGTAGGTACTTTTATTCTCACAGGAGGAATGTGTGCCTGCCCTATAGGGAATATCAATAATTTGTGGCATTTCCTTTTCCCAACTTCTAATCTGTCATTCTAAATATTAATTGAAAACTTGGGAAATGAGTTTTATGCCAAGCAATTGTTATAGATGTCTAATAAGAATCTACATCTTTCTCCTGTGACTTTTGGACTCCTGTTCCATATTAGAAGTGTTGTGATCTTCCAGAATGATGGTTTTTAACTTTTTTATTTCCTATCTTAATCAATTAATAACTTAGCATAATAAGCAGTTTCTACTTAAGACAATTTTATTTCCAACTGTTTCTCTTAAGTTCTGTGCAAATTATATGTAAAGGAGGGTTCTTTAGGTCCTCAGTCTTCAGTAAAGAAGCCTGTGTCCTTTTGTCCTGATATAGTAAAAGCTCTTCAGTAAAAGAGTAGAAACACCTACCAGTTGGGGTAAATTTAGAGGCTTAGATGCCCGAGTTAAAGTACTTTTACCAATTCCTTTACCTTTCCTTTTGTGAAATATGGGAATTGCAAATTTGTCTTACGTTGTCTAAAATGACAACACATGCATTCTTATAGGATGTTGCTGCTGGTACTGCTCAGGTGAGCAAAGATATGTGTTTGGGAGATACTATTCTATGCTTTCATGTTGGAAGTTGAGGAAAAACTTCTGGTAGGTGGATTTTTTCTATACTTTTGCACAGAGGTGAAAATCTTGGCTTCCAATCATTCTTCTGGTTTGTAAGGCAGATACAGAGAAAGAATTGGAATCATTGTTTATATGCTATATTACTAAGCGGCAGTATCCTTAGAGGCCACAAGGCGGTGATATCACTACCTAAAGTGTATGTGTGGTGCTCTTCCAGAGAATGCCTTGGAATACTGAGGCCTCTTGCAATACCTTCTTTTAACTTCTCCCCAAAGTGGGCTTCTCCAAAGACACCTTGAATCCGAGGACTGTTGAATTGTGGAACATCTGGTGGAAAATAGCAAGAGGTGACAGAAATGCTAATGGGGCAGTGAGATGTAGACTTCAGGCAGAATTGTTGTACCTGTCGAGTTGGAGGTAAGGTGAGTGGGAGAGAGATGAGAATCGCCACCAGGACTTTAGGCTGCAGCCCCTGAGGACACCCGAGTGCCACAGTAAGCACTAAGGCGCCTGCTGCATGGGGACAGGATGCCAACTGTTTCCATGCAACGGGCCTGGAGACCCATAGCCCTGCCATGCTTCATGCCTTAGTGTTTATAATGCAGTACAAAGGTGAAGGAGGCAAGACCATTGCAAAAACATCTCCATAGAAACAGTTAAAGTTAGGAGCATACATTTTCTTCTTGCTGGAACTTCATCATGACTACATTTATTCCTTGAAGTTGCCTGGATCACCACAATTTTACTGTAAATGTAAAATTGTTCTTTTGGGAGAGTCTGATTTTGTGGAAAAACTATTTAGAGCTTAAAATGCATAGCTCTTATGAATAATAGAAAATTAAGCACTTAAACAAAAATCAAGTAAAGTAGATAACTTGATTGAAAGCTGGAAGGCCCTTCAGATCCATCTGGTCAGCTTCTTAAGATAAAGAAACTTAGACCCAGAGGTGGTGTTATAATTTGCCGAAGAATCCAGGAGTCCTGATTGGCAGTGTAACCATGATCTTCGGACTCTTTAAGTGCAGGGTTCTCAACTCCTCTCTAGAACCAACAGCTCCTCAAGGGCAGGAACTTTTGCGAGATTTACCACCGTGTCCCTAGCATTAGAACAGTGCCTAGTCTATAGTAGACGTTCACATATTTGTTGAATAAGTGATTATCTAAAGGAATTTTAAGAACTTCAGATTGCCATGTTAGCTATAAGACAGTACTTATACAATCTGAAAGAATATACAGTTTTATGAGTTTCTTGTTAGAAAAATAGAGCATGTTGCTATTAAAACCCAAACTCTTAAGCCAGACAGGCAAACGAAGGTGCAGTGTTTTACATCTTAGCTTGGTACCTTTCAAAGTCTGTTATCACTGGATTTTCTAAAGCCATTCTGTTAAGTTCAGCCTACTGGTATCTGGTATCATTAAGTTTTATATTTTGTATTTGAAAACAGATGCTTTAAAATCTAGCATTTATTGTTTGAATTTTTCCCTGTTTTTTTTTCAGTTGTGCTTTATCAATAGCTCAGCTATTTTAAAAATTTATGGCCATATGGGGATATGATTGTTTAAAACCAAATCTAATCAACTGGAGGATTTTGGAAATTGTCACTTTCAAATGCTGTTGGTGGGTGTTTCAATTGTTATAACTTTACAGGAGGGCAATTTTGTATTACTCATCAGAAGCCTCAAAAATGTGCCCCGTCCCTTAGTCAGGCATGTTCACCGCTAGCAATGTAAACAAAGGAGAAACGATAAAGTATGTGTACAGTGACCAGTCTTTAGCAGTGGTTATAGTGCATTTGTGCACCATACTCCTGTCGATACCTTTCTCCTCGCAGTGATTCTTAAGAAGCCTACTTACTGGGATGTACCAAAATCTGGAGGGAGGTCCTCTGAAATTTGGAAAAAACTCACTTCCAGATTCTAGTGACCACCACAAAAAAAATACATTTAAAAAAACCCTCCTCTAATTTGCAAAAATAATTTTTGTAAGTTTTTTTTTGTGTGTGGAAACGGAGTCTCGCTGTGTTGCCCTGGCTGGCGTGCAGTGGCGCAGTCTCAGCTCACTGCAAGCTCCGCCTCCTGGGTTCACACCATTCTCCTGCCTCAGCCTCCCAAGTAGCTGGGATTATGGGCACCCGCTACCACGCCCGGCTAATTTTTTGTATTTTTAGTAGAGATGCGTTTCACCGTGTTAGCCAGGATGGTCTCGATCTCCTGACCTCGTGATCCGCCTGCCTCGGCCTCCCAAAGTGCTGGGATTACAGGCGTTAGCCACTGTAACCAGCCTGTAAGTTTGTTTATAATAGTTATAAACTAGAAACACCTTAAATGCTCAATAATAGGGGGACTCATTAAATGAATTGTGGTGCATACATGTGATAGAATACCCTTTCTTTAACAGTGATGTAGGGGAATATTTATAGATGTGGAAAGATACTCAATATTTGTAAACTGAAAAAGCAGATTGTAAAACATATGGGTACGTTGATCCTTGTTTTTGCTTATGGAGTGTGTGTGTGTGTGTGTGTGTGTGTGTGTGTGTGTACAATTTTCTACATATTATGTAGTAAAATGCCAGGAAGACTATAGGCCGAATGTTAGGTGATACTGTCTTTCATGTGTGGAAATTACAATTGACTGTTATTCTTTTTACTTTCCTGGATTTCCCACACATAAAGCATGCCGTGTGGTGAAGAGTCTTGGATCAGATCCCATTTCCCATTTGCTACTACTGGTTGTGTGAACTTGGGCAAGTTTTGTATTTCCTTATCTGTGAAATGGGGATAATAATATCCAGCTCACGGTGCCCACATGTAGTATTTAATAAACGTTACCTTGATCTCACTGATCTGATATGGTGATTAAAGCCAGTATTCTATTCTTAATACAGAATTTCCAAGCAGAATAATTGTGTTATGTAAGTTTTATCAAACTGTTACGGAAAGCATTTCAGGGCATTCTGACAAACTATTTTGTTGCTTCTGGTCACTGGGAAATACTTTGTCGAGTTTTATTTACTTTAAAACTGAAATGCCTTCCATTGCCAATACATTTTATTTTGAATTGAAGGCATTTTTCTTCTTTTTCTGTTGTTGTCTTGAATAGTCCTGTATAAATTTTTGAAGGTCAGGGTCTGATCTTTCTTTCCTTTTATAGAGGTGTTAGAGTGGGATGTGAGTCATTCAAGTCACTGTTGAGTGCCTTTTCTTTAACAGGCACTAGGTAGGCATCAGATTTGCAGCAGTGTCCTGGACCCACATGTCTCTGCCCTGTGAATGACATATGGAAGTGACCAATGTGGTTCAAAGCCAGGAGGCCCACTCAATAAATAGATAGTTACTGCAGTTAAGTATCAAGTAGTTCTCATTTTCTCTCCTCTGATTTTAAAAGGAATTTTGTTGTGATGTTACATCTTACTGAACACAAACATTGCCTCCTGCTTATTCAACAAACTACTGTATATGAGGAACATACTAGGTTATTTCACTTCGTTGACATTCATGAATGATTTAGTGATGACTTACATTACACAAGTGTGAGAATATCCTAGGTTAATAGGCTTAAAATTGCTACTATATATCTTCTGTGAAGGATAATCTTTCATTATCTTAAGTATGACCTCATGCCTTTTTGAGATTATCTTTTGTAAAATTATTGAAAATGAGCTCCTCCTAGCAAATCTAGGATGCATGGAATTTATGGCTATCCCACTTGAGAAATTCTAGCACATGATCTTACTGAGAGAGAGTGGCAATAAAGCATTTATAGTCGTGTACCATAGAAAGATGTTTAGGTCAGTAACAGACCATATATATGATGGTGGTCTCATTAGATTATGATACTATATTTTTACTGTACCTTTTTTATGTTTAGATACCCAAATACTTCCGTTCTGTTACAGTTGCCTTCAGTATTCAGTACAGTAACGGTGCACAGATTTATAGCCTTAGGAGCAATAGGCTATTATACCATATAGCCTAGGTGTCTAGTAGACTATACCATGTAGGTTTGTGTAAGTACACTCTATGATGTTCACACAACAACAAAATTGCCTAGCACGTCTCTCAGAACTGTATCCTTGTCATTAAGCACACGTGACTATATTTAAAAATAATGTCTCCATTTGACAGTGTGTAAAACTACATTAGTTTTGTAATTAGTTTTATGTAGGGACTTTTTTTTTAAAGTTGGCAACTGTTCTAAATATTTTGATAACATGTAGACCCTCAGTAGTCGTGAAAGATACGTCTTGGAATCTATGACAAATACTGAGCTTGCATTTTATTTTCCTCATACGGCCAAATAAAAAAAAGAAAATTTCTTGAGTCATGTTTTCATGTTCCTGTGTAGAATTCATGGTAGGATAAGTTACATCACAGGTTGTGTAACCAACAGCAAAGTCACCATTTTACTTCTTTTTTTGCTTTAATAAATTAGCCATATTTTGAGAGGGTGTAAGTTAGGGGAAGAACAAATTTAGGAGAGTTATGAATCAAGAATCATTTTTGGACACAGTTTAAGATACGTGTGAGACTTGCAGGTGACAAGTTGTGCATATAGATATGTATTCTATCTATCTCGTCACACTGGAGGTGACAAGACTTGCAGGTGACAAATTGTACATATAGATACATATTACTTCTATCTCACATTGTTCTACCCCATACCATTGCCTTACATGGACTTTACTCCCCTTGCCCCCACTGGAACTGGCAGTTAGCTTTCTTTTGGGGGTGTTGGGGATTTACTTTTCACAAAGAAACACTGTATGAGCTGCACTGAGTATGTAATGGTGACTGGAGAGCAACCAAGCTGTGTTGACATGTAGACATTGGGTCGCTGGCTAGACTTAGGACTTTGCCAACTCACCCTTTCCTGAAGGCCAGCTTCAATAAAATTACAGATGACTGTTTTGAAACTTTTTCAGCTCACAAATAGTCAAAGCTGTGAGTGCTGAACTCAGTACATTCCACAGGCTGCATTGCTGGGATCAAAAACTCAAATGCTTACAGGGACAGTGGACGTTACATAAATGGCAGAAGTGGGCCTGTCCTGCCTTTTGTCTTTATGCTTTTGATATAGAGACAATCAGAAATATATCACTTTCTCTTTAACTCTACTGCAAGATAGACAACATTGACAATCTAGATGGTAAATGGCAACTGGAACTTGTCTCAGTTTTGAAGACCAGTAAGGAAAGGTGAGAACTATGAAAAACTCCAGAACACATGTTCTTAGGAAGGAGTAACTGCTCTTACCTGGAGTTGATTGTTATCCTGTGAGATGTGGAATGAGTATTTCCAGAGCTTCTTAATTTTGATTTTTAAACACTCCATTTTGCAATATTGACAAATAATTCAAGGGTTTTTAAATTTTGTTTTTTTTATGTATATGGTTCAAACAAAACACATCTAAAGGCAAAGCCTGCCAGTTTTAAACTATGGTAGGTAACATTTCTTTGCCCATCTTTTCCTTCACTTTTTTCATATAGTTCAGGTCATACTGGATATTCAGTTTTGTTCCTTATCTTTTCATGTAATGGCGTATATATGTTTCTTCATGTTGCTAAAAATTCTTTAGTATGTATTGATGACTGTGTAACATTTTATTCTCTGGATGAACCATAACTTGAGCATTTACATTGTTTTAAATTTTTCCAGTTCGTAATTAAAGTTACAGTAAATATATTTAAGCATAAAGCTGGATTTTTCCCCTTCTCCAATAAATTTCACATTCTTCCCTTAAAATTGGTTTATTGAGTCAAAACAACTAAATATCTTTAAGACTTTTGATACAGTTGAATTTTCTCCACATTTATTTGAATACTAGGAAATAAAATATTTGTTCATTTTATTAGCTGGTTTTATTTTGTGATTTATCCATTATTTGATTTTACATTGGATTTTTTCTTTTTTTTTTTTTTTTCTTTTTTTTTGAGATGGAGTCTCGCTCTGTCACCCAGGCTAGAGTGCAGTGGCGTGATCTCGGCTCACTGCAAGGTCCACCTCCCGGGTTCACGCCATTCTCCTGCCTCAGCCTCCCACATAGCTGGGACTACAGGCGCCCGCCACCATGCCCCGCGAATTTTTTGAATTTTTAGTAGACACAGGGTTTCACTGTGTTAGCCAGGATGGTCTTGATTTCCTGACCTCGTGATCCGCCCACCTCGGCCTCCCAAAGTGCTGGGATTACAGGCGTGAGCCACCGTGCCCTGCCCTGGATTGTTATTTTTTTAAACATAAGTAGCTTTTTAAAAATTATAAAAGTAAAAATGCTCATTTTATAAAAATTAAGGAAGCTCAGGGAATATAAGTAAAAATACAAAAAAAAATTTTAGTTTCACCATTCAGAGATAACCCCAGGCAACATTGTTACATATCCTTCTAGATTAATTTCTGTGCATATATATATGTGTATACACACACACACATACACACACACACACATATATTTATGTCTACATCTCCAAATATGTTAAACCGTATGTACATTCTGTCTTGTAACATGATTTAATTTTTTTTTTTTTTGAGACGGAGTCTTGGTCTGTCACCCAGGCTGGAGTGCAATGGCGTGATCTTGGCTCACTGCAAGCTCCGCCTCCCGGGTTCAAGTGAGTCTCCTGTCTCAGCCTCCTGAGTGGCTGAGACTACAGGCGTCCGCCACCACGCCCGGCTAATTTGTGTGTTTTTAGTAGAGATGGGATTTCACCATATTGGCCAGGCTGGCCTTGAACTCCTGACCTCAGGTGATCCACAGGCTTCAGCCTCCCAAAGTGCTGGGATTATAGGCATGAGCCACTGTGCCTGGCCATGATTTAAGTTTTTTAACTTATATTAATAATCTTCCATGGTGCATAACTGCACACTAGATTCAGTTTATTCATCCATTATTCAGTTTACTTAACAAATATTTACTGCACACTTTTTGTGTGCCAGGCAGTTTTTCTAGCTCTTGGGGGCTATAGCGCTGAAGAGGAGTGCTGAACAGGAGCCTGCTCTCTGTCTCTTCCTCCCCACCTATGCTGAACTCTCAGGTCATGCTGGATATTCAGTACTGGATACTCATAGAGCTCAGCATCTAGGTGGGGAGGGAGGGACAATAAGTCAGGAATTATGTATGCATAGATACCTCTAGGTATTGATGTGTACGCTGAAGGATATAAAATAGGATACCACAAGGAAGAGTGAGCAGTGTGTGGTTGTGGTGCGGGATTTGGGGGAGGGAGGCAAGCAGGGAATTGTCCCCCTTTCTAGGTGATGAGTAGAGGCCTTCCTGAGGAAGTGAGTGTTAATTTGAATGATGAGAAGAGTCAGGGGAAGGTGATTCCCCATGATAGGAATGACAAGTGCCAGGGCCCTTGGTGGATCAAGCTTGGTGCATGTGAGGAATGGAAGAAGGCCCTGGAGGAGACTGGAAGCCGGTGACCAAAGGAGAGACGTGTATGTGAAGAGTGTGGAAGGGGATGCAGGACAGAGAGTGGGGTGTGCTTATAAGGAGAATCCACTAGACGGTTTTAAACTGGGGAGTGACATGATCTGATGGCTGTTTTTGAAAGGTTCTGCTTTGTGCGGAGTGGATTGGTGGGGAGCAAGACTGGAAACAAGAGGACCACTTCAGAGGCTCTTATAGCAGTTCAGGCAAAAGAGGTTGGTGCGCTTAATTTGGGGGTGGCAATGAGGATGATGGGTGTTTTTTCCTTCGGCATGCATTTGAAGGTGTAGCAGCTGGTAGTACATGGGGAGTGGGTAGAGGCCGATAGGGAAGGAAAGGAATGACTCAAGGGTGACTGCTAGGTTTTTTTGCTTGAATAAATTAGCTATATTTTGAGAGGGTGTAGGTTAGGGGAAGAACAAATTTAGGAGGGTTATGAATCAATCAGTTTTGGACATAGTTCAAGACACCTATGAGACTTCCAGGTGACAAGTTGTACGTATATCTGGAGAAAAGTCAGGTAGAAAGTGGCATATAAATCTGGGAGGAAGGAAGGGTAAGATAAATTTTTAAATTACCACATATAGATTTTAATTAACATGATTGAGAAATTATTAAGAGTACAGAAAGAGAGAAGTGGGCTGGAATGCATGCAGAGATGTCATCTTCTTTACTCAATCCCAAATTGATGAACATTCAGGTTATTTCATTTAAATTATAAGTGCATTTAGTGAACACACCTTTGAAATCTTGTCTGATATCTCCTGAGGAGAATTTCCTAGAAGTAGATCATAAGTTGCATGTGAAGTGCTTGAATGGAGCCTACCACATAGTGAGCTCTTGATAAATATTTGTAGCCTTGGTTTATCTTCATCATTCTTACTGTTATTGAGTGAAAGGCTTTCAATTGGAAAGACAACATAATGGCTCACAATTCAGACTCTAGAGTCATAATTGCAAGTCTAGGTTCAAATTCTGGCTTTGCTCCTTACGAGCCACAATACTTTGGATAAGTCACTTAATCTATTTCCTCATGCATGCCATGTGAAAAATACCAAACCTCTTTGGAGGGTTGAGAGAGTACAGGTTAAGTGCTTGGGCCTCCCTGGAGCATGTGGCCTGTGGCTTTACACAACTACAGGTTGGGTTCCAATTTCTCCACATTGTCCAGGGTAGTATCTAGTATCATTCTTATTAACCTTTTCCAATCAGTAGAAATATGGTTTCACGTCATTTTCATGTTTATTGCCTATTTATATTTCTTAGTATGTGAGTTGCATATTTTTATTTCTATTGAAGGTATTCATCTTGCTTTAGCATCTTTTTTAGCCATTTGTATATCCTAAGTATAGTGACACTTGTCATATTTGTTGCACATATTTTTTCCCAGGGAAAAAATCTTCATTGTGCTCAGTTTGGTGAGAAAGATGGTTTTATAAATCATTGCTATATAATATTATATGTAGTAATGTAAGCATATGCATTACGACCTGAGAACACTGGGGAAGGTTGGATTTGGAACAGTGTGCACTGAAATTTGAAGGACGAGTTGATATTTGTTAAAGGGACAAGGAAGAGTGGAGTGGGAAGGACATTCCAGGTAGATGATCTGTCTGTGCGGGAACACTGAGGCACCACAGAGCCTGACATGTTTACACATTTGGTGGAACTTAAGCACGGGGCCACTGTGAGGAGGTGCACAGAGATGGCACTGGGGACTTAGGCTGGCATGAAAAAGCTAGAGCCTCATGCCCTGTTCAACTTGGGACCTTTCCCTGTAGGCCAGGGAGAGCCATGGAGGATTCTAGGCATACAAAACTGAATTTGTGCTATGGGAGGATCAGAAGTCCTGAGACCGGTTAGAAGCATTGCCTTTGTGCAGGCTGAGGGAAAGAGGCCCCAACTAGGCCCGACTCTGGAGGTTTGTCCTTATTTACCTGGTAAAGTTGAGGGAGTGGCACAAGTGGTAGTCATAACTAGAGGCATCATGCTGCCTCTACCGTCTTCTATCATGTCCTTTTTATAAAGCTTCTGATTAAACTTACATAATAAAAAAGGATTTGTTATTTAAAGCTCTCAAACACAGATTTATTGATGCCTTACCCTCAAGTTGCTAAACGTTCAAGTGTCCCCACATGTGGGTACTTCTTCTATGAAATAGGTAGTAGCTGGCACTTATGGTGAGATGGGATTTACTAGAGTAAGATTTACATTGAGCAAGAATTTATGATGACTTGGGCAGTAATAAAACCAACAATCATAATTTATGTTTCATGTTAATACTTTGATATTAGATTATCTACTTATTTTTCAAACTAAAATGAATCCTCCAATTTTAATACCACTGGAGGACACGATTTTAGACATTATGTGTCTGATAAAGTGAGAAGACAAAAAAGTAGTCCTTCTTAATATTTTTATGGCCATCTTACAATATTGGCCCAGCTTATTAACCTTTTTTTGTGGTTTTCCCGTGTGTTGCTGCTAAATCATATCTCCTCCCATCTGTATTTGTTCATTTTCTGTGTGTTATTGTTATCAACATTATCATTTCATTTTGGACCCTGACATCCATGCTGAATTTATTTTATTGGATTTATTTATTAGAATCCTATTATTACACCCTGTATATTTGCTATTTTGCCCATTTTTTTCCATCCACAGATAAGTTGGATATGATTCCTATATCTTCATGCAACTCATTAATGAAGATACCAAGAAAAACAGAAGTTTTTGATATCTGTCTATATCACTTTTGTCCAGGTTGACATCATCCTATGAATTAGCACTCTGAGTAAGGTTGATCATGTGATAAAAGCAGCCTCTTCACTCTGTTTACACAGCTTGAATTTCTTTACCTTGCTAATACTCATCTTTCATGTATTAGAAAAGATTTTGTTCAAACAGAGATACATTTTGTTGTTTCTGATCCTTGCTTTTCCCAGTACAACAGCTTATCAAGTCGAGGCTAAGGATGGGCTGACGTGCATGGGTCTGAGGTTTTCTAGGATTCCTTTCTTAGTACTGTTGATCATCTTATCCAGGATCAGTTATCAAGCTCACAGGCCTCTGTGTCTGTAGGATTTTATTTCTTAACAAGAATGCCCCTTTCTGAAATAGCTTTGCCAAATATCAGTTATTTTAGGTGCTGTTATGTTTTTCATATGCTGTTCCACTCTTACATAGAAGATGTTTCACCTGCTTAGATGTTGTAGACCGTGGTCTGAAGCCAGAGCTAAAGGCTTTATTTTAGTTGTTGTTTTGAGAAGCATAATCTAAGATGATGCTTAAGATTTTGATATCTGGGGTTAAATAATGTCATAAAGAAAAAAATTTTGAATTATTTTGGAGTGGAAAGCTTCAGATTCTGACCCTAAAGAATGTTAAGAAAGCATTCAGGCACATTTTGGTCAACATCTGTGCATTGAAATCTAGGTCTTAAAACAGTTTATATTTTAAGATTATTTCAGCAGCAAGACAAGAATTTTTTAATGCCAGTACATTTTGTGACAGGTTAACTGGCTCCCTAAGAACTATATTTGGCTTGCAAATGTATTTTGTTTGGCCCACATAGTGTTTTTTTTTTAATTGGAATTAATTGCCAGCATTTAAAAATAAGGATATTTCATAATAATAATAATAAAAAAAACTAAAAAAGCAACAACCTGGATTTCCTGCCCTTTTGGAAAAACTGGAAGATCTGTGGCTGTACTGGCCGCTCGTCCTCTGTGGTGTAATACAGACACAAGGAGCTGGCGAGGGGCTGCCCGCCAGCCTGTGTCATGTGAATGGCTCCAGTCATTTCATCTGGCTGGCTCTTGGAGTATGTTTGAGTTTGCACCTGCTGAGTTGAGAGCTTAACCAATTAAAAGTGTACTTAGAGTTGGAAGGAGAACAGTAAGATGGCAGTTATTTTCCATTTGTTCTCTGAACATAGACTGTCTGATCTTTGTTATAATGTGATTAGTGGAAGTGCTTGGTAGAGCAGGTGGTGTTTCCCCCAGCAACAGTATTCACCGGACAGGTCGGGGGAGAGCTGAATTTCTAATCACATTGTACATCTACCAGTTTGTTCCTGCAGGTGACAAACAAGGTTTTCTGAAAACAAAACAACCGTAAGTTTCTTATGATACTTAAAGTAGGGAAAGCAGGTGCTGGGTCTTAGTTGTGTAATTTGAGAGCTAAGACCTGAGATGTTAGGTGATTTATCTGCGAGCCCCTACCTGTCACCTATTCAGTGGTAGAATAGGGACTGGAGTCCAGGACTCCTGACTCCAGCTTAGTTGCTCATTTTACAGTTTAGTATAATGGCCTGGAGCTGAGATTTGCAGTCAGAGTTGGCTACAGATCCCACTTTGCTCCTTACTAGCTGTATGACCTTTCTGTGCCTCAGTTTTCTTATTATAAAAAGAGGGAAATAATATGAATAATACCGACCTTATAGGATTGATATGAAAATTAAATCCAATTTTTCATTGAAAGAACTTAGAAAAGTGGCTGCTCCTTAATAAACAGTATTTAAATAATGCATAATATCTGAAATATATGTATAAATTATATTTTACATGGTAGAGTTAGCTAAAACCAGCTTGTTACCTAGATAGAATTATTGTGTAATTAGTATTTTTCCCCCTCCTAGAATTTAGAAAGGCCTTTAGGGATAGTTTTACTCTATGTATTACCCCCCCCAAAAAACCAAAAAAACTTCAATTTGAGCCAGTATTCTTTTTATTAATGAATTTTTGTATAGCAAACAGGTTCATTGAAAAGCATAAAGTTTGTCAGCTTACTCTTCAGAATGTAGACAAATAACTGAATGGTATGAAAATATTTTAAGTCCTCACCGAGGACTCTATTTGAATGGATTTGCTTCAGTCACCAAATAAATCTTGTACGTGTGGTGGATATAAAGCACTCCTAGACTATGGATTTTACAAAGATAAGGCTCTGATCTTAGCTTATAGTGGAAAAGAGGGTGGAAGGAAGGGAGAGAATGATTTCCATAATACCTGGTATGATAAGAACAATGCCTAAAGGGGAAATTGATGTCCAGTGGGAGCATAAACAGAGCACTGTGTCTGGTTGGACATAGTGGTCAGCATGAGAACCAAGAGGAAGGCCGGGCGCGGTGGCTCACACCTGTAATCCCAGCACTTTGGGAGGCCGAGGCAGGCGGATCACTAGGTCAGGAGATCGAGACCACGGTGAAACCCCGTCTCTCCTAAAAAATACAAAAAATTAGCCAGGCACAGTGGCAGGCGCCTGTAGTCCCAGCTACTCGGGAGGCTGAGGCAGGAGAATGGCGTGAACACGGGAGGCAGAGCTTGCAGTGAGCCGAGATCGCGCCACTGCACTCCAGCCTGGGTGACAGAGCGAGACTCCGTCTCAAAAAAAAAAGAGAGAACCAAGAGGAAGAGATGCCCCTAGGAAAGGAGTAGAGGAGGTGGAAGAAGATTGCGGAATAGACGTGTGAATTTTAGTGTGGACGGTTGTCTGAGCTGTTGGTGGGCCAGCCTTCTGATATTTGGCCTGGAGCTTCAAAGAATGATAGGGTTAGTGATATAGATGCTATTTAAAGCTTTGCAACTCACTATGGAAGATGGATTGTGTGAGGCCCTTGCCAGAGGGTTGTAAATTACGTATGCCAGAGAGTGAGGAGGGCCTCAGCCTCCAGAGCAGTAGAAATGGACTGGAGGGAGAGGATGGGGAAAGAGTCAAGGCATGTTTTAGGTAAAAGTGGCAAGTCAGGTGGGAGGTGTGAGGAAGAAGGAAGAGTCAGGGTTACTCAGAAGACACTGGTGCCATGGGCTAAGACGGGGCTACAAGAGAGCAGGTTTGGAGGGGAAAGTGAGCTTAATTCAGTACATCTGGAGTTTTTGAGGAATCTGAAATATCCAAGTGGATATGAAGCATCAGAATATTTTGTCATGCCTGAAGGAACCTTACTTGAGTGGATTTGTCTAAGTAAGCAAGAAATTGTCTAGTGAATGGTTAATCTGTAACTGGGAAGAGGCCAATCCTGGGAACACGGATTTGGAAGTAATTAGCATACAAGTGATGTTATAGCCACAAGCACAGATAATACTGTTCAGTCAGGAAGTGAAGGATAGAAGGAGCAGTAGGCTAAGGAGTCCCACCAAGGAAGCTAAGTAGGAATAGAATCTGAATGGCATCTCAAGTCAGTGAGAGAAGGAATGGATTACCTAATAAGTGGTGTTGGGATAAGTGGTAACCACTTAGAGGGAAACAGAAAAGGTGGGTCCTTGACTCAACTGTACACTGAAATTAATTTTATATGGCATGAAGCTTAAAATGTGAAACACCTTAAATGTACTTGAAGGCAACATCAGGACAATTTGCATAGTCCCGGCATGAGAAAAACCTTTATGGTTAGAAACCACAAAGGACAAAATAGAGAAATCTGATCTAGTAAGAGTTAAACAAAAGACTCACTGGAAAGTAAAAGCGATTGGGGAATCTATTTGCTATGTATGTAACAGAGTTAATATGCATATTAAGATTTTTTTTCTTAGCAATCATTAAGGAAATGATTAATGCCCAATTAGAAAAAGGAGCAAAAGAGAATAAACAGCTTATAAATAAAGCATTGCAAATTATCAATAAACATATGAAAGGATATTTTAATTACGCAATAAAAAGAAATGCCATTTATGGCCCAACAGAATAATTTTTTTTTTTAAAGACAATCCTTGGTATTAGTGAGAAGTACTGGGAAATGGAGATGTTCCTGTTTCTTTTTAGAGATAAGTTTTCGTCATGTTTTCCTGCATGTTAAAGATTTATTGGAGGAATGTTCTTCAGGTTGTTTAATAATAGAGCACTTCATCGTTAAAAGGGAAGAAACAAGTTCATTCGTTTGGTAGACTTTTATATTTATTGAAGACTGTTACATACCAGTCACTCTTATAGCGTAGTTGAAGTGGGATATGAGTAGTCAGATGTTACTCTAAAGTATGATAGCGTGAGTCCCGAAAGATGGAAGAATGGGAAATATAGGAGACATTGCAGGGGGCACTCCATTGGAGGCAGTGGTTTTGGGAGAGGCCTTGAGACCAAAGGGAATGTGGAGTGTTTGGGGAGCTGCTGCGGTATGGAGAGGAAGGGGTTCATGGCCGTCTCGAAGGGCTGTGCCCACAGTATGGAACTGGAACTGTGTGTTGAAACAGTGGAGAGCCTTTGGAGGATTTTAAGCATGGAAGTGATGTATTCAAACTTGTTTTGACATGCTGAGGTTCATAATGGACTGGCTCTTGAATTAACAGGGAAGTCCACACTGCAATGGAGATTACTAAAACTGACATGGAGGATCCTGAAAAAGAAAAACTTTGGAAGACAGTCTATTTTTAAAAGTTCCCAGGAAATGCAAAGGAATTAAGAAAAAAAAATTGACAAGATTATTCTATTTGAATAATAGACCAAAAAGTTATTTTGGGGAATGAATATCCTGCATTATGCACAGTGATAGATTTGTCTTTATAATGTAGCAAATGTTAAATTTCAATATTATTTTCCTACATGCAGAACGCATATTGAAGTATGATACAGTGGAATCCCTAAGCAGCCAAGCTATCCTCTAACTCAGGTCCCCAGACTGTCATAGTTCACAGTGCCCGTCGTGTTTTGTTAATGTTTTTTATGATGCTTGTAGTCAAAAGAATTACCTAACAGTTCTCTTTATGAAATAGCTGGGTCCAAACAATTTAATGAGTATTTATGATCAAGCACTTTAGTAGCAGTTTGAAGAAATAACGTGTATCCACTTAAAAGGAAAAATATAATTGTCCCTCTATCTCTGTGGGGGCACGTTCCAAGACCTTCACAGATGTGAAAATCTTTGGATGCCAAGTCCCTAATATAAAATGGTGTGGTATTTGTATATAACCTGTGCTTATCCTCTCATATGATTTAAATCATCTCTAGATTACTTTAAATCATCCCTAATACAGTGTTAATGCTATGTAAGCAGTTGTTAAACGGTACTTTTTTTTTTACTGTTTTTTTATTGTTGTACTGTTGTCTTTTATTGGTTTTGTTTTCTGAATATTTTCAATCCAAGGTTGGTTGAATCTGTGGTTGCAGAACCCTGGGATATGAAGGGTCTATGGTAGTATTTTTATTTCATTCTTAAAAAACCTTAATTACTGATGAGATGTGTGAAGCTATTGAGTACTGCATAGCTTCCCAAATCTTGGAAACCAGCACCCTCATTTCCATTTCTACATTGATTTGTTTGGGTAGTACTTGTGTTTTATCCCAGCAATTACTAGTCCCTCCCTCTCTTCACCAAAGATAAAGATACGATGTCACACAAAAAAATGTAGCATGAGCAAATATTGAAACTGTGGACTACCTTGAACTAACGGTTTTCAGAGTGTTGGACAGATGTCACTTTATTTCCTTCAAAAACTTAGATATTCTGTGATAGCTCTGTCAGTTTGCTTTGGTGTCTTGGGGTGCCTCAGTGCAGTTTGGGAGCCAGAGCTTTAACTTGGGTTCCTAGTGTTGGCAGTACCTGGGTTAGCATGCAGCCTAACAATGAAAGTATACTGTGTGGGCATATAATAATTTGTGCCTTGGTATTCATTCAGCCAGCTGGCTTAGAGTTTTTGGTGTCTGCTTTGTGCCAGGTACTGCTTGGACACTGAGGGTTACAGTGAACTCGGATGTGTTTGCTCTCAAGGATCTGACGGTCTGTAGGGAGAATTATAAGATTAGGAAGTGAAGCAGTAGAGCAGAAGTCAGCAAACTCTTTCTGTAAAGGGCCAGGCAGTAAATATTTTAGGCTTTGTGGACCATTCAATCTCTATCCTAGCCACTCAGCTCTAACATTGTCATGGGAAAGTAGTCATAGGTTATACTTAAACTAGTGGGCGTGGCTGTGTTCTAGGAAGATTTACAAAATCAAGAGGCGGGTAAGATTTGGCCTATGGAACATGAATTGTGCAACCCCATGACATAAATATAATTAAAGTGTTGTGGAAGCAGCAGCAGATGGCATCTAACCTGTGGACTCTCAGAGGCAATGACAAACATACCTCCTGCTAGGAGCATCACTGCTGACTTGAGGAGGGTGCAGATGAAATTAGCAAGAAGGGAAAAAGGGTGCTGGCCTAAGGAGTCCTGAAGGGTCTGGCAGCTGTGGAATGGCAGCCATTTTAGTGTGGCCCGGACACACAGCAGAGGCAGTGTGCAAGGCCTCTTTCTAGGTTCTGACTCCAGTTGTATGGATTGTATATTTTCTCTCTTGTTCTTTTTTGTTTTGTACCTCATTTTGGTCAGTCATGTCCTGCAGTAGCTTCCAGAGAATGGGTACACGGAAGGTGATACATCTTTTGACATTTTGCATGTCTTTGTAAAATATATGTTATCCACTCAACAGTTTGAGTATAGAATTCAAGTGTGAAAATAATTTTCACTTGTATTTTGGAAGGTGTTCTTTTTAGCTTTTATTGCTAAAAAGTCTGGTGTGTTCCTCCCCTTCTCAAGAATATTTATGGGTCACACACCCAGTGTCTCATGTACACCCGTAACCTGCTCTGGAGGTGGTGCTGTCACCATCCCTGTGTTACAATGGGGGTTTGTCCACACTCACACCGCAAGTCACAGAGGCCTGACTTGACTAATTTATTCTGATGTTGTTCTTATTCCTGAGCCCTTGTGTATGGCCTCCACTCCCTGGAAACTTGTAACATCTTTGATACAGATATTTTGATATTCTCAGTGATGCATCTTGGTATCAGTCTTTTCAGATTCCTTGTGCTGGGTTATGTGGGCTCTTTGAGGACTAGATTTTTGCTAGGACTAGACCTATATACTGATAAATTTTGCATACATCTTTGTTACTGCAGCTATGTCCTAGTTAATCTCCTTGAAACATCACTTTGTTCCAGCTTCCCTCTTTCTGAAAAGCTATTCATGCCTTCCTGTGCAGTCTAGTCTTCCCAGATAGAACTTCTCAGTCTGGCCAAGTGTATGTTTTTCGTAAGTATTTCTTTCTTTTAACTTGAAGAGCCCCTACACTTCACTTCAATAACACAATGGAGTCTACCAAACTGCAGAGTTTATGATCCTGAAAAGCCTTCTTCACTGGGAGCTAATGCTGGAGGAATTTAAGATCTTGTGGGAGGGAAATGGGATAAGGAAAATAGTTGCTGGTCAAAGTTTTTAAACAATGTTGATGTTTCCTCCTAGGAAACAGTAAAGAAAGGGACACTAGGAAGAATACAAATGAGCAGTGCGGGTACTGTTTACTGCCTGTGTGATTGCACTTGTTTTGCTCAACTCCCAGCATCTCCACTCCTGTGGATGGGTGACCCACTCGTAGGCTTATTTACCTTTACAGTAGTTCAGAGTCTTTTCTCCCTCGAGTGTTCCAGCTTAGTATTTAATTTCTTTTGAGAATTAATGACAAGGGAGTCATCTTATTGTATGGCAAAAAGATAGATTCTTGAGATAAAAGATGCTTTGGGCTGTCTTGATTCCTTTCACCCTGACTGTGCAGGTGTTGCCTGAGGCCTCCTTCTGCACACAAGGCTGGAGGCCTCAGTGCCACCAGGCTAGGTTCGTGCCAGCAGGACATGCTAACTCACTCTCTGTCACGTTTCCTGATCTGTCTCTACCTACCTGTCCCCACCACCGCCACCATATTTATGTATATAGAGAGGGGTTGGGGGACAGGGGAACAGAGACAAAATAAGCAACAAAATGTGTTGGGACTAGTTTCTGGTATTTAGCTTTACTTTTCTCAACTCTTTTTTTCTAATTTTCTTCGGCAGAAAAGCCCTAAACCTCATGTACACTGGAACCAGAATTCTCAAGGTTGAGAAAAATACAAGTCAAAGTACATGTGTGAACACTCATCTTCACAAACAAGGCCTTTAAAAGCTCAGGGGCCCGTGTTGACAGGACTGAACTTTGCCATGTGGGGCCCCAGGCTCAAGTTCTGCCTGTGCTTTATGATGGTCTAAGATTGAAGTCAGCATATGTGTAAAGAAATAGAACCAGATATTTTTCTTTCCATTCAACAGTCTTACAGATTTATTCTGCATGATTACTTTTCTTTAGCAGAAGGGTTTATTGACTTTTTAAGTCCTTTAAAATAATTAGTATAGGAAACAAACTGGTCACCCTTGGGCAGGAAGGATACTGCCCATGAGCATATTTTGTCTGGCCTTTAGAATGTGTAAAACATATGCATTATTTTCTCACATTTACAAACTTTGGTGTTTCATTTAAAATGCCAGATTTCTACCTCATCTGGAAAAATCAGCATATTTGGCAAAATGAGGCTGGTGGCTGCCACTTTTATGCTAGGCAGAGGGGCTGCAGTTTGCACCTGCTGTGAACACGTTTGTTACTTGCTTTGCCCCTGCATATTTGCATTTGCACCCTGTTGCTGCATCCTAATTTTGAAAGTTAGCTCCTGAAATCGTATAAAAATTTGTGCTCCTCTAAGGAATAAGGCATTGACAGGGGAAAAAAGTGAATTCTGACAATGTTTCTATCAGGAGTGAGCAGAGAAAAGCTTCACAAGCATCACTTTTTTTCTGAAAGTACTTCGGAAGGCTCTGTTCATGTATTGTTCTGGCCCACAGTAAGTCCATTTGAAAGTTTTGCTTGGTGGGGAAGTCTGATGTGTTATAAGCACAATATTGTATTGCCCAAATAGACTTGCCCAGAATTCTCTGTGTAAATGTATCACACCAGAAAGTCTTCTTTATTATCCTGCTTAAGTTAAGCAGGCTTCAGTGACACTGCCGTTGATCCTTCTGTCCCTGGGCATCGCCTTCCTCCTGCTTACTGACCTCCTCAGCAGAGTCTTTGATCCGTGGCTGTTGCTGGCATAGGCTTTGTGCGAGCTCGCTACTGTCTGCGTGCCTGTTCCCTGCCAGCAGGAATGGAATATTACAGCTTCGCTTTGGGAAGTCTCTTATGTGGATCCTGAATAGAGAGCATGCCTCTCTGCTCCAATGGTTGAGGCTGAAGCAGGGAGGGATTAAGTGATTTACCCTCAGCCATACCACTAATTAGTAATGGAGCCAAGATTAGCATCTAAATCTGGAAGCACCTGGTCCAGAGCTCTTTCTCAGCTGCCTCCCTCCGCCCCTTCTTGCACTTCTTCCTGGCATGGCTGTAGGGCCTGTGTCTCTTTTTAGAATAATCGAAACTTGTAGTGAGGGACTGTTTCATTTCAAGATAATGTTTAGCCAGTCAGTGAATATGGTTTATGATTATTTTAGTCAGAGTTTGAGTTTTAGGGTCATGTTTGGCTCCATTACTCAGTTATTCTTGTACAGTTGTATAATTCTATAAATTCAGCAACTGGCATTTTAGATATTTTGTGAATACATTTTCATTCTACTAAGTAAACTCAATGACCCTGGAATTGACTAGGAAGTTATTCATTCATCCAGAAAATAATAGAACACTTTTGAAATGTGTGCTCACGCCTTTTGCATGTTATGGTTATAATTAAGCTATTTGGGATTCATTTCCTGGGTTTTTGACAGTACTTGACAGTAGCCGAGAAGAGATCTTGCCATCTGCTTTCACTAAGAAAAATATTTTTTCGAATTCTCTCAATGGGCTCCAGTTATTTAGGTGTTGGATCTCCTTTCCTTTATCAAGTCTTCATTTCTTATCTCTTTTCCCACATTTTCAATTTTTTTTTGTATTTTGTTCTGAAAGATTACTCAATCTTTTTCTTATTTTAATTTTAATATCAGACAATATGTTTAACTTCTAAGAGCTATTTTTATTTCCTGTTATTCCTTTTTCATTGCATCCTCTAGTTTTTTATAGTTATGCCATGTTTGCTCAGAGGACACTATTTAGAGTTTTTTAGGTTCTTTTTTTTTCTTTTAAGTTTTCTTGTTTCCTATATCATCCCCATTTTCTCTGGAAGTACTTTTTATTTTCCTTTTGGTTATCCTAAATTTCTCTTTAATATTTTAGCCTTTGCTTATATGTTTTGTGATCTTTGGTGCCCTGTGCCAATGTTGTAATAAATGAGGCAATTTTAGGTCTGACACAAGAGTTTTCAGTGTATCATAAGGATCTTGTTGGCTGGTGGTGTCCCTCTAGGAAGAAAGGATGAAGGGTGGATGGGAATTTCATTACTCTGGGGGATCCCTAAATGTCCAATGTGCAACATCTCCATACTGTTACCCTAGTTTTTTCTTTTTAAATTATTAAATTTGTATGAAATAGAAACTTTCCAACACCATGTAAATGGGAGACAAAACTAATATAACTTGTCATAAATGACTAAACACAAGTTAACGTACTAATAAAATACATAAAAATATCAATCCAGGTATCACTTAAAATTGTCAAAAATTCAGTCTCATGCACTGCTTTTCTACATTTTAGTAGAGTTGGAGTAGAGTTGATAGCCATGTGCTTATAATTTTGTTGTAATTTTATAATTATAGTTATGATCTTTAACTTGAAGCCCATCATTTGAAAATTGGCCTCGTAGTAGATACCTAAAGCAACAGCTGTGTCCAATTATTGATGTCTCCACAAGCCAGGGAAGCTTGAGTTTGAGTATCTCCAAAGTCTCTAAATGTACAGTGTTTCAGAATCTGTCAGAATCTATTTGAGTGTTTGTGTGCACAGTATAAGGTGAGCCTTCAGAACAATCTGAACACCATCTGGAATTCCTCTCCTAACCTAGGACTGACTGCATTGCACAGATGATGGATATTTACGTATGTTTGAAACGACCATCCTGGATGGTGGACAATAAAAGAATGAGGACTGCTTCAAATTTCCAGTGGCTGTTATCAACATTTATTCTTCTATATCTAATGAATCAAGTAAATAGCCAGAAAAAGGGTAAGTGCATCAGCCTTCCAGAGAATGAACAGATTGCAGTTTTATTTCCATTTTGATGACGAAGCAATTTTGTTGCTTTATTGACCCCTTTAGGATTTTGTTGGTTAAAATTCATTTTTTTTGTCATCTTTTTTCTATGTACTTTTAGTTTCTTTTAAAAAGATCCTTAATGATAGATCAAAATATTATTTTACCATGAAAAATTAAAATATAATTTACATACAATAAAATTTGCCTTTTTAAGATTCAGTTCTGTGAGTTTTGACAATGAATGTAGTTATGTAACCACCAGCACAATCAAGATAGGGAACAGCCCCGGCACTGCAAAAGCTTCCTGGCTCCTCTGTAGTCAGCCCTCCCAGGCCCATCCCCTGCCAGCACTGCCTTGTCTCCATAGACACTGTTTTCTGTCTCTATAATGTTACCTTTTTAGAATGTCATATCAATGAAATCCAAATATTTTTAAATGTATTATGTTACATCTTAAATATATTAAGAATGTTTATGTAGATATTTTATAGCTTATTTATATAAAGAAATTATCATCCTCCTGCCCGTTGGTTTAGTTTTTATATTATTTCCATATTTAAATAGATCTCTTTTCTCCAAGGTCATTCATTAAATTACTTTATTATTATGATTAGTGCTGCTTTATAATGTGAGTACTTTTAATGTAATATTTGTTTTTCTGTCATATAAATAGCCGTATAATTTATTGCTACAGTGAATATCGTACCAACCATGTACAAAAACAAAAACATTTTTCATAAACATTTATAGAATCTGAGATGGACTACCTTTTTTATTCTATAGTTGCCTTTTCCCCTTGTTTCCCTCCTTTCTTCCCTCTTTCCCTCTCTCTTATACCCCCCTTCTTTTTACTCATTTTCTTTTCGGGGTGACTTTTTTCATTGCATAGTGCTTACATATTCCATGGTGTAATGTTATTTTATAGATGTGAGTAAGTACTAGTAGGATTGTAATCTTCTGAATTGTTACTTTCAATTGTTTAGGCCCACACCAAAAATATATTTCTCAAATGAACTCATGAGTTTATTACTGTTTAAATTTAATATACTTCATAATAACCTAAAGATTAGTTATGGGAGTTCTACCAAGGGGGCAGTCTGGTAGCAAGCAATGAGGTGGGGGTGACTAGGAGTTTCAAAGTTTTGTTTAAAAACTTGGAAGGCACATCATTTTTACTTAAGACTTCTTTGTTTTTGTTTTTTGTTTTTTCCTTAAGTGGGGCTATTGAAGATTCAAGAGGTGCTAGAATCCCCTCAAGCCCTCTCTTGGTCCCATTATTGAATCTACATGACTAGCCACTCACTCCCTTAATTTGTCTTAGTTGCTTGGAAGTGGAATTTTTGATAGCAGCCTAACCCCAAAATGGTCTAGTAGCTGGCCCACTTTCATCAGTTTACCCTTTAGTTGTTTTTTTTTAACCAAAGCTGCAAAAAGAAATAGAAAACCAGTCCACTCCCATGACTTGCAGGATCATCTCTTTGAAAAAAAAAAAAACATGGGCTCTCTGCAGACACACATGCTTGTGCTTACAACTGAAAATGGTTGACTTTTTAGAGTGCAGTTGACTTATTCAGCATATTCTGTGTTTATGTGTGTCTGTGTGTGTGTGTGTGTGTGTGTGTGTGTCTCCTCCAGGGGCTCCTCATGATTTGAAGTGTGTAACTAACAATTTGCAAGTGTGGAACTGTTCTTGGAAAGCACCCTCTGGAACAGGCCGTGGTACTGATTATGAAGTTTGCATTGAAAACAGGTAATTTTAATTTACTTTAATTCACAATGAGCTAGGTTGAATTGCAGAAACGACCCTCAGTTCTTACCTTATTGCTTGTGAAACTAAAGGGTTATTTCCTGCTTGTGTTCTGTGTCCAGCAGAGTCTGCCGTGACCTCTGCCTCATTTTTCTCCTGTAGGGCACCAAGCATTATGAGGTGTGATGGCAAGGTGAGAAGAGGGGACAGAGTCTGCAGTGGCTTTCAGTGCAGATCTGGTAGATAAGACTGTCACTCAGATTTCTGCCACCAAATAAAGCCACATGGCCATACCTTGCTTCAGAGAGGC
The DNA here is from genome assembly GCF_000001405.40 of Homo sapiens. NCBI lineage: Eukaryota > Metazoa > Chordata > Mammalia > Primates > Hominidae > Homo > Homo sapiens. The sequence goes on along the minus strand of NC_000005.10, from coordinate 38,528,418 downwards.
AGGGAAGGACGGTCTTAGTGTGAGTCCAGAAGGGGGAGCCTGAAAAGTTTGCTGAAGAGCACACATGCCCACCACAGGCCAAACAGAGAGGAAGTTAGTTCTGGCCCCCTGCTCCCCTGGGAGGTCACAATAAACAAATAGTAGCAAGGCTGTGGTTTTTGTGCAAGGGAGTGGACACTAGGAGTATGAATGTCTAGAAAGGCTGTCAGAGGAGGTGTAATTCTGGAGTAGGCACAGTCAGTTTTCTCAGCAGAAAAGGAATAGGAGGACATTCTACCCTGAAAGAATATTGAGTACAATGGCTTGAATGTATGAGATGGCGTGATTTGGAGAATTCAGGTGTTTTTGCATTGCTGATGCCTAAAGAAGCCTCACCATGTGAGAGGTTTAGAAGGAGATGAGCTGGACCCATTCAAGTCCAGAGTCCTAAGCACCCAGCCCTAAGGCTGGGGCTGGGTAGTTGGTGGGGGCAGGAATGCAAGAGGCATGGAAAGTCCTTTCAGTAAAGTAAACATTTGTATAAGAAGTTTGAAACATATATGAACAACAGTATAAGGAATATAAGCATGCTCTGGAGAGATATCAAGGGCTGTGGAACAAGAGAGGAAAATATCATTTTGCCTAAGAGATACCAGGGGAACTGGAAGCATTTTGAAAACAGAACTGAAGAGGAAGTTCTGTTAAGAAGAAACCATGAGCCAAGGCAGAGGAGCAGGGGAGTTGCCAGTTTCATTTCCTTCATCAGCATCCGTTGAACATCATCCTAGCATGAGGAGCGCTGTGATGCACTGGTCCCTCAGTGAAGGGGTGGAGTGTGAGTAGTGGAAGTCAGCCTACAAAGGGAAGGTTGAGGTGGGATTTTGAAAGGCATGCAAAAACTCCAGCTGTTTGGAGTCATCTATGCTTATTCTACTTTTGGTACAATGAGGTTGTTTTTCCTACCCCCACATTGGTAAAGTTACTATCAATCTGTTTTTTCAGTCTTAAAATGCGGTACAACCTATCATGTTTTTGCAACAAAGAGGGCATAAAGTATTTTCCATTGTATTTTGTGTTAACCAAATTTTTATGAAAATTATACTATTAATTTTATTTGCTAATTAAAATTCAATTTCTTATTACAGGTCCCGTTCTTGTTATCAGTTGGAGAAAACCAGTATTAAAATTCCAGCTCTTTCACATGGTGATTATGAAATAACAATAAATTCTCTACATGATTTTGGAAGTTCTACAAGTAAATTCACACTAAATGAACAAAACGTTTGTAAGTATTTGAAAACAAACTCAATTTTAAAGTAAGTCAAGTGTCACTTGTTAGTATTGTGGTGCTTTCTAGTTTTTTGAATTTCATGTGTTATGCTATTACTTTTAATTCACTCAGCAACCTCCCTATGAATTGTAGATGGTAGCCAAGATCAGAAGGAAGCAAACTTTTCTTCTGGCCAGTCAAAATAGCCCAGAATTCAGGCTCCTTCCCTCAGTTCCATACTCTTTCTTTAGCCCCCTTGACTCCTGCGTACCTTCCAGAATTTCTCAGATGCCCCTTGCTCTAGGGTGTAGTCTTATCTGGGAAGCTACTGAAAAATGACAGTATTAGAATCAGAAAGGCAAATCAAGACAGACTGTAGGAGACTCAGTCGATTAATAGTTCATTGTGTTTTACATATCATGTAATGTATTGGTAGCATTATAAATAATAATGGTCCTGATCATGATTAGAATAACAGTATTGGGATAAGAAAATTGAAAAGCAAATTAGGTGAGTGTAAGGAACGGAGGAGATGGATACATCAGCAAATCTTTGAGCACCTACTGTGTGCAAGAGAAGCTCTGCAATGCATGTATAGCTGTCCTTTAGAGGATCTGGATCTCTTGACAATTTGCTACTAAATAAAAGTATGAAAATTAAGTGTCTGTGGATCTAAAGATGCTTTCTAAATTATATAAAGCAAACAAGATTTTATATATATATATATACACACACACACACACACACACACACAGTAAAGTTTGTACTTACCATGTGTAAGCATGAAAAATTCTTCATAAGATTTTTAATTTCTGCATTTCTTAAAATCACCTGAAAATTTGGGTCATTCTGAAGCAGAATGTGGGTCCTGTAAAAAAAAGCTGGGAATACTCTTATCTTCTTATGTCCTAAGGAAGCAGGAGCACGTAGATTATGGGTAAAGCTGAATTAGCATTAGAAGAAAATAAAAAAGATTTTCATTAAATTTCTTCCCTATCTGAGTTTCTAGAAAGCAAGTTAACATTGTCCTCACATGTCTGTTTAGCACAAAGAAATGCAGATGGCAGTTAATGGGAGCTTAGGGGAAACTTCCCTATATGCTATAAAGAAAAGAAAGGGAGCAGTGGCTTTTTAAAATCCTTGTACTTGTAATTATGGCCATTACTGTCTTTAGCTTGAAATGTTGGATATTACTTGTATTTTTAAGAGTAGCCCACTGCTATTTAAATAAAATGTAAATTATGTGGACTTTTCAGGGAGGGAAGCATTTTAAAGATGAGCGTTGTCTTAGTAAAATACTCCCGTGTTTCATAAATTGTAAGTTACTACATCATGTGACATCCTGAATCATTTGAAAGAATAGCTGTGTTCTTGGAAGCCTCTTGCTCTTTTCTGGTCACACTGGCACCCTGAGCTTTCCCTGTCCTGGCACTAAATCAACTTCTTGCCTCTCGTTTGTCTGCATTTTTCCTTTTCCACAAGGAGCTGCCCACTTAAAACTTCTTTTTAAAGCATCCTCCACTGTCCTTATACAGCTGTGTAACTGTTGACTTTGCTCTGTAGTTTAGACTGTAAATCCACATGTTCTGTGTCCTGTACAGCCCTAAACACTTTACATAAATCCAGTGTTGAACACTGTATTGGCCAAATTTTAGTTAAACCTATTTTTAATAACTATTTTTAAGTTCCGAGATTAATGTGTATTGGTTTGTTCTGCCCTTTTTGTTATTTAGCATATTCAGCTACCCTAGCCCTGCACTGTCCTGCAGTTTTGGGCTTACCATGACTATATGTAATTGGTCCTTGAGCTTCTAGGATAGAAATGAGGCAAGAAAGGGTGAGTCTATGGATTTCTTCTAACTCACCTTTACTTTACTGTTATTTGAGGAGGAAACATGGAAGAAAGTCCAAGTCTCTCTGATTCTCAAACCAGAAAGTCTACATTTCATAGAATGGAACATGCTCATACCTTCTTTGTTTTCCATTGGTCCAAAATTTTCCATGATTTATCCGCCCTTAGGGAGAGTTAATGATTTTCAAGGATACATTACTCTTCCTGCTACCTTTTTTAGTGTCCTGGATTCTCCCTAGGAGATGCCCAAACCTTTGAGCATGGATTTTTTTCTCTTTTACCTTTTGTAATGCAGCTTCAGAGCCCACTGTTCTCCTAAACTTCTTTCTCAGATATTAACAGTAGCCTCGCCAGTGGTTTTTCCACAGTCTTCCTCTATAAACTGTTTTATTTGGCACAGGTAACAACTATTTGTTTTTATTTCGATGATCCTGGATTTTCTCTGGTTTCCTTCTGCTTCTAGGATTCCCTCTCTGGATTCATGTTGGTGTTTTTGGCTCCTTGAAGATGTAATTGTCTATTGGCAGCCCCTAAAAGGAGCTTTGGCTGGTTTATGTCTTTGTGTTCATGCTCTTTTCTACCACTACACTCAATCAGTTCCTTTTAAGTCTGCATCCACGTTCTGACTCCATGGTGTCTTCTTCCCCTGACCCTTACTCATCCATAGCCAGGCTTCTGTGTCTCTTCACAGTGATTCCCGATTCCTTTTGCTCCTCTTGCTGCTTTCTGAGCTAGAAACTTGAGAGAATATTGGTTGTTTCCCTTTTTCATTAGAACCAACCGTTTATTTCTTTGATGTAGTCATTTCTTTGAAATATCCATGACATCTTTTCCATAGATGGCATCTTAGTTTATATCCTTGTCACTCTAGCCAGGATTGCTCCAGTGGTCTCCTAATTGGTCACCTTATCCCCTGTCTCAATCCCCCGCAGTCTGTGTTGCATACTACTGATAAAGGAACCTTTCTGACACACTTCTTATATCCTGCTACTTCTGCACAGTAACCACTGGCTTCTTAACTCAATGCCTTAGTCACTGAGACAATCCTGCTACTGTTTAATGGTATTGAAAATCAGTAATGCCCATAGCATTTCTCAAGTGGGTGACATCCCCCAGCACGAGAGACTCTTGACACCAGGAGATGCCTGAGACAGCTGCAGAGAAAACAGAGAGAAGCCTTTACCAAAGGAAGCTTTCTATATTTTGTTATTTTCTTAGGGCTGCCCTACAGCCATACAGAGGAAACTCGTTTTCTTCTCTCTGATGTTGCCTACCTGTAGGTTCCTGACTAAATGACACTAGAGTACTGTGGAAACCTAGTTGCTGTTTGTATTAGAAAATGTGCTGTGGATTTGAAACAGCCAGCTAATAAATAATTTTCTTAAATTTGGCTGATGAAGCATTGGGAGCTGCCTCTACAAATAAATAATATATATGTTCCCCTTTTTCAGAAATTTGAGAGAATATTAGTCGTTTCCCTTTCTCATTAGAACCAACCCTTCATTTCTTTGATCCAGTCATTTCTTTGAAATATCCATGACATTTTATCTTTTCCATATATGGCATCTCAGTCCATGTCCTTATTACTGGGTTCTAGAGTTTCCTTTTAAATCTTGATTATTGATTTTTTGATCAAGAAGGAATAGAGTTTATAAGTAGTTGATTAGTGGAGTTACAGTATGAAAAATCATTACTTATTTTACTAAGTTTTCTCTTTTGTTTCCTCTTTTTAAAGCCTTAATTCCAGATACTCCAGAGATCTTGAATTTGTCTGCTGATTTCTCAACCTCTACATTATACCTAAAGTGGAACGACAGGGGTTCAGTTTTTCCACACCGCTCAAATGTTATCTGGGAAATTAAAGTTCTACGTAAAGAGAGTATGGAGCTCGTAAAATTAGTAAGTTTGAACATAGATTTTCTTCCTATGACATTAAAGAAACTGAATAATTTTTTTTAAGAAGCCTTAAGGTGGTATCAGTGAACTTTTGGATTATTTAGGAAGTAAATCAGATACCTTTCAGGGTTCATTAAAAACATCATGCATGATTTAAAAATCACTTGTTAATTATTAAATGATGTGTAACCATTACAGATAGCATAGGAAATTAGGGGAGAAATAAGCCGTGATTCTACCACTTGAAAATAGTAAGTACTGTTTTTGTGTATTCCTGTCTGGACTTGTTTATATGCATGTTTTTATGTAAATGAAAGTGCACATTTAATTTAGTGTATTATTTTACCTTTGTCTAATGTTTTGAAGCATGTTTAGCCAGAACTTAGCCATAGAGAATTTTTTTTTATAAATCTATAAGCTTGAATTTATCAGTACATGCTTTTTCCCTCTCTCGTTTTTTCATTCCTGTTTATGAATGGCCTCTAAGGAGTAATGAACAACATTTATGAAAAGTTTGACAGCTGTTACCTGGAAATGCTCCCTTTCAGCCTTTTACTCTTTTTCTTGATAGATTTGGAGTTTGCTTAGTTACAGGTTTAAGAATTAGAAGACCATCTCATGATTTTACAGTTTATTTGTTCAAGTTGCTCAAGTACATAGATAAAATAGTAAAGATAATAAAAAAGATTATTCTATATTTCATACTTTCTTATTGTTTCTCTTTGACAACCCATGTATTTCATTCCTAAAATAACAATAGTCAGCTAGCACCTAGCCTATATGGGACAATAGCCTATTGCTTCTAGGCCACATACAAACCTGCATGGCATGTTACTGTACTGAATAATGGAGGCAATTGTAATATATTGGTAAGTATTTCTGTATCTAAATATAGAAAAGATATGTAAAAATATGGTATAGAAGACTTTAAATGGAGGAGGGACTTCAAGATGGCTGACTAGAGGCACCTCGTACTCAACTTCTCTACAAAGAAGAACCAAGATAGGGAATAGTAGATCTTCACACTTCAAATAGATCATCCTAGAGAGAGCATCGGGATTCAAGAGAAGTGACAGGAAGCACCTAAAGCAGGGAAGGAAGAGGAAAGTGAGGCAGCCAGCAGAACACCAGCAGTGGCTCCACTGCTAAAGTGCATTCCATGTGCCCAGAGTCCCCTGCCTGCAACTGCTGAAGCACAAGTGGGGCGTGATGTGCCACCACTAAGGCTGAAGCGTGAGTGAAGCGCAGACTACAGCTACTGAGACTAGAATGCAAATTGTGCGTTCCCCACTTGCATGCCTATGGCTACCATTGAAAGCAATCTCTTCCTCCTCAGTAGCAGGGCCGCAGCACAGCCACTGCTGCTGTCCACCTGAGCATTCTGGAGGGAGCATGGGGAACACCGCATGCCTGCCTACCACAGCTAGTGTCTACATGTACTACGAGAGGGCCTGAGGACAAGCCCACCCAGCTTTGTTCCCTTGCCCTGGTGCCAGAACTTACAGCCTATGGACCTAGGAATCACCTAGCCTAGTCTACCACCATCAGCACCTGAGCACCTCTTCTAGGGGCCTGAGATTAGGCCCACACACCCTGCTGCTACCACCACAGCTGGCACCTACTGCACATGCTACCTGCGGGCCTGAAGACTGGCCCACTCAGCACATTGTATCTACTGTCAGCACCAGAGTGCACTGCTCAAGACCCAGAGGGTTATCCTACCACTGCTACTGCCATCACCCACACCACACCTGCTGGCCAGGGGCCTGAGAACGTACCCAGCCCACCACTCTCAATACCAGCATCCAAGCAAGCCACCTGGACGCTCAAGAATTGGCCCCCTTGGACCCACTAACAATGGGGCCAGTGAATGCCATCCTGGGGTCCAAAGACAGGCATACTCGGCTTACCACTTCCACTGCCGGGACCCAAAGACTGGACCACTTACGCCACTCTTATTCAACAATAGTACTGGAAGTCCTAGCCAGAGCAGTCGGGCAAGAGAGAAAATAAAAGGGATCCAAATTGGGAAAGAGAGAGTCAAATTGTCCCTCTTTGCTGGTGATATAATCTTGTATCTAGAAAAGTGTAAAGACTCCCCCAAAAAACTTAGATCTGTAAATAAAGTTAGTAAAGTTGCAGGAGGTAAAATCAATATAGAAAAATGAGAAGTGTTTCTATATGCTAATAATGAACTGGCTGAAAAATCAAGAAAGCCATCCCATTTACAATAGCTACAGAAAAATAAAGTACCTAGGAATAAATTTAACCAAGTAGTTGGAAGATCTCTATAAGGAAAACTACAAAACTGATGAAAGAAATTGAAGAGGACACAAAGACATTCCATGCTTACAGATTGGAAGAATTAATATCATTAACAGGACCAAACTGCCCAAAGCAATCTGCACATTTAGATTCAATGCATTCCCTACAAAAATGCCAATGTCATTTTCCACAGAAATAGAAAAAACAATCCTAAAATTTGTATGAAGTCAAAAGAAACCCAAATAGCTGAAGCAGTCCTGAGTAAAAGAACAAACTTGGAGACATCACACTACTCAACTTCAAAATATATTAAAAGGTTATCTATAGTAATCAAAACAGCATGTTACTTGTATAAAAACAGATACATAGACCAGTGGAACAGAGTAGAGAATCCAGAAATAACTATGTTTTTATAGCAAACTTATCTTTGACAAAGGTACCAAGAACATACATAGTTGGGGAAAGGATATCATCTTCAATAAATGGTACTGGGAAAATTGGATATTCATATGCAGAAGAATGAAACTGGATCTCTGTCTCTCATATACAAAAATCAACTCAAGATAGATGAAAGACTTAAACATAAGACTGAAACTATAAAACATGGGGAAAATACTATAGGACATTGGTCCAGGTAAAGATTTTATGGCTAAAACTGCAAAAGCACAGACAGCAGAAGCAAAAATAGATTATATTAAACTAAAAAGCTTCTGCACAACAGTGGAAACAGTGGAGTGAAGAGACGGTTGAATGGGAGAAAACATTTCCAAACTATTCATCCAACAAAGGACGAATATCCAGAACCTACCGTGAACTAAAACAACTCAACAATTAAAAAATTAATACTCCCATTGTAATGTGGGCAAAGGACATGAATAGACATTTCTCAAAAGAAGACATATGGACAACAGGTGTATGAAAAAATGCTCAATATCACTACTTACCAGGGAAATACAAATTAAAACCACAATCAAATCAGCTCACCTCTATTAGAATGGCTATTATTAAAAAGACAAAAAAAACTTATATATTGGTGAGGATGTGGAGCATGGGAAGCTCTTATACAATGCGACTGGGAATGTAAATTAGTACAACTACTATGGAAATCGGTATGGAGATTTCTCAAAAAACTAAAAAGAGAACTCCTATAGGATCCAGCAGTCCCACTTCTGGGTATCTGTCCAAAGGAAAATAAATCAGTGTATTAAAGGGTTACCTGAATTCACATGTTTATCATGCCACTATTCACAATAGAAAATATGTGGAATCAACCTAAGTGTCCAGTAGATGAGTGGATAAAGAAAATGTGATATATACACACAATGGAATTCTGTTTGGCCATAAAAAAGAATGAAATCATGTCATCTTCAGCAACCAGGATGGAACTGGAGGCCACTACGCTAAGCGAAATAAGCCAGGCACAGAAAGATAAATATAGTATGTTCTCACTCACTCATGGAGACTAAAAAAGCTGATCTCATGGAGGTAAAGATATTATTAGTAACAGAATGATAGATACTAGAGACTGAGAAGGGTGTGTTGGTGGGACGGGGCAGGAAGAGAGGTTGGTGAATGGGTACAAATGTACAGTTAGATAGAAGATATAAGTTCTGTGTTAGATAGTCAAGTAGGGTGACTGTAGTTAGCATCCATGTATTATATATTTCAAGGTAGCTAGAAGACTTGAAATGTTCCCAACACAGAAATGATAATACTCATGAGATAATGGATACCCCAAATACCCTGACTTGATCATTACACATTCTGTGCATGTAACCAATACTCACATGTATCCCATAAATACTATGTATCAATAAAATGTTTAAAGAGATAAAAAATGGTACACCTGTATAAGGCACTTACCGTGAATGGAGCTTGCAGGACTAAAAGTTTCTCTGGGTGAGTCAGTGAGTGAATTGAGGGCCTAGGACATGACTATTCACCACTGTAGTCTACATGGTACAATTAGACCACACTAAACTTATAAAACTTTTTATCTTTCTTTGGTAATAAATTAACCTTAGCTTACTGTAACTTTTTTACTTCAGAACTTTTAATTTTTAAAAAATATTTTGACTCTTTTGTATTAACACTTAGCTTAAAACAAACACATAGTACAGCTGTACAAAAATATTTTTATATCCTTACTCTACAAGCTTTTTTGTATTTTTAAAAATTATTTTTCTTTAACTTTGTAAACTTTTTTGTTAAAAACAAGGACAAAAACACACACGTTAGCCTAGGCCTACGCAGGGCCAGGATCATCAGTATAACAGTCTGCCACCTCCACATCTTGTCCCACTGGAAGGTCTTCGGGGCAGTAACATGCATGGAGCTGTCATCTCCTCTGGTAACCATGCCTTCTTCTGGAATACCTCCTGAAGGACCTGCCTGAGGCTGTTTTACAGTTAACTTTTAAAAACATGTAGAAGGAGTACCCTCAAAAATAATGATAGAAAGTGTAGTACACTAAATACATACACCAGTAACATAGTCATTTATTATCATTATCAAGTATTATGTACAGAGCACAATTATATGTGTTATACTCTTATACCAGCAGCACAGTATGTTTGTTATTCCAGCATCACCACAGACACATGAGTAATACGTTGCACTATGACATTATGTTGGCTATGATGTCACTTGGTAATAGGAATTTTTCAGCTCCATTATAATCTTATAGGATCACCATGGTATATGTGGTCCCACATTGACTGAAGTATTGTTATATAGCACATTACTGTATACCTTGATTCTTTTTATCCTCACAACAGTCCCAGGAGGGTGATACTATTATTATTCCCATTTTACAGATGATACAGAGTCACAGGAAGACTTTAAGTGGTGGAGTCAGGATTCCAACCCAGGCAGCTTGGTTTCAGAGTCTGCTCTTAACTGCTACAATTTATATTTTATAAGAAATATATATATTTTAATTTAAAATGTCCTCCCCTTCTCACGTATCCTACTCGAACCTGCATTTCAAGACCCAGGTCAAATCCTACTCCTTATTTTATTTTATTTTATTCATTTGTTTTTAGAGATAGGGTTCTGCTCTGTCAACTTGGCTGGAGTACAGTGGCATGATCATATAGCTGACTGCAGCCTCAAACTCCTAAGGGATACTTTTGCCTCAGTGTCCTGAGTAGCTGGGGCTACAGGTGCATGCTGCTGTGCCCAGCTGTTTTTTTTTGTTTGTTTTTTTTTTTTTCATAGAGATGGGGTCTCACTTTTTTGCCCCATCTGCCTACTTCTTATTTTAAAGCCCATCCTTTTTTTTTTTTTTTTTTTTTTTTTGAGACAGTGTCTTGCTCTGTTGCACATGCTGGAGTGCAGTGGCATGATCTCGGCTCACTGCAACCTCCAAATCCCGGGTTCAAGCTATTCTCTTGCTTCAGCCTCCCCAGTAGCTGGGACTACAGGCACATGCCACCACGCCCGACTAACTTTTTGTATTTTTAGTGGAGATGGGGTTTCACCGTGTTAGCCAGGATGGTCTCGATCTCTTGACCTTGTAATCTGGCCACCTCGGCCTCCCAAAGTGCTGGGATTACAGGCATGAGCCACCGCGCCCAGCCTTAAAGCCCATCTTAATTCAGCCTGCAGACTCTCACTTTTCTTGATTCTAATGGCAAGTCTTGTCTGTTAATCTAATTTGCAGCTAGCTTTGATACAGTTCTGCAGGTGCTGTCTTAAAGGTATTATTTATTTAAATTATATTGCTTAACTTGTCATTATGGCCTAACATTTTGCATTCTGGGTTACCACTTACAGGCTTAGGATAACTCCTCAAACCTAGTTTGTATCTTTTGTAAAGTGGCAATATTTGCTCTGGGGTCTGCAAAGTAAATAGTATATCTGTAAAGCTGCTAAACAAATATTATTTGTCACTACTCCCTTTAGGGACAAGGCTTTTTATTTTTTTATTTATTAAATTTTATAATTTTTTATTACACTTTAAATTCTGGGATACATGTACAAACCTGAAGGTTTGTTACATAGGTGTATACGTGCCATGGTGGTTTGCTGCACTCATCAATCCATCATCTACATTCGGTATTTCTCCTAATGCTATCCTTTCCCTAGCCCCCCATCCCTGACAGGCCCCGATGTGTGATGTCCCCCTCCCTGTGTCCGTGTGTTCTCATTGTTCAACTCCCACTTATAAGTGAGAACATGCGGTGTTTGGTTTTCTGTTCCTGTGTTAGTTTGCTGAGAATGATGGCTTCCAACTTCATTCATGTCCCTGCAAAGGACATGAACTCATCCTTTTTTATGGCTGCATAGTACTCCATGGTGTGTATGTGCCACATTTTCTTCATCCAGTCTATCATTGATGGGTGTTTGGGTGGGTTCCAAGTCTTTGCTGTTGTGAATAGTGCTGCAGTAAACCTATGTGTGCATGTGTCTTTATAGTAGAATGATTTATAATCCTTTGGGTATATAGCCAGTAATGGGATGGCTGGGTCAAATGGTATTTCTGCTTCTAAATCCTTGAGGAATTGCCACACTGTCCTCCACAGTGGTTGAACTAATTCACACTCCCACCAACAGTGTAAAAGCATTCCTATTTCTCCACATCCTCTCCAACATCTGTTGTTTCCTGTCTTTTTAATGATCGCCATTCTAACTGGCATGAGATGGTATCTCATTGTGGTTTTGATTTGCATTTCTCTAATGACCAGTGATGATGACCTTTTTGTTCTTGGCCACATAAATGTCTTCTTTTGAGAAGTGTCTGTGCATATCGTTTGCCCGCTTTTTTGATGGGGTTGTTTGATTTTTTTCTTGTAAATTTGTTTAAGTTCCTTGTAGATTCTGGATATTAGCCCTTTGTCAGATGGATAGGGACGAGGCTTTTTTAATTTTTAATGTAACTTGAGGAGGAACTAACTAGAGAATACTAGAATTAAAGAGGGACACTCTGAAATGTGAGTGAAATCAAACTTAAATGAAGGGACTGTTAGGCTAAAACCATATAGCTCATTCTACAACATGTGTAAGTCAGCCAATGACAAGGCAGTAATTCCTTACTTTTGGGAAAAAATTTGGGAAAATAATAGCAAGAAGCAATGAGAAAGAACACATTTCTTTAGAACTGTAAAGTAAGGGAAAATGCCTCAGGGCATTTTTATTAATAGTACGTTATTAATGTCAGTATTTAAGACAAAATTGCTTGTGATCAGTCATTTTATGATATCCTATTATTTTGCACTAATGCTATTATTTTATAATAATTTAAAAATCAAGAACACTTTGCATTCATGTTTCATTTGTGAGGCACTTGTCTGTCTGTGGTCTCTGTGTCCAGCAGTGGGAGCTGTGTGCTGCACACACTGGGAAGAGCTCACCAGGCACTGCTCCCCCACACACAAATACTCCTCCTTGACTTTCCCTGGAAACGACCTGTTTCAACTCTTTTAACTGATCTCTTTCATTATTTATCTTCATTTCTCCAAATAACATGCTTATGTTGCTATTTCTTGATAGCAACCCCCTCCCTTTCCTCCTCTCCCCCCACCGCCTCATTTCTCTCTGCTCCTCCCTCTCCCTCCTTCTCCCCGCAGCCTGCCATTTTCCTAGCTTTTTCCAATAGAGTCTATGATAATTTTTGGTAGAACAGTATTCATCATTTGTATTATGGTCTATAAAAAAATCCACAATTTTTTGTACACTCCTTATATTATCTTGTTTTTTTGTGTTTATTTCTCTGCTTCATTACTTTAATCCTAAATTCTTTGCAGGCTGTGTAGATCTCCTTGGAATTTTCAAATATACTAAGTACTTTATCAATTTTATCTTTGCGAATAAATCTCTGAGGGCTTTCTGGCTGGCTTCCCAACCTTATTCACAGAAGGCTCACATAGACACTGATAATATTTGTATAGCACAGAGTGTGGTAAATAGCCGAGACCGCTTGTGGCCAGAGGCATCACAGAGGCTCCAGTAGCCCCAACCCCTACCAAGCAGTTCTAGGTTTGAATGGATTAATACCTAGATATATTTATAACTCACTCAAGATAGACTTCAGTGTCTTTCAGCACATTTCTTAGGAAGCTGTGGTCCAAGGGATCTCCATCATCTAGGGTATTTCCTACAACTTTGTCTTATGATGGATCTTCTTTTTGCCAAATCTCCAGTCGTTCTCTTATTTCCTCATTTTTGTGGAAGCATTTGCACTTGTCCCTTGGTATCTTTTGGGGGATTGCTTCCAGGACCTCCCTTAGATACCAGAATTCAAAGATGCTCGGTAGCGTTAGCATACAACCTACGGGCATCCTCCTGTATATTTTAAACCCTCTTTAGATTATTTGTAACACCTAATACAATGTAAGTGTTGTGTAAATAGTAGTTATACTGTATTGTCTAAGGAATAAGGACAAGAAGTGTCTGCACATGTTTAGCACAGATGCAAATTTTTTTCCAAGTATTTTTGATCCATAGTTGGTTGACCTCACAGATGTGGAGCGATGAATAGAGGGAGCCAACTGTCAGTAGTTATTTGCTATTGTAGATATTCTCTGCTATCTATAATAGCTAGCTTGCAAATATAATTTGTTCTTTTAATTTAATTATTTAAAAATTTAAAAGCTTGTCAATTACTATTACTGAGAAGTTGTAGAGGAACTGGAACTTTCATACGTTACTGGGCAGAGTGTAAAATGCTTACCAAAGGAATACATGGAGATACCACATTTATGAAAATGTCTATTCTGCACTCGTGCGTGATTACTAGTTTAACTGGGTGTAGAATTACAGGTTGGGAAATTTTGTCAAGATTTTGAAGGTATGATTCCATTGTTTCTTAGTGTGGATCAATCTTTATCTGTTCTTCTGGACACTCATTGGGCCCCTGTCAGTCTAAAAACACATGTGTGTCAGCTTGGGAATTTCTTGTTTTATTTCTTTGATTTGTCCTTCTCTGTCTTCTCCTTTTTTTTGAGAACTTCTGTTCTTCATGAACCTTCCACAACAATCCTCTAATTGTTTTTATCTTTCTTGTTTTCTATGTATTTTCTATTTTCTCAGAAATTTTTTCTAAACTGGATTTTGCATCCTGCTATTGAATTTCTATTCATATGTTTATTAATTTATAGAAGATCCTTTCTTTGAAAGGATTTATGTTATTTTTTTAATGTATCCAGTTTTTGTTTCATGATGCAATGTCTTATCTCTGAGGATAGTAATGATTTAAAGTTTTTTTCTACATGCCCTGTTTCCTCACATTTTTTCTTTTTCTTTTCTTTTCAATTATTGACTTTCGTATTAGAATTTCTTGTACACTTTCTGGTCATCCTGGTTGCTGCTCACAGTTAAGCGAGGGGCTGTTAAAAATTTTTTTTTAATCTAATTGGAACTTTGGTTTCTCTGGATAGGACTTGTTGATGGGGGCCTTCCCTCTAGAGTGATGAGGATGGGCTATGCAGGTGGCAAACGCCAAATATTATTTTAGGTATTTCATTTTGACATGTTTATGTGACTCAGAAAAGTTCATTTAGACTATTACCTGGTGAGGATTAGTCTGGCAAACCAGTATCCTGGGAGCTGAGCAGAGGAAGAAGGCATAGGTTAGCAATCCCCCTGTTTTTGGAATGATAGTCCCCATTCTCATCTCTTCCTAAAATTCTTCAATCCAAAGATATTCTGTTTTACTTTTCCAGAACATAAATCTTTATTCTTCTGCCAAGGTAAACAAAGGTAGTCCTTCGGTAGTGTGGAGTGTGGGAAGGGATCTGGGTAGCCAACATATCTTCAAACAACTTTCAAGCAGTCCTGCTGTTTTGAGCTCTTTATTTCCAGGGGAGCCTGGGATAGCCACTCACTGAGCCCTTTGGCATTTCTGTGATAGAAACAAGCTGTTTTCCTGTATTTCCCATTGGATGCTTAAGATTTTGTTTTCTCAGGTCTTCTACATCAGTTACCATTATCCATCTGCTTTCCAGCTTCCAGATTTTAGTGATGTTGCTTTATTTCTATATTTTGTCTTTGTCCATTCACACCTTTAAAAAAAATCTGTTTACTCTTTGGAGTGATTTCAGGAGGTAAGGGAGAAGGAAATAGTTGTTTAATCTATTGTGTTTGCCTAGAAGTCCCAAGTTATCTTTTATAGCACCTCAATATTTTATTGAAATCTTGCTCATTTCTCACAATTAATAATAATTTGTATTAGTATAACTTACATATTTAATCTTCTATTTAAAAATAAAAGCAACTATATAGAATACTTATATAAAAAACAAATCTAGTCTAAAACTATTTTATTGAAATGCTGCCCCTCTCCTTGACTTAAGCTTTTGAAAGTGCAACCCCATTAATTACTTCTACTCTATGAAAAATTTAGATCATTAGGCAGTGGTATACAGGTTGAGCATCCCTAATCTGAAAATCCAAAACTCAAAATGTTTTAAAATTCAAAACTTTTTGAGCACCACCATGATGCTCAAAGGAAATGCTCACTGGAGCATTTCAGACTTGGGATTTTTGTTATTTTATTTATTTATTTTTTGTTGTTTTTAGACAGGATATCATTCTGCCACCCAGGCTGGAGTGCAGTTGCATGATCTCAGCTCACTGCAGCCTTGACTTTCCAGGCTCAATAGACCCTCCCACCTCAGCCTCCTGAGTTGCTGGGACTACAGGCACAAGCCAGCATGCCTGGCTAATTTTATTTTTTTATTTTTTATTTTTTTATTTTTTTGTAGAGATGGGGTTTCGCCGTATTGTCCAGGCTGGTCTTGTACTCCTGGGCTCAAGGGATCTGCCTGTCTCAGCCTCCCAAAGTGCTGGGTAAATTACAGGTGTGAGCCACTGTCCAGGCAGATTTTAGATTTTTAGATTAGAGATGCTCATCTGAGAAGTATATAATGCAATCTGAAAAGGTGCAAAATCCAACACACTTGTGGTCCCAAGGGATACTCAACCTGCATTTTCTTGCATACCAAATTGAATGTTTCAATGAATAGCAACATCTTATATAATACATTAGGGCCTAAAGTTGAAGAAGTAAACAAATGAATCATGATTATTGTTACTCTGCTATTATACCTTACACAAAACTGAGTTGTATTAAAGGACAAAACATAAACTTAGCTGATGATTGTATGGAATCTATTGTGTCTTTTAATTCTAAAGGAAAGCAAAACATATTGCTACTTGGAAATACAGTTTTGTGTTTGTGTTCATTTTTAGGTGACCCACAACACAACTCTGAATGGCAAAGATACACTTCATCACTGGAGTTGGGCCTCAGATATGCCCTTGGAATGTGCCATTCATTTTGTGGAAATTAGATGCTACATTGACAATCTTCATTTTTCTGGTCTCGAAGAGTGGAGTGACTGGAGCCCTGTGAAGAACATTTCTTGTAAGCTTATATTTAAAGAATGTTTGTTTCAGATGAATTAAATTAGTCTCACTTAAGAGTAAGATTTAGTTTGAGCTTTCACTTCTCATAACCTCATTCAGCTGCATGAGGATTACCTGGGAGCGTCTAAGCCCACCATCCCTGGAGATTTTGATCAAAAAGTCTGAGATAGGCTTCAGGAATCTGTATTTTGAAAGAACTTTCTGAGTGGTTGGATAAACATCCAGGTTTGAAAATCACTGTCATAGGAATTGAAGAGCATTAAAAATTGTGTGTAGATGATACTGAGATGAAATCTATGTTTAAAAAAAAAAAACAAAACAGTTCCCAATTTCTGGCTCACAGAGCAGACCCCTAGAGGCTGCATAGTTATTGCCAGGAACACGGGGATCTGCAAGCATACCAAAAAGCATCCGTACATTAAGTAAAACTCATATACAGGGAGAATGTTGGCAGTTTCGAATAGGGGGCCTGGAAAATTGTTGACCATAAAATGAAATCCTGAAAGGCTGGTAGTCATTGTAGAGATAGATCACTCTATGGATAAAAGGATTAGAGGAAGGAAGGGGACTAGATTAAAGTAAGTTGTTTTTTAGGGTGTGGAGTACTTGGGCATATATTTAGGCTGATGGAAAGTAAGACATATGCCCTAAATACATTGAATAAAAGGAATGGAATTATTTAATTAGTGATTTTTGGGGGGTGTGGATTGTTCACATGTATATATAAACCCACTGAATTTCAACCCTTAGACTTCTTAGACATAAACCTGTGGCATTAACTTTAGACACTGACCTGTAATCTGCTTCTGCTTCCTCACCATTATCCCTTCATAAGTAAATAAAACCACATACACTTTTAAAAAATTTATCGTATATATCTTGCTCCTACAAAACCTGTGGAACACACCTTATCTTTGGACCATTATCATTACAAAGCACCTAACAGTTTGTAGTGTATATACTGGGCTATTTTAAAAGTCATCTTATGAAAAGAAAGTCTTAAAATGCAGAAAAGTTTATGTAAAATACTTCTATATAAAATGTTTATAATTCCTCTTTTTCTTTCTAGGGATACCTGATTCTCAGACTAAGGTTTTTCCTCAAGATAAAGTGATACTTGTAGGCTCAGACATAACATTTTGTTGTGTGAGTCAAGAAAAAGTGTTATCAGCACTGATTGGCCATACAAACTGCCCCTTGATCCATCTTGATGGGGAAAATGTTGCAATCAAGATTCGTAATATTTCTGTTTCTGCAAGTAGTGGAACAAATGTAGTTTTTACAACCGAAGATAACATATTTGGAACCGTTATTTTTGCTGGATGTAAGTATATGATTTTAAAGAGAGAATTCCTATTAACCTGTTTTGGTCTTCCTTGAAAGCCTTAATTCTTCTGGAGTGGGGGGGTGGGAGGAGTGATTCTGTTTCTTTCTCATTTCTTTGTTCTTTAATATAAAGGCTATACAAAGGCACTAGAATATTTGCTTGTTTTAAAATGAATTGCAAGCTTGTTTTCCACATAACCTGTATCTGTGTAATTTGTTGGTTTTGTAATCAGATTTGAAACATCTAGCTTCTAATGTTTAGTTTAAATTCTTAGTTAACAGCTTTGTTAAGGATAGGATATAATATTTCTTAACCCTGCATTGTTTAGAAATTATGTGAATTCATTTTCCAGTTAAAGTATACCTTTTTTAAAGTATCTAAATTAAAGAAATTATAGCAATTTTACACAAAATCTTTCAGTAGCATAACATATCTTCTCCATCTTTTAACTATTATATTTGAGGAGAACAGGCTGGCAGGAGGACATGGGTGAGGGGAAACATACTCTCCCACTGCGTTCTATATATGTTGTATGCTCTGTCATTCAAGGTGTCTATTAACATGATCACCCCACAGTCTAAAATTCCATGGTATTTCCAAAAGTAGTTTGTTGTGGGCTGCCCTGCCCATGTGGCTTGTGTTGAATGTCCACAGATAAATATGTAGAATTTTTAGGTCTCAATTTTAGTTTTTCTGCCTCCCTTCCTTGTAGCAACTGTAATGTTTTGGTGTCACTGACAGCTTCATCTTTATCAGTGAGTCCCTTCCTCCCTTTATGCTGAATTAGAAGTCTGGGATTTTGGTCTAAAGGTCGCCTGAATAATGTGTATAAGATAGATTGACTAGATTTTATGATATTTCTTTTGATTCCTTAGTGCTTTTTCTTTCTTTCTTTTTATGATTCTCAGCTGTGGTCTAGATCAGCAGCTCTCTCGTTTACTCATACAGTACTTCGTGATGAATTTCATTCAGATACTGATGTATTCCCAAAGGAATAGCCGGGTTTAGGTGCTCGTCTCAGCTTGATGGCTGTAATCTGACTCTCTTTTTGTCTGCTCAGTAATGCATTTGGAATTCAAGTGAAAGTGAGGTTATGTTCAAATTTAAATCCTGGAAATCATATTATCCTTCTTAATGGAATGTTAGGAAATTACTTGCAACATTTCTCACAAATAGTCCTGGAGTCTAAGTTGAGACCCAGTGGTATATGTAGTGAAGTTGCTTCGTGAGCAGTACCAAAAGTGAGCTATTACTTAAAAGTATGAAAGAAGAAATTAAAACTTAAAAAATGAGACTGTGCACTGTTTCCATTTGTGTTATTTCAGACAGTGTTGTAATCTTTTATCATAGTAATAGAACAAGCTAATTTATAGTTTAACCTTCATTTATAACGTTTGGAGGTTGAAATATTGTACAATATTTGTTGAGCAGCAGTAACATCTCCCTTCAGAGAGAACTTTTAGGAAATTTATAAGAGCAGGTTATTTCGTGAGTTAGGTATCAGGATTCATTTATTTCCTTTCTTTATGGATATCCTGTTAAGCCACCATTTACGGAAAAGACTGAAAAGAAATTTAGGCCGGGTGTGGTGGCTTACGCCTGTAATCCCAGCGCTTTGGGAGGCTGAGGCGGGCGGATCACGAGGTCAGGAGATCGAGACCATCCTGGCTAACACGGTGAAACCCTGTCTCTATTAAAAAAAGAAAATACAAAAAAATTAGCTGGGCATGGTGGCAGGCGCCTGTGGTCTCAGCTACTCGGGAAGCTGAGGCAGGAGAGTGGCATGAACCCAGGAGGCGGAGCTTGCAGTGAGCTGAGATCGCACCACTGCACTCCAGCCTGGGTGACAGAGCGAGACTCCGTCTCAAAAAAAAAAAAGAAAAAGAAATTTATAATCGGCTTGTTAGTTTTTCCCTACACACACGTCTGCGTGCACACACACCTACCCAATCAAAACCTGCTGGCGTTTTGATTGGGATTACATTAAATCCGTGGATCAATTTAGGAGAATTTTCATTCTTACAATATTTGTATCTCCCAAACTATGAACATGGTATATCCCTACATTTACTTGAGTCTTCTTTAATTCATCTTAATATGAGGTCTTTATGTCTTTTGGTAAATTTTTTCCTAGTGCTAGGTGTTTTCTGATATTATTAAAAATGACTTTGTTTTTTAAATTGCATTTTCTATTGACTGGTATATAAAAATGTAGTTGATGTATACCTAGCTTTTAACCTAGTAGCTTCAGTTGATTATTTTATAAGTTAATTTCTTTGAAAAGAAAATTAGTACATTTCAAATACTGTCCTCTCAAATTTTTCCCCTTCTGTCTGTCCTTCTATTTATCTCTTATTTGCTCTTGTTATTTAGATTTTAATATTTCAACTTAATATCTACCAAATCCTAAAATAACCAGCATTTTAAATATATTCCATATTTTTGGTATGTGGTTTTAATAGAGTGACTGAATATTTGGCCTTAGATTTAAAACAATTTTCAGAATAAATATGTCAATGTTTGTTTACTTATCTAATTGTTAAACTCTCATATAAACACTCATTAATCCTCTTAATGTTACCTGAAATATCATTGAAGGATGTTATCCTTATCTCTGGGGAAGGTATGAAATTTTCCAAGTTTTGGTTGATAAACTAAGG
The DNA here is from genome assembly GCF_000001405.40 of Homo sapiens. Taxonomy (NCBI): domain Eukaryota; kingdom Metazoa; phylum Chordata; class Mammalia; order Primates; family Hominidae; genus Homo; species Homo sapiens. The sequence goes on along the minus strand of NC_000005.10, from coordinate 38,507,800 downwards.
AGTATTTTTTTTTTAATTCAGATTTGTGAAAAAAAAATTTTACAGAATTTTTAAACAAGTAGTTTTTTTAAAAAAGAACTTTTACCTAAAGTGAAAGATAGTTTGGATAAATATGAGAGAGGAAATACCAGTTTCTATATGTGTATGGTTAAACATGATTACAGAAATATGAATTTCTACAATAAGCAGTGTCAGACTGCAGACTTTTAATTTATCACTTTTTTTTTTTTTTTTTTTGAGACGGAGTATCGCTCTGTCGCCCAGACCAGATTCCAGTGGCACAATCTGGGTTCAGTGCAGCCTCCACCTCCCAGGTTCAAGCGGTTCTCCTGCCTCAGCCTCCCGAATAGCTGAGACTTCAGGCACCCTCCACCACACCCGGCTAATTTTTGTATTTTTAGTGGAGACGGGGTTTCACCATGTTGGCCAGGCTGGTCTCAAACTCCTGACTTCAGGTGATTTGCCCACCTTGGCCTCCCAGAGTGCTGGGATTACAGATGTGAGCCACTGCACCTGGGCTCATTTATCACTTTGAAGGTCTCGTCTTAAAAAAAAAAAAAAAATTTCTTTTAATTTTTCTAGTCCTGCCTTAAAGCTGGGGAGAGCAGTTTTGATAAAGAGAAAAACAACAAAAGAGCCGCAGTCAGTTTGTATATACTGAGATGCAGAATTTTACCAAGAGTTTTCTAAACAACAGTACTTATAATGTATTTTAGAACTCTGAAACATGTAACATGACTTACTGATTTTCAATATGATTTGGTATTTCTTTTCGAATCACAGTATATTGATGATAGATGATAATACTTTTAACCTGTAGATTTCTCTGACAACATATTAGACTCAGGTTTCTTTGAGAGATTTGGTAGCCTCTGAAATAGGATTAAGGGAAAAAAAGTGACAACTGATATTTCAAGTTGCTACAGGGAGTTTCCAGATGAGCTAAGAGTCATTTTTCAGTATATTTTAATCTGTCAATTCTAATGTAATATGAACTCTGACAAGACATGCTACAGAGAGAATAATTCCTGCATTATTCAAAAGTAAAATGTAAATAGTAAATTATTTCATTTTTTAGGAAATTGTGGAAAACATTGACGTTTATAAAATATTATGTTTTCAGGGAAAATATATGTAATCATAAGTACCTGCATTTTTTTTCTGTTAGATCCACCAGATACTCCTCAACAACTGAATTGTGAGACACATGATTTAAAAGAAATTATATGTAGTTGGAATCCAGGAAGGGTGACAGCGTTGGTGGGCCCACGTGCTACAAGCTACACTTTAGTTGAAAGGTAATGATAACTGGGAAAAGATGTCAGATGGCAAGGAGTACGTTGGAAGTGCATGTTAAATGACATAGGGAACTGCACTAGATCATTTATGTTACAAACAAGATATAAAACCAAATATGCTGTATAAAATTACACTTATAAGCACTGCAGTTCAGCCACATGTACACTCAATTTTATGTCTCCTCTTTTAAGAAGCTTAGAATGAAGAACACTTGAACATGAACAGAGACTGTTTCTCGGTAGTAAACTTATGGCTGATTAATTTCTTCTATTTTCTGTATCACATACATTTTCTTCTCTGAGTATGTAATATGCTTCTAATTAGAAATTTAAACTTTTTATACAAATTAAGTATTACGAATTTGCCCGTTTTTTCCTGCAATATTTATCTCTTGCCATTTTGAAATTATTTTTCTGTTAATTAACAGTTTTTCAGGAAAATATGTTAGACTTAAAAGAGCTGAAGCACCTACAAACGAAAGCTATCAATTATTATTTCAAATGCTTCCAAATCAAGAAATATATAATTTTACTTTGAATGCTCACAATCCGCTGGGTCGATCACAATCAACAATTTTAGTTAATATAACTGAAAAAGGTAAGCTGTACATAAACTAATGTCTTAAAAATAACTTTAAAAGTGGTGAAATGCTTTAATGAAAAATGCTTATAGGGATTACTTTTTGCTGATTATTTTCTTTATAGTTACTTAATATTAATTTCATAAATTTTATTTATAAAAACTTTAAATGTATAATTTCAAGTTTTACTATTTTATTGAATTTAAATACTTGAATTAGTAATTTACTCTTTCTGATAATTTTTGATTTCTGAAATATCTTCTGCCCAATTTTTAAAAACTTTTATTTTGAAGTAATTGTTGACTCACTGGTAGTTACAATAATAAGAGCCTTGTGAACCCATCCCCTGGCTATTCCCAGTGGTGTCATCTTATATAATTCTAGTACAATATCAGAACCAGGGAATTGACACTCTTAAAACACTGTTAACTAGACTACTGACCTTGCTCAGTTTTTATGTGCATTCATTTGTACTCGTGTGTGTGTGTGTGTGTGTGTGTGTGTGTGTGTGTGTGTGTGTAGTTCTATGCAATTTATAGGTATAGATTCAGGTAACCACCACCACATGCAAGATACAGAACTGCCCTGTCACTACAAAGGAACTTGCTCATGTTGCCCTTCCAGCATCCCCTGTACATACAGTCACATCCCTGTGCCTTGACAACAACGAATCTATTCTTCATCTCTGTTTTATCAGTTTGAGATTGTTACATAAGTAAAATCATACAGTATGCAGTTTGGCATTTTTTTTTTTAAGGATGTCCTGGAGAGCCATCCATGTTGTTGTATGTATTAATAGTTCGTCCCTTTTATTACTGATTGCATTTTTACCAATCGTATTAATATATAGCTCCAAATAAAAATAAAATGTGCTTGGTCTTTTTGGTATTCATTCCCATGGTCCATGTGCATTAACACTCCATGTCAGGCTCACAGCACACTGAGCAACGGCCTAGACCTTCTCTTAGAGACTCAGGCAGGGGAGAAAGGGCCTAAACCGAAGGCATGTCTCATACAGTCTCACAGCTGATTAGTAGATGATCCTGTTGCCTTATTTGTAAGCATAAGTCACTTTTATCAGTTGTTCTTTCCTGTCGTCTTTGCGATTTCTGGATTTTTCCTAGTGTCACCATGGCTACATTTTATCCTTGCATGGTAGTATTTGTATGTATTTGTCTGCCCTCTGCCATTTCAGCCTTATTTCCCATGTGATTCTTTCCCGCCACTCAACTGGGCATACACACTATCACCAGTGTAATATGCAGTTTGCCTCGCTGTACCTTCATTATTGGCATCTCTGCCTAAAATGCTTTTCTGCATTTTTTTTGGCTAATTTTTGTCTGATTCTTCCTGCATAGCTCATCTTAAGTTCCATCTTCACTGTAAGACTTACCTTACCATGCTTACATTTACATAGTGGTTAATATCTGTATCATTCATTTAGAACTTGGCATTTATATTCTTATTAATTACCTTTCTTTCTTTTTTCTTTTCTTTTTTTTTTTTGGTCATTCCCTAAGTAAATTAGAAGTTCCTTAAAGGTAGATACTGTGATCTTAACTACCTTTGAGTATTCCTGACACTAATTTAAGAGCTTTGAGCATGATCGATTGTTTAAAAATGTTGGCAAGATGTCAGTAGTAGAAATTAGGTTTGTCAATTCCACAAATACTGGGTAGGATGTTGTTGGTCAGCACTAATGATGCCTCGTTGTTTTTTATGTTTTCTTCTCATTTGTCATATTAGAAGATAGTTTTTCCCTTTAAATAAGTGTTTAATCTTTAAAAATTATATTTGCAGTTTATCCCCATACTCCTACTTCATTCAAAGTGAAGGATATTAATTCAACAGCTGTTAAACTTTCTTGGCATTTACCAGGCAACTTTGCAAAGATTAATTTTTTATGTGAAATTGAAATTAAGAAATCTAATTCAGTACAAGAGCAGGTAAGATTCTCTTAAAGACTTCCTTTGTGATTATTTTGGATAAAATAGTTCTCAAAAAGAATTAAGCAAATTGATATGCTTAAGCTCTCAGATTATTTATTATAGAGATTTACTAAGAACCAAGAAAGACATTACTATCCATGTAATAACAGCATTGTATCATTTGAAAAACAATTGTAAATATGACTTTTACTCCTCAGAATGTTCCCAGATGCACTATAGTACCTGGCACATAGCTGGTGCTCCGTAAATTTGTGAATGAATGAGTAGTTTTTGCTGTAACTTTTAGCATCATTAATGGATGAATTGGCACTAGACAGCAGAAGTGATTTTTTAAAACTGTGAAGTGTGGCAGTGGGAACAAGCTGTAATTGGTACTTAAAAGTCACAACATGACTTTTTAATACATTTTAAATATTTAGGTTGACTTTTATATTATACTATCTTGTAATTTGTGGTAAGTCTGAAATAAATGAGGTGTACTTAACTATTCATTTGGAAATTTACTGATGTCTAGAAAATCAGTCACAACTGTAAAATATAACCTGAAAACCTTCTTTGTAATGTTTTGGGGAGCTCAGAGGCTTTTGTGAAACAGGCAGATATTCAAATTTGTTTAGAAATGTTTCATTTTAACTATATTTACTTAGTTTAAGGAAGTATTTGTTGAATATTTGCTACATGTTTAGCATCATACTAGAAGTTCTAAGTGTCATATTAACAAAGATGCACAAAAGGTAATGCCTGCCTCCAAGAAACTTCCAAATATCATCCAAATAATACATTTATTCCTCACAGTCATCTCAAATTATAAATCACATTAAGGTTTATTGCATCACCATTAGCCCTTTGATTATCAAAATTATATAATCCTTTAGATAATTTAATTGACCATTATTACTTAGAGCCAGTATTTGGATTAAAAAGATAACCCAATTTTTTATTACTATTACAGGGCATAATTTCATTGGCTTGGCAGGTATATAAGAATTAAAATATTACAGTGGATAAACTGCTTTGGGTGTTACATATACAAACTCATTGACATTCCGTTGGTTTGTGTTACAAATGTGAAGGCTTTCTTACCAAAAAAAAGTGTATGTATGTGTATGTATATATATATGTATTCATACACATAATATATACATATATATATATTTATTTGTTTTCCAATAGCGGAATGTCACAATCAAAGGAGTAGAAAATTCAAGTTATCTTGTTGCTCTGGACAAGTTAAATCCATACACTCTATATACTTTTCGGATTCGTTGTTCTACTGAAACTTTCTGGAAATGGAGCAAATGGAGCAATAAAAAACAACATTTAACAACAGAAGCCAGTAAGTTAACTAAGTGATGTATGGCTAATAATTACTGTGTATTCTGAAGTTTTACAACTTCTTTAAAAAGAAGATGTTGGCCGGGTGCAGTGGGTCACACCTGTAATCCCAGCACTTTGGGAGGCCGAGGTGGGCAGATTACCTGAGGTTGGGAGTTTGAGACCAGCCTGACCAATATGGAGAAACCCCATCTCTACTAAAAATACAAAATTAGCTGGGCATGGTGGTGCATGCCTGTAACCCCAGCTATTTGGGAGGCTGAGGCAGGAGTGAATCGTTTGAATCTGGGAGGCGGAGGTTGCAGTGAGCCAAGATTGCGCCATTGCACTCCAGCCTGGGCAACAAGAGTGAAACTCCGTCTCTAAATAAGAAAAAAAAAATGCTATTAGAGTCCTTAAAGGTGGGGGAATGTTTAGATAAATTATGTAATACCTGCTAATAAAATATCACAGATATTTTAAATGATAGTTTTGAAGTTTTGTCATAGTATAGAAAAATGATTGGCATAAATTATGAGAAAGCCAGGGCTCCTCTATCTATACTATGATTGCCACCATATTACGATAATGCATAGAATGATTTTTCTCCCATTCTTTTCTGCTTGGAATTTTAATTATGCTTTTAACTCATTGGCCTTTTTTTTAAAAAAAAAAAACAATTACTAAAAAAGAGAATTTGTTAGTTTTTATTTGTGACCTAGACCTGAGAAATGTGGCTAAAAGGTCTTGAACTTCAGTTTCTGTAGTATACCCAGGTCAAGTTAGGTATAAAATCAGGTAACTGGTTTTCTAAATATGATAATTTCCAAAGACAGAATGATATTCTATCTTCGAATAACCAGATGTCAGGTGTAAAAAAAAAAAAACTCAGAAATAGGTTTAATTTTTTATTTTTTTGAGACAGAGTCTCACTTTGTCACCTAGGCTGGAGTGCAATGGCGCGATCTCGGCTCACTGCAATGTCCGCCTCCCGGGTTCAAGTGATTCTCCTGCCTCAGCCTCCCAAGTAGGGGCCCCACCACCACGCCCGGCTAATTTTTGTATTTTTAGTAGAGATGGGGTTTCACCGTGTTGGTCAGGCTGGTCTCGAACTCCTGACCTTGTGATGTGCCTGCCTTGGCCTCCCAAAGTACTGGGATTACAGGCGTGAGCCACTGTGCCCGGCCGAAATAGGTTTAATTTTTAGGAATCATTTAACAAAAGATAGCAAAAGCTTTATTTATATTATGCAGTATAATACTTCCTCCAAAAATTTAAGAAATAGCAAAGCAAATAAATGATAGATGTTAATCTAGATTTTTGCCTCTCCACATGAAGACATGTGAAGAATAGAGATGAGGGCATTTTGCGACATGTGTAAGAATTACTTGTATCATCAAAAGTGAAAGCTATGCATGAGTACAGAGAGGGAGGATATGAGTTATCTATTGCTGTGCAACAAATTACCCTAAAATTCAGTGGCTTAACACAGCAGATGTTTATGATCTTCCCATTTCTATGGGTTAAAAATCCAGGAGCAGCTTAGCTGGATCTCTCTGACTTGGAGTCTTTCATGAGGCTGCAGTCAGGAATGTGGGTGGGGACTGCAGGCTTCACTGGGGCTAGAGGATCCACTTTCAAGATGGTTCACTCATGTGGCTAAAGGCAGGAGGCCTCAGTTCCTCACCTTGTGGGCCTCTCTCTAGGCCTGCTTAAGTGTGCTCATGACATGGCAGCCAGTTCCTCCCAGAGCCGGTGACTGAACAGTATCTTTTATGCTCTAAAATCGGAAGTAACATACCATTATGTCTACTGCACACTGTTGGTCACACAGGCCAACCCTGATGCAATGTGGGAGGGCACCACGCACATGGGGATTATTGGTCATTTTGGAGACTAGCCACTGTAGTTTTTGCCTTCAGTTAATGAGCTGTTGTCTCCAAGAGGAAACATCTTATTTGCACCTCATTAAGATGAAGGCATCAATTTACTCAACAAATATTTACTGAGTATGCATTACAGATTGAACATACGTAATCTGAAAACCTGAAATGCTCCAAGATCCAAAACTTTTTGAGCACCACCAGGATGCCACAAATGGAAAATTCCACACTTAAGTACTTAACACAAATTTGTTTCATGCACAGAATTATTTAAAATATTGTATGAAATTACCTTCAGGCTGTGTGTATAAGGTGTATGTGAAACATAAATGAATTTTATGTGTTCTTGGATCCCATCCTCCAAGATATTTCATTATGTATATGCAGATATTCTACAATTAGAAAAAATCCAAAATCTGAAACACTTTTGCTCCCAAGCATTTCGGATGAGGGATACTCAACCTGTATGTGTCTGGAATTGTTCTAGTTAGCAGTGATATAGCAGCAGATAAAACAGAGATCTCGGCCTATGGAGTTTGTAGGATCCAGGACTAGAAATAAATTTATATATATACACATCTATATGTATGTATGTACACACACAAACACAAAGACACAGACACATCAGTTTATCAGCTGGTGACAAATGCCACAGAGGAGAGGAAGTGATAGGAATAGAGGCTGAGGGATAAGGAGGGGGTGAAGGGAATGGCAGTTTTAAATAGGGTAGTTAGAAAAGACCTCACTAATAAGGTAATACTCAAGCTGAGATACAAAGATCAGGAAGCATGCCATATTGTTTTTATCTAGGAGAAGAGAGTTGTAGGCAGAGGAAGAGAGGGCACAGAAGATGCAGAGAGCCTGAGGCAGTTGTGTCTTTGGCATATCTGAGGGACAGCCAGGAAGCCAGTGTGTGGCCAAGAAAGGAGGGAGTGAGAGGATGTGAGGCAGAGGGGAACCCAGGGAATCAGTACAGCTGGCCTGCAGGTAGATTTTCACCCATTCGAGGGGGCCGTGTGTTTTGCAAAAGTTGTTGAGAGCTTAGATTTTCCATTGCTTCATTTTCTAAGTGGAAGCCACTGAACTGCTTCACGTTTTATTGAGAATTCCAAACATCCTAGAAAAAAAATGCCAAGCACCATATACATATAGTATGTGTCTTCAGATATTAACTTTAAAATCTCCTTTTTAGGTCCTTCAAAGGGGCCTGATACTTGGAGAGAGTGGAGTTCTGATGGAAAAAATTTAATAATCTATTGGAAGGTAAATATCTAATTTTTCTGTGAACATTTACATTACTTTGCTAAACTGCTTAACTTACGCATGGTACTTGGGTTATCAAGGAGCTGAAACTTCCCAGACTGGCTTTTGTTGCAATATTGGTGAGAATCTAACCTGGTTCCTAAACCCCCCAAATTCCTCGTCACTCCTAACTCCCCACAGTCATTTGAGGATCTCCTGTGTCAGATCTGAGCCTTCTCGAGTTTGATCTTATAAGGCCTGTAAAGGACCTGAAGATTTCATGAATTCCATCTCCCTCACTTCAGTCAAAATCTGTAGGTTAGAATCCTAAGTGTTTGTTATATTTTTTTCTATTAATAGGAAAGTAAATTTTTATATACTTCATGTGTAATTTATTTCCCTTCAATAAATTGCATTATAACATGCCAGTTATAAAGTTTTGTATGATTTTGTAAAGTATTTAGATGAAATATGAATTGCATATTTTACTAATTTTTCTCTGCTGGAACATTTTTTGTTGCCATATTTTTAAGTATTTTATGAATATCAAAAACATGAACAATTGTTTTCTATATTAGATTTTACACAAGCAGTCATAATAGGATTCCTTTAAATAGTGAATTTTGTTATGGAAAGTAAAACATAATTTTATTTAAAAAAACTTTTGACGTCGATACAGCTTTGAGTAAAGTGAAGTGTACATGCAGGTTCAATGTGAGTTCCATTGCTTTGAGATTGTATTTGACTGTTACATCCACTCTTGATTAGAAAATCCCCCAGCTACTCTCAGTTGCCTGTCAGATTTCATGATAATATAGCAACGATTATACAATTTACTTCAATATACGAAAGTTTGAAATATTGTTCAAACTAGACGAAAACTTAAGACTAAAAACATTGAAATGATTTAGATTCTAGCTTCATTATCTATGCTGATGGTGCCGCCATTTGCCAAGTCAGAGTGTGTTCGGGTAGAAATTATGTAGTTTTGGTCATAGTGAGTTTTCAAAAGGTATGCCACTGGGATATCATGAGTAGAGTTCAGTAGGCGGTTTGATATATGTAAGGCTCTGGAGCTCAGGGGAGAGGTTGGCACTGAAAACAGCTTTGAGTAGCATATAAATGGGATCACTTGGAGATGCAAGGTGAAAAGTGGGCCAGGGATGGAGCCCAGGTGACAGCAGCATGCATAGAACCAGCAGAGGAGGAGGAACCAGCAGAGGAGATGGGGAAGGTTTAGAGGGGCAGGAACAACGAAGAAAATAGAATTAGAGAAGCTGGGGGAGGAGGACATTTCAAACAGTGTGTGGTCTGGAGTATCCCAAGAAGCCCATAAGTCTTAGGACTAAAGCCTGCCCCTTAGAGCAGGCCATTTGGAGCATCACAGAGACCTCTGCTGGAGCAGAGTGTTTCGCAGTGTTAGATCATCCTCAGTCTTGACCAGAGAGCCCCATACATTGGTGTATAAATTAAGGCAGTTGTTATGAAAAGCAGTTCAGTATAAATGAAGAGGTTTGAATGTTCATTTGTTTTTATACAGTAAGTTCACTTTTAGAAATTCATATTAAAAATTTCTATGAAAAAGAAAAAAAGTGGCACAAAAAAGTTCACCAAAATATTTGTTTTAGTATTGTGAAAAATTAGAAACAACTTAAATTTCATTTATTTAAGGGATATTCAAGTACACTGGTAAAAATGCTACATAAGACATAAAACCATGAAAATGTATATAACTGTATTATGGACAAGCGTATATTAGCATATATTATGGAAAAGTAAAAAGTAAAATGGTGTAATATGATTAAAACAATGTTAGTAAAAAAATCTATACCTAGAAAAACAACTTGAAAGAAATATCAAAATGAAAGAATACTTAAGAGGTGGGAATATGGGAGATTTTTACTTGTTTCAACTTCTATATATTTTCCAAATTTTCTGTAGTGGGCATGTAATACTTTAAAATGAGAAAACAAATGTTTAGAAAAAAACCCATGATGCTATTTTTTAAAATGTTTTGTTTGTTGCTAAGTAGAGCAGTGCTTCTGGATAGTTTTAAAAGTTTTGCTCCTGAAAAATGTGGAGATAAATATTGTTTTTTATTCACTTAATTTTTAAATTTTTGTGTACTCTTACTGCTTATAGCAAGTATAGTTTTTCTTCAGTGTCTCTTTCCTGATTTACCCTGCTCCCAGTGGATTTTAAATCTGTGTTTTACACTGTTGAGAGATTCATTTTTGCTGTTGTTGTTGTTGAGACAGAGTCTCGCTCTTTGAACCAGTCTGGAGTGCAGTGGCACAAACTCAGCTCACTGTGACCTCCACCTGCCAGGTTCAAGTGATTCTCCCGCCTCAGCCTCCTGAGGTGCCACCATGCCTGGCTAATTTTTGTATTTTTAGTAGAGACAGGGTTTCATGTTTGTCATGTTTGGCAGGCTGGTCTCGAACTGCTGACCTCATGATCCGCCTGCCTCGGCCTCCCAAAGTGCTGGGATTATAGGCGCACTTGGCCAGCTTCATCTTTTCTGATACTACCTTGTAACTGGTTGTTTTTTGTTTTTGAGATGGAGTCTCGCTCTGTTGCTCAGACTGGAGTACAGTGGCATGATCTTGGCTCACTGCAACCTTCACCTCCTGGCTTCAAGTGATTGTCCTGCCTCAGCCTCCCAAGTAGCTGGGATTACAGGCGCTCACCACCACACCTGGTTAATTTTAGTATTTTTGGGAGAGACTGGGTTTCACCATGTTGGCCAGGCTGGTCTCGAACTCCTGACTTCAAGTGATCCACCTGCCTCGGCCTAAGTGCTGGAATTATAAGCGTGAGTCACCACGCCTGGCCAACCTTGTTATTGTTAATATAGTGTCCAGTTTAAACCCAATTACCTTGCCTAGTCACAGTCACGTTTTGCAGGGTTTTATAACAATTTGTCTGTTTTTCATAGCCTTTACCCATTAATGAAGCTAATGGAAAAATACTTTCCTACAATGTATCGTGTTCATCAGATGAGGAAACACAGTCCCTTTCTGAAATCCCTGATCCTCAGCACAAAGCAGAGATACGACTTGATAAGAATGACTACATCATCAGCGTAGTGGCTAAAAATTCTGTGGGCTCATCACCACCTTCCAAAATAGCGAGTATGGAAATTCCAAATGGTGAGTGCTTGAGATGATTTAGTATATAAGAACGGGAAACTAAAGTGAGAAATGTCTGATGTTACTTGCTCTTTTGTCATGTCAGCCTTCTTCTCGTATACCTTGTTGCTGCTGACCTAGAAGGCAGAATGAGCAGATTGATGTCTACAGTTCATTGAGAAAGAAGTCATTAGTATTGACTTGAAGCATGTGCACTGATGGATACAATCATTACTGTACTCAGTAACTATAGTGGATAATATTGGAGAGTTACAGTGGTGGATAGTACTTTTAGGAAGAAATATTTTAAGAGTTTATTCAAATGATATTCAGACGCTTCTCCAAGACACTTCCCCAAGACTAGGAAAGTTTATTTTAGGTCAGCTAGGCTGTTTTGCAAATTGTTGGGCAGGAAAAAAAAAAAACGCTTATTTTAATTAGCACCTTTTTTGATAAGAAATTCCTTATTAATAGAAATTCTTTATTGATTAAAAAAAGTCTTCTTAAGGTATAAATTAGATCTTCAATATAGGCCTTAGAAAAACAACTGTGGTGTAGTTTTTAAAATTTAGTGCCTTTCTTTAAATTTTACAGATGTCCAGTGATTAATACATTCTTCCCAGCTTCTGCCTTGACAACTTTGAGAGTTATGAGCTTTAAACGGCCACTTCCACCTCTTCTTCCACAGACCTCTGTGCTCCAGTCATTTTCTGCCTACCCACCTTTGCTCTCTTGCCCCGATATGGGAGCACCTTTCTGTAACCACAGCTCCTAGAGGAAGAAAAATTGGTCCAGTTAGGGTCCTCTAAGTAGCTTTCCAACTCCAGTTTGAGGCTGTTTCTTATTGTTACTTGACTGCATCTTTGTTCTCTTTGAGTCAGTCATAGGAGAATTAGGAGGAAGGAAGGGGGAAAACAAAGTGCATTTCAGAGATACAAACCCCAGGCAGCAGTGCTGCTGGAGATGCACAGGGGTTGTGGCAGGTGCTGGGAGGAGGGGCTTAATAATGGCTTCTTCATTTTGGCCTGGCAAAAATAACAAAATAAAAAATGAAGGAGACAGAGATGTGAACATCCATAAGAAGATAACATACTGATTTAGATTATATGTTTCATTGCACTCACAATGCTAGGCAATAGCTATGTTGTCTTTTAATTCAGGAAACATAATCCTACCTTTTCTGTGTATCCCTTAGAAAATGGTAATTTACAGAACTAGCAATTCTGTCATCAGCTTCCAGACACTTTCTGAAACCCCAGAACAAATCCTCATTCCTTGAGGATTTCCCGAGTGGAGGGAGGCTCTGCAGCCTCAACTCAGGTTTACACTGTGGCTTTTTAATCACGTTGAGCAAAAAAAGCTGTTATGTCCGAAGTGTTCTCTATTCTCAGCCAAATTGTTGTCTTGCGTTTAGTAGTAGTTGCTTTATGAATGTACATTTTGTTCAAAAAACTTGTCTGTGTTTATTTTTACTGAACCCTTAAATATAAATCAGTTATAGCTATTAGTTACTTTCTCCTGTTACAGTGGGTAATGTCTGTGTTGGTTTTACTGAACGCTCTCTGTAGCCTGTGGGTGATTAAGTACTCTCCCATGGCTGCATCCCGTCAAGGGCCGCTCACCTGCAGTTTGCAGGCTCCTGAGCATCTGGCTCCTGCGACAATTACTCGTCTAAAAATTTATTCTTAGAAACCTTTCTATGTTTGTTTTTACTGAACCCTTAAATACAAATCAGTTATAAAATCTACCTCTTTTCTCCTGTTACGGTGGGAAATTTTCTTCTCCCTTTTGACCACACTGCCCTATCTTCTACCCCAATTCTTCACCCCCAGCCTGGGGTTCCACTTCTTACCTAGGCCAAGATCTGGCAAGACAGGGAAACAAAACCTTGCCAGGGCCTCTGCGCCTGTCTTCTGCCCTCAGCCTTTGCCCCTTGCCCCTTGCCCCTTGCCCCTTGGTGTCTCCTAGGACGCTGTGCAGACTTCTCCTTCTCAGTGTCCACACTGGCCATCCCACCTCATCGCCTCTGGGTGTCTCCACAGCTTTCTCCCTTGCCCCCACCCTACCCCTGGTCAGCCAGACAACCCCTTCAGCCCAGCTCTTGGGCTGCAGTCTTCGTTGAAAGAAAGAGGGGGCTAGTTCTTCTGCTGTTTCCACAAGTTTGTTGTGTGCCTACTCTGCACATTGTACTGGGCCCCGCTTGTTCTCTGCACGCATTCATAGTGAGTGATGAGAGGAGGGCTTCAGACTGTCCACTGTCCCCTCCCCAGTCTCCCTCTCCCACCCTGTCCCAGCCAGTGTCCTTAGCTGCGTCCTTCCTGTGCCTTGATCTTGATGTCCTAGTCCCAGTATGTCACTACCTGATCCTAGGCGCTTTTTAAAAACGACTTTCTTTGAGCTGCTGTGTTAATCTATGTATACAGGTAAGTGCTACAGTTGTTAAAATGAAAATAACAGAGCAACACTTCTAATCTTTGCTCTAGGTTTATCTAGTTTGAGCACTATTTTATAATTTCTTCACAATGAAGTGATTTTTCTAACTCATGTCCATTTTTATGAGATTTGCCTTATATTATTGTTTTTAATGCCAGTAAAATATCCTCCTTTCTTATTGAAGATGATCTCAAAATAGAACAAGTTGTTGGGATGGGAAAGGGGATTCTCCTCACCTGGCATTACGACCCCAACATGACTTGCGACTACGTCATTAAGTGGTGTAACTCGTCTCGGTCGGAACCATGCCTTATGGACTGGAGAAAAGTTCCCTCAAACAGCACTGAAACTGTAATAGAATCTGGTAAGATGAATTAGTGTCTCTCAATTAAGTTCTACAAAATATTTTTAAAAGGCAACACGTAAGACTGGGTGCAGTGAAGTGATTCTCTTTACTGCTGGATGGGTATAAATAGGTTTGACTTTCCTGGGAGGGTAGTTGTGGCAGCACATGGAAGGATCCAAACCCTTTGATCTGGTAATTACTGGTCTAGAAATTTATTCTTAGAAATAATCAGAGAACAACACAGATTTAATCTAAGAATGTTCATGACAGTATTATTGATAATTGTGAAAAATTAAAAACCCAAATAGCAAATAAGGGAATGAGTAAATGATGGTACACCTATAAAATGGAATGTTAAGTAACATTAAAAATTATGTGGAAAATTAAATAAATGTTCATGAAAAAAAAAAACTACGGAACTGTAGCCTGGTCTCACACAAGGGCCTTTGCCTTGTTTGCCCAGGGTCCAGGTTACCAAGGTTAGGGAGAGACTGAGCACAAAGACCGTGAACCCCTTACCACTTAACCCTGATGCAGGGCAAGGGGGCATCGGCTGGACTGAGCGCAGTGTGGGTGGGAGGCCTTGCGTTCCATGAGCCTGATGCTCAGGAGCTTGTGAGCTGCCGGTGAGTGTCCCTCTATGGGATGCAGCCTGAGAAGTTTTTCCACAGAGGAGTGTTTAATAACCTACAGGCTAATCCAGCCTTGTCCTTAGGAATTAGAGCCCTCTCTGCAATATCATCGTTGTTTTCCTGGCACAATGGGAGTGTATCCTGCCTGTCCCCATGGGATTTCTGGACCCTGTAGCTTGTCAGTAGTGATGCTTCGTGATCATTCCTGTCTCCTGCCTCCCTCGCGTGTTAGGGAAGTGCAGAAGAGCAAGCAGCCTGCTCCTTACCTCTCTCTCAGGGAACACTTTCTACTTGCTTACTGTTTCTCTCTCAGATGATGAGGATGGGTCCCATTCATTGGATTATCATGTATGAGTTCAGATTATTTTCCAGTTCTACTTGGAATACAGCCAAACTCCTCCACATGTATAATTGGCTGAAGTGGTAATGATCTTCCTGAGTTGTTCCCTTTATCCTTCCTTACAGTGCACTGTACTTATCAAGGACCCAGCCACATGCTACCCTTCTTTTCCTGCACCTTCCCTTCCATCCCCTCCCATGTTGCTGAATGAGCCTTACACGATTCCAGTCTGTCCTTTCTCACCTGAGCTTTTAGAATAATCAGGATGGACTGGGATAGGCTGGAGTGGATATAAATGGAGTATCTACCCATTTAAGTTTTAGCTGAGACCTGCAGGATATGGGGAAGCTGCCCCGCGATGATTGTGGGAAGAGAACTTTCTGTGCCAACTCAATTGAACAAAGACACAAAGCTTGAGAAAACAAAAACTCAGAGAAGTTAGGTGCCTTTTCCAAGGTCACAAAATTAGTATGTGATAGAACCCAGGTTCAAATTCAGAGTTATTCAGAGCTTCAAGAGGCTGGGAATATTGTCTTTTATTTACTGCTGAGCTTCTGGAACAGCAAGTGGCACATAGTAGGCACACCTTTTATTCCTCTCTCATCCTGTTCTCTACTCATTAAGCTGTCCACTCTCTTTTTTGACCTTAGCACATTCCTAATGCTCTAACCTTCTCAGCCTCTTTTTTTAAAGTGTCAGAGCCCTATAAAATATTGTTAATAAATAATTTTAACATAAAAAGAGGTACAGATTTACAGATGTACATGCAGTATAAAATGATAACCTCAAGCATACCTTTCTCCAAAGAAAAATGTTACAAAACTAAACACAGTTGGCTGAGCTTGAGTTGCATTACTGCATACTTAGGACGTGCCAGCACATAACAAACGTTTAAGGAAAGTGATTACAAGAAGAAAAGTTAATATTTTAGACAAGTTGATTCAGTTTTTCTTGGGTTGTATGATGTTAGAAGTTGACTACTGTCTCAAATTGGAGCCTGTAGGCCACTGGTGTTTTATAGGCACTTGATTGGAGAACTAATGCTTTAACCACACCAGAATAATTGCATTCTGCAAATTAAATGCAATGCCATATGCTGCCAATCCCCCCTGCGTGTCCCCCGGCATTATCTTCTTTCTCGACCACCACTGATGAGCATCTAATTGCCCTTCAAGGCCTTATTCAGATGGCCCTTATTGTAGCTGTTTCTGATCTTTTTAGACTCATTTGGCCCCTCACTTAAGATTCCATGGCATCTGATACATACCTCTAATATAACACACTGTTATGGTTACCCTTGTTCGTCTGTCTTCCCCACCACTCTGCAAGTGTCTCCATGCTTGACGTTTTGTGCATGTCTGTGTTGCTCACATTGTACACATTGCATTGTATTCAGGAGACATTTAAAAGCAGCCTTTTGAATTTAAGTTAAGGTACTTCAATTGGAAGTACCTCTATGTCCTGTGGAGTTAATTCAAAGTATTTCTATATCTTGTGGAGTTAACTCACCCAAGGACACTTAATGGTGATGTTATAAAGAGGAATAAACTCTAAGACCTAATTCCTTTAACACTGAAGCTTCAAGGCAGAGTGCAACTTTTAATTCTGCTTCTTGGAACAAGAGGAGAGAGCAGTGGGTTTGTTTGCTTTTTCCAACTCAGAAATAACACTAGGTAAGGAAGGGATTTATAGAGGCATGATGTGGACCTCGAATGAATGGCTTAGTGAACTGACCCAGGAAGTTGATGTAGACTTACATTTTGTTCATTAAAATCAAGCAGTTGCCAGCACTTTGGGAGGCCAAGGTGGGTGGGTCACGAGGTCAGGAGTTTGAGACCAACCTGGCCAAGATGGTGAAACCCTTTCTCTACTAAAAATACAAAAATTAGCCAGGTGCGGTGGCGGGCACCTGTAATCCCAGCTACTTGGGAGGCTGAGGCAGGAGAATCACTTGAACCCGGGAGGCGGAAGTTGCAGTGAGCTAAGATCATGACCCTGCACTCCAGCCTGGGCGACAAAGCAAGACTCCGTCAAAGAAAAAAAAAAAAAAATCAAGCAATGATGATTTCTTCCTGGAAAAAGGAACAAAATGTAAGCCTTAAATCATCGTTGTTCTCTTCAATGCAATCCCATCTTATATTACTAAACTTTTTGTTAAAATAGAAGTAAATTTAATTTTTGTTTAGTCAATTTTCTTTTGAATATTTACTAGTCTTTAAAATATATATGTATTTTTTAATAAGAAAACATCTTTAAAATTAGCTTTGGAAATTTTAGAGTATGTTATGAACTTGATGTTTCTAAAATAGATATTCATAGTAATATATTTATGAAAGTTTGCTGATATGTTCATCCTATAGATGAGTTTCGACCAGGTATAAGATATAATTTTTTCCTGTATGGATGCAGAAATCAAGGATATCAATTATTACGCTCCATGATTGGATATATAGAAGAATTGGGTAAGTTAAATGGGTACTTATTTATAAGAGCTCAAGGCAACATGAGAAATTATAAATTGGCAACAATGGTATGATTGAATTCTAAAAATAAGATGTATAATTGAAGGAAGGTAAAATAATTTGATAAATTAAAAAGTATTTGATTACTACTTTTTTCTCCTCCTCCTCTTTTTTTTTTTTTTTTTTTTTTTTTTTGAGAGAGGGTCTTACTCTGTCACCCAGGCTGGAGTGCAGTGGTGAGATCATGGCTCTCTTCAGCCTCAACCTCCTGGGCTCAGGTGATCCTCCCACCTCAGCCTCCTGGGTAGCTGGGACTACAGGTGCATGCCACCATGCTCAGCTAATTTTTTTTTTTTTTTGTAGAGATGAGGTTTCATTATGTTGCCCAGGCTGGTCTCAAAATTCCTGGGCTCAAACGATCCTCCCACCTCAGCCTCCTAAAGTGCTGGGATTACAGGCATCAGCCACTGCACTGGGCCTGCTTACTCTGAAATCATTTGTTGAATGTTTACATTTCACAATTTTACTCGTCCTCAGGAAAATTAAATCTGAACTTGGATGTCAAAAATATTTAATTAGTACTTTTACAAGTTTAAAAAACTATTAACTTCTTCAGGACTATCAATAAAGATGTGAAATACAAATGAAGTCTATCTGAATAGCCACTGAAAGATTTTGCATAGATTGCTTCCCTAGATATGTGTTTGTCTAAAAGGGATATTGTAAGTTCTACCTTTGTTCCTAAAAATATTTTTGTCTATGGTTATTAGTATGTAAGCTTCACAAAAAAAGCGTTTGTGATCATCTCTCTCTGAAAGTTTATGATTAAATAAAGTTTTAATTCCAAGTTGAATTATTTTTGAGGCTAGAAAGCTCAGGAAACATTACTGTATTACTCTGTATTCATACACTCCCCTTTAGCAATTGACTTTTTCCTTTTACAGCTCCCATTGTTGCACCAAATTTTACTGTTGAGGATACTTCTGCAGATTCGATATTAGTAAAATGGGAAGACATTCCTGTGGAAGAACTTAGAGGCTTTTTAAGAGGATATTTGTTTTACTTTGGAAAAGGAGAAAGAGACACATCTAAGATGAGGGTTTTAGAATCAGGTGAGTAAATTGATAGCACAAGGAAAGTGTTTCTTAGAAGTTTCTCATTAACCACAACAGAAAAAAAAGGAAAGTCCTGCTCAGTAGTTTAGTACTGGTTTTCAAAACTATCTGAAAGATAGAGAAATGAAAAGGCAGTAATTCTATGAATATAAGAGTTTTAAGATTTTAGTGTGCAATAATGACATGTATAGTCTTTCAGAAATCATTTAAATCATTTATTCTGAAGCCGTTGATTATAAGCCTCATAGGACAGAAACCATCTCTTATTAGAGCTGTACATAATCCATAACAAGGCATCTCATGAAGTTTACTTCCAAAAAGAAATCTTTTACTTACAGCAGTGGAGGAGAAAAACTCAGGAATCCAAAGAGTTAGCTTCAGATCCTCAGTTGTAATTTGACAAAAAACCATTGGCCTATTAGCGTCTTAGCCATGCCCTTGATAAGCTGGAAAACTTAATTGACTTGATTGGGGATGTATTAAAAAGTACAGACAATCCTTGGAAATCGGCAAGTGTACATCCAAAGACTTTAGAGAATTCTCAGATTTACAAATACAAAATTGTACAGATTTCTGGCTTTTCCTTTCATTATGTTTCTGCTGAGAATCAGATATTTCTTATTCATAGCTGCATAACACAAGCATATCATCTTTTCAGTTTGAGAGCTTTCATGTCCCTGGATGACCTCGCCTCAGAAAGAAATCATTTTAATTATTTAATGCCTGTCTGAGAAATAGAGAACTCCACCACGGTATGGCAGTGCTGGCCGAGCACTGTCTCAGTCACTCCCTAGAACACCTGCAGAAAGTGTGTGCCTCCCCTTCGGTCCCCAAGTTCTGCATTTCCTGAACCTTCATGATTGCTGGTGAATGAGGGACATCCTGAATATCAAATTCCACAAACATCCAGAGCCTAGTGTGACTTGCCTCACATGCTTGGAAATTTTACACTTGAACCAGTTAAAATTCTAGCATCTGGATTTCCAGTGAGACATGGTAGATGGGTCACTAAAGTTAGCATAAAGAAGGGGAAACACCCCCAAACTCTAATAAAGCCACAAGGAGAGAACAGAAGAGGCAAAACAACACTGAAAAAGAAGATTCAGAAATTTGTGGGTGGAAGTGGGGCAAATGACTTAAATGAGTGGAAGATTGTGAAATCTGTGTGGGCAGTCAGGCATTGTTGAGAAGGAACTTCTCCAGTACCTGCCAGACCAGGCCTTGGAGGCTGAGTGGTGAGGATCAATCTGGTCTGAACGGAGGGGTCGATTGAAGAACGTTCCTTAGAACTGAAGGGCCTAACTACAAGCAGATCCCCTTCTCCGCTGTTTCACTTACCATGGTTTCGCTTTCTGCCATTTCAGTTACCCCTGGCAAAAAGCAGTCTGAAAATAGATGAGTTCAGTACAATAAGATACTTTAAGAAAGAGAGAGACCATATTTACGTAATTTTTATTACAGTATATTGTTATAATTATTCTCTGAGGAAAATGGGCGGACTACTGTATATAGAGCCAAAGAATTCATTAAATACACAGCAAAATAAATAGAAAAAAGATCTATGCCAAGGTATGTCATTATGAATTTTCCAAGCAGCTAATGTGAAAGAAATGATCAGAGACAAGCAGGTCATGTGCAAGCAATCAGGAATAATAATGGCAATAGACAGCCCAGCAACACTCCAGATACTAGAAGTCTCTTCAAAATACTGAATGAAAATTATTTTCAACCTAAAATTCGATACTCCACCAGTCTGTCAACCAACGTGAGAGAGAAATGCAGATATTTTGTACATGCGAGGCTGCAAACATTTACTTTCCCCATGTTGCTTTTCTCAAGAAGCTACTAGAAGAGTGCATCCTAATGAGGAAATGAAGTGAGGCCGGTCCAGGAAGCCACAGGGGAGAGAGAGCAGGGAGCTCCAGGAGGGCCTCAGCCCTGAAGGCATCCAGTCTAGTGCAGGAGGCAAGGGATGGGTGGAGGGGAGGGCAGAGAAGATGTGGACCTGGGATTTTGTTGTGTTTGACCACGTGGAAAATCTGAGTGTACATTGGAGGATATGGGAAGAATTATTGACTGGTATGTAGAAAATCAAGCAAATGAGGGAAAAAGCAGTTATAACAATGGGAAAACAAGATAGGAAACATGATGACACCAAGCAATGTGTCTTAGCAGTAACTCATATTTATATAATCATAGTAATCCAAACACTGAATTCATCAAAAGTTCCGATGTTTCTATACGAATGATGTGGTGGGGGAAAGGGTGATGGTAGCGTAAAAGAGCTCTATCTTTATCTGCCCTTATAAAGTATGTGTAGATAAGGTCTAATAGTTAAAAGTCACATCTCTCTAAGTTTGCTACTTTGGAATATAGAGATAAATACCCAAAGAAACTTGATTACATGGCTTTTACAGTGGTTGTAGGGGGCGAGGGGAGGAGCTGGTAGAGAACTGTCACTTTTTGTTAGTAACCATTTAGTACTATTTAATTTTTTAACCTGTTATCCTGCATTATTCTGGTTAAATTTTTAAAAATAAAATAGTAGTTCAAATGATTCCTCACTCTTCCTTTTGAAGTTATAACCCAAAGGATTTCTCATTAGTCTTATTTGAGAGTCCCCATCACACTGATCCTTTTTCTAAGTGGTTTGGAGTCATCTCTATTGATCTGCAGGTTTGCTTCATCCCATCTTTCACTCTCACTCATGGGAAGGCTCAGCCTAAGTGGCTTTTGGTTGTGGTGGTTTTCATGCTTTTAGTAGCAGAAATGGGACTATTATTGATTGCCTGCTGTGTGCCAGGCATTATGCTACAGAATGTGTGTGAAAACTTCAAACAGCTTAAGTCATGATATTCTATTTCATCAGTAGAAAAACTCCACTTGAGAGTGGTTTAAATAAGGGGCCCATACGACACAGCTAATGACTGGCGTGGGGGTAGAGCTTGAACAAGGTAGTGGCAGCTCCAGAGTCCTTGGCTGGGATGGCCTCAGCTAGACCCACTTAGAAGGGCAGTTGGTGAGACAGGTGTGGGTAACCATGCATTTGAAACGGGTTAGAGATTAGTGCTAACATACTTCATTTTAAAAATAGGTCGTTCTGACATAAAAGTTAAGAATATTACTGACATATCCCAGAAGACACTGAGAATTGCTGATCTTCAAGGTAAAACAAGTTACCACCTGGTCTTGCGAGCCTATACAGATGGTGGAGTGGGCCCGGAGAAGAGTATGTATGTGGTGACAAAGGAAAATTGTAAGTTTCAGGTTGCTGTTGAGGTGCTTTCCATCCTGCATGCGTAGTGTTCTAGTGATTCTTGGTTTATGTAGGAACCCCTCCCCGCCCTTTCTAAAAAACATTCACATTTTGTTGCAGTTTTTGGCTGGTAGAGGGAAGGGTTAAAAAGCTGTAAGATTACTTCATGTTTATTCTTGTCAGTTATTTGAAGTTATTTCCAAATGAGTACCTAAGAAATTAATGAATTTGGGATACATCTGAAGTCTAGAGGTCTAAAGTCATATTGAATTTATCTAACGGTCAACATTTAAAAATATTTTGCTCCAGCTGTTATGTGATTTCTAACATATCTAGGGAAAAGTGAAGGAGATATTCTTAAAAAAATTTTTTGTAAAGCACAACACTCAAATTTGAGAGAAGAGTGATGGCCTTGACTATCTTTCTGCGGTAAAGAACTTCACTTCGATCATAGGCTTATCCTCTACCCCTGAGTTGGAGTTCACACACAGCTCTTATATAAAGAGCCATGAGGATATGGTTCTATAAAGCAGTGATTCTCAACGGAGAGTGATTTTGTCACCTAAGAGATACTTGGCACTGTCTCGTGTCATTTTTGGTTGTCATAACTGGGGGATACTGCTGGTATCTAGCGGTGAGAGGCCATGGATGCTGTTAAACTTCCAGTAGTGCAAGGACTGTCTCCCCTGATCCTCTAGTGAAGATCTGTCTGGCCTAAAATGTCACAAGTATCAAGATTGAGAAACCCTACTTGGAAGAGTTTAAGTATTTGTATAAAAATTATCACAATACCTGAAAGTTTGATTTTAATAGTTTTTCAGTGTCCCTGCAGCAGTTAATTTTGTTTTTTTCCTAAATAATTTACCAACCTAAATACCTTCTAACATACATCTATTCTGTACTTCACACTAAAAATGGCGATTTTAATATTTGCAATACTCTCGTTTCAGCTGTGGGATTAATTATTGCCATTCTCATCCCAGTGGCAGTGGCTGTCATTGTTGGAGTGGTGACAAGTATCCTTTGCTATCGGAAACGAGAATGGTAATAGTTCTGCATTTACTCTTGCTGTTTTCTTCTTAAAGGCATGATTATAAGATTTGTAAGATTAGTTTATGTATTAAATAAGTGTATCTTTTTTGTTGTAATAAGTTAGTTAAAAAATGTTTTAATTAGAATTAATGTTGGATTTAATATTAAGAACATGACATATTATTTAAAGGTCTTAATAGAGTCAATGTGTAAATTTTTTCTACTATTTTTCCTAATAATTTAAAGTCATAGCAGTTACTATTATAAAAAATATTTATAGGCTGAAATATGGCAATAGCTATCTACAAGATTAAGCATAATTTAATGATTAAGATCTCACTTGCCCTGGTGACCTATTTAGAAAATCTGGTCATTTTAATCATTTGCTCATTTATTCAACAAATATGAATGACCTCTTCCATGTGAAGGGGGATATCATATCGTGGTGCACAAAACAAGCCATGGCTCTTATAGACTTGGAGCACAGTGTGGGAAGAGGGACAGTAAACCATAGGCATCCAGCAAGTGTGTGCTTGCAGAGTGTGAGTGGGTGCTAGGAAGACTGAACCAGGTACCCTGAGGAGACCAGCAGGGGGCTACGTCCTGCGAGCTGGTCGGCCATGGCCCGTCACGGCTGGTCTGCGGTACAGTTCCAAAGGGTAAGGAGAGGGAAAAGAATGTTACAGACAGATAATTATTTCTTTGAGGGCCCTGAAATTGGAAAGAGTCAAACCTTCAGAGAAAGTGGGAGGAGCTGTGTGCCTGGTGAAACAGGAATGAGTGACATGAGGTGAGGTCAGCGGGAGCTCCGTGGGAGAGAGGGCCATGTGCATGGTCACCTGGCAAGAGCTGTCCTGGCTGGGTATGGAGCCAGTGGCTGCATTCATGCTTAGACCAGTCCTCACCGACCTTAAAAATGCCATCATTTATGACAAGAGAACATATTTTAGCAATCCTGGCTTATAAATCAAAATAGTAATAGTTGTAGAACTATAGAATAGTCTATTTTGGTAACCATATTCTCATTACCAAAATTCACATTTTTAAAACAACTATTAGGCCGGGTGCAGTGGCTCACGCCTGTAATCCCAACACTCTGGGAGGCCAAGGCAGGCAGATCACAAGGTCAGGAGATCGAGACCATCCTGGCCAACATGGTGAAACCCTGTCTCTACTAAAAATACAAAAAATTAGCTGAGCATAGTGGCACGTGCCTGTAATCCCAGCTACTTAGGAGGCTAGGAGGCTGAGGCAGGAGAATCACTTGAACCAGGGAGTTGGAGGTTGCAGTGAGTCAAGATTGCACCACTGCACCCCACCCTAGCAACAGTGCAAGACTCTGTCTCAAAAAAACCAAAAAAACAAAAAAAACCCAACTATTAAAGTACCAAAAAAAGAAAAAAAAGACAAAATAAGAAGGGAGTTTAGAAGTTACAGCGTTTCAAACTCACATTAACAAAGTTATTTTTTCTGTAGGAATTTCAAGTAATACAGTTCTTTTTAGTAGCTATAAATATAAAAATATGATAGGACACTGAGCAAATCTCATTTTTGGTTGCGTTTAGTTTTCGGTCAAGATTAATAGCCTTTTTCTTAGCACAGCCTGCAGTGTACTCGTGACACGTGGCTATCACTTTTATGACCACCTCGGTAAAGGCAAATCTCATTTTTGGCTGCATTTAGTTTTTGGTCAAGATTAATAGCCTTTTTCTTAGCACAGCCTGCAGTGTACTCATGACATGTAGTTATCACCTTTATGACCACCTTTTTAACCACCTCAGTAAAGCAGTGCCATGGGATCACAGCTGTTCTTACATAGTCCAGATCCTTTGGACTAGATGGCACAGCCACAATTTTAATTACTTGCTTTCCATTTTCATGAGATACATGGGTATTATAGTTCCAGAAATGGAATTCTGTTTATGGTTTTCAAGTTGGAACCTCTCAGTGCATTGTATAGACAGCTGTAGTGAATGATCACACTAAAGATCTTCCATTTTAATCTCAGATGTGCATTAAAGGATTCATAAATACTTCAAAATAAGCCTAATGATTTATTAATTTATTATCTAATAATCTTAAAACTATTAAATTTACTGTAATAATTTTTTATTTAAAGGATTAAAGAAACCTTCTACCCTGATATTCCAAATCCAGAAAACTGTAAAGCATTACAGTTTCAAAAGAGTGTCTGTGAGGTAATCTTTTATTTTCTTATATTTATCTTTGATGTGCTGGCTTCTTTTTTTAATCTTTTGTGAAAAGTTTTTAACATGCAAATGTCATTTTAATTAAAAAGTATTGGGAAAATTATATACTTTAAAACATCTCAGTTTCTAAAATTATTAATTTTAAATTATACAGTGCTCTTTTTTCTCCCACAAGTATTAATAACAAGGAAAATACTGATACGGAAGAAAAAAGTGGCTGTGCTGTTGTGTGAAATACAGAGTAGTAGAGACACCTGTTTACAAGCAGATTGGGGAAAAATGTGTCCCTTTTTATAGGAGGAGCATTGCAATGGCATTTAGTGCTATTTTTAATCACTGTGTTTAAATTTATTTCTAGGGAAGCAGTGCTCTTAAAACATTGGAAATGAATCCTTGTACCCCAAATAATGTTGAGGTTCTGGAAACTCGATCAGCATTTCCTAAAATAGAAGATACAGAAATAATTTCCCCAGTAGCTGAGCGTCCTGAAGATCGCTCTGATGCAGAGCCTGAAAACCATGTGGTTGTGTCCTATTGTCCACCCATCATTGAGGAAGAAATACCAAACCCAGCCGCAGATGAAGCTGGAGGGACTGCACAGGTTATTTACATTGATGTTCAGTCGATGTATCAGCCTCAAGCAAAACCAGAAGAAGAACAAGAAAATGACCCTGTAGGAGGGGCAGGCTATAAGCCACAGATGCACCTCCCCATTAATTCTACTGTGGAAGATATAGCTGCAGAAGAGGACTTAGATAAAACTGCGGGTTACAGACCTCAGGCCAATGTAAATACATGGAATTTAGTGTCTCCAGACTCTCCTAGATCCATAGACAGCAACAGTGAGATTGTCTCATTTGGAAGTCCATGCTCCATTAATTCCCGACAATTTTTGATTCCTCCTAAAGATGAAGACTCTCCTAAATCTAATGGAGGAGGGTGGTCCTTTACAAACTTTTTTCAGAACAAACCAAACGATTAACAGTGTCACCGTGTCACTTCAGTCAGCCATCTCAATAAGCTCTTACTGCTAGTGTTGCTACATCAGCACTGGGCATTCTTGGAGGGATCCTGTGAAGTATTGTTAGGAGGTGAACTTCACTACATGTTAAGTTACACTGAAAGTGTTCATGTGCTTTTAATGTAGTCTAAAAGCCAAAGTATAGTGACTCAGAATCCTCAATCCACAAAACTCAAGATTGGGAGCTCTTTGTGATCAAGCCAAAGAATTCTCATGTACTCTACCTTCAAGAAGCATTTCAAGGCTAATACCTACTTGTACGTACATGTAAAACAAATCCCGCCGCAACTGTTTTCTGTTCTGTTGTTTGTGGTTTTCTCATGTGTATACTTGGTGGAATTGTAAGTGGATTTGCAGGCCAGGGAGAAAATGTCCAAGTAACAGGTGAAGTTTATTTGCCTGACGTTTACTCCTTTCTAGATGAAAACCAAGCACAGATTTTAAAACTTCTAAGATTATTCTCCTCTATCCACAGCATTCACAAAAATTAATATAATTTTTAATGTAGTGACAGCGATTTAGTGTTTTGTTTGATAAAGTATGCTTATTTCTGTGCCTACTGTATAATGGTTATCAAACAGTTGTCTCAGGGGTACAAACTTTGAAAACAAGTGTGACACTGACCAGCCCAAATCATAATCATGTTTTCTTGCTGTGATAGGTTTTGCAAGCCTTTTCATTATTTTTTAGCTTTTATGCTTGCTTCCATTATTTCAGTTGGTTGCCCTAATATTTAAAATTTACACTTCTAAGACTAGAGACCCACATTTTTTAAAAATCATTTTATTTTGTGATACAGTGACAGCTTTATATGAGCAAATTCAATATTATTCATAAGCATGTAATTCCAGTGACTTACTATGTGAGATGACTACTAAGCAATATCTAGCAGCGTTAGCTGTCCATATAGTTCTGATTGGATTTCGTTCCTCCTGAGGAGACCATGCCGTTGAGCTTGGCTACCCAGGCAGTGGTGATCTTTGACACCTTCTGGTGGATGTTCCTCCCACTCATGAGTCTTTTCATCATGCCACATTATCTGATCCAGTCCTCACATTTTTAAATATAAAACTAAAGAGAGAATGCTTCTTACAGGAACAGTTACCCAAGGGCTGTTTCTTAGTAACTGTCATAAACTGATCTGAATCCATGGGCATACCTGTGTTGCAGGTGCAGCAATTGCTTGGTGAGCTGTGCAGAATTGATTGCCTTCAGCACAGCATCCTCTGCCCACCCTTGTTTCTCATAAGCGATGTCTGGAGTGATTGTGGTTCTTGGAAAAGCAGAAGGAAAAACTAAAAAGTGTATCTTGTATTTTCCCTGCCCTCAGGTTGCCTATGTATTTTACCTTTTCATATTTAAGGCAAAAGTACTTGAAAATTTTAAGTGTCCGAATAAGATATGTCTTTTTTGTTTGTTTTTTTTGGTTGTTTGTTTGTTTTTTATCATCTGAGATTCTGTAATGTATTTGCAAATAATGGATCAATTAATTTTTTTTGAAGCTCATATTGTATCTTTTTAAAAACCATGTTGTGGAAAAAAGCCAGAGTGACAAGTGACAAAATCTATTTAGGTTCTCTGTGTATGAATCCTGATTTTAACTGCTAGGATTCAGCTAAATTTCTGAGCTTTATGATCTGTGGAAATTTGGAATGAAATGCAATTCATTTTGTACATACATAGTATATTAAAACTATATAATAGTTCATAGAAATGTTCAGTAATGAAAAATATATCCAATCAGAGCCATCCCTAAAGAGTGTTCTCTTGTCTTCCTTTGTATCCTCTTTGGCTCCTTCCCTTAGCTTCCACCCCAGACATCAGACCTGGGGCTGCCTTCTCTCCCTGCCAAAGCTTGCTGTTAGCATTGTCTGCTTGCCCTCAACTCCTGCCTTGTTCCCTGTTGAAATGTATCAATCCCGTACTTTATCTCTCCAGGACAAGGATAAGTGTGGCTACAGTAAAAGTTTATTGCTCTAAACGGCGCTAACCTGAGATAATGAGAAAAGGCCAGAAGAGATTGTTTGATCTCTGTCTGTCAATATATATGCATTTCAACTGTGACCATCTGGATCCAGGGCCCTTTCTAACCTATATAACGACTCATTTGTTTGGTTAATGATGAATATCACTGGGGCTCTTAAGTCCTTTCGTTCTATCCAAGACTTCATTGTTTTTTTCTGTATGAAAAAAGTGCAGAATATCACTCACCTTTCCCCTACTTTTGGATCCCCTACACGAGGATCACTAGCTTAATGAGAAGCAGAGTAACGCTATTAAGTCTGGGCAAGCTCCTTATAAGTTGCTGTGTGCTTAAAAGAATGTGATTTATGTCTGGGGCCAAAGCAGTTTTCCTTCTTTTCCCTCATTGAATTCAAGACAGCTAGACCCTTGTGTAGATCCCAGGATATTACCTCTACTCCCCCCAACCTGTGTGTGTAGGGAGAGTAACAACACGGGAAGAGGGGAGGGAAGTTGGAAGGAGATTGGTCACATGTTCAGTTGTCTGAGATACTGGTAAATGTGCGCTGTTTGTCAATGAAGGTTGCATGCCTGCATTTACAAGGTGGTCTCATACTGATTGTGCTCTGTCCAGTTAGATTCGTGGCTTCTCCCTTGGAAGCTACAATTAAGGACTAGTTAGAAGCAGAGGCTAGATGTGTTCTCTCCAGCCCTTACTAACTGGGAAAATAATTGAGAAATCCCTCTTTTCCTCAGTGAAAGCCCAGTCATTGGTTAGAAAAATCTAATTGTCAAACTAGCATTATGTTCCATCATATCTGTGGGATAGTAATTCATGTAAGACACATTTTTACCTCTCTTACAAGTCAATTCACTTACAAGCCAGTTTCAAATCAAGCTTCCCTTGCGAGGAATGGAGATCATTATGGGGCTTATTATGACTACATTTCTTTTATGAGTGACCATTTTAAATAATTAATATTTTATTTAATATTAAATTATTAAAGACTTAGCTAGACTTTTAACATTAGATGAACCTTGTGAATCATATATTGCATAGATTAGCACATGTATGCAATCTAGGTCATCAATTTGTTGAATTTATACAGCCCTAGATTTGAGATTGTGGCCCTGAGTATCTGGATAGTTGAGTTGTGTGTTTATGTGCTTATATGATAGAGGTGCTTTGTTCCTGCAGCTTAGAAACAGAAGCAGCCATTCACTGAGAAGCTTAAGAGAGGAAGTATCAACCTCATTTTCCAAACCAGCATTACTTTCACCGCTCGTGGATCTGAAAGATTACATTTAGAACATTTAGTACTATTACACTCTCAGAAACTGTGGTAAAAAGTCACATTTTCAAAACTTCATGCATATTGTATTCTTGTTGGAAATAAGTCCTATAGTTTCTTAATTGTCTTCATGCCGTCCATATTTAACAAACATTGCAAGTCCTTTTTATATTTGGGTAATTATTTGTAATTTAGTGAAGGAGACTAGGGGATGTTTTCTTCCAAAGGGAATTTAAAATCAATTTTATGGTATTTTGAAAGTAAAATACTCCTTAACGTGTCAATATTTTTAAAATGTTATCTCGAAGTTTTCTATTGCTCAGGTATATAATCTAATAAAATTTTTTGTTTGCTCTAAGGTTATTTTTGCTATTCTCTATTTTGAATTATGTTAAAATTTGTGTGCATTTTATGAAATGCCTTTTTTCTTATTTTGAAAGTGTAAAATTGGGCATCTCAGAGTAAAATGTGGGATTATTAGCTACAAAGACTAGGCACATCGTGAAAGCTCAGTAACTAATTTTCTTGACTGAGTCCTATCCCAGAGTGTCACAGATTCAACAGAATTTTCCTGAAGGGTGATACACACCAAAATCTAGCTTGTGTGGATCTGAGACTATTGACTCAAAGATTCAAATCTACTTCGGAAGTGACTCCACGGTTTGAGTGAAAACTGAGGAAGGACTCATGCCTGTATATCACTAGATATCTTATTTCTCCATAATTTTAAGTGTTCATAATTTCTTCTTCTTTGATGGGTGTGCAACTGGGGCATGTTTGTACCAGCCAGCATGTGTTCTGCCCAACAGTGTGTCCGTGTGTGAGGTTAACTGATTCAGAACTCATTCTCTTGATAAACTATTTCTTGAAAGCATTTATTTTAAGTCTTTATTTCCTGCTGAAATGAAGTTTCATGCTGTCATGCCCATCTTATTTATTCTAGAAGAAAATTTTCATAGAAGAAAATGATTTATGGCCAAAGTTACAGAACATTCATCTTTTAGACTTAGCCTTAGAATATCATTGGAAATTACTTGGCTTGAATTTGGTTCGTTTTTATCTTTATGGATTATGTACCAGGGCTATTAATAATACTTAAACCCCTTATTTTGCTATGGTGGTTAGATTTTTTTATTCCTTTTCAATTAGTGCTATTAATTATTACATGGTCGTATTCATGCTTATTACAGATGAACTATTTTTAGTGCCAGTGTAAAGGATTAAGAATAACATTCAATTAGTTGGCTATTTCAGGCTTTATTGTACATGGTAATGTTTCAGGGAGTGTGATTTGGTCTAGAATATATCCAGATCCTTGTAATTATGATATTGGGTTATGACAGGATTCTATTATTTTTAGCTATGAATGGTGCTTATTTTTCCCTATATTAGGAATGTTAATATTTGGATTATCAGAGTCCATGTTATAAACAGAATTTACCTATGCAAGACAAATTCTAACTGTGCAACATTTTCATGAGAATTAAAAGTTGTGTGTTAAGGGGAAAACCCTCTGAATGTTTTTATGTGTAAGTGCCTAAAGAACCGTAGAAACAGTACATCAAAAGCTCTTATAAAAGAAAAACTGATTGAACATTAGCCAGAAACAAAATATGATTTACATTTTTTTTTTTGGTTGCTGGGACTGAATACCCTAAAAACTAAGAGATGTGAGTGGGGAAAATGTCTAATTGATAAGAAAGTTGATTTATATTATATTTACATGCATCTTCTAAGATTGCCTTTACAGTAGCCAATCAGAACTTTAAAAAAAAAAAAGCTAACAACATAGATCCTATGTGTTGCCCTTAAGACTAAAATACTTTGCACACGTGATTGAATGGCTCACTTAAGTTGTTGAATTTCCTTATACATTTAAAGTGTACTTCCGTTAAGAATTATTCCATTTTAAATGGGTAACTTTCAGCTTCCGAACTATTTTCCTAAACATTCCAGTTGTGTATTATAAAAGATCAAAATATCTCTAGGTGGTAGTACAATTTTCATTTATAACGTGGAAAAGTTAACTGTTAGGTTTAACATTAGTATTAGTGTTTTTGCAATTGCTCATAGAAAAGAACACTGAATAATGGTTTTCATACAATTTTTGTAAAACATTCTTCTCCCAGTTTGATTCCAAATGCTTTTCCCCAAATTGTCTAATATATCATAAGCTAGTGTTTCCTTGTATTTAATTTTTCCTTCCAACACAATATTTAGGAAAAATATGAATAACATTGTGAGTAGCGGGAGACAACACGAAAAAGAAACCTTTCATTGTTGTGGAGGGGTAGGTGTTATGTGATTGATGCCCTTCCTGGCGTTTGTTTTATCCTGTTATTTTCTCAAAAAAGAGCACGGCTTTTTCTTAAATACATTTAAATTCAGAATTGCTTGCAAAAGATTGGCCTGGATAGATAGACATCCTAGATTTAAGATAGTACCATCTTAAAAGTATGTTGAAAGGTAAAATAAATCATTTCAAAATACTTAACTTTCCTAATAAGGATGTTAGGTTTTCTTCTCTTTCATTAGCTGGCCATAAGTCAAGGTCCTTATAACACTAGGAAATTACCTTTTTTTACTTTCAAAATTGCATTATAGTGAATTACTGTTTACAAAATACACATACTGTGAACAGATATAAGTTTCTGTCTTTTATAAGGTTTGTAGAATGAATGTTTTTTTAAAGTGAGTATTATATGTTAAATATTTTAAGTTTTTTATAAATACTAGTAACTGTTTACTAATTTTTGTTTGGTCAAATGCTTGTAAATGTAGCTGAAAGAAGATAGGGAGAAACTGCGGATCCCAAACTGTTCCCTTTTTCATTTCTTGAAATGTTACCACTACAGACATTTTTTTAAGGTGAATAAACAGTTGTGATGTGCTGTACCTAAAATCATGTTTAATCGTATAAGGAAACATTTCAATACACTTATACAGGAAGAAAACTATAGATGAAGTACATGTGTGTGATTCAGTCTGATTCACAGAATTCTGAGAGTAATATGGAATAAAACAACTCCACTTAGATGATAACTGAAGCATTTCCTGCCTTGTGAAAATTTGGATTTTAAATTGCTGTTAGAATGGGAAATTTGGACACTTTATATCATTGTATAATTTCAGAATTTAGTTTCTGTATCTTTTGGAAAACATGATTATAGCAAAAACATAGAAAATAATCTATTACTAAAACACCATAAATGTAAAACTAGTATGCTTGGCTGTTAACTCTAAAGATGTTACTTATGTCTGTTTTTAAAACATGCATGTATTTAACAATTTTATCATAGTATTGTCATGGAAAAAATAAATATATTTTCTTACATCTTACACTGACAGACTTGGGCATTATTGGGTTTTTCCCCATGTTACACACTTAGGAGAAGTGGCTCTGCTTTGTTGTTGTATTTTTTTGTTCTATCCCGTAAGAAATACAGTGGTTGTAAAGCAATCACATAGCGCTATGGATGTATTTTTAACATTTGAGTACATTGCTGTGCCATTGGTGTAACATCCATCTGTCCATTAAGTCATTATTGTTTACCTGAGAAGTTAGCATCAAAATAATCAAATAGTGGGAATCCAACATTAGCAAATAAATAATAAATACTGGTCTTTAAAGTAATGGTTTTTAGT
Organism: Homo sapiens; assembly: GCF_000001405.40. Taxonomy (NCBI): domain Eukaryota; kingdom Metazoa; phylum Chordata; class Mammalia; order Primates; family Hominidae; genus Homo; species Homo sapiens. The sequence goes on along the minus strand of NC_000005.10, from coordinate 38,474,656 downwards.
TTATGTCCTCTGAAAATAGCTTAAAATTCCTGAAGATTCTGAGAATGTATCAAAATTTTATTTCACCCTATTAGGAAATACAGTCACAGATTTAGCAAAACCAGTAATTTTAAAGTATAAAGTGATCTTAAATAGATGTTCTTAAATGGAGAAATTAAGTCCTTAGTCATATGTATAGCCTAGACTTAGCCAGATTGAAACATGAATGGGCCTGGATTTAACCAGAAGAAACTGCAGACCAACTCAATTGTAAAAAGCATGTTAGTATTTAAGTGCTAGGAAGTTCATACATATAGCCTGTTCTTTGGGGATTCTCAATGCATAACTTGTTTCCCAGATGGTGAGTTCTTGAGTCAAGATGTATAGCACCCTCAACCCCGGGAACTTTTAAAAAGAATCAGAGAAGAATGATGAGATTATTGGGAGAAAAAATAGACATGTATGAAAAAAATGTTTAAAGGTATTCAATGTCAACTAAAATGTTAGCTTACAAATAAGTTCTTCACAAAAGAACTATAATAATAGCTTGTTATTAGTGGCTTATAAATTTGATCTTACTAGCTTTCTCCTGGAGTGATCAACAATAAAACTGAATTGAAAATATTCGTTGTGCTGGTCCCAGGGAAGATGAAATAACAAGAGATGCCTTGAACTGATTTGTGCTTAAATTGGAGATGATTTTATCCCTGGGTGATTAGTTTCAGATTAGAGACAAGAAAAGCTTTTGAGGATGACCTTGAGAAAGACTGTTAAGTGATGGCCAGGTGCAGTGGCTCACGCCTGTAATCCTAGCACTTTTGGAGGCCAAGGCGGGTGGATCACGAGGTCAGGAGTTCGAGACCAGCTTGGCCAACGTGGTGAAACCCCATCTCTAAAAATACAAAAACTTAGCCGGACGTGCTGGTGCGTGCATGTAATCCCAGCTACTCGGGAGGCTGAGGCAGGAGAATCGCTTGAATCTGGGAGGTACAGGTTGCAGTGAGCCGAGATCACACCACTGCACTCCAGTCTGGGCAACAAGAGCAGAACTCCATCTCCAAAAAAAAATAAAAATAAAAATAAAAAAATAAAAAACCTTTTAAGTGGAAACAGCATTAAAATGAATGCAATCCCAGTGTATGAACCTCTGTCTCCAAACCTTCCAAAGTTATGAAAGAATGTCAAGCCTCAGCTCAAACAAATCTTTATTCCCCTTCCTGCCCTCAGCCTGCCGTAACTCTGCTCGAGGCTGAGCCTCTTCCAGCTCTAGAGGCACTTGCATACTCCCCTCACCTACACCATCCTTGGAGTTGATGCGAGCCAGGGACTGAAAGCCTTGAGGAAGCAGAGTGTTGAGAACAGATGGACCCTCCTAGTCCTAAATTGCCCAATTACCAGTGCAGGCAACATGACACCTTCAGAATGGAACCTAGACTCTAATTTCCTCAATTACCATTGTCGCTCCTTTCCTTTCCTGTGTTGGCTGAGGCTGGGTTCACACCTTTTCCGAGTCAGCCGCTGCCTTGCGGGAGGCTTCACAGGCCTGGCTCCCATCCCAGCTTCACAACTCACTATCAGGATAAGCTTTGGAGAGTTATTCAGCCTCTCCCCGTTTCCTCGTCTCTGAAACGTGGCTCTTCATGCCCACCTTTGCAGGACTGGGGAGGATTAGACAGAGTACATCATGTTCCCAGCAGTGGATGTTTGTTACCCATGCCTCTTCAGAAACTACAGGAACACCTAAGGCCTTAAAGGTATAAATGCCTCCGCACTTGTTTAGCTGCTCCTTAGGTCATCTCTCCCATTTACACAGAGAGAAGCTGCACAGCACAGGACCTGCAGGGGAGCCATGGCATCTGTCCCCACAAAGTGAACACAAGGGCTTCACTTAGATGACTTCTTCCATCTGCAGGGCCCAGTTTAGGCCTTGCTGGCTCAGAGAAGCCTTTTCCAGCATCGCCAGGCCCTCAGTCCTGTGCCTTCCCAGGCCTGTGTGTCCCCACGGCACCAAGCACGATCCTAACGCTTGATTTGGGAATGGGAATTGAACAATGTCTCGGGCTCTTACATCCATGAAGCTTAGTGCAGGATCTGCCACATCTCAGGTGCTTGATTAATATTCTTTAAATGCGCCTTGAGAAAAACGTGGTTTAATGTGTTTCCCTGGTTATTAGAAATATGTTATTTTACAGAGGGTGATCCCTTGCGGGATAGTCTCAGACTGTGCAAGACAAGGGAACCCTGGTTAAGGACAAGGATGGGAGGCTCCCTGTAGTAGCTCAAAGCAGCTCCTTCCCCAGATTTGGGCCATCTTGCCTTGTAGTAAGTAGATGCTTAAGATGTGTTGAATGCAATTACCTTATTCTCCCTAGACAGAAATTTACTCTTACCTTCTTACCTCTTTGACAACAGCAGATGGGAGATAAATGGCCTTTATCCGAAGTGACAACAGGTTAGAGTCCTTCTACACATTGTCTGTCACCTCCACCCTCTGCCATCTCCTCCCCAATTTGAACCTTGTTTTCATTTTCTGTGGGTTAGGTTCTCCATATCCTTCCAACTTGTATGGACAACTTGCATGACCAAGTGATCCATTCTGGCCCCCGTCCCTCTTCCCCAAACTGCATATCTGCTTCTCTGGAAGATAGTCTTGGCTTTGATATTTCAGGCATCTAGTTTGTGGGCAGGTAAGCCCTGGCATGTTCCTCAGGCCACACCACTGTAGTCTCCTATTCCACCCGGAAATAACACGTATCTCCTTACACACAAAACTTTCTTCCCTCAAGCAAGACCTCCTCAAGCAGCTGGGCCCATGGTCCAGGCTCCTCCAAGCTTATGGCCTTGCCATCAGGGGAGTCCTCACAGTGATCTGGCGAGCACTCTGGCCTGGCTTGTCATGTGCTCATTCCTGGTTCAGTCCTGTGGCTGGACATAGGTTCTATTCAAAGGACATTTTCACAAGAGTTGGAGAAAGATGAGTCCCTCCAAAAGAGGTGATATCCTGAGTAGACAGAACAAAAAATACTCACTGAAGAAAAACTAGAAAATCAATGGAAAAGAAAAAGAAATCACACAATCTTTTTTTTTTTTTTCCAAGACAGAGTCTCGCTGTGTCACCCAGGCTGGGGTGCAGTGGTGTGATCTCGGCTCACTGCAACCTCCGCCTCCCGGAGTTCAAGCGATTCTCCTGCCTTGGCCTCCCCAGTAGCTGGGACTACAGACTGATGCCACCAAACCCGGCTAATTTTTTGTATTTTTAGTAGAGACGGGGTGTCACCATGTTGGCCAGGCTGGTCTCGAACTCCTGACCTCGTGATCTGCCTGCCTCAGCGTCCCAAAGTGCTGGAATTACAGGGGTGAGCCACCATGCTGGGCCCACGCAATCTTTTTATGCAGCATTAGGTCTTTTCAACATTTTACTTTTTATCCTTTCGGAAATATTTTCCTATGTGAATATGTGTGTGTATATATGTACATGTCTATTCATATATATGTATATGTGTGCATATATAAAAGAATTGTAGATTCTGTTTTGGAACTTGAATTTTTATTTCACATATTTTGAAAATCTTTTCATATATGGTACTCTTTCATGGATATATGAAATCCCAATGTATGGATGAACTATTCTGTATTCTGGACATTTTTCTATATTCATACTTTTCATTAAATAATGGATAACTTTGAAAGTCAAGCAAAAGTGTTTGGCATTAGTTTGACATCTGAATTTCATACTAAAAGCCATTGGCACCTTATACACAAAAACACCCAAACCAACTTTTCTGTGTCATAAAATACTGTCTTTTATAAGTAACTGGCTACCAAAGATGCTGATGCAGAGTTCCATGGATTCCCTGCTATTTCCTCTAAGTTGTGGGCTGCTTGGGGTCATGCTGAGTGGCCACTGGAAAGGGCAGCTGCCTGACAATTTCCTCAATCCCCCTGGGCACCCACACCATCAACTGTACCCCAGCCTAGGTCCTTAGTCATGGCAAAGGGTCCCTGGACCCCAGGAACACAGGATTTTCAGGAACTATAAATAGGAATTTTTAAGTACGGTTATGCTCTCTGAGAACAGAACTCCCCTTATCTTATGAGTGTTTGACTCATTGTTTAGGGACACAGCTGACCGTGGCATAGCCTTTAGTTGGGATGGCACAGGACAGAGGGTGCATTTTAGGAAAATGAACTTGGTTTTTGGGGAGGTATCATCTGGAGGTGGGAGAGACTGAAAGTTAGAGTTGATCAGGGTTGTGGTAGGCAGGACTCTACGAAGGCCCCCGAGATGCTTGCATGGAACTGTGGAAATGGTGTGTTGTCACTCCCATAATTAGGCTACTTATCAGTTGACTTGGAGTTAATAGGCGATGATCCTGGGTGGGCGACCTATTGAGGAGACCTCTTATGAGAGGGACTGGGCCCTGCCTAAAGAAAGTCTCCCCTGGCTTTGAAGAAACAAAGAGCAAGTGAGCCTCAGGTGAGACCACAGCCCAGGCGACACCTTGACAGGGGGAGCTGAGTCCTCTCTATCCTTTATATCCTCACTGGCACTTTGGCCAGGGGCTGGTTTGTGAATAGCTCGTCCTCAGTGAGTGTCAATGAAATGTCAACCGACCTTGTGTGGGCGAGTGCCTGGAGGGGGCAACTACAGTAATCCTTGCGAGGGCCCGCAGGCCATCCGCTCCTCACCCTCCATTCCCCACCCCCAAAGCCTCCCAACCCACTCCCAAGGGCTCCCAGCTTCCAGGCCAGAGGCAGTCACATGGATAAGGCCCCCAGCCTTGGGCACATCCTCTTACCTCTCTAGCCCCGTGTGGAGCTGGAACAGAGATCGCCCAGGCTTCTTTCATTTCTGAGGTGGTGTGAATGTGACCTGGACAAGCAATCGGCTTGTGTTCCACTTTCCACTGTATTAGACAGGGCCCCCCATTTCATTCTGAACCCCCACAGTTGCTCTCTGAACCCCACGTTCAGTGAGAACATGGAATGCTACCGGCAGGGCCGGAAGTCACCACGCACTGAGCCTTGCGACCCCTGCGGCCCCATACCCCTCTCCTCCCACAGCTCTCTCTGCCTCATAGTCCATTTTCTCTGCCTCCGCTTTCTTTTGGCCAATTTCCTAACAGGGCTTTCCTTAGCTAAGCCCCTGGCCTGGTGCCTCTTACTTTTGTTATTAAGTGAGTATAAACGGCAAATTTCTTGAGCCTCCCTGGCCTTCCTTCGAAGAGACATTCCAACTCAAGTCCTCTCCTAGCCAAGTCAGAACTGCAGCCCCTTGGCAGCAGGCTGTTCGGGGAGGTCATAGCCCCGGGCTGGGCCCTGGCTTGTAGGTGAGCAGCTGGGACATCGGGGGAGGCCATGCCACATGCTGGGAAATTTCTATGCCTCTGGACACCATTTGCATCTTGAGCAAAACTGAAAGACAAGATGGATAAATAGAAAAGAAGAGACATCCTCCCAGGGGCTGAGACATAATGTTCTCTCTCCCGTCTTTCCAGGAAATGGCAAGTGCTCCTGGGAGCTACGAACTTTCTAGGACAAAGATGCCTCAGCAAGAGCAAGCGGGAAGAAGAGGAGCGGCAGGGGAGGCCTTTCCCAGCTGCCTTCCCTGTTCTTTCAGCTCGTGGCTTGGCTGGGGCGAGGCAGGGGCCCAGGGGAACACGCTGCTGGGCAGAAATAGCTTGCAACCACTCCCCAGGGTTATGGAGGTTATTTGTGGAGATGAAAGCAAAGGAGGGAAGGGAAAAGAATTTAACCTACACCCAGTTGCCCGTAGAGGGGCCTGAATCCCACCCTGCTGGACTAGCTCTTTAGTTTCTGCTTTCAGATTTGCTCAACCCAGAGTCCCTGCAACAGAAGGCCTTTGAAAGAAGGCAGATTCAGGGCTGTGATGAGAAACTGGCATGCGTTGGCAAGCAGACTCTTGGGACATGGCCTTTGTCCGAATCTCCCTCACTTACACGACTATACTGCAGACGACAGCTAACCCAAGGGAGCCTCAGAATGTCCCTCAACAATGCGGGTGTCCCTGGGCAGACTGCACCTGACCAGAGGTCAGGGTGAGGGCAGAAAAGCTCCACGGGACAGCATCGTGGCTGCGTCCTCGTGATGGGACCATGGGCAAGTCACCCAGTCTTTGTGGCCAGTGTCTGTCTTCCTAAGTCAAATAGGCCATGCCCATCTGCTCCAGCCATCATAGGAGGAGGACTGTTATGAAGATCAAATATGTGAACATTCTTTGACTGTGAGGTTGCGGTGCGGTTACTCACAGGGCCTAGCCCAGAAGCCAGCTGATGCTGTTGCATTGGATTAGTCATTTTGCTGGCCCGAACATAGCCACCTGTAAGCTGGAACTTCCTTACGGCAGCCTGTCACTTCCACGGGACCCACCAGCTTAAATGCCGGCAGCCCTGGGACTTCTGGCCTCACAATGGTTGAGGTAGGGCTGCTTACATTTCCCTTCTCTGTTTAGCGTGTGCCGGATAAGTCCCTAGTTCGGATACCGTCGGACGACCCACATCTCCATGTTGACAAATAACGTGGGAGTGGGCTAAAGCTGTACGACCCCTGATTTCAGATTCTAATTTTGATTCCATGCTGGCAGCTCTCTCCCCACTGCAGGGAGAAAGTGCTGGAGAACGTCGTTCCCGCCTTTGATAAGCTAATCTTACCCCCTTCTCAGCTAAGGGTCTGGGCGGTGGTGGGCACGCCCGGACTGACCCCCAGCTCCAAGGGCAACTACTATGCGTTCCTGGACTGGGCAGGAGCTGGAAGAGGCAGGGAGGAGGTGGGAAGCGGCTCATGCCTTGTCCAGGCTCCTCTCCTAAAGTATTGTCTTTCCGCTTGGAGCTGGAATTCTCTGCCTTTATTTTCTCGGAGCTGGGCCTCTGCAGGCTGCCCCTCGGTCATTCCCTCCCAGGAAGAACGGCCTTCTGGGGTGGGGGTTGCTGTCGGAGCTCAGAGAGGCTGGGGGCCCCCCTACTGCCTATTCTTCCTCCTTTGGGAACTCACAGTGCTAAAAACAAGCTTTCTGAGAACCATATTTTTCTGGGTTAAAGGTGAAAAATGCAGCGTTTCCTCCAAGTGGAAAGCCCTGGGCCTGCCAGCTCCAACTCCGGGCGCTTTTCCGAGCTCCTTCCTCCCACGCAGGGAGGGGGTAGCAGCTCCTGCAGGGCCAGGGGAGGAGGTGGGCAGGGAGGAAGGAGAGGGGGCAGCAGCAGGAAAGCGCCAGTGCCCGTGCCAGCAGGGCAGTCTGTGTGTGGACACCAGCCGGCCTGTTTGTGTTGGAGGGCCGGGAGAAGGGAGCAGGACTGGGTCAGGAAATGAAAGACAAATACCAGGGTGGGAGAGTGGCACGGCCTTCAGAGCGGCGGGCAGGCCGGGGCAGCTGCCTGGGCAGCCGCAGAAGGGGGACACAGAAGACCCCCACAGACCTTCCTGAGAGAAATCCTGAGGTGGGGCCTCCAGGAACATGCAGGGTTATGGGAGGCCATCTTAATAGGAAAAGCAAGGACATCCTCACCCCACACCCGGTCACCCTTGCTTCGAACATGTGGGAGGTTCCGGGGAATTTCCTCAGACCCTGATTGTGGGAGAAAAGCTTTTCAGGATCCCGTGCCCCACTCCATCCTTCCTCCCTAGGACAGGGACTGCTGTTAGCCTCTGAGCTCCCTGGCGACACCCCAAACCTTTCTCTTCAGCCAAGAGCCTGGCCAGCCTTCAACATGCTCTCCCCACAGCGGCTACCCAAAAGCCAGGCACAGATCCCATCTTCCAGCCGGTCCAGTCCCTCCTCCTCAGAACAGCAACGGGGCCAGCTGCCAAGTGTCAGGGAGCATGTGGAAGGAGGGCAAGGGGAAGAGAGGGCACCGCATTGCGATGGGGGAGGGCGGGTGCTGCTCGCATCAGGCCTGGCCTGGCTGGGCACTGAGAACATCATGGACCTCGCCTCCAGCCCCAAGGGTTAAAGAAGGTCGGAGAAGACCTATGGCCAGGGGGTCACGGCCTCCCTACTGCACCCTGCTGTGAATGACGTAGGACTTGCTGGGGTAGACCGATTGCATCAGCAGTGACGCTTTTCCACTGCTCCTGAGTCCATGCCCTCCACCGGGCAGCTTGGTAGTTCTCTCATGCTGGAGAAGAGCCCATATGTCACGTGGGGGCCGGCCCGTTTCTTCCTCTCTTGAATCCACAGATGACTGGGGTGTGGCAGTGCCAAGCCGAGGCTGTGAAAGGCCTTCCACCTTTACTCTCGTGCTCGTGCCCTCCCCCATTGTTAGGAGAAGGGCATGCTCAGGCCAGCCCATTAGCCCAGGAGGAGGACAAGAAACACACGGAGCAGACACAAGCCACCTCACCAACCCAGCCAAGGCTGTCCTGAATTAGCAACCCTGACACGTGTGAGCAAGTCCAACGGACACCGGAAGATCCACCTAGTCAAGCCCAACCAAGACTGGCAGAGCTGCCAAGCTGACCACTTAAGGCGCATGAGGAATAAACACTCGTTGCTGCATGCCATTGCAGTTTTGTGATTTTTGTTATGCAGCATTATTGTGGCCATGACAGCAGATACACATAGAGAGACAACAGGACACCCAGGAGCCCACATGGGATACACTGTCTCTTACCCTGTCCTCTGACCCTGAGCCTCCCAGGTCACCAGCTCCTCCTGGGTCCCTCCACTCTGCTGCTCTCTCACCTGTCAGATCCCTACTCCCCTGACCCTGTCATCACGTCACTCTTCTCCCCTTAGCCTCATCTGCTTCCCACCCAGAGGCAAATGGTTCTACTCCCAGGCCTGCATCCCTGGGTCATTGCATTTTTCTCTGGATAACACTTTCGTGGAACAACAACTCATTAGCAACAGCTCTTCTAGCTTCAATTCAGCTGAATGGCCTAAGATCACAATGATATGTATGGCTGGAGGGAATCCATCAAAATGGCCTGTAAAAGCAACTCCATGACATCTTGGGAAGCACTGGCCCCAGCAGTATCAAAGGAAGAGGTGTTGAGGCAAGGGTGTCTGGGAAGTGGAGGACCCACTTTCTACCATGTGGCCTTTCTCCGGACTGCACTCATATAAGATTATGTGTCTAGGAGTGGATGATGATGATGATGATGATGATAACCATGATTCCTCTGGGAGAAAGGATCCTGGCCATCAAAGCTTCCCAAAGACAGGAGATTGGGGCACAAAGTGAACCTCTCTAGTTTATTCATCTTTTAGAATTACATTATGTGCTTAAAACTGTGCCTTGCACAAACCCCAAAAGTCTTTGCTGAATGAATGCTGCACAAACAAATGTAGAGTCGAGACTGGGACTAATTATAGGCTCTTGCATAAGTTAGATCATATTTCACCCCCTCCTTGGGGGCAGTGTTCATCTCACCTTTCCCTTAGTAAGTCCATCATGGGGATCTGCCAGTGAACCAGCTGTCTCTGGGGTCATGTGCTTGCATAGTAAAGGGACACAGCTCATGGTACAGAAGGAAGAAGTCCTGTTTCTCTGGTTCTCACCCAGATGCTCAGACCATCCTGACAGCATGTCCCCCCACCCCTGCACAGCCTTGGGAACACTGATTGTATTAGTGTCCATTGGTATGAACCTGACCTCCGCAAAATCAGTAACAACTCCATAAGTGAATGAATGAATGAATAAGTTCTAGCTTTGTCCCCTTTATTCAAGTTTACTATAGATACTCCCCCCAACTCTTAAAACAAAAATGACAGTGACCTACCTCGGTAACACATGTTCCTTTTAATCTGCTTATCTTGGAAAGCTTCATATTCATCCTCTTGAGCCGTCAACATTTACCAAAAGAGAATGGTCAGCTCCCCAAGTTGCCCACCCAAGTTACCTATCCATTCCACTGACACCACAAAAGGCCCAAACAAGTCTCTCTTGGGAGAAATTTTTAGGAAAGGTGTGCAAGAATTCAGAGTCATCCACCCAAACTTCCAAAAGTATACTGTGTGGACAATCTGCAGCTATAAAAATATACACATACAAAAGTACAGCTACAAAATCATGGGGGCTCAGCTCCTTAACTCTGCATTATAAGAAGTAGGGATTTCACATTCGAGGTAAGCTCTGGGGAAGGGGGCCGCATTATGATTATGATTCTGTGTTTGATCTCCTTCCATCTTTATTTTTATGGACTAGTCAGAACACAGTGAACCAGCCAGTGAGGAGTGGAAGGGGTTAATCCGAACAATCCAAGGGCCAATGTGGGAAATGTGAAGTTCAAGGTCACACAGTCATTCTGCTGTCAGGAAGAGTGTCATGAGTCAGGGAAGGAGAGAAGTATTTTAATAGTGCCCTGTGGGATTCTTTCTCTCTCTCTCTCTTTTTAATGTACTATGAATCACAACACAGTCACTGAGCTATAGCAGACAGGCTCTGGAATTTGCATTGATGTGTGATCTCTGGCAGCCGCTACATATTCAATGGACAAAGTCCGATGCTTCCTACACAGAGAATTCTGCTGGGTCAGCTCGTGGAGTGTCAGCAGGAAAGGCCACCCAGGGATGCCTGTCTTGGTTCTCAGTTTCTCATCAGTGTGTACTTTCTTCTTGGTGAGAGGAAACACACCTGGTCCCTGGGCCTCTGCATATAGCATCAGGCAGGGTCTGAGGGCCCCTGGGATTCTCAGAATAGAAGGCTCTGTCCCTTGGACAAGGCCAGCTGGTGTTACTTGGCTCCACAAGTGTTGATGTTTTTCCCATCCACGGCATCTTCCACGAGGGAAATGTGGTAATCGGTGGACAGGGTGAAGTGAGAGATACAGCCCACGAGCCCTCTCATATATTGCCTGTTAGTGTGCAGAGCAATTTCCTTCATTCCACCTGCCAGGAAGCAAGAGGGAGATGAGGTGAGCCAAAGGACAGGTGTCCGCAGGGCAAGGTCGGGGTTCCAGTTTGGGGCACTTGAATGGCTGCTGGCCAAGGCATCCCTTGATTCATGGGACATGTGAGGGCTGTGGGCCCCTTGAGCTGCTCAGTACCTCACCTCTCTCAATTTTATAATTATCCTTGAAGGAACAGATTGACTTGGATCAGTTTTTACACAATCAAAAGCTATAAATTCATTCCTCATGTGTGATTTCTGGCCCAACTGACCACCTTGAGACCAAATAGTGTCTAGTAAATTTTGAAGTGTGGTATAATGTCAACAGAATGCAGTGTGTAGTTAGAAGTGATGTCATCTTAAACCAAAACAAATGCACTGATGTCGAATGCTTTCAATAGAAAATATCATATAGATAAAAATAGCTTTTCATTTTTATGTGTCTGCACTAGTGAATTAATTATAATAAGCCATTTACAGAAATACTAGTCATTCTATTCTGCAAGGGGAAAGAAAGACAGGTCCCGTTTTGTCAGAGAGAACTCATGGAGCTATATTTAGCAGGTTCCTGTTCTATAAACAAGAAAAGCCTGGTTTTCCTGGTGGATCTGTCCAAAGCATAAAAGCATCGAAGGGAGCCCTTCCTGCCCCCTCAGCCATGAGTCAGCAGTTCAGAAAATGAAGGAATGGAATATCTGGAGGGCTTCCTGATTTACAGGTATTTGATCCAGCAAAGTACATAGCCTCGGCACAGCAAATGGAAGACTAACAAGAAAAGCACTGGCCTAATTTTGCTTTGGTCGAGGGTCGGTCACTTACCCACATACAGAGCTCCATTGATGTTAAGCTGCCGCATCATGCCTGGGGATTTGCCTGTTCTGGCTCCATAGTCATCCACGGTTATCTTTCCTGACTGGCCATCCCTGCAAAACACCAAAACAAAAAAGAACAAAAAGCCTGGCATTTTTGGAGTTCATTCAATCATTCATTCATTTCAATACAAATGTATTAAAGGACACACTATGTGCCAGGTACTGTGCTAAATGATGGGGCTGCAGAAATCAAAGCAAAAAGCAAATGTGTGGCCCTCAGGAGCCTGTGGTCTACTGAGGAAGACAAAAAGTCAAACTGTGAATGACAACACAGTGCCAGCACTCCACGGCGAAGACCACAAGGGTGCTGTGGAATTACACCAGAGGAGCAGCGCCTAACTTAGACTAGAGAGAGGACAGTTATTAGAGAGATGGTCAGAAAAAGCTGCTCAGAGGAGATTCTGTCCAAAATGAGTCTTGTAGGCTGGGTAGGTAAGTCAAGTGAAGGAGAAGGCTATGCAAACAGAGAAAGCAACAACAGCAAAGAGAAAGAGCAGGGGTTAGCACAGATGGAACTCACAGAACACTGGGGCTGGGAAAGGTGAAGCCCCAAGCAAACGGTCAACCGCTTGTAAGGAGTTGAGAATTTATCCTGAAGGTGACAGCGGGCCAGGGAAGAAATTTCAGGTGAAGCCCAGGGGAGGAGAGCTTGTGGCGAGGCATGGGAAGCCATGGGGAGCTGGGATTCTAAGTACAATGAGAAGCCAATGAAGCAGTTTTTGTAGGTATAAGATCATTCGATGGGAAGACTGGCTCAGAAGTTTCTGTTTATTTTATTTTATTTTATTTTTTGAGACGGAGTCCCGCTGTCGCCCAGGCTGGAGTGCAGTGGCGCGATCTCGGCTCACTGCAGGCTCCGCCCCCCGGGGTTCACGCCATTCTCCTGCCTCAGCCTCCCGAGTAGCTGGGACTACAGGCGCCCGCCACCTCGCCCGGCTAATTTTTTGTATTTTTTTTAGTAGAGACGGGGTTTCACCACGTTAGCCAGGATGGTCTCGATCTCCTGACCTAGTGATCCGCCCTCCTCGGCCTCCCAAAGTGCTGGGATTACAGGCGTGAGCCACTGCACCCGGCCAGTGGCTCAGAAGTTTCTAAAGGACCCACAGAGCCCTAAAGTGACTCTGACGACAGGAAGAGGGAGGTGTTCATTGGTGGCAAGGGCTTTGTAGTTTTCAAAGCTATTTTTCAAACCTATCCAGCCCCATGAGCCTTGTTCAAGCAAATACATTTGCTTCTATAGCACTAGGGGGTGGACTCACTCAGGCTTCACTTCTTGATAGCAACTCTTCTAGAGATTTACAGAACTTTCTCTTGTTCTGTCCCCATCTTTGAGACCACAAACTTCCCATTTGGGAAGTGCTTTCTTAGAATCCTGTATCTGAATGCTGTGACAGGCAGAACCCGCAACAGCTTGCCTTGCTTGCCCTGCCTTTAAAAAAAAAAATTAATTACTCTAAAATATTCCATTTTTTTCTACTTACTCTAGTTCATAAAGTCTAAGAGTTTTTCATTTTTTATATCTAAAATGAAGATATACCTTATAATCAATGGCATCTTAGATTTGAAAAAATGTGGCATCACCTTCTAGCATAATAACATGCTTCTTTATCATGTTTATTACTTATTGTCTGTTGCTTCCCATTAGAATGCAAGACCATCAAGGCAAGGATGTTAATTTTCTTCAATGAGGTATCTCCTGTGTCTGGAATGATATAAGGCTCATCCCAGATGATGAATGAACAGTGAATCTGTGGAGCTTCAGCATCCTCACCTAAGATGGGAATAGCTATGCCCATCTCCCGAGATTATTGTGGAGATCAGATGTTATGCGTACAAAGCACAGGGCATGATACCTGATACACATCTTGCTCTATAAAGACTGGTAGAGGAGTGTGTTGTTATTGTTATCAATATCATTATCATTTTTATCCATAAAATGAAGATTATAAAACCTAAGTTGCTGTGAATATTGAGACAAAGTATGAAAAGTACCTGGCAACTGGAGATGTTTAATAAACTGGAATTTATTTTCTCTTTTCTGCTGGGATTAATGCCTGCAAGAGCAGGATGCCCCAGAGCAAGACACTGTCCAAAGCAAGGCCCCCTGGGCAATCTCCTTTTCATTGACACTCCTATCTCTAACCCTGGAGCCTGCTACAGAGAATTAAGGTATCTGCTCAATCCTTCTTGCCATAATTGATATCCATGGCCTTGACCCAGTTCCCCCTGAGAACTCTTCCCTTCTAGGCCTGTCTGCTCACAACTCACAGTATCTGCTGGAATCCTCCCATTCATCTAGTTCCTGGGCTCGACTCCTTCTGTTCAGCCCTCATTGCAACCTAAGACCCACCAGCAGAGGTATCCATGATGCCAACAGGAAAAGCCAAGTCTGCTAAGCCATCTGCATGGTGCCCAGCTTGACACTCTGACATGTGAAATTCTTCCTGTAGAACATTCCACTGCCTTATCCCTCCCAAACATCTGAAATCCTAGCTTTGGGTGGGTTTCATCATGGGGTAGGATGGAAAGGGCTTTGAGCTGGGATTCTAATCTTGGCTTTTCCCACAAACAGTTGTATAGTCTAGGGGAAGATCATTTAACATCAGTTTCCTTAGATGTCTAGGAAGTGCCTGGTATCCTCACCAGAGTGTATCTTGATACACATAATCAAACCCCAACAACAACTGGGAAGGCTTAAAAATTATTCCACAATGTGTGAGTATTCTACCAATGATCTCCACCCAAGGAAACTGGGAGAAGGGTGTTGTTCCCTGATGTTCCCAGGGTGGGGATTTGTAGGGATCAAGTGTGGTTAGAGGTAAAGAGCTCAAGCATTTCATATTCCTTTGGATGTCTCTGGCCAAGCCCCTTTAAAGATGGGTAAGAGGCAGAAATGAAGAAGTTAGAAGCCATAGAGTTTGGAGTATTTTGGAGTTAGGCTGGGCTCTGAATTTTTAACTTGTAGTCTAGAAACTATTTGAAATCCAAGCATGTGGATATTCATGATGGGACAACATTTCTTTTTTCAGAAAGTTAGAGTTGAGACTTCATCAAAATCAACCTCTGTCTCAAGGGCTTTCTAGACCATCTGGGAAGCTGAGAGGCACAGATCTGCCTCTGTATCCCCATTTCCTCTAGGGTTTCAAAGGCAGGCCCAACAGCCAGGGTTGGGGGCCCAGCAGCCAGGGGTTGGGGGCCCAGCAGCCAGGGGTTGGGGGCCCAGCAAGTCTCTCCCCATTGCAGCCTATATGGGAGCTGAGTAGGAAAGTAGCCATGGTGGGCGCCATGTTTCCCAGGCCTCACTCATGACTTTACCCACTGGCTTCCCCAGAAAGGGTTATGATAAATTCTCAGGGAACCCCAACCAGACCTTCATTTCAGCTTATCTTCTCCTGGGACCTTCATCTAACTTGCGAGATTGACATTTCTAAGTTTCAGCCTGCTATTTCGTTTCTGAAAATATGTTGTTAGAAATATGGACAAAGGTATTAATAGTAAAACTATTATATAAAGAAGAGCAAAGGAATGATTCATCCAAAGTTAATCAGAAGTCAGGATGGTGATTACCTCTGTGATGGGGGAGATATGTAATTGGGGCTGAGTGAAATACAGTCAGGTTCTAAGGTTTAGGTAATGTGTAAAAAAAAAAAAAGTGGCCAGGTGCAGTGGCTCATGCCTGTAATCCCAACACTTTGGGAGGCCAAGGTGGGAGAATCACTTGAGGCCAGGAGGTTGAGACCAGCCCTGGCAACATAGCAAGGCAGATGGTGCACACCTGTGGTCCCAGCTACTCAAGAGGCTGAAGTGGGAGGACTGCCTGAGCCTGGGAGGTCAAGCGAGGCTGCACTGAGCCATGATGACACCACTGTACTCCAGCCTAGGTGACAGAGCGAGAACCTGTCTCAAAACAAAACAAACAAAAAAAAGCCAGAGGGAGGGGGGAGGATTGCCTGTACAATGAGATTTGAAAGTCTTTTTTTTTTTTTGAGATGGGGTCTCACTCTGTCACCCAGGCTGGAGTGCAATGGCATGATCCTGCTACCTCCACCTCCCAGGCTTAAGCGGTCCTCCCACCTCAGCCTCCCGAGTAGTTAGGATTACAGGCGTGTGCCACCACATCCAGCCAATTTTTGTATTTTTTGTAGAGACAGGGTTTCGCCATGTAACTCAGGCTGGTTTCAAACTCCTGAGCTCAGGTGATCCACCCACCTCGGCCTCCCCAAGTGCTGGTATTCCAGGTGTCAGCCACCATGCCCGGCCCAAACATTCTTTAAAGTCCACATACACTGAACTCTCAAGGTTCTTCCAGATCAGCCATCAAAAGGTTTCTTCTCCAGAAGGTTACTGCTTAATGAAGGTTTGGGGGTTCAGTTTCCCTGGCCTGATAGTGTCAATGTAGGGCACAGCGGGAATTGGTAGAAAATTCCCTGAATGCCCTGGATCAGGGGTAACTAGGATGCCAGGCAAAGTTGGGGAACAGGACAGTGGGACTACAAGGGAACTGGACACCACATCCCACCACTGCTCAGCTCTGGCTCTGCCTCATGCTGCGGGAGGGACTCACCTAACGGCCTTAACTCGGTGCCACCGACCATCGTTGAAGGAGCCATTCACCATGATGGATGCCACACCACTGCCCAGGTTATAGCTAAGGCATTGGAGAAGAAGAAGACAGAGAACAGAATAAAACACTGAGGCATAAGCAGACACGGTTCACAGACGATTCTCAGGGCAAAAGTTCTTTGCAACTCAGAGTGCAGTTTCCTTAACAAAAAACAAGAGTGTTATAAAAGTTGTTGGGTTTCTAGGCTGGTTCATGAAATTAAAAATTATTAAACTTTTAAATTATGGTAAAATATATGTAACATAACCATGGCCATCGTAACCATTTTTAAGCATACAGTGCCGCAGCATTAAGTACATATTCATATTGTTGGGCTGGCAATTTCCAAAACTCATCTTACAAAACAAAAGCATTGCATTAAATAATAACCCCTCATTCTTCCCTCCCCCCAGCCCCTGACAACCAGCCTTCTACCTTCTGACTCTGTGGATTTGATTCTTCTACATACCTCATATGAGTGGCATCATAGAGTATTTGTCTTTTTTGTGACTGTGACTGGCTTACTTCACTTAGCATAATGTTATCAAGATTGTTTTTTAATGCCCTCATGTAAGGCAACATCAGTACTAAAGTATCAGGAATAACAAGAAGGGCTTTATCATGTGTAATGTTTTATACTATGTTACGATGATGGTCTGCCCCCTCCCTCCACCCGCCAAATTCATGTCTACCCAGAGCCTCAGAATGTTACTTATTTGAAAATAGGGTCTTTGCAGATTCATTAGTTAAAATGAAGTCATACTGGATTAGGGCAGCCATGGATCCAATATAACTGGTATCTTTATGAGAAGAGATTTGGACATGGAGCCAGAGACACACAGAGACAGGGAAAGCCATGGGAAACTGGAGGCAGGGACTGGAATGGGGCATCTCCAAGCCAAGGAATGCCAAGGGCTGCCAGCCACCACCAGAACCTGGGGGACAGGCATGGAGCCGATTCTCCCTGAGACCCTCCAGAAGAAGCCAACCCTTGCACTGCATGGTGGATTTCTAGCCTTCAGAACTGTGAGAGAGCCCACTTCTATTGTTTTAAGCCACCTAATTTGTGGTCATGTATTATCAGAGCCCTAAGAAATGAATGCATCTGTTTTCACTTTTTAAAAAAAAATGAACATTGCAGAGTAGGGTGAGCCCCAGAGAGATTAAGGGAATTTGCCTAAAATCACAAACCTAATGTAGAACTTGAACTTGGTGTATCCTCTGCCCTTATCCATTTAACTCTGCTATCAGGTTTCTCTAGTGGCTTCCTATTTTCTATTTCAGTTCCCAGATACCCCGATACCATAAGGGTTTCAGAAAACATGAACATGTTGTTACCAGAGAGAAATATCCCCCTTAATCCAGTGTTCATTCAATTATTCTAATTAAATTTAATTCGACAAATATTTAGTGAGTGACTACTCTAGCCCGGGCACTGGGCCAACTGCCCAGACTTTCCCTGGATAATACAATAAAGCCTAGGCCATCAAGCTTTTGAAGGGAAGTATGTTCCACCTGGGATGACTCCCTCCTCATTTTGTAAGAGGACATATCTCTCCTTCACCTCATTGCCCAAGAGAGAGGGATGTCGAGAGAAAATCTGGATGAGTTAACAAGCACTGGCATGTACTCATTCTGAGAAAACAGCAAGAATAGAAAGTGCTTGGCTTTCTCCAGAGAAAGCACCATAGATCATTCCTTTAATAATGGAGGCTCGAAGAACTCACACAGCCCATTGACATTTAACCAAGAATAGGACTTGGGGTGACTTGACAAACCCTGGGACAAAGCTGCCACTCTGACCCTGAAAAGTCCACTGTTTTCTAATGAGTTTTCCCACATCAAGTACCTCCTTGTATAAAGCAGCCTGGTGGCGGAATTTTGAGATTTCATGATTTGGTGGCTAAATACTTCTTGAATGAATAGGAAGTAGGGCGAGTTGCTGGTGGGCAGAAACTTAGCTGAATTACTATCTATGGCCGTTCTGAGAGGCAGCGTGGGGTGATAGAAAGAGCACGGACACTCAGATTCAACGGACCTGCCTTGATCCCCAGACTCGCTAGTTAACAGCTCTGTGACCTTGGGCAACTTGCTTCATATTCTCATCTGTCAAACGGGGATAATAATCCCTTCCCTGAAGAATCCTAGGGAATGCTAAGTAACATGACATATGTAGGAAGCACTGCACATCGTAGGAGCCAAATGAAAAATCCCACCACTCCCAACAGAGGCAGCACTTAGTGCAGCTTGGATACGGGGTTGACAATGCACCCCAAGGGACTGGTAGGAAGGAGAAAGTTGCCACCAAGGCTTGAATATGTCACACCTCTTCTGAAGACTAGCCATGTGTGAAAGTAAGCCAACAAGCTGTCAATATATAACCAAAGCAGTCCGGAACACCCAGATCTCAGAATCAAGGTGATCTGGCTGTGTACGTGAAGGGAGGCTGGATTGGAACATGATTGTGGTGCAGTGAATGAAAACCTTTTCAGTTGTCTAAGAGCCCATCTAGACAAAGGGTGCCCTTCCTTCTGTTCTGCAGCCCGACAACTCTCCTGTTCAGGCCAAGAGCTAGAATGTGCTCTAGGGAGTCAACCGTGAACCTGGCAGACAGGAATCCAGCCATCACTGTGGGAGGGGGCAACTCAGTTGGCTTCTCCATGGCCCGATTCCCCAACCCTTCAATTCCATCTGATTTCAGACCCTCCAAAGAACCTCCCGCTTCCTCTGACGTGCTGATACTCACCCTGGAAAAGCTCCCTCGTGTATATAATCATAAATGACCAAGAAGAGTGGTTACCTTCACTGGGAGAAGAATGAGGGAGCATTTTTGGGTGGTGGACATGTTCTATATCTTGTTCTGGGTGACAGTGATTCAGTGTTTACATATTCTAAATGTATCAAGCTCTACACTGAACAGGTGTGCATGGCATGGAAGGTATGCCTCAGTATAAAAATGTAGAAACAAACAGATATAAGAATGTATGTCTAACTTCTCTACCCACGTCTTGGGAACCTGGTTGCCATGATGGGTTATTCTGAGCCACTCAGCTTGGTGTGCACTAGAGGCTGTGAGCCAGAGCACCAAGGTGGGCCACCCGGAAATA
Source organism: Homo sapiens (assembly GCF_000001405.40). Taxonomy (NCBI): domain Eukaryota; kingdom Metazoa; phylum Chordata; class Mammalia; order Primates; family Hominidae; genus Homo; species Homo sapiens. The sequence continues at coordinate 38,455,248 of NC_000005.10, read as the reverse complement.
CCTTCAGGTGAGGCCTTTTGGAAACCACTCGGCCACCTTCCTGCTTTCCTGTGGTGGCACTTTTAATCATGCCCCCTTTAAATTGTAGCACAAGGCACTTTGCTAATGTCAAGTCTCTTCCCCCTCTTCGTTGCATGAAGATGTGATGAGGTGAAACTAAGCGGGCAGTGTTCACTGTGAACAGTCAAGCAATGTTCACAAACCCCACCGGTGGTAGGTTTTATGCCCCACATACAATCACAAAACAAAATGAAACAAAACAAAAACAAAACAGAAAACAGAAAAACACACTCATTTTCACTGAGCACTTTGATTTCCTTATTTTTTCTGCTAAATCTTGCACCAAAACTATAAATATATATACATATATACATTTTTAGAATCCCATTGTTTTTCCCTATTCTCTGGCAGAAAGCCTTTGAGCACTAAATTAGCCAAAGAACCAGCTTTTAGGTAAAGAAAGTCATGAAAGTTGGGACTATATTTTATTATCTTAGGGTTCCTCTTCCATCTGCTTTGAGCCTGGATCAAACACTGAAACCTCAAGAACGATTTGTCTGCTCTGTAGAACAATTCACTCTCCAGACTGCACAGATCTGTGCCCCTTGGGCGCAGGGCCCGTGACTTATTAAAAATAACAATAACAATAATAAAAATAAGAACTACATTTTAATAATAACTACGTGTTCTCTCTCTGAGGTAAAGGCTTCTAAGACTCAGAAAATGCTTGAGCAAGGATCATAATTTTTCTTATCATTATCATTAATTAGCTACACCTGACCCCACACTGAACCCCTTACATGAATTCATTCATTTAATCTTTACAGCGAACCCTGTCGTTTTGCAAGGAGGGGACAGAGGCTGAGATTTAGGTAACTCATGAGCCCACGTGGGGGATCAGGCATGTGTGATTCCAAAGCCACTTCAGACCCTGTTTCTCAGGGCATGGGTCCCGGAAACACCCGGGTGCTTGTTTCTAATCAGACCCGGTGCCCACCACACCGCTGACATCTTCAAACCACTGGCCTACACTGGAATTCCTCTCTGTCCCCAGCCCGCCGGTACGCTTCCCTACATCAGCATCGGGGACATTGATGTGGTGGGATAACAGCCCAGATGGAGGAAGAACAGAGTGGCAGCAATGGGGCGGCTCCAGGACCAGAGCAGGCACAGAAGTCGACCTCGGCCTGGGTTCAGCAGTGTGTCTTACACAGATCACAATCAGAACTCCAGGATTGGAAGAAAAACAGAGGGCCAATTTTCAGAATCCTGAGAAAGAAATGGTAACAAGAAGTATGTTCAGGATAAAGCAGAGCTCTTTGAAGGATCCTAAGCAGGTGGGAGAGGGGAGGGGGCTCTCCAGGGCTGGGCATGGGAGCTGGTGGGAGCTGTTTCCCTACTGGAGTAGAATGGGTGGTGAATAGATTCAGCTGGCAGTTTAGGGGGAAGTTGGACCATCCCACCCACAGCTGAGCTTCTGTTTCGGTTCTCTTTTCTGGGCACAATCAAGTACTTGAGGCCTTGATGAGGTTAACCACAGGAAAACCATAAGAAAATGGCTTCAAGGCAGCCAGCCTGAAATAGGGTGTGAAGAGCTCCGTGTTCAACCTCTGGGCTAGCAATGGGTGGGAGGCTACGGAGGACAGGAAGGCAGAGATGGTGAGAAGCTGCCTCTCACCTGCCAGCATCCAGCCTCAACTACATATGAGTCTCCAAAGTCCCCAACAATCATAAGATGGAGTCACTTAGCATGCTCTGCTATTTAGGGAATAGCATAACATTGGACAAGTGACATTTCCTCTCAAAATGCCTTTTATTCAAACAGAAAGATTTCTGTTATCCTACTTGGGCTGTCAGTAATCTTAGCACAGGACCAACAGAAGCCCCAGAATTAAGTCTTCAGCTTCTCCACTGTTTAGTGATCCCTGCTTTGTCTATTTCAATTCAATTACTTTCATATCATTTAGCAAACACTTGAGCTAGTCATCAGAGGGTGAATTAAGAAGTAGAAGTCCAAGAAATGAGTTCCCCCATGGAACTCAAAGCTTTGAGGGTATCAGAATCGTCTGGGGAAGCGGTTACCACACGGATTGCTGGACCCCACCCCTAGAGTGTTTCTGGTTCAGTAGATCAGGTTGGGGCCTGAGAACGTGGATTTCTAACAAGTTCCCAGGTGATGCTGGGGCTGCTGGTCTGGGGACCACACTTGGAAAGCCACTGTCTAGATGAGCGATGTCTAACCTCATGTGAGGATGTGCCATGACAATCTCTAGAGAAGTGTTTTGATATTACACGAGACAGGCCCTGCCCCTTGGAAGCTCAGCTTTCACCCAATCTGGTAAGAAGAGTGGGGAGAACTCATTCAGGTAATTCTTTAACCACTTCATAGCTATGCATTTGACAAATTTGGAAACAGTCTAAATTCACTTAAAAGAGGGAAGAACTTCTGGCACTGCGTTATCGGTAACACCCAAGAAGTATTTACAAAACTCTCATGTTGGGTGGATCTATTGAGACATGAATCTGTGCTTTGTTCCTCTGGCAGCAGGAGACTTGAAAGCAGGGATTCTCCTTCCCACAGCTACACAGCTAACAGGGAGCAGAGTCAGAATTTAAAGTCAGGGCTCCTGGAGCTTAGGGTTTTAGACCTCCCTGAGCTGCTGAGTCTTAGGCTGAGTACTCACTTCTATGCTTGGCCTTTGTGCTTGGCAGTATCCAAGTCTTCTTTCTGCCCCTTCCTAATTTATGAGTAGGGAACATGCAGCAGTAACACACTAGAACAAGGGCACAGAATTGTTCCTCACAGGGCTAGACGGTCAATTCCTAAGGCTCTGCCATGCAGTTCCTATTGAAGCTACTCAAGTGTGCCATTGTAGCATGAACATGGCCACAGGCAATATATAAATGAGAGAGTACAAGCCAGGCACAGTGATTCATGCCTGTAATCCCAGCACTTTGGGAGGCCGAAGCGGGTGGATCACCTGAGGTCAGGGTTTGAGACCAGCCTGGCCAACATGGTGAAACCCCGTCTGTACAAAAAATACAAAAAGCCAGACATGGTGGCACGTGCTATAATCCCAGCTACTAGGGAGGCAGAGGTAAGAGAATCACTTGAACCCAGAAGGCAGAGGTTGCAGTGAGCCGAGATTGCGCCACTGCACTCTGGCCTGGGCGACAACAGCAAGACCCTGTCTCAAAAAAAAAAAAAAAAAGTCCTGTTGGAATACTGCTGTACTCTTTTTTTTTTTTTTTTTTTTGAGATGGAGTCTTGCTCTGTCACCCAGGCTGGAGTGCAGTAGCGCGATCTCAGCTCACTGCAACATCTGCCTCATGGGTTCAAGCCATTTTCCTGCCTCAGCCTCCCTAGTAGCTGGGATTACAGGTGCCTGCCACCACACCCGGCTAATTTTTGTATTTTTTAGTAGAGATGGGGTTTCTCCATGTTGCTCAGGCTGGTCTCAAACTCCTGATCTTAAATGATCTGCCCACCTCGGCCTCCCGAAGTGCTAGGATTACAGGCGTGAGCCACTGTGCCCGGCCCCAGCAAGACTTTATTTACAAAAAAGAGTGGTGGGTCAGATTTGGCCTGCAGGCCATAGTTTGCTGACTGCTGCTCTATAAGATGAATGTTGGAAAGAAAGACCAGGAGCTTCCAATAAGCCTTGAAGCTTCAGGCTTCAGCCAATTCCAGCAGACTGTGTTCTGGCTCCCTTCTGAATCACTCTGGCATGATCTGCAATGTCTGAGAAAATCGCAAGGTGCTGCTGAAGGCAGATGGAGAGGGGGTTACCTGAACACGAGGGCTCCATCCCGAAGGCCCAAGGAAATGAAGTCGCTGTTGGGTCTCATGGGGCTGTCTCCCCTCCACAGCAAAAGGCCATCCTTGGCAGTTGTTTTAAACCTCATGAACACATTTGATCTTGATCCTGACACCCTGGAGGAAATACACAAATAAGTCCACCAAATCAACCACCAACATCTGTTTCCGAGTAATTCCAGTTTTGTCTGCCAGCCCTGAGGAACCAGATGTAAGGATAGTCTGGCACTTTCTGACACTTACTTCATTACCACGAGTCGCACCACGGGTCTAAAGGTCTGGACTGCTCACTCAGCAGCAGTCTCTCTCCCCAAGCACTGTGAACCCCACCAGAGAGCATTTGCTGAGTGACAGATTAGCAAGACTATGGCCAATGTCACAGCTTAGGCTGCACCCCCATACACACCTCATTCTTTTCTCTTTCCTGTTTTACTACTCAGGGGCCCCATTCCCCAACAGAAAGTGTGTTTCCTAATTACCAAGAGGTTCAAATTGGCAGCCACTCTGGGCTAGGACCACGGCTGTGGATGGCCAGCTCTGGCCGGTGACTGTCCTTGGGGACAAGGTCTAGACAGGGAAAATACCCAAGCGATGGCGTCTCAGACAAAGGAACAAGGCCTGATAGTGAATGGTCTGGAGTGGTGTTGAGGCAGAGCCAGGGTGGAGAAGAACAGGAAGCTTCGAGGAAAGGAGGGGTGCTCAGGCTAGGCCAGCTCCATGCTCTATAGCCACGGCTGGGAATAGGTTCACAGGCTGACATGCTCTTAGCAATGCTTGGGAATAGACTAGTTCAGAAATTCATTCTTATTAGTGTGATCAGTGTTTCATCTTGCACAGAGAAAAGAGGAAGGCTGAGGTCCTTGAATCAAGGGTGAGATAGGAGGAAACATAATTTAACATTGCTACTAGCATAATGTCATTGGAAAAGTTTCTTTGTCCATTCTCTAGTCACTTGAGCCATCCCTCTGTCTGTCTCACACACCTGGGTCTGTGTCTGCAGTGTCCTCAATCGTGAACAGTGGAGGGAACTATTATCTAGGCTTCCCAGAGCCTGAGCTCGTCAGGAAGAGACCAAGTTTGCATTTCCCATGCAGGGCCTCAGAACAGTGAGGGAAGAGCGAGGCCCCCCAGGCCAGGTTCAGCACAATCTAGCACTGACCCATTCCCTAGAGACCTGCTTTGCCCAGATTTTCGCTCAGGTTCCTTCCCTCTCCCATTTGCCTTGGGTATATTGATTGGTTACAAGCCAATCAAGAGGTTCTCATTTCTCTTGCCAGTGATTGGTTTAGGGGCAGGCATGTGGCAGCACAGAAGAGACACAATCATATCCCTTTTGTCCAATGAGATACAATTCTGGGAAGAATTCCTTCTCTTTTAAAAAGAGTCATATGAGAAAAAAAGTCTTTTGGACTTCCACTGGATGTAGTCAGAGTCATCTTATGTGCAGCTTATGGGCAGCTGGGGAGTGGCCTCTGGAGAAGACGCTGAGGACAGCAAGCAAGAAATAGGGATGAGATTGGAATATTTGAGGGTACAGCTGCTTCTCTTAATTAATCAACCCAAGATCCAGTGTAAGTCTGGACTCCTTGTGATATGAAATAGTAAATATCCCTCATGGGTAAGGCATTTTAAGCTGAACTTTCTGTTACTTGGCACCAAAGATATCTGACTGAAATAGACCCTGAACTTGACTTTTACCTGCAGCCTCACACACATGCATTTATACTTTCATATACATACACACACACACACACACATGCATGCGCACACACACATACACACACACTATGGCCCTTGAGGTAGCTGTGGTTTTGGGCCTCATGTCTCCTGCTCTCATCAAGCCCCTCTACTCCCCCAAACCACCTAGTGGTCTCTCACTAACCCCCAGAGACTGAAGGCTTGGGCCCCTTTCACGCTGTCACTGCTTTCTAGGGACTGAATGACCTTCCATCTTTGGAGAGAAAGGGCTGAAGAAGGAGGACGGTCTCTCTTGGCTGGGAATCCATTTTACCTAAGTCCCCATGCCAAGACAACGTAGATTAATACAACCTGGGATTAGAGAAGTGAAGCAGTGTCTGCCTGGTGTGTGTTGGGCGTTACCAGGGACATCCAATGCCCTAGGAGAATTCCTCCCAACCACATTTTGTTCCCTGAAAAGCCACCAAACTCCACCCTAAGAACTGGATGCCTTTCGCTTAAAGATTTGCCCTTGTGTGTTAAGATGCAGTCAATCTGAAGAGGAAGGAAAATCCCAGAATGATTGTGTGGGGAGCAGAAAGGGGAATAGCACACTAGAAACCACAAAGAACTGGGGAAGGGAAAGAAAGAGATAAGGGGCAAACTGAAAGTGCCAAAGACAAGCTTGACCGAGTTGAGGATTTTGCCATGTCAAAGGCTATTCCAAACCAAGAGCGAGGACTCCAGGCCAGGGCTGGGACTTCTGCCACCAGGGGTGAGATGCCATGGCTGTGACTTGGGCATTTCCCTGTATCCACATGAAGAGAGCTGAGAAGCCTCTCACTGAACTGGCCAGAGCCTGAAGAGGACAAGAGACCTTTGCTGATGAAGACGCAGGGTAGGTATGGACTCAGCAGGGAATGGGCTTGGATCTGTCTGTCCTTCTGCTGCTGGCCCAGGTCAGAGCTGCACACTCTGGCCACGGCACAGCACGGAACTGCCCTGCTCACAGAATCATAGTCATCACTCAGGCTTCAGGAACATCACATTCTCACTGTTTCTCGAAGCCTGAATACTGGAAACTCTGGGACCAGTCGTGTCTCTCTCTCCAGGCCCTTTGACCAGAAAGATACTGGATCTTTTGTAACAGGGTTATCTGAAAGGTCAATTTCTCAAGTTTAGTTTGTTTTTTGTTTTATTTTGCTCTAGTTTCTATGTTTATTTCTTGTTGTGTGTGTTTTTCCCCTGAGGCCATGGCTGAATGGTCTTCTTTGAGAATTATCTTCTGGCATGAAATATAAGAAAAAGCCCTGAGAAAGATATAGAGAAATTTACCCCCAGAAAGCTGAGGAAGGTGCCTGTTGAAGCTTATTACCTCTTCAAGATATCTGGGTTGTCATACGTCAGGTAACTGCGGCCGATAAACTGCGGGATCTCAATGGCTTCTATGATCGCTGGGACAGAACAGAAAAAGGAGGTTACATAGTATGTGGTTCTCTTGACCCCTGCACTCACACACATGGCAGGAAAACACCCAGCTCCTGGAAATAGGATGTTTAACAATTCATCAGCCCCTTCCCTTCGGCTGCACGCATATTTGGCCAGGTTCACAGTTGCCCAACCCCATGGCCTGGGGTTGGCTTCTCCCCCATTTTTCCCTCCTGGGGAAGTATTGTCCCTGCCTCTGGCCTCAGCGCTGCTGAGAAGGCCTCACAATGTGCTGAAACTTGAACTGTTCCCAATTATTCTTGGAAGCCAAAGAGCAGCTCTTGGGCCATGTGGGGAGCAGCTGGGGATAACCCCAGATGTTCTCCTAGGGAGGCAGAGAAAACAAATCCCTAAATAAGGCCCACTAGGATTCTTGAAAGCTAATTTGCTGCAGAACCTTTTAAGCTAGGACTTCGAGAGACTCTAAAGCACTATGAATGAGGCTTGGACTCCCGCATTTCTGATCACTTTCCAGTGTATTTCACAAGATCTTTTTTTTTTTTTTTTTTTGAAACAAAGTTTCGCTCTGGTTGCCCATGCTGGAGTGAAATGGCGCGATCTTGGCTCACTGCAACTTCCACCTCCTGAGTTCAAGCAATCCTCCTGCATCAGCCTCTCAAGTAGCTGGGATTACAGGCACCTGCCACCAAGCCTGGCTAATTTTTGTATTTTTAGTAGAGATGGGGTTTCACCACATTGGCCAGGCTGGTCTCGAACTCCTGACCTTAGGTGATCCACCCGCCTCGGCCTCCTAAAGTGCTGGGAATTACAGGCATGAGCCACTGTGCCTGGTCTATTTCACAAGATCTTCACTACAATCTCATGAAGTAGCAGGTAGTATGGGGGAAGGGAAGGGTTGGTTATTCTCATTTTATGGAAGAAGAAAGTGAGGAGTAGAAAGCATGGAGGATTTGCCTGAGATCACGTAGTTAAGAGAGCACTAGGCCTTGAAACTGACCAGCTCTTCTTAATTCTGGCTTCTGGCCCCCTCTCAACTTTCCAATATTTTAGAAATGCATTTTCTTCCTCCCAAACTCTCATCACTTTGTTTTCCTGAGGAATTACCCTTTTACACATAGTTAGCAAAAGAAGAGTTTAAGTAGCTGTGTGTGATGTCATGAACGGGGGATGAGGCTAGGGGATTTCTGCTGGAGAAATAACAGCAATATCTCTTTCCTCTTTGGAAAGATACAGAAATGGTGGTTTAAAGAAATTAAGGTAGAATAAATCTCAAATTCAAAGAAATGTACAAAATGAGGGAGAATAAGAAGGTTTATAAAACACGTTATAGCTTCACGAAAATACATGGTTGGTGCAAAGAAGACACTGAACGAAGGACTCTCCACCCCAGAGAGGAAATGTAGAATTATTTGATACTATGAAAATTCGTACAGATTAACCTTCAAACATAAAAAAAGAGCGGAAACAGCAAAGCCTATGACAATGGGCCCCCAAGTACAAGTCCCTATGTTGGCAGCTTCCCAGAGCCTTTCATAAAAACTAAAAAAGAAAGGAAGAGAGGAAAGAAAACAAGAAAAGCAAAGGACGAAACAGAAAATTTAAAAGACAATTTTGGAGGTAACTACCCAAGAAATTGCTCTGTGGTTCTCTGAAGCAGCACAGCCCTGGAAGAGGGCCTGAGGCTGCAAGGACCTAGCAGGGCCGGAGATGAAGGCTCTTGTCACTTAGTTTGGGGCTGCACCCCCAGCCACTCCCTTCTGACTAAGGGAGGTAGGAGGAAGAGGAGACGAGGAAGGGAAACAGGGAGGAAAAAAGAGTTGGGGGGCAAAATGGCAAGAGGACGGGAAAGGAGCCGAGTAGGAAAACGGGTGGCATGAATGAGAAAGAAGGGACGCTGCAGCAAGAAGAGGAGGAAAGAAAGTGCCGAGGAAGACAACCGGGAGAGAAGGCAGCCACCGGGCAAGGAAGGACGGGAAACAGAAAAGGAAAGAAGGCGGCGCCGGAAAAGGAGGGGAGGGAATAGACCCAGAGGAATAGACAGAAAGGCCAGGGAGAAGGAGGATACAGCGGCAGGGAACTGCAAAAATGGAGGAGGTGGAAGGAAGCTCTCAGCCGGGGCAGCCGGCCCCTCGTTTCAGGACACCATGGCTGGGAAGGGAGAAGGAGGAGAGAAGATCCAAGCTGAGCGGTGGGGGAGGCCTTCCCGGAGCTAAACGGAACCAAGGAGTCCCTGGTGGGTTTGGCTCACCCCCACGGGGGAGAGGTACCGCCAGGGCCTGTCCCTGCTGTTGTTGGCCCGTGGCGGTGGGCCTGTGGCCAACAGCCATCTTTCCCCTGAACTCCTTGCAAGGGTTGGGACGTGCCTGCCACACATCGGCTCTGCACATGAGCTTCCGAGGGGGTCTGTGGGCGCCCCCAGCAGCTGCCGGCTCAGCCCCCAGCTCAGGAGAGAAGTGTCCTCTGGCTGGCCGGCGGGGAGGCTTCCCACCACGCGTAGGCATGTCCCAGCTCCCACACCACTCACCCCGGGTCCCCCTGCATGCGGTTGGCCTGCCCCAGCCCAGAGCGCTCTCGCAGTTTCTCACAGGACTTACTGTACTTACTATTGAGGCAGTAGTTCCCACACTCTGCCCGGTGCCAGCATGAAAGAGAACAGGGAGAGTCAGCCTTTCACAGTCCTTGTCAAATCCCAATTACTCTGGTTGCAGATCACTTGAAGCCAGCCTTGTTTCTCTCACAAAGCTCTGCCCGAGAGTCCAGAACGTCCTCTTAGGGAATGTGAATATGAGCCCCGCGGGGAACCACTGGAAATCTCTCCTCAGCATGATTGGCACCCAGCCACCCGCCTCCTCACCTCTTCTCGGCTTATTGAAGGTGGGCGTGGCGGTGGACCAAGAAGATGTTTAGAATCAGCTGTCTGACACTTCTGAGGCTCCCTCACCTTCAACTGACAATCTGCATTTCTTTTAAATCTAGAGAAACAGCTCCTTGCTCAAGAGTTACTTACCTTGTCAATGATTATTACTTTTCTTGGCTGTAGGCTGCATGTGAAAAAGGAATGATAAGCCAGCTAGCTGCCTCTTCTCTCTCCCTAGTGGAAAATATCGCCCTCATTCCCACGCCACCCCCCATTGCAAGATTCCAGACCCCTGGTTATTTTCTGATTAACAAAGGCAGAGGCACCCTCGAGAAATAACACCACTGAATAAAAAATAGTCAAACTATGCTTCATTTAAGTGAGTATATATAGGGACAAATAATCACATCCAAAATCATCAGAGCTTGAAGTGACCACTGAGCCCTTTCTGGCTCTTTGTAGTTGGTTTAAATGTTGTAAACATTACTATTATTATTATTTTTTGAGACAGAGTCTTGCTCTGTTGCCCAGGCTGGAGTGCAGTGGCGCGATCTCGGCTCACTGCAACCTCTGCCTCCAGGGTTCTAGCGATTCTCCTGCCTCAGCCTCCTGAGTAGCTGGGACTATAGGCATGTGCCATCATGCCTGGCTAATTTTTGTATTTTTAGTAGAGTTGGGGTTTCGCCATGTTGGCCAGGCTGGTCTCGACCTCCTGACCTCAGGTGATCCACCTGCCTGGGCCTCCCAAAGCGCCTGGATTACAGGTGTGAGCCACTGCGCCTGGCCAACATGATTATATTTTAACCTAACCCTATACCTAATTTTTTTGCTTTTATTTTATTGAAAAAAATTTAATTGACACATAATAATTTTACATATTTATGGGGTACATAGTGATGTTTTGATACATATATAGTAATCAGATCAGGGTAATTAGCATATCCATCCCATCTCAAAATGTATCATTTCTTTGTGCTGGGAACAGTCAAATGTCCTCCTGCCAGTTATTTGAAACTATATATTATTGTTAACTATAGTCATCCTATAGTGCTGTGGAACACCAGAATTTATTTCTCCTATCTCCCTGTAATTTTGTATCCTTTAACAAATCTCTTCCTATTCCCCACTTCTCTCTACCATTTCCAGTATACCTAATTTTTTCTACATTGCCTTTTTTCTGTGGCAATGGCCTCACTGATTAGTTGAAATGTGTTTTTTTCATTTTCTTACATTTATATCTAAAAGCTTGTGCCATATGGTGACACACACAGAAAAACACCCCAGTGGACAGCAGCCTCCAAGCCAGAAGCCCTGCAGTCCAGGCAAAGCAAATTTTCCATTTGAGGAGCTTGGAATTCCCAATAGACTATAAAGAGTTGGTCAGGTGTGGTGGTTCACACCTGTAATCCCAGCCCTTTGGGAGGTCCAGGCGGGTGGATCACCTGAGGTCAGGAGTTCAAGACCAGCCTGGCCAACATGGGGAAACCCTGTCTCTACTAAAAATACAAAAATTAGCCAGGCATGGTAGGGCATGCCTGTAATCTCAGCTACTCATGAGGCTGAGGCAGAAGAATAGTTTGAACCTGGGAGGCGGAGGCTGCAGTGAGCCAAGATCACGCCACTGCACTCCAGCCTGGGGTGACAGAGTTAGACTCCATCTCAAAAAAAAAAAAAAAAAAGAGTTGAAGGGACCACGGTTTCTTTCCCACGTTCACGGGACCTTAGCAAAGCAAAGGGCCCTGTGGGCATGGAAGGCTAACTTCCCCAACAACCAGGGCTCCTCTCAGCAGCATCCTTGATGGATGCCCATCCTGCCGGAGCAAACACTTCCCACAATGAGCAGCTCACTCTTCCACAAGGTGGCACGCTCCCGTGCTGGACCATTCTACTAGGTACAGAGATCTTTATTATAGTATGCTGACGGTAGCCACAAAGGAAAAACAAACAAAACCTTTCCCTAAACTAGCAGCCCTTCAACTATCTAAAGAGCAACATCTATACTAAACACCCCCAGATCTCCCATTCTGGGGGTGTTTAATGATATACCATCCACAGAAAAGAAATCCCCTTGAATTTGGCTCATGTAGTTGGTTTAAATGTTTTCTAAAGGAAGTTATCCTTCGCATTTTAGTGCATAAATACATCAAAGCATGACTCTAATCATCTTATATTTTTTATTTTTTGAGACAGAGTCTCGCTCTGTCACCCAGGCTGGAGTGCAGTGGCACGATCTCGGCTTACTGCAAATTCTGCCTCCCGGGTTTAAGTGATTCTCCTGCCTCAGCCTCCCAAGTAGCTGGGATTACAGGCATGCACCACCACACCTGGCTAATTTTTGCATTTTTAGTAGAGATGGGGTTTCACCATGTTGCCCAGGCTAGTCCCAAACTCCTGACTTGAGGTCATCCGCCCGCCTCAGCCTCCCAAAGGGCTGGGATTACAGGCATGAGCCACTGCGCCTGGCCTGACTCTAATCATCTTAAAAGTATATATTGTTATGCGATATCAGGGCGTCTGAATGTTTGGTTGTCCTAGGGTTTGTCTTTGCAGACATTACTAAGCTGCTTCTTTAGCCATAGACATCTTATATGACCATGTGACTGACAAGGAATGTACCTTGCTAGTTTTAAGATGGAGTTGATTTTTTTTTTAATGTTGTCACCCTGGCTCTCCTATGCTCCTGGTTCCCTAACAAAGGTGCAGGAATCTTGGCAACCATCTTAGAATTGTGCTATTACAAGTTCCAATTACTAAAAGAGAAAATGACCAGAATGAGGGACTGGGAACAGCCAACATGGTCATTAGCTGAAGGACTGCAGCGAAAAGAGTCTGGGTATTTGTTTAATGTGTATGTTTGCATGTTTCACTCTTTAATTCATCTGTAAGATAAACGCAATTGAAATTTTTTTCCTATATAACAACCGAATTACTTGTGTAACAATAATTAAATAACCTCTCTTTTCCAATTAATTTGAAATGACTTATTTTTAATATATTAAACATATTTTAATATATTAAATTAAAAATATTAAAATAATTAATATATTAAAATTTCATATTTAGTATTAAATATTAACATATTATGTTAATATAATTTAATATTTTAAATCAAATAATATATTGATATTAAATATAAAAATTTAGTATATTAATTTTTAATATAATAAATGACATAACATTTAATATATTAAATTATATTAAAGAGAAATTCCCTTTAGCATGCATAATTTATGTGTTTTATTAATTTGTGGTTTTATATACAGAGTTTTCTTATATTTACAGAAGCTTTTTTTATATATATACACTGGGACCTAAAACAAACAAACAAAATCACCCAAATCAGACCCTGGAACATGATGTGACTCAAGTAAACACAACATAAATGCCCTAAATGTTGCATGTGTGGTAGGTCAGTATTAATCAGGCAGCACTGGTTACTTGAGGACTGTGCGCCCCTGATGAGTACAGGCGCTAGGCCTAGCTTTGTCTCAACAGCTATTGGCTCTGTCTTATGCGGGGCCACCTGCTACAGAGAAACACCGCCATCTAGTGGCCTGTGGAATCCTGCACAGTCTGAATTGAAGCTGTTCTAGAAACACAGGGAAGGGAAGCAAGGGCCAAAGCTTAGTTTCCCAGGTGACTTGTCCACTATAGACTGGGAGAACCCAGAGAAAACATCTGTGTCCTGTACTCACCTCTTAGACGCTCAGAGCATAGCAAAGGCTCTGAGAAATTCTGCAGAAGAGAGAGAATTGTCTGTTTACTCAGGATTATCCAAATGTATTTCACCATAGAAGCCTCCTCCCATTTCGTGTACGTGAATGCGTGTGTGTGTGTGTGTGTGTGTGTGTGTGTACAAAGCAGCGATTCATATTCCTCAGAACTTAGTTTTTTACATGAGCTTTGTGAAATTCTTCTAGAACATTTTAGTAACTTACTTAGATACACAAGCTCTGAGGAACTGGGACACAGGATGGGTCCACTGGATGCAAGTAAAGAAAAAAGGAAAGAAATCTCTAAGTATGGAAGTAATTTTTGATGGGGAAGGCCTTGTTGAGAAAAAAGGGGGCCTAGGTATTGGGGTAGTGCATGGGGTGGAGAAGATGCCTGAAACTGAAACCACCAAATGGAAGGCAAGGGGACCCCCAAGGTCAAACCTTATGTTTTTTTCTTGGCACCTGAAGTCACAGCTGGGAGTAAGAAGAACCTCTGGCTTCTCCTGTCCTGGTGGGTCTTGCAGGTGGGACAGACAGGTTTGAGTTTCTGCAGTGGCCACTGCTACAGGAAGCCTGTGGCATCCCAAGAGCATCTCAGATGCTCAGTGGGAGCTCAGTGCACCCCTTGGTCTGGGTCAGGCTCTCTTGCTCCTGCCCCCAACCCCACAGGGAAAAGCGGGGGCCCTGAAACCACCATGTAGTCCAAGTGCCTGGAACTGCTCCAGGATTTGTCTGAGTTTCTGGCCCCTGCTCTCCTGGGTTACCAAGAGGTGGGAACAAGTGTCAAATTGTCCAACTACGGCCCTTGTGGAACTCACTTGCCACACTCTCTGATGAGGCTGAAAAAGACCCAGACTCACTGACGATCCAGAAAACAAAATTCCTCATAAAGAAGGTGCCCTTTGGTATGGATTGGATGAGCCCTGGTGCTGGTTATTTCTATACCATTTTGCTTCATGTAAAAGGACTGGTTTAACTTCTGTAGGAATACTGGGAACAGGCTCTTGTTTTGAAACATGGTTTGATTATGAGGCAGAAAAAAACCCCAACTTTTAAATATATGAGGCTAAAAATCACCTTGCTGGATGAGACAGGATTCTTTCTGACAACCAAGGATGGCTTCTCACCATTCTTGGTCTTTCAAACCAAGGATTTACGCAAACTTTCTATGTATTCTCTTGCATCTCTATGGAACAACATAATCGCCCATCTCTTTTCCTTTTCTTTCCAATCTTTACAATGGGACTAAATGTTTTCCCCAATATTAGAGCAGTCGGCATGGCAACTGCCCACAATTGGTACCTGCTGGAGCTGGAAAAATTGTTGCAGAGCCCCATTAATCCTCTCCAGTCATTATGATGGAAAGGAAATTATGGGATAGGGGCCATACCTCTGATATATGAACCTTCCCAGGATTTGGAAAGGTTGCCATCTTCCCAGAAGCAGTATCTTGATTTCAAAACACAATCTGATACTAATTCAACATGGAGGGTGGCTGCTGGCTCATCTGGGTTCCAATCTTGGTTCTAGACTGCTTTGCAGGAAAAGAGTCCCCAATGTCCTGCAGTTCCCTCTGCCGTCATCCATTCCCACAGATCTTGCCAGATCCAGGTGCTCACTGGGATCTGCCCCAACATTCTGGTAAGATTTGCTTCTCATTGAACCTGAACCTATAGTTACAAAGCTATAAATGTGAGCACTTTATCCCTGTTACGACTAATGTTCTGCAGCAGGAAATGAGGGCTAACAAGATCACACATTATCCTTTCTTTCTCCCTTTAATTTCCAGTGCTAAATGTTCATCTAAGTCCGGGATTTACATATTGACCATTAATGTTAGATATACGGCAAGCACAAATTGGATGCTCCTGTGGTAAAATTGGAGACTTAGTAAATTCAAACATTGATGTGTGAAATCCAAACCCAATTTTCTGAATGAATGAGCCACTCTTCAGCTAAATCTCTGTAAGTACAACCTATTAGCTAAACAGCAATTTGCTTGTTAGGATTCTAATCAGGATAATTCACAAATGAATCAATTACCCTCCCTTGTTAAAAATACAAGGAAGATTTGCCATGTAGATTTCAAATTCATTTAAACATAAGAAATACTACTAAGGCTTCCAACTGGCAAATTGGCATCTTTCATATTTTCCAAGACTGCTGCAAAATGACAAAATGACTTCTCCTACCATTCCATATACCAACATACCTACCTGTAATTTATAGTTTTCCTCTAAGCCCTAATTCTGATAAAAATCAACAACCTGGAAATAAGAAAGACAGTGCACATTCCTTCAGAGGCTCATTGCTTTATTTCTTCCAGGCTTGTTTTTTTTTTTTTTTAAGTTCCTGGGCAGGAAAGGCCACACTGAAACTGAAAAATGAAGGCCCAACATGATGGATATATGTGGGAAGCCTATTCTAGATACCAGGGCCGTGTCCTCAGCTTCCCATAAGCAGGTACAGAAAGCAAGTCCAGCAGGGTCTCATGGTCTATGACCTGCCTTGGCTTTCAGTCTAGGGTAAGATGGAAACTGAGTAGCCCACAGCACCTGCTAATGGATTTTATTTTTCTCCCCACGAATAATAATGACCAGTATTTGTTGGTTGCTTGAGTACTTACCAGGCCCTCTTCTAAATGTTCTGGATCCATTGTCTCATTTAGTCAATACTATAACCCTCTGTGTTAGACACACAATAATACTGCTATTATTATTCCCATTTTACAGTTGAGACAACTGAGGCACAGCAATTTGATAGCCTAAAAAATAGCACTATACAGAAGGTTATGCATACTTTAGTTTGGAGCAACTAATGTATAATTTGTGTTTTTGCATATTTGGGCAAGGTTTCTCTTATACAGCATGCACAGACAGGGGTTAAAATATTTATCAGTCTACAAAGCATAGGCATTCATCTATCAGGATAGGCTCTGGGAGTGGCTCAGATGCAAAAGTCCTGGAAACCCCTACTCTGTTATGGGTTAACTCTTGGGTTGCTAGACTATGAGGTGATTCTCAAGGAAGGAGCCAGGGCAGAGGGTGGGGAACCTATTTACTCACTGTTAGCAGAAGTATTTCAGCATTTAACTCTTATTAAGGAATTATGGTAGTTTATAAATAATCATCTAATAAGTTATTGAAATAATTGATCAAAATAACCACTATGGTTGTACCACTGTTACAACTCTTCCATTAAGAGTTGTGGTCCCCCAATTGGCTGTCCGTTCCTTCCACTCCCTCCAGGGAGCTGTGCCTCAGACCCCTGAGCGTACCTTTCTGGCAGTGAAGCCCCTCAAAGCCCAAGGGGCAGTCACAGTCATAGCCCTCCTTCCTGGGCCGGCAGCTGCCCCCATGGGCACAAGGGGCTCTCACACAGGGGTGGGCCGCATTCTCCACATTCACTCCGGAGGTGAAGTCATGCTTCACATGGATGGTTCGGTCATTCAGGATGATCTTGAGAGAGAAAAACATAAAGAAATTCAGGAATTAAGAAACATCTTTGTAGTCTTCTAAAGCTTCCCTTGGCAAATTAACCTGAGCTACACATAGGGAGATTGAAAAAAAATTTTTTTAAGTCCAGTTTCCACTTTTTTTTTTTTTTTTTTGGAGATGGAGTCTTTCTGTGTTGCCCAGGCTGGAGTGCAGTAGTGCAATCTTGGCTCACTGCAACTTCTGCCTCCTGGGTTCAAGCAATTCTCCTGCCTCAGCCTCCCAAGTAGCTGGAATTACAGGCACCCGCCACTACGCCCGGCTAATTTTTGTTTTTAGTAGAGATGGGGTTTCACCATGTTGGCCAGGCTGGTCTCGAACTCCTGACCTCAGGTGATCCGCCCACTTCAGCCTCCCAAAGTGCTGGGATTACAGGCGTGAGCCACCGCGCCAGGCCTAGTTTCTACTTTCATAGTCTTGTCATCTATGCAGGAGCTGAAGTGATCCCAAGTTGATCCACTTGGGAGAATCTGCGGAGTGACGCGCTCCTCTGGTTCCGGAAGACTGGCCACTCGGTTAGGTTGTAAAGAAGTCCCAAGAACTACAAAGTTCGGATTTCAACCCAGCTGCACATTAGAACCACCTGGCGGGCTCTTAAGAAATACTAATGCCCAGACCCGCCCAGACCCATTGAACCAGAATCTCTGAAGGTGAGACCAAGTCGTCAGTAACTTTAAAAAGTTTTTGAGAGTCACCTCAGAAGATGCAGCCCAGGCTGGGAGACACTGGTATATAAAGCAGAGTGGGGAGAGTGCAAAACACAGTGTTACGGAGGCGGAAGTCAAACAGGGCACCCTGGCTCCCGGTGGCTGTGGAATCCAGAGACACTTCCTAGTGTACTCCTTTATGTTTCCAACTAATGTTCTCAAGCAGTCTCCTAAAATTCCATCAGCTGGACCTCCCCGATTGTCCCACTCACTCCTGCTATCCTCCTTCCCTGACGTTCCTGAATCCCCTCCCTCTGCACATTCCCTTCCCCACTTAAGAAACAAAAGTGAAACACAGGTCGCATTCTTTACCCCACTGTGCATGGATTTACTGGTGCTCAAGAGCTCCCTTGCACCTTCTGCCCTGCAATGTGACTCTAGTGAAACTGATAAATTATGAGGAGGGGCTACTGGGTTCCCTAGCCCCAAATAAATGGATCCAACTTTACCAGCCCTTGATTCAGAATATGGATTTACTTTGAACTGTTGCTGGCTTTGCAGAACTTCGAGACAGTAAGAACACCTCCCAGGGGAACCCCCACTGCCCAGGGGTTATAAGAGGTTAGCAATGGCACTTCCTGCCACGAATCTAAGCTTCCAAAGGCTTGCCTGGCCCTTGGAGAGCACTGGGAGAGTTGAGAGAAAACTTTTCCCCAGTCCTGAATCTGAGAAGCTGCTAGAAAGTAGCCAGGATCCTTCTACAATCTCCCCCTTTCAGGCTGCAAGTGAAGGACCATGAAACTGCGTAATATGTGCTGAGACAAGCCAGGAATGGCACTGTTCACTACAGGACATGGCCCAGCCCGTGAATCAGGCAAGAGAGGGTGGTCTTTCTAGCAGGAGATAGGGAGAGGGTTGTGTGTGCTGCGTGAAGGGGAGGGCACAGCCTGAGAAGAGCGGGCAGAGGATGGGAAACGTCTTAGCATCCCAGCTTGTTTCCTAGGTGAGAATTTGAAACACCTGGTTAAGCATGGCCAATCCCACTCATAGGGGAGAATGGTCTGAACTGAGGTATCACAGACCTCGAACTTCAGTAACAAAGGGAAACACGTGACTGTCAGCAAATGTTGACTGGGCCTGACACTGCGATGCGAGATAAAATGGTCACAGTACCAGGGGCCCTTTTCAGTGAAAGGAGGGACTTCTTTCATCATTCCTCCTTCACCTTAGCCTCCCTCATGCTCCATCTCAGGTCCAAAAAGGATCCTTTAGCCACCATTGGTCACTAAAGGAAAACAGGATGAAGCTAACACCCAGGAACTAAACATGCTTTTCTTCAGATCCTTGTTCTCCCAGTGTTTGGTGGTTCTGCCCACCTGGGCTGGGGAGTCAAGCTGCAGGTCTGTTGCAGACAGAGCATGACTTCATAACCACAGAGATCATGGGCAGCCCCAAGAGAAGGAATAAAAGAGAGCAGGCCAGAAGCAGTGGCTCATGCCTGTAATCTCAGCACTTTGGGAGGCCAAGGTGGGCAGATCACAAGGTCAGGAGTTCGAGACCAGCCTGGCCAACATGGTGAAACCCTGTCTCTACTAAAAATACAAAAATTAGCTGGACGTGGTGGCAGGCACCTGTAATCCCAGCTATTCGGGAGGCTAAGGCAGGAGAATCGCTTGAACCCAGGAGGTGGAGGTTGCAGTGAGCCGAGATCACGCCACTGCGCTACAGCCTGGGCGACAGAGCGAGACTCAATCTCAAAAAAAAAAAAAAAAAAAAAAAAAAAAAGAGAGAGCCGGGGGAGTCAGTATCTTTCACTGAATGTTTTTTTCCTGAACCTTCTAGGGAAGAACTCTTTAATCTATGCTCTTAAGAGCTTGGTTACATGATCAATGAACACCAACTGCTAAAGTGTAGGGGTGGGGATGAGCACTGGCTCTAATGTTGAGCAAACTGCAAAGTACCGCAAAAGAGAAGCGCAGAGCCAAGGTTGCTATTCACCTCCGTCCACCTCCTTCCCTACTGTGGAAGTATCTGCAGACACATGATGCCATTTCACTCCCTCAGCAGTCCTAATATAGTTTGGTAGATTTGCCATAAAAATTCATCATCACCAAGTAGCATTCATGGAATGTCTGCCGGGCATAGACCCAGGAGCAGATGTTCTAAGAAAGTGAGGTTGGAAAGCCATGCTGTGGGCATTAAAATAGAAATTTTTAAAAATGTTAAAACTTTCTCAAAGTGTCTTTCTTGGGTGCAGCAGATGACACTGATCATAATCCTCACTTTCTTTGTCTACAGTCTGGGTGGCCCAGTAAACATGAGGAAGAGATGCCTGTACCTTCTGGATGCTCCCGCTGAAAGGCTTCAGGACACCCGAG
This sequence comes from Homo sapiens, assembly GCF_000001405.40. Lineage (NCBI taxonomy): Eukaryota > Metazoa > Chordata > Mammalia > Primates > Hominidae > Homo > Homo sapiens. The sequence goes on along the minus strand of NC_000005.10, from coordinate 38,435,213 downwards.
TTCTTCTTCACATCATCATAATTGGGGACTCCGCCAATGAAAATGTCTGTGTTGCACTTAATCTGTGTGAAGCCTCCCTGCCAAAAGATTAAAAACAAAGCATTGTATGACTTTAAAACAGATGTTCAAAATGATCAAATGTGTCTTCAGTTCCCTGTTGGGGAACAAAATGGTAGACAGAGCCTAGAGACCCATCATGACAATCTGTCTACACAAGGGCTTCACTTTCACAGTGTTTCTCATTGCTCCTTACCACCTGCCTGAATGTTGGTGAACGTCTTAAAGTCTCTGAGACTTCATTTCATTGTCTGCAAAATGGGAGTCATTGTATCTACCTCATAGCTATGTCATGATGACTGTGGCAGACTGCACTACCGTTCACAGGTACCCCTCCCCACAGGAAGATTGCCTCCAACCTGTCGGCTCAGATGAGCTTGTGTGACTTCTTATAGCCAATAAAACATGAGCAGAAGAGAAAAGAATCACTTCTGGGCAGAAGCTTTCAGAGCCAGAGAGTAGTTCACCATGCCCTTTTCTCCTTCCCTCTGTTCCTTCAGCCCAGATCTCAGATTACAGCTGCAGCTAACCATTGGTGGATATGTATCATGAGTGAGAAATCCTTACATTTGAGAGCTCTGGGAATGAACACACTTTAGGTAATGTTAAGTTATTATTTTCTTTGATTTACGATAAAATAAATACAAATAGTAGCAGCTTTGATCATTGATTTAACAAATATTATTAGGCACATACTACAATATGCCCCAGCCACTATGTTAAGTGCTGGACAAACAGCAGAAAATAAGAAAGACCCAGTCCTGCCCTGCAGGGGTTTATGCGAGCAGGGAATACAGACAAGTAAAAGAGCAGGTGATATCAGCACTGGGAAGAACTGTACAGGTGGCTATGGGTGCACCTGGGTGCCGGACACGGGAGTCTCATATCCTACCCTAGACACAGGGAGTAGGGGAGGTGGTCAAGGAAGAGTTAACATTGTAGAAACTGGAAGACGTTGGGGCTTAGAGGGAATGTGAGTATAAGGCACAGGCGAGAGGGGGCCAGAGCATGCAGAGCCTTACACACCACATTACGAGCATGAATTTTACCCAAAAAGCAATGAGACTTAAGCAGGAGAGAGAGGTCTGTGCTTTGGAAGATCATTGGCCAGAGGGAGGAGAATGAATCTGGGGTCATGTCAAGGGTAGAGAAGACAAGACAGGCGAGTCATGGAGGAAGAAGCTCTGTTTATCTTAGGGAGTGCCCCCATGGCTGGGTCCAGCCAGGTAGCCCAGGGAAATTTCAATTAGATTAATAGACCAAAATGCCTTCTGTCAATAGCCTTCCGGCAGCTTTGAGGGTTCTTCCTTAACTAGGAGGTTAACAAAGAAGTATAAAGGCTTTCAGGAATTCTTGTGGCCCAGCAGAATACTGAACCAGTCAGGAACTGTCACCACAAACCCACAGGCATCTTTCTCTTGTCATTGCTCTTACACAAAAGCTAAAATAAGATGGAAAGAGGAAAGGAGGAAGGATGCAGGGTCAAGGAGGTTTCAGAGCAGCTGGCTGCTAGGAAAAAAAATTGCATTATGGCTGTGTCCAGCAGCGGGGCCTCGTGGAGTGAGGAGCAGTTCCTTTTGGCTGCTCATCAAAATCGTCATGCAGCACCCTCCTGCTGACAAGTGGAAGGGCTGCAGCTGCCATGCCCAAGGGGGACCGCAGGAGAGAAGAAAACATATCCCACCAAAGCCAGGCCTGCTCTGCAGTGAGGGGTTTTGTGTCTGGATCCTATACTTTGGCTTGGCTGGAAGCAGTTTGCAAAGCTGAGCAAACTTCCAGGCTGGAGTTTCCTGAAAGCCTCAGAAGCACTGCTCTTCCACGTGTCTTGCATAGTCGGACTCAAGCCCAGGCTTCTGCTGTTTCTCAGAGCTGCCAGCTGAGCAGCCTGGTGGTCAGGTTTAGTCTGCACACAGGCTCTTAGGTGCTTAGGTCCTGGGTTAGCCCCTCAAAGTGTACTCTAACCCCTGCCCTACCTGTCTCTGAGCTCTAAGACCACTGCCCTGTCAGCCACACTTCGAACATGATATGGACAGCTGGGGAGCAGAATTCCTTGTGGAAAAGACTTGATGAAGGTTTAGCATATGGAGATCAGGCATTGGCCTTCCCACTCCTGGTTCACAGTGGACTCAGCAGAATGTCCCTCCAATGCACACACCAAAGCCACACCTTCCTGTGGGTTCCTTTTTCTTTAAAACTCCAGTCAGCTCCATTCACCCACATGTCGCCAGAGGTAAAAAAGCCAAAAGGGAGAGTGTAGGTGTCACCGTATTGGTTTCATGCTCTTTTGCTGATGTGCAGTGATAGAAACTCTCAGGTGTGGTTTTCACCTATGTGTTGTCTCTTAGATCCTAATAGTAAATACTGTGTCCTGAAGAGTAACTTATTTATAATCATGGACCTTGCCCCTACTTTTGACAAATGTTCCCATCCTCAGCTTTTGTTCCTGTTTTACAGATGTTTGCAACTAAGATCTATAGAGATACAATTGGATTTATATCATTAAGCCAACAGACAGCGAGGTGTATTCTCGTGAGCTTCTAATTCTGTCCTGGACTAAAGTCGGCTGTTAGAATGTTCTGGATTGCACCAGAAGTGACTCTGGTTCTCCATTTAAAATCAATTTCCATTCATCCCCTCCTTTCTTCCCTCCCCCCTTCCCTGCCCCCACCCTTCCTCCCTTCCACAGATATATATAGAGCATTTTCTAGGTGTGAAGGGTGCCCACCTCTTGAAACAGAACCCAATTTGGGATTCCCCTCATTCCCAAGGAGGCCCTTGGTTCCAATTCGTCCTCCCACCACTGCAGCCCCTCAGGCTGGCTTCTGGACACATGTGTCCCTTTTTCTTCTCTCTCCAGTCAAGTACCTCTTTCCCCAGCGAAAGTCTCTTTTCTTTCCTTTTCTTTTTTCTACTAGTCTATTTGCTTATTAATATACCCAAATTTATCAATGTCCTTTGCAAATCTTCCTTTACACAGAATGAAAACTGGTGGGAACTAAGATATTGGCAAATCTAAAGTCCCCTCTATTTTTAAGGAACTATAAATTGTGTGTGTGTTCGCAGAATCCTAGCAGGCTATAGTTTAAAGCAAATCTCCCTGACTTCCTCTTAAAAATGTTATTTTTCTTTGAACATAACCTTGGAATTAAAATCATGGAGGAAAGTTATAAACTTAAGTAGAAATCCTATCCTCTTGAGTCCATAACCATACACTATTCACCACGACCACCACCACCACTACTGCTACTATGTAAAGCTATTTAGTGCTGACCTGGCATCAGGTACTGTTGTGTTTTACATGTACAATTCTTTTAATTCTCACAACAACTCTGTGAAGTAGGCACTATTATCATCACCATTATCCCCATTGATAAGAGGATAATGCTGAGACAAGAACAATCTTGGTAGGTCAAGTAACCAGTATGAGCTCACACCACTGGTAAGTAATTGAGCCAGATTTTGAGCCCCAGGAGTCTGGACTTACAGCCTGTTCTTGTCAGGCCTCCCCCATGCACCACAGGCCCTACCCCAGAGTCCATGTTCTTACCTACTACTTGCTGTAGCTGATAAGAACAAAGGTGGAGTTGGGAGGCGAAGAGGTGAAAGGCAATTTTGTAAGTGCTAAATGTATTGGGTATCAACTCATTTAATCCTCACAACTCTATGAGGCCCATACTATTATTATCCCCATTTGTAGCTAAGCAATAGAAAAGTTAAGTAATTTGCCCAGTGGGGAGCTGGGATTTCCACACAGGCACTGAAGTCCATGTAGTTAACCAGAACACTCTGCTGCTTTTCTACCAAGACAGGCAGAAAACAGTAATCTGGCTCACACTAACCATCAAGAGAAAAGGTGTACTGTTCTTACCTCTGCCATTCCCTCCACTATCTTCTGCTTATCCACCTGTAAGATTCCATTCTTTGCTGTGCGAGATACACGAAGCTCGTGCCAGTTGCCCAGGGTGAGGGGATCTTCACTCCTGTGGAAGGAAGATGTGATATTATTTTTATGTATCGAGTTGATTAGGATAAGGAATGCCCAGATAGCTGGTACAACATTATTTCTGGGTGTGTCTGTGAGTGTGTTTCTGGTAGAGATGAGCATCTGAATCAGTAAACTTAGTAAAGATCTGCCCTCACCAACCTGGGCAGGCATCATGGAATCTGCGGAGGCTCTGAACTGAACAAAAAGGAAGAGGAGGGGGGAAGTGCTCTCTCTTCTTGAGTTGGGACATCCACCTTCTCTAGCCTTGAACATCAGTGCTCCTGGTTCTTTGGTCTTCAGACTTGGACCAAGACTTACATCATCAGCTTCCTGGTACTTGGGCCTTTGACTTGGACTGGAACGGACATCATGGGCTCTCTGGTTCTCAGGCCTTCAGGCTTGGACTGGAAATACACCACTAAATTTCCTGGGCTGCCAGCTTGCAGATGGCAGGCCAGGGGACTTCTCAGCCTCCATAATCATGCAAGCCAATGCCTCATGATAAATCTCTCTACATGTCTATTTATAGCCTATTGGTTCTGTTTCCCTGGAGAACCCTGATGAACATAGAAGGAAACCAAGCATGGGTTAGCATGTTATGGATCATTTTTGTCAATCTAGCCATGAGGAAACTAATGCTAACCTTAGGCACACCAATCCATTCAGTAAAAAGAAAACACTAATTACTGCTTAGTAACAACAGCAGGATTACCTACTATTTATTGGATGCCTTCATACAGTAGGAACATTGCATTTATTGTTTTATTTATTCCTTACAATGAGCCTGAAATGGGGTTCAGTGAGTCTGGTGAAATGGGTTTTCTAGATGAGAGGTGGCATGAAGATAAAATATGGTCATAATTGCACACAAGCTTGGAAGAAGAGAAAAATTGTAAGAGCTATGATGTAAAAAACAAATTATTTGGCATACCAATGTCTGTAACATACTTTGAAACGCATAAAAAATAAGAAGGACCTTTCTGCTATAGGCCTGAGTGGTTGCTGTTGAAAAGGGCAAGTTCCTGAAACCTGGGAAACTGGTGGTGGTCCTGGCCAGATGCTACTCCGACGCAAAGCTGTCATCGTGAAGAACATTGATGATGGCACGTCAGATTGCCCCTACAGCCACCGGATATCCCCTTGGACAAAACTGTTATCAATAAAGATGTCTTCAGAGACCCTGCTCTTAACCACAAGGCCCAATGGGAGGCCAAGGTCAAGTTTGAAGAGAGGAACAGATGGGCAAGAACAAGTGGTTCTTTGAGAAGCTGCAGTTTTAGATACTTTGTTTTGGTCATTAAAATTTTTTTTTAAAAATTAAGAAGGATGGATGGACAGATATAATAATGGCTAGATATGTGATGAGGCAAATATAGCAAAACGTTAATTACAGACTATAGGTGCTCGGTATCAGGATGCTTACTGTACAATTCTTCCAATTTTTCTATATGTTTGAAATTTTTCATAATAAAATATTGGGAGGGAAATAGATTCCATATTTTCTGATATTGTAAAAATGATTAAAATTACATTAAAAGTTCAATTATTCATTCAAAGTGGAAGTGCTTAAAGTTTAATGATATTTATGCAAGTTTTACTCATTACGTTTTATAGTGAGGTGTGCAGAAAGAGACTCATTATTGCATTTGTATTTCTAGCAATGTCTAGTTCCTGGCCCTCGCTGAACTTCCCAATTATCTTGTGGTCCTGGATCATCTTTAGAAAACCATGAGGAATACCAATGGGCACAATTATTGAAAGGTCACCACCCCCTCACTTGATTTTTGCTTTGGCAAATGATTTTGTGATCTGTTCTTAGCAATTAGAATTTAATCACCTTGGCTAAATCAATATGCAATAAAGAAATAAGCAGCCCTTTTTAAGTGGTCTATCTCCATAACAGAGCCATTTCATGTTTTTGTACTGCAGAGGTCATTTGCTGTCAATATGCCACCTTCCTCAACATCCTTTTATCGATCACAGCCATCAAGAACTCATTCCAATTGTCGTGATTTTTTAATCAAGTTCATAATGAATTTGCCCATCTTATCCTATTCCTAAAGTTAAAATGATCTGGCCAATTCCACAACTTCCTGTAGTTTGAGTTTTCACTGCATTGTCTTAATTGAGCAAGAAGTCTTTGAAATGGTTTTCAAAATAAACAGCTTCCAATGGGGCATCTGAAACACCAAGAGTAATCACTGTTGTTAGCTTACGCTCAGGAGGGGATAGGATAAGGGGGCAGATGGTGGTTTGTCCCTCAGAAACTCTTGCCTCATTTTCATCACCTAATTCTTAAAAATTCTTTTTCCAGTTGCCTTTGCTGACAGGCAGTGAAACAATAACTTAGTAAATTTACAAAAAAAAATTAAAAGCACCTCGTGTCAAAAATAAGCACAGAGTTATGAAAGAGAGAAATGCTGGACTTCTAAGGGTTCCATGTGCTTGTGACCCCACAGCTGGAGCTGCCACTGCAGAGAGGCAGTGTGGAGGGGGTAGTCTGTCCAGGAGGAGGGCTGATGAGCCCAGAACCTCTCCTGGATCTTTCTGGTCATTCCCTATCCAGGAAGAAAACCATTTAAAAGTGCAAGGTGATATTCAAGGTGTCTTCCTTTGTCAACTTGACATACAGTTCTAAGTGAATTGCTTAGGCTATTTTGCATAATCATATGTAAATTGAATCAATTAAATCCCCACCAAAGTTGTCTTGAAATATAGGATGTTTTTGCATAACCAGAGGTACAACAATATTTGTCCGTTCCCCTAGAGGGGAAGGTGTCACTGATGTGCAGGAATTCAGCCACAAGGACAAAAACAAACCATCCTTTTTAAGAACTGTTAAAACCTAATGCAGTGAGCATTTTCTATCAGCCAGGAAAAATGATCAGTAGTTAAGGGCAATGCATGGTTGTAGCATCTCACCTACATACTCTTTTTAAACATGACAGTCTAGCAATATGGATAAAGATTGAAAACAGTTTGCAATATTCTTTGAAACAACAGACTAACTGATACCCTGTTACAGGGCACCATGGAGCAAAACATCCTAGTGAGTTTCAAAAAAGACGAATTAGACAAATGTAGGAACAAGAAGCATGTCTGCATGCGATTAGTGGCCCCTCTGGCTTGAAGGTTAAAACTACCATCAACACAATAAAAAGATGGGAGACATAAACAAATAAAAGCGTCTGCATCTACCAACTACAGGCTCCAAGGAACAATCGACCTGCTAAGTAATTTAATAGTACAAACTAGATAACAGTAGGAAAGTTTTGACTACTTACACCAATTCTGCAAATACCAGCAAGTACTGCAGAAGCACCCATTTCCTGCTATGCTATTGAAACCACTCATCACACATCTTTCTTGAGCATATTGCTTAGGGAACGGGTCTCTGCATTGCTGATGATTCACTGTCAATTTCCATTAAAGAAATAGTTCAAGAGGAAAGTGAATATTTAGAGTGAGGTCATCAAGGATATTTTTGTTCAAAAATATTTGTTAATACTTTTTTACTAGTTGACATGTATTTGCTGGGTGCCCATCATGTGATGCTCTGTATGAGATGCTGACTAGTTACAGTTCATCAAGTTTCTGCGGATGACATGACATAACTTTAGGTGGAAATGGAGGCAGTTTACCTCCACCTGAAGCAAGTCCATTTTCCATAGTTTGAAGCATACAATTGCTACCTGTTGGGTAGTTATTTGAGAAAAGGAAGCCTTGTGGGCAGGAGAGCACTCTCTATAGGAAGCCTGTCATCTGCCTGAAGCAGGACAAGTCAGGACAAGTTTCAGAAGATAAGCATGTAGAGAAGACAGGATGAGTGTGAGCTGTTGAATGGCGATTTGGTTTTTTTCTGAAGCAGTTACTATTTGCCTTTTTAAGGGAAAGAGTCCCAGAAGTTTTCAGCCCTCACCTGAGGACACCGGTCCCAGAGCCACAGTCAAAGCGGAACTCCACGTGGCCCCCTGCCAAGTTGATGGACAGGAAGTCTTTGCTGCCTGTGTCATAGCTGTACAGGAGGACACCATCTCCTGAGTCTGGCCGAAATGTGATCTCAAATTCCATGAAGGAAAGGTAATGCTGGGGCTCCAGTGGCCAGGGAGTTGCAGCGTAAGATCTCAGAGACTCTCTGAACTGAGGAATGGTCAAGGTGAAAGCTGAAAAAACAAGCATGGTGTTAGAAATCCCTCTGTGGCAGAAACTGGCCAGATGTGCACCCATAGCTGTGTTCTTTCCCTCCTGGGTACAGACCTAAACTACAATTCCCAGCAGCCCTGCAGTTAGGTTGGTGGTGTGACTGAATTCTGGCCAGTAGAACATGGGTGGAAGAATCATAGAGCACCCTAAGTCTGGCCCCTAAAACTTCCCTCCATCCTCCATGCTCTTTCTCTCCTCTCACGTGCTGGCAGGATGCAAGTATCAGTGGAGGACTCTAAGGCCCTAGAAGAGCCATTAGATGGAAGGAAACTGTGTCCCTGTATAACTGTGTGGAGCAGAACCCCCTCTCTCACCACCATCTTTGACCTGCAGTGATTTTGTAATATGAGCAAGAACCAGCCTTGATTATGTAAGGCTACTGAAATATGAGCTGGTATGTAACAGCATTGGCTTACCCTGACTCACATGCCCTCTTTTAGGTGACATGAGATTTGAGATCACAAAAGTTTTCCCCAATATGGTATCTTAGGTCCAAATCTGAATTAGGGAAGAATTTGACTAGTTTTGTGATCTTAGCCTCAGTTTTATTTTCTTTTTATTTTAATTTCAGAATTCTGCAAAAATGATTTTCCAAAATCACTTTTGGAACCCTCCATGATTTTCCAAAATCTTTGAAATTTTCTGTTATTATTTGCCTGTGTGAGCGCACATATGTGTATTTGTGTGCATGTGTTTCCATGTTTATATACACATGTGTGTGCATGTATATATATTTACATACTCTCTGTATATACAGTATTAAAATGTGGCATAATTTAGTAGAACAGTACAAAAAAAGGTTACTTTTGTCCCATCACATTGTTAACGTTTCTGTGTCTACCTTCCCTATCTTTTTTTTTTTTCCCAAGATGGAGTCTCGCTCTGTCACCCAGATTGGAGTACAGTGGTGCTATCTCGGCTCACTGCAACCTCCGCCTCCTGGGTTCAAGCAATTCTCCTGCCTCAGCCTCCCGAGTAGCTGGGATTACAGCTGTGCACCACCACACCCAGCTAATTTTTGTATTTTTAGTAGAAACGGAGTTTCACCACGTTGGCCTCGTGATCCGCCCACCTCGGCCTCCCAGAGTGCTGGGATTATAGGCGTGAGCCACTGCGCCTGGCCTCATCTTCCCAATCTTTTATCAGAAATTGACAGAAATTCTAAAGAGCATGAGCCTGAGCTTTAAAGGCTTTGAATTCAGTCTGATACAAACCATACCAATACAGGCTTTTTAAAAGTTATTCAAGGGCCAAGAGGAGCCCACTGATTCTTAGCATCTTGAAATGAACATATGTTTGGCTGAGGGACGGAGGTGCCCTGCAGTAAGAAGTGCTGAAAGGCTCAACATCAGATGAGTGAGTTCTCATTACCAAACAAATTTTGGCACTCAGAGACACTCCAACCTTGTTTAAAAAGTTTCCCCCATCTCTCCCAACAAAGCAATGTTGATCCCATAAAAATGTATGGGGCTTTGTTAGATTTGTTAAAAGTACATTGATGAGGCCTGGCGTGGTGGCTCACGCCTGTAATCCCAGCACTTTGGGAGGCCGAGGCGGGTGGATCACTTGAGGTCAAGAGTTTGAGAGCAGCCTGGGCAACATGGTGAAATCCCATCTCTACTAAAAATACAAAAATTAGCTGGGCGCCTGTAGTTCCAGCTACTCGGGAGCTGAGGCAGAAGAGAATCACTTGAACCCGGGAGGCAGAGGTTGCAGTGAGCCGAGATGCGCCACTGCACTCCGGCCTGGGTAAGAGAGGGAGCCTTTGTCTCAAAAACAAACAAACAAATTAACAAAGAAACTATATTGATGATAAAGTACATCTACACAAATTAACATGCAGATAGAAACCGCCTTCAACTTGCTTCTTTCTCACCATCTTCACAGTGTCGACCTTTAAACCCAAGGGGACAGAGGCAAATGTAGGAGTCGGCTTTGATTGCTGTGCAGGTGCCACCATGGATGCACGAGGCCTCATCACAGATTCCACTGCTGCATTCCCCTAAATACAGAATGGGAATTACAAAGCCAATCCTCCATGTGTGCCAGTCCAACACAGTGGCGCTGACCCCACCAGCAGCTCATGGTTCTGAATAAATACATTTCAGTTCTTACTCCTGTTGATTTGCAGCTCTGCACAACTGCAAATGGGCTTTCAGGATAAGTGGAACCTGCTCTTCATTTTAATTTGATTTTGGTTTGTCCTGTATGAAGAGCCATAGAGACTTTAAAAAACATGATGGACACAATAAATCAAATAATACATTTCTGGGCAATTTTATGACCACTAACTGGGATGACTAAGCTGTTTCTGCTTTAATTCATCTCTCTCTTGCTCCCAACAGAGCATATTTCAATCCCTCCAATGTCAACAGGGTGTTTATGTTAAAAGCATTCTAAATTGCATGACCCCAATTAGCTTAAGTGCTGCTGCCTTGTTGGTTCAAAGTTGAGACAAGCAAGGTAGGCACAGAAGGAGTTACCCAGCCACGTCTAAGCTGATTAACTCACCTGGATTGTCAACTTCTCTGTCTGGGGTAGGGAGCAGGGAGGGAGGGCCCCATAATACATTGGCACATGGGTTTCAGAATCCCTATTTCTACTTCCAAAGTTACACCCTGATGAGGGACAGAAAGGTGGCCTGTGGTAAGAAGGCTGAAAGGCTCAACATCTGATGAGTGAGTTCTCTTCACCAAACAGATCAGAGAGATCCAGAAAGGGTATCCTTTGTCATTTTCAAGTGCAGGTCATCAGAGGAAAACAAATGGACTTTTCATGGGCTGTTTTTCTTCTGCTTCTTTGTGTTTTCTCTTTGTGTGTAAGAAATCAGTTAGACAGATGGACCACCATCTGGCCCAGAACCACATGAGGGAGTACAAAACACTTTTTCTGGGGGTGGAGGTAGAAGGGCGTGCCTCTGGAAGTGAAGGGTCCAGCTGTGCTCTCTCCCAGTCTTCAAGGCTGCCCTCTGCATGAGCTGGTAGCCCACCCTGTGAGGGCAGGAGCCCTCCTTGGCCTGAGTGTGTCATCTCGGCAGGATGAATCTCTCACCCTTCCCTCCTTGAATTGGTCCAGTCTTTTCATAAAGACTCACTGGGAGGAGGGGTAAAGGCCAGGCACCCAGGTTAGACCCAGGAGAGGAGACTGACTTCAGGGACTGCTAACAGAATTTGATTAAAGCCCGTGCAGATGGCTTGCCTCCCCAGCTGGGGGTGGCTAGCCTCTGTGAATTCCAGCTGGTGGCTACTGAATGTTCAGGCAGACATGACCAGTGGTCTCCAGCCACAGCCCTAAGAATGTCACCCCCAGCATTCACAGCCTCCACAGAGATGCTGGCTGACTTTGATCTTAAAGAGCCAAACTCTCAAAGGTCCCTGAGCCCCGCCAATTTCTGTGGGTTGTGATTCCTTCCCAGAGCTTGGCTGGATCCACAGGAAGAAGCGGGATCCTTGTATGTTATTTTAGATGTACAGAAAAGGATTACATTACAAGTCTTATGCATTTTAACCATTTTTTAAGAGGTGGGGGTAGGGGAGGGGAGGTCATGAAAGCCAGATGGAGTTGCTGACTTGGTGAAAGCAGCATTTCAACAAGATTACTCTGGGAATGGCATGCAAAACAGACTGGTGAGTGATAGGAGTGGAGGAGATGAAAAAACTCCTATAGGGAGTGAACAGGATGGCCACAAAGAAAATGGAGAGACTGTGAAGGATCAGACATCCAAGGAAGTAAGAAATGAGAGATTCATTCTAGAGGCTGAAAGGCAAGAACACTCCTCCAGCACAATCTCAAGGTTTGTAGCTTGAAAGACTAAAATAATGGTGCAGGAGGGAAGAAATGAGAGTGGCTGTGAACAGGACCTGGCTTCTGCAAAGCAAAGGGAGAGGTTGCTTTGGTTGGATTTAAGTCTAAGGTGACTGTGGAAATACCCAGTGCTGGTATCAGGCCTTGAAAGAAAGGAGAGAGGTTCCCAGAGTTTCCAAACCAGTGTGGGTACAAGGTCACACAAGGCATGGCACCTGTGTGAGCTGGAGAGAACCTGAGCATGGGTGAGTAAGCCACAGCAGGGGCTCTGTGAACCGAGAAGGAAAATATATTGCATCTGTATCTTCCCTAGCCTCTGCCTGGAGCTGGGTATGTATTTCCATCAACTTTCAATACAGGCAAGATACTTCTAGTGTTAGTAGTTCTTGTGAGTTGTGACCAATAGACCTCACAGCTGTTGTCACCTTCCATTTATTGCACATTTTTTGAAGTATCATTCATACTTGTTGCTACTTTGAAGTCATGGGAGTTATTTCACCCACCATTAAATAATTCTGTTCTTAATATGCTTTATAAAGGAGCACATATATTATTGTAAAAGCAAAACTTTAAAAATATGTGATAGAGCTGGGTTTCAATATAATTGTTTCCCCTTATAATATTACATATATTATTTTTCTCCATTTAAGAACATCATTATGAGAAGAGGTCCATGGGCTTCCCCAGACCACCAAAGGGGGCTGCAGTGCCAAAAAGGTTAAGAATCCCTGGGCTACTGAGAAGAGAGAACCTGGCGGCGAGGGCCCAGGGCAGCCAGGAAGGGTGAGTGCAGAGTGTAGCTGAATAGGTTCATTTTAGGGGGAAAACTCTTAACTCAAGAGTGATGGGGAGGAGAGGTGGGTGTGGCAAGGTCATGTATACACAGACCTCATTATCAATATGTAAAGTCACTTTCACCAGCGCCTACCATAGGCCAGTTGTTGTGTAGGTTTCTGCTAGATAAGAAAGCGAGAGGTAGAAGAGAAATAAGACTCCTAAGGAGGGGAAAGAATGTGGAACATCATGGGGTGGAGTTCCTTAAAGAGACCATGAACAAGGAGAAACTTCCCTGTCCCCAACCCCTAGTCCGTAACCGAGGCCCACCTATTTTTCCCCTAATGATCTGTCAGATCCGTCTCTGTTTCTACCACCACCACCACCTGGATCACACCGTTATTTGTCATGTGACCTACTGCAATAGACCTCAGCTGGTCTACATGTATCCCTGAAAGCCCCGTCTAATGAGCTGTCAGAAGATCTTCTCAAATCACAAACTAGATCATGGCACCCATCTCCCCCTTCCTCTTCCCCTGGAACAAGCCCTTCCCTCTGCCTGGAATGTCCTTCTTTCCCTTCTCCACATTTTCACTCCTACTCTTGCTTCATATTAACTTCCTCTTCTGAGAAACTCTTTCCCTGGCCCCCAGACCCTACAACCTCCCTATTAAACATCACCACTGCAGCACCACTTCTCCTCCATAACACTTACCCCAGGTGTAACTTCACCTTCACTGTGTGATTACTATATTAATTTGGTCTCTCCACATGGCAACTATATGAGGACTGAGCTGGATCCTGTCTTGTTCATTACTTGATCTCCAGCACCCAGCACTGTGACAAGCACTAAGCAGGTGCTCAGTGAAGTATTTATTGAGTGAAATGAGGAAAAGAGCTCGTAAGCCATAGTGAGACCCATGGTCACCGCAGACCCCCTGAATCTCAAATACCCTGGGAAGTGGCTCTGTGACTGCTCCAGCAGAGTGGGGATATCCAAGATGGGATTGGCATAAATGAGTGGTGGAAATATAGGTTTGAGAATCTGAATGGAAATAATCAAGAGCTGGACCAGAGAATGCAAAATTTGCTGAGATTTCTGACCAACTATTCTAGAATGTGACTTGCAGAGAGCACAGGAGCTGGGAACAGTCTAACGAAAGACAGGATATGAAGTGGAAGGAACTGAGTAATGCAAGCCCCTCTGGGGAATAAAAACGGGTTTAGTGGGAAGGCAGAGAAAAAGTCACAGTTGAAGATGGCAATGACAAGTTAGAGATATCAGATGGAGAACCATGACCTCCCTGGTGAGGCTGCGTTTGACTTACAAAAACTTGAATTTCAGGAGGACTAACCCAAAGGACAGCAAACATGGAAGCTGAGGAAGGATAATCAGCCCCACTCTTATAACCCCGGGGGAAATGAAATGCGAAGAAATGTAAAACACCAACATGGCTGACACATGCCATTAATATTCACAGAGGGAAGTCTATACAGTAATCCAATAGCTGTATCCAGGGAGCTGAAGCCCACAAGAGAGGTCCTTTTGGTGCCACCTGCTGGAAAAGTGGGTATCGCACTGTGTCAGAATTAACAAAGCTGGCAGAAATCAGTTCTTGCCCAACTTTACAACCTCTGAACTACCTGTCAGAGGTTGCCATGCCATTTCAGGACTACCAGGTTTATTCAGGGCTGTTCCCCTGAAGAAACAGATTATAGCTGATTTGATGGGAGGGTTAGAATATGAATAACAATATTAATAACAGGAAACATTTACGAAATGTTTGCGATGTGCAAAGCCCTATTCTAAGTGCTTTTTACACACCACAACTCATTTAAACAAAATAATCTTATGAGGCAGCTACTATTTCTAGATGGGGAGACTGAGTTGCAAAAATTTTTCAAATCCAGGCAATCTGCCTTCAGAGTCCAGGCTCATAAGCAAGGCATGTGACTCCTGATGGAATGGCTGGTTCTTATGTTCTGAATCATCACAGAAAGAAGATGGATTTTGGAGACATTGTCCTACCATAGTGACAGCTTTAATAATTGTTTCAGTCATTGCTGCTTACTGTTTACTTTGACCAAGTAATCAATGGATGGTAAACTATTTTTGTTAAGTAAACTTCATCTTTTATAGTTATAACAATGGCATCACCTATAGGAGTGAACAAGGTGGAGGGAAACAATTTGGTAGCCATTGATGTAGCTGATTTTGGTAAGAGGGTAGTCACTTGTGCCAGAATGGCTGAGGTCACATTAGACTCTACCACTTACTAGCTGTGTGACCTTGGGCAAGTTACTTAACTGTTCTGTACCATTGGTTTTTTGTTTTGTTTTGTTTTGTTTTTTGTTTTTTGTTTTTTAAGACAGTCTCACTCTGTTGTCCAAGCTGGAGTGCAGTGGCACAATCCTGGCTCACTGCAACCTCTGCCTCCCAGGTTCAAGCAATTCTCCTGCCTCAGTCTTCTGGGTAGCTGGGATTACATGGGTGTGCCACTAAGCCCGGCTAATTTTTGTATTTTAGTAGAGACAGAGTTTCACCATGTTGGCCAGGCTGGTCTCCAACTCCTGACCTCACGTGATCTGCCTGCCTCAGCCTCCCAAAGTGCTGAGATTACAGGCATGAGCACTGTGCCCAGCCCCATTGGTTCTTATCTGTAAAGTAAGGCTAATGATAGCACCTACTTCACAATAACCTTGGAAAGATCAAAGTAATTTAGAATGGTGCCTACTTAAAGTAGGTGCTCAACTAATAATATTAGCTACAAGAAAAACAAACAAAACAAAAAACTGTTCTAGGAGTCATGAGGATCGAATCCTACCTCTGACTGAGGAATGGAGAAAGGGATGAATTGATATGTGGTCAAGAAAATGCAGCAAAATGTTAACGGTAGAATCTAGGCAGTGAGACTATGCTGTTCACTGTGCATTCTTTCAAAATAGCATCTTAGAGATGGAGGGAAAAGAGATTCAAGGAGGAGACTTGCCATTTCTTGCCAAGGACAAAGTCATGAGGATGTGACGCTTAGAGTAGTGAGTGAAAAGGAGAGTATCATAGGGATATCGACCCAGAGTCCTGATATCATAGAGACCCTGTTATGAACTGAACAGCTTTTCCCCCAAAATTCACAGTTGAAGTCCTAATTCCCTGTATTTGGAGATAGTATCTTTAAGGAGGTATTTAAGGTTAATTGAGGTCATAAGAGTGGGGACCTAATCCAGTCCGATTGGTGTCCTTATAGGATGATATTTGGACATACAGACATACCAGGGGTGTGCACACATGGAGGAAAGATCCCACGAGCACACAGCGAGAAGGTGGCCATCTGCAAGCCAAGGAGAGAGGCCTCTCCAGGAACCAAATTGGCTGGCACCTTGATCTGGGACTTCCAGCCTCCAGAACTGTGAGAAAATTAATTTCTGATGTTTAACTTGCCCAGTCTGCAGTATTTTGTTATGGCAGCTCTAGTAGACAGTCCCTGAATTAACCAACCTGGGAATTATCTACCTGCTGCCTTCAGTGATAGAATAAATGTCCTTATTGCTTTAAAAATAAGCCTAGCTCTGCCTGCTACTTTCAATAAGTTATTTAACTTCTGCAAGCCCCAGTTTCCTCATCTGTAAAATGGGCATGATAATAACTTCTACCTCTTAGCGTTAGTGTGAAAGTAAATGAGAGAGCATATGAGAAGATGTTTGGCACAGCGATCACAAATTAGAATGTGACCACTTCTTTAAGAAACAGAGAGTGTATGAAAGCTCTTCTTACATTACTGTGTTGGTTCTTCCACTGGACTGGGTGAGGTAAGGTAAAAGGGCTGGATCGCTTGTTGCTTTGTCCAGTAAGACCATGCCATATTTCATGATGAGGCCCAAATTGCTAGCAGGACAGAACCAGGGTTTGGTGCACCATACTGTTACCATATCTTGGTGTTCAGATGCGGGGTCAGCAGCATGTCTGCAGAGCACCAGCCTCACCCCTGAGGCCCACCTCCCTCCTGATGTTCTGAAGGTACCAGCTTCCCAGGGTAGCACCTAATGTTGCTGCTCCCTCCATGGCCCAAGCCAGAAAGGCAGTCCCATAAGACATAAGTCCCATAAGAGTACCCCAACCCACCAGGCAGCCACTTACCCACATCAGCCCCACTGAGTGCTTTTCCCAGGGGCCAGGGCCTCATGTCAATTCTCCTCCCATTCACAGCGAGCGACTGCACACAGCCTTGAAAGCCTCGGTTTGTCCCTGTTGCTCTAACCAACCAGTAAGCGCTGGGAGCGCCACCAAGATAGAGAGGTGTCCGGAAAGTAATTTTACTGTATTGGCCCTTTAAGAAAGATGACCACTCATGAATACTCTCACTAAACAAAATCAAAAGCCAAAACACACCAGATTTTTATGAGGGACATGGTTAAGACGTCAGTGACAGCCCCAGCATTTTCTTCCATCTGTATTTATCTTTAAGACCTTGCCTTACTGGAAAATTAAACCCACGATTACCGTAGGGAGCTCAGTGAGTTTCTCAGAGGGCTGTGCTTCCAGAAGGGAGGATTTTGGAATGTCTAGAAGGGAAGGGAAGGGAGGTCAGAGACACGCCTCACCCACCAGGCAGTGAACCATGCTAGGCATCCAACAAAAACGTTCTCTTTCCAGTCTTGACACCAGTTGACTGTGTACTTTGGAAGGATCTTAGGGGGCTATTCTGTGCCTCCAAAGGTGATAATACTAATTTTGTATACAGTGGCTAACAATTACCTTTTCACTGTCCTAGTCACCTTTATACTATATCCTGAGAGAAACATTGTTGGGGTGGACGGGGGGTGGAGGGGAATTACCAAACAGATTATGATGCAAAGTGTTTTGAAATTTGCTTATGAATATGACTTCTTTTTTTTACAGTGAGGTAGGGAAACTTCCCATCTTAGACCAAACCACAATCTGGATTGCAGGTTTAAAGGTTACAAAATACAGAGCTGAAGATTAGATGGGACAAAATTAAGTCACCCTTGGCCTTTTTTTTTTGTTTTTTTTTTTTTTTTTTTTTTGAGACAGAGTCTCGCTCTGTCTCCCAGGCTGGAGTGCAAAGGCACCATCCTGGCTCACCGTAACCTCCGCCTCCCAGGTTCAAGCAATTCTCCTGTCTCAGCCTCCTGAGTAGCTGGGATTACAGGCATGTGTCACCACGCCTAGCTAATTTTGTATTTTTAGAAACGAGGTTTCACCACGTTGGTCAGGCTGGTCTCAAACTCCTGACCTCGTGATCTACCTGCCTCAGTCTCCCAAAGTGCTGGGATTACTGGCATGAGCTACCACGCCCGGCCTGGTCATTCTTTTTTTTATGACCAAAATATCTCATTTATCTGCATTACAGGGTAAGGAAGGGTGTCAGGGAAAGGCACGCTGCCAGAACTTATAAAATGTTCAGAGTGTAAGACTCTGAAACATAATCTTGATACTTTAAACTTCTGTTACCAGCAAGTGGAAAATCTAATGATTGTTTTATCTTTTCTGATGAAGAGATAAGAATCATTTGTAAATAGTAGACTCAACACAAGCTAGGAAGTGGGTTTTCAGGGTCAGGTTACGCTGTTTGCCAGCCACTGAGCATGCTGCTTTCATTAGATGAGTTAAATGTCCTCTTGGCTTCTTTCACCAAGATTCTCAGAATTCACTTCTTCTGGATCCCATCCTGGCCCTTCCAGTTTTGTTCCATGATCTGGGACCACAGCAGAAGGCCTGACAGCTCAATCCTTTTCTAGAGCATAAAGTGCCTTGTAGGGGTGGGTAGCTATTTTGCTGTGCCCTTCGCAAGATCCCGGGCAACAGTCTTCAAACCTGGCTTTTACATTTCAGATGAGGGTTGCCTTCTGATCCCTGGAGCTTGCTTTGCCTGCCTGTACAGAGAAATGGAAGTGCCCTGGAATTCACATTCTCCCAGGACAGCCCTTAACAGTTTCGGATGAGTCTGAGGTATAATTTGTACTCCAGAGCTCCTCTACTGGATCAGGCAGAAGCCATACCCTGAAAAACTTGGCCTGAGATCTCACTCTTGCTGATATCCTCTTCTTCCCTGTCCGTCTCCTCTCTCTTAGCAGTTTCTCCTGGGAGCACTTTCTTAATACATCACTTGCACAGGACTCCACATCTCAGGTCTGTTGCTGGGGAATCCCACTTCAGATAGAATCAGTGTCTCTCAGAAAGCTTATTAAACAGCCACATCTGTGGTCCTGCTTTACAACTTGCTTAGCAAGTCTCATTAGTATGGAGGCAATCTACAGCCTGAGTATCCATAAAGCTACATGCTTCTTGCAATTACTTATTTTTTTAAAAAAAAAACATGATGATATGGCTTGGCTGTGTCTCCACCCAAATATCATCTTGAATTGTAGCTCCTATAATCCCCACGGGTCGTGGGAGGGACTCAGTGGGAGGTAATTGAATCATGGGGGTGGTTACCCCCATGCTGTTCTCGTGGTAGTGAGTTCTCATGAGATCTGATAGTTTTATAAAGGGCTTTTCCCCGTTTGCCCAGCACTTCTCCTTGCTGCTGCCACATAAAGAAGGACGTGTTTGCTTCCCCTTCCACCATGATTGTAAGTTTCCTGAGGCCTTCCCAGCCATGCAGAACTGTAAGTCAATTAAACCTCTTTTCTTCATAAATTACCCAGTCTCAGGTGTTTCTTCATAGCAGTATGAGAACGGACTAATACAAATGGGGTCTGGCTATGTTACCCAGGCTGAAGTGCAGGGCTATTCATAGGCTCAAACATGGCTCACTGCAGGCTTCACCTCCTGGGCTCAAGTGATCCTCCCTCCTCAGCCTCCCAAGTAGCTGGGACTACAGGCATATGCCACCACACCTGGCTAATTTTTCTGTTTTTGGTAGAGATGGGGCTTCACCATGTTGCCTAGGCTAGGCTGAGTTCAAGTGATCCTCCTGCCTTGGCTTCCCAAAGTGTGGGAATTATAGGCGTGAGCCACTGTGCCTGGCAATCAAATTAATTCTTAATTCTTTTCTTTTTTTTTTTTTGAGATGGAGTCTTGCTCTGCAGCCCAGGATGGAGTGCAGTAGCGCAATCTAAGCTCACTGCAACCTCTGCCTCCCAGGTTCAGGCAATTTTCCTGCCTCAGCCTCCTGAGTAGCTAGGATTACAGGCGCCCACCACCACGCCTGGCTAATTTTTTTATATTTTTAGTAGAGACAAGGTTTCACATGTTGGCCAGGCTGGTCTCGAACTCCTGACTTCAAGTGATCCACCCACCTCAGCCTCCCAAAGTAATGGTATTGGAGGCATGAGCCACTGTGCCTGGCTCAATTAATTCTTATATTCATTAAAATCATAGAATCTTGAGATTAACAAAAAATATAAAAACTCTTATAATTCAAGCTTTCACTGGCTGTTGGATTCCTGGTACATCCCTAACAAGAAGTTTAGATAAGTTATGCCTTGAACACCTCCCAAGGATGCCCCCCTCTCCTGAGATAGTCTGTTGCACTTCTGTCCCTTTGTATGATTAGGTGAAGCTAAAATCGACCTCCTGAGGCTCACTCCATTCAGCTCTGGCCTTGAGGGGGGGTCCATGGAGTAAATCTTTCTTTCCCAAGACTCTCCCTTTGACTCTATAATGAAAAGCCACCTTGCATGCCTTCATCTTCTCTTCTCCAAACTAAACATTGCTCCTTCAATCAATCATTGAAGGGATTTCAAGTCATCTTCCAGTTTGGGTGACTACCCCGGAACTGCTCCAATTTGTCTGCAGCCTTCTTAGAATGTGATCCAGATGTGAATGTAATCCTCTCGGAGGATTAGAGTCACCATCTGAGTCACTAGAAGCTATCACATAGTCACCAGAATAGAATAAGATCATCACCTCCCTTTTTTAGATGCTATGACTCCGTTAACACAGCCTATAATTCTTTAGCTTCTTGTTACCACATGACCCTGTTTGTTAACAGCTATGGAACTTCCCCCACTTTAAGCGATTAGACATTTTCACAGGCTTCTATTGTAGCTTCCCCATTCTGTCTTCATGTTAGTATTTTGGACCCAAGCTAGAAGTTTCTTTATTCCTATCAAACTAACTTTTATCATGTTAGACCTATAGTCCTGGCACTGATGCAGTTCGCTGACCCTGTCTTTTTCTTACCTAGCCATCTGAGCATAAACAATCTCCCTGGATTCACATTTACTAAATTTGAATTCTTAATCCTTTGGAATCACTGGGATCCAAACTAATGAGATATTTTCTTCTATATTTTGGAAGGCAGGGTGTCAGCAAGGCATAGCCCTTTATATCAGGGGTCCCCAACCCCTGGGCCATGGACCCATACCAGTCTGTGGCCTGTTAGGAAGCAGGGTGCGCAGCAGAAGGTGAGTGGCGGGGTGAGCGAGCATCTCCGCCTGAGCTCCGTCTTCTGTCAGATCAGCTGTGCCATTAGATTCTTACAGGAGCACGAACCCTGTTGTGAACTGCGCATGCGAGGGATCCAGGTTACACGCTCCTTCTGAGACTCTAACCATGCCTGATGGTCTGAGATGGAACAGTTTATCCCGAAACCATCCCCCAACTTTGGTCCGTGGAAAAATTGACTTCCACAAAACTGGTCCCTCGTGCCAAAAAGGTTGGGGACCACTGCTTTATATAATGTGTCTTGCTGGCAAAGAGTAGAGAGGAGCCCAGGCAGGGAGGAAGCTCTAGACATATAAACAAAGGCTTTCTTGCTACATTTTTCCTTGGAGAATACAGACACCTGCCTGATTATAATTATAGGCTCAGTTCCCTGGCAGGCTGCTAATCCAAACTGTTTATTCTGAACATAGTCCTAAAATTGCCCAGACCATAACAAATATGTGAATACTAGGTGATTTGCTGAGTAGCCCAACAGTCCAACTTTTTTTTTTTAACCATTTCCTACAATTACGGCCCCCCTCAAAGGTAGATGAACAGCTTATTCCTGCATTTTGAACCAAGTGAACCTTTCAAGACTGTCTTCTAAAGCACAGGATTGCAACACTCCTGCCCTAAAAGCAAGCTTTGTGTTTGACACTAATAATGGCTTCTAGGCTGGGTGTGGTGGCTCATCCCCGTAACCCCAGCACTTTGGGAGGCCAAGGTGGGAGAATCGCTTGCATCCAGGAGTTCATGACCAGCCTGGGCAACACAGTGAAACTCTAACTCTACAAAAAAAAAAAAAAAAAAAAAAAATTAGCCAGGCATGGTGGCACATGCCTGTAGTTCCAGCTACTTGGGAGCCTGAGGCGGGATGGTTTGAACCAGGGAGGTAGAGGCTGCAGTGAGCCATGATTATGCCACTGTACTCCAGCCTGGGGGACAGAGTGAGACCCTGCCTCCAAGTAATAATAGTAATAATGGGTTCTATTTTTCTAATATGGGCCTTCTTCTACTGCTGGCTTTGATGTACTTAGGGAAAGAGAACATGTCCTTGGGCACAGTCCTGCAACATGGACCTATGCACCAACAGCAATGATGCTTGCAAGTTTAATTCTTCTCTTTGGTAGATGTGCGGTGGATGTGTGCCCTGAAAGCTCACCTGGAGTGCAAGACCACTCAGTAGCACATCAAAGGTCTGTTGCATGGGTTCACCATGAGAAATAGGCCTTACCAAGCCCATCCAGAACTTGAATCCTGCAGACTCTGCCACGGCTCTCTGCAGTAAGCCCTTCTCAGGAGACTTATGGTGGGTGGTATGTGGGGTGGGCAGGGTGTGGGGCTCATACATACCTGAGACTGGCCTGTCACTGGGGTGCCATTGTTCAGCTGCAGCAGCCCGTTCAGCCCATCTCTGTAGAGCATAACCGTGTGCCAACCCCCTAGTTTGATTTTGGTCTCACTTACGATGATGGCAACCCCAGTTCCACAATTAAACCTGTTGGGGAGGAAAAGGAAAAGAAGATTTCTTGACGAACCAGGCCATTATGTTTTCAGATTCCGTGGACGTCACTTCCAGGTCAACAGCTCCCTTCAGAGTCAGTCTGTTCAGAGTCATGTTTATGAATATCAAGTGCTGTTGAAATCAATACAGGGAAGAACTAGGCACCTCTTCCTGGGGACGATCTCCGTCTAGTTATCTTTCATCTGCCCATAGGACCTTTCCATGCAGGGCCTTTGTTAACCTGATTTTTTCTGCAACTTAGAAAATCATGGGCATTTGGGTACTGTGCTCGCTACCTGCATGACGGGATCTGTACCCCAAGCCTCAGCATCATTCACTATTCCCACATAGCAAATCTGCACATGTACCCCCTGTATTTAAAATCAAAGTTGACATTAGGCCAGGCATGGTGAGTTACGTCTGTAATCCCAGCACTTTGGAAGGCGAAGGCGGGCGGATCACCTGAGGTTAGGAGTTCGAGACCAGCCTGACCAACATGGTGAAACCCCGTTTCTACTAAAAACACAAAGATTAGCTGCACATGGTGGTGGGTGCCTATAGTCACAGCTGCTCCAGAGGCTGAGGCAGCAGAATTGTTTGAACCCAGGAGGTGGAGGTTACAGTGAGCCAAGATCAAGCCACTGCCTGGGCAACAGAGTGAAACTCTGTCTCAAAAATAAATAAAAATAAAAAAATAAAAGTTTAAATTTTAAAAAGCTGGGCACAGTGGCTCACATCTGTAATCCCAGCACTTTGGGAGGCCGAGGCAGGTGGATCACTTGAGCTCAGGAGTTCGATACCATCCTGGCCAACATGGTGAAACCCTGTCTCTACTAAAAATACAAAAGTTAACTGAGCACGATGGCAGATGCTTGTAATCCTAGCTACTCAGGAGGATGAGGCAGGAGAATCACTTGAACCCAGGAGGTGGAGGTTGAAGTGAGCCCAGATTGCACCACTGCACTCCAGCCTTGGCAACAGAGACTCTGTCTCAAAAAAAAAAAAAAAAAAAAAGAAATTAATGAAAGGTAGTAGCTAATCCGCATTCCCGTTTTCTTTTCTTTTCTTTTGAGAAAGAGTCTCGCTCTGTTGCCCAGGCTGGAGTCCAGTGGTGTGATCTCTGCTCACTGCAACCTCCGCCTCCCAGGTTCAAGCGATTCTCCCACCTCAGCCTCCTGAGTAGCTGGGACTACAGGCGCATGCCACCACACCCGGCTAATTTTTGTATTTTTAGTAGAGACGTGGTTTCGCCATGTTGGCCAGGATGGTCTCGATCTCCTGACCTCGTGATCCGCCCACCTTGGCCTCCCAAAATCCTGGGATTACAGGTGTGAGCCACTGCAACCAGCTCCCATTTTCTTTTGACTGGAAGTACATGATCACTTCTGCTCGGAAGCAATTTAGCCTTCTTTGTTTCTGAAAAGGACAGGACCCATAAGAAAAGTAAAGGAAAAATCATAAGAAAGAGAAAAAGAAAAGAAAATGATGGGCAACTAAGGACCTCCTTCTTGTTTTCAGCAATTGCCAAATGCTTACAGTGAATTCAAGCTACAGTGAATAGAATGCAAGTCACTGTGTTTCCAGGGATTTCTCTGGGGACTTTCCAAACTCTCAAATAATAAAGCTCAGTGATATTCATAAAATATAAAAATCCAGGTCTTCAGGCTCATTTTGGCAAGCTGGCCAGCCCTGCCATCTGTGCTTAGCTGTACCTCAATACAGGCGAGGTCCACAGGAGGCTCAGCAGTGAGGTGAGACAGAGGAGGGGTGTCCTCAGATGGCTGCATTATTCTTGTTTTTATCCCAACCTCCCTATGGCCCAGGAGTGCCCATGGTCACTATGCCTAACAGGTGGAATCTTGGACCTTTCTGGTCCACTTCCAAATAGCCACCATGCCTCTTCCACATGGATCCTGAGACTGCCGGTGGGGAAGGAGTCGTAGCCGGCATTTTCCTTACTAGGATTTGCATTAACTGCAGCCACTTCTCAGGCCCTCCCTTTGTCTCGAGATCCTCAGTGAAGTGAGATGCAGTCAAGAGGCATTGCAAAACAGGCTTACCCTGAAGAGGATAGCAGATTCACTCAGCAGGAGTTACATAGTTGGAGAGCTGCTACCAGCTAACAACTGCCAGTGCTACTGAGAGTCTATCCGATCCTCCAAGTGCTAGGACCCTACAAGGTGAAAACCACCGCCCAAGATCCTGGTGGCTAACACCAAACTTCTGTGAATCAAATCATTTAGTAAAGCATGGGGGCCCATTTTCTAGCCCAAGTGGGATGCTCAGAAGCCTTCTTCAACTTAACCAAAAACACTTTTATGCTGAAGGTAATTTAAGAAGACAATAATGGCTGATGCTTATTGAGTA
This sequence comes from Homo sapiens, assembly GCF_000001405.40. NCBI lineage: Eukaryota > Metazoa > Chordata > Mammalia > Primates > Hominidae > Homo > Homo sapiens. The sequence continues at coordinate 38,410,130 of NC_000005.10, read as the reverse complement.
CTTGCTCTGGGTCAGACGCTGCTCTAAGCGCTTTTATGAATTAACTCATTTAACCCTCACAACAGCCCCATGAGGAAAGGCAGGCTTGGAGAGGTTGCGCCACATGCTGAAGGTCAGGCAGCAGGGGGTTGGTGCCATTAGGATGTCAGCCAGTGCGCCACGGAGAAGGACAAGGCTGGTGCCCGTTGGTTGTTCACAAAGAGGTGCAGTGCACACCTCCACAAGACTCATTAAAATCTTCACCCTTCGACAAAACTCTGCCCCCCAGGAAGACCACACATAAGCTAAAGGTGGCTTCCAAAGTGTGTTGGGGGAGAAACGATGAGGGCAGTGGAGGCAAGCCAAAGAGTTCCCAGCACAGCCCAGAGGAAGATGAGGATGGTAAGCCCATAGGAGGTTGGAGGCTCCTCTCAGTCCACACCTGTCAGCCACATTTGCCAAAGGGAGATGAGAAGGCCCCAGCCTTCTTCCCATCACATCCACTAGAGCTCCAGAGAAAAGAAACTGTATTCCTTTGGCTCACTCTGCATCCTCAGGATTGACAGGAGTGCCAGGTACCCTCCTCAAGAAACATTCAGCAGCACCTACAGCACCAGTTACATCCAACAGTACCTCCAGCACCAGGTACATTCAACAGCACCTCCAGTGCCAGGTACATTCAACAGCACCTCCAGAGCCAGGTACATTCAACAGCACCTGCAGTGCCAGGTACATTCAACAGCACCTGCAGCATCAGGTATGTTCAACAGCATCCCCAGGACCAGGTACACTCTACAACACCTCCAGAGCCAGTTACACTGTAGGTGCTGCTGAATGAATGAATGATTTCCAAAACCCAAGTTTTATAGGTTATCCTGCAATCCCAGTACACCAGTATTTGGTAAACTGGTTCATACTCATTTTATACAAACCATTCTTTCATCTACTAGAACCTATCCTGTATATATTTTTTCATACTATAAAAAGGCAAATATAATGTAAGATAATGTAACAAAAAAAGAGTGTGAGGCTTTTGGCAGGAATTACCTGAACTGCAGGGAGCGTCGGATGATAGCCAGGGACATGAAATCCCCCCTCCCGTGTTCGTTCTCCCCACAGTAGAGCAGTAAGCCATCCTCTGCCTCCGCCTGTGATTATACAAACAAAAGCCACATGAACAGTAAGCACCTCCCCTTCCTTAAGGCACCACCTGGAAAGACACAAATGTGAAACTTGAGCATTTTCTCCTCCACGATCCTATCTACAAAGGGTCAAGCATGTGGGCTCCAATTCACTCCCAGATACCTGGTCCCAGTTCATTTTCAATAAACAAATGGCAGTGATATAAACTGAGGGGTAGCAGTGAGGCGAGAGCAAGGTGACCCCATCTTTGACCCGCTCTTTACTTGTCCTTTGTGGATGCACCTGCAGAGCCTCAGAAAACCAAATGTACAAAGACCACGGTCACAGTGAGGACATTGCTGGTGTACATCCAATTCTATTTTCACTTTGTTCTTTCTATTTCCCTCCCCCTGGGGAGGCATGCACATTTGCTTCTTTCCTTCTATCAGGAGAACAGGATGGTAAGAATAGCTCAGCCAAAAGCTGTGCTGGTGGTCTTAGACTAAGACAGGTCATTTCTTGAAGACTCAACACTGTGGCCATGACTTCAAATGAGACTTCTTTCCAGACCTCCAGACCTTTTTGTATCATTGGAGATACCCAAAAGAATCAGTTTAAGCTGAGGTCACTGACTGAATTCTTATCTGCAGTTGATTCAAATCAGAGAACCTCCACTGGGCCCTCACGAAGCAAGGCTTGCGTAAAGAAAAGTTTTCTATTTGTTCAGTGACAGCTATCACAATGAAGACAGAGAATTGGGCTCTCTTTTTAAACAATTTTGGAACGGGGAATGCATTGTTTCTTCTCAATCCTGGCCTGGGAGAAATCACTATTGTGAACAACATTGCTCGGACCCCAACATTCTCACTTGCAATCTTCATGCCAGCTACTCTATAGTTCAGTAATATACAAACCCACCGTCTCCTCACTGTCACACTTGAATGTTGTGAATGTACTCTTCATTCCTATTGTCTCATGAGCTGGTTTAGAGACAGGCTCTGTGTCATATTTACCTTTCGTCGCTCTCCCTGCTGCCCCGCTTCCTCTCCCCCAGCCTTTGAATGTAGCACATTGCTGTGTTAAAGTGTCCAAAAAGCACTCATCAAACAACACATCCCTCTTACCCTAAATTCAAGAGTAATTTGAAATGCCTGATAAGAATTCTTCAGAGGTTCAAACGTTACATAGGAGTGGCCAAAGAACTGAGGATACTGGATAACAATATCTGAAGAAGAAAAAAGACAACACAAAAGAATGCTATTTCCTCACTTCTTCAAAAGCAAAAATCAATATACAACGTTGCCTGAATATCATTAAGTGAGAACCCTCACTAATCTATTCAACTTCGCTATCTTCTTTTCTATACTTTTTATACCTACAACTCTCATTCTTGGAGACTTTGAGCTTCTGAAATTCTTAGGAAGAAGCTGCATTTTTGGAGACCGGCACTGGCTTTCCTAAGAAGAAACCAATGGCATTAGGGCCACTGTCACTTGCCCTCAGCTATACAGGCCTTTGTGTAATATAAGTTGGCCCAGTTGTTATCCTTCTTAACCCTCATGCATAAGCTTTAACTGCGTATTTTGGTAGAGATGTGATTATAGTAAAACCTACCTCTCTAAGATAGTATCAGGATGATTTATTGATTGCTTTAAAGGGACTACACATTTGGCACACATAGAAATAGGGCTGCTGTCTACTTAGAAGCAATGAAAGTTGCCTCACAATTTGCCTTGTATAGTTAATTTAATGACCAATATGTGGACGAAGGTACTTATCTTGGAGAAGGGACTAGAAGGAACTATGTTTGGACCACAAAACTGCCCTCTGGCTGTCAATGGTGCCAATTCATCACCACTTCTTCCTCTCCCCCAAGGGCCTACCTTCTGAGCAGCTCTCACCACCTTTGCCCAGGGTGCACTGGCATCGCGAGCCCCCCCAGGTGTAGTCATTGACACAGAAGCTGTCAGCAGAGCAGAGAGTTTCATCACAAGGCATGTCAAAGAGCCTTGACATTATGGCCACACCATTCTTCCCCTTTCTCTGTATGGGAATGGGCTGGGGAGCCACCGTGGTCACAGGGAGAGATGCTGAGGTAGGGGGGATGAGCCTAGAAATGGTCTTTGGGTTAGATATAGACATCTTCTTGCTTTCCACCAAAAATTTCTTATTCCCTCCTTTGGTAGCAGGAAGTGGTTTAACCTAAAGCCAGAGAAGGAAAGGGGTTCAAGATGAACACAGAGCATGGCAATTGGACTGTTTTATTTATAGTTGTTGCCTAGTACTTGAAAACATGGTCACTTCCAAAAACCCTAGGATGGAGATGGGGAAGACAGCACTGACTCTAATTTATGGACAAAGAGCTTGATGGTCAGGGACTTATAGTGCTTTTCCTTGTATTACTCAGAAAATCAGCAGTAAAACTGATATTACATTATTTATTCTTATTACAATATGATGAAGATGCATGACTTTGTCAAGGAATTGTTCATTTCCTTATAATACTTGATTTTCTGAAATTTCCCTTGGTGGGAAATAGAAATATGTTTTTGCCAGATTGTGAAGTCCGCAGGCAGGAGCTGCCTATGGAACATCAGGATGGCTAGTACTTCCCTACTACTGATTTATCAGCACCTGGAGACTGATCATCAGACAAAACAAATCAGTGTTAAAAGCAAATGGGCACATTTAAGTTTTAAGTAAAATGTTTATGGTCCATTGGCTAAATTGTCTTGTTCGGCAAGAAAACACAAACACCCTGGGTTTTAAGAGCAGAGATTATTGTTACCTCCTCAAAGGAAATATCCAAATCTAAGTCGTCTTCAAATCCTTCATCATCCTCACCAGCTCCCATGTCGGTGATATAACGGGGTCCATAGCGGCCACTTCCCGCCTCCTCAGGGCCTTCACAAAGAAAAGCAGCACACCCTTCATCAGCACAGGCCTTCTTTGCACTATTGTCTAGCCTAACTCAGCCACAGGCAGAGCTGTACCGAATGGAACGCAGTGTATTGGAAACATAACAATGAATTCAACACAGAAAAGGAAGCGTCAATGACCAAAAGATATAAAAAAAGTTTCCTCTCATAAGTTACTAAGGAATTTCCAACTGAAACCAGAAAGAGCTTCCATTTTATACTGACAAGACTGGCAAAAATGTCAATCAGATAATAAAAATATTACTAAGGACGGGATCAATGAGGACTCATATGGTACTTGTATAAACTGGTCCAGTCACTTTGTGAAATACTTGGAAATATTTCATAAAGTAGATGTTTGTTCATACCTAGCAATCCCATCCCAACTTACAAAAGCTGGAGAAACTCCTGTACCTGTGTACCAAAAGGCGTGTTCAAAACAGGTTCATAGCATCAGAATTTGTAATAGTAAAAAATACTCCAAATATGCTATTTATAAGAACAAACAACATCCCAAATGTCCATCAACAAAGAATGACTAAATTATTTATAGTATATCTATAGAATGGAGTACCATATAGTAGGGGAAAGGAATGAATCATCATTTAATATATCAACATGGCTTAATCTCACATGACTTCATACAAAAAAAATGCAAGTTGCAAAAGAATGCATCTAGTTTGATGACATTAATATAAAAGACAACAGCAAACAAAACAATATATTACTTAGGGATACATATATATGTAATTTAAACTCTTTAAAAAAGCAGGACAAACACATAAATACCCAAGGGAAGATAGAAAAGGGATGTGAATGAGGTGTGATTCACAGGGGCCTTTGAGAGTATTCCATCATATTCTGTTTCTTAAGGTAAGTGCTGGGTACCTGTAAATATTCATATTTTTTATATGTTGTATATATACATATATATACTTTTGAAGTACAAAGTATTTCACTAAAAGGTCTTTAAAACAAAAAAGGGAGATTATAGTAAACACTCCCACAACCAAAAAAAGGGGGCCCTATAAGGTATCTTGGGGGTCATCCATTTCATCCATCTTAGCAGGACAACTAAATCTTTCAGAACTGAAAGGTGGGTGAGAAAACCTCTCAGACGTCAATACAGAGCATCATCTTTTGGGGAACATTCAGTTGGCATTTTTATTCAACTGTCATCCGCAGAATCCACTGATCCACAGCGCTCTGATTTAGGTTGCACATGGGAAACACTCCACCAGGAGGTGGCAGCCTTTTAAAGAGCGGCTCCAGGGCACCTGCATGTCCTCACAGTGGATTTGGGCCAGCACAGGTATTAACTTGCTGCCCTCTCTCAACTGAAAAAGCCAGGCACCAGCCTTTAGGGCAGTAACAACTTTGGCAACAGAAACTGGCTTTGGTAGGATGCTGCCACTCATTAGTTATTAGACATCCAGTGTTTGGATGCCTAGTGGAAAAGAAAAAGGAAAAATAACATAAAAAGCATAAAAAACATAAACTAAACTTAAAGACATTTTGCTTTCAGAATAAGCTAAGTCATGCACCATTCTCAGGAAGACAAACTCACCCTCCTACATTGTCTGTCCAGGCTGCTACAACAAAAGTACCATAAACTGATGGCTTGTAAACCACAAACATTTATTTTTCACAGTTCTGCAGGCTGTGAAGTCCCAGATCAAAGGGCTGGCAGTATCTGATGAGGGCACAGATGGTGCCTTCTCACTGCATCTTCACATGGTGGAAAGGGCAAACCAGCCCCTTTGGGCCTCTTTAATAAGGGCACTGATCCCATTCACAAGGACTCCACCCTTATGATCTAAGTACCTCCCAAAGGCCCCTCCTTGGGGGTTAGGATTTCAACATATGAATTTGAGGGAGACATAAACATTCCGACCATAGCACTCCTCCAAACAGAATAGCAATCAGATTGAAAATGGAGTGGAAGGAAATGGCAGAAAGTCATTTTTGTCAGGGGGCGTGCTGTTGACCAGAAATCAATCTCCTCCCAGACCAGACGAGAGAAGTGCAGTCAGCAGATGATGCAGATGACCCAGAGACAGGGTGGAGTGAGCTGTTCTCAGGGGTTCGGGCACTTCTTGGTGGAGGTGGGATAACAAAGGGGAGGCGGTGTTCTCATCCCTTCCACACCAATTCCCCAGTTTTATTTAAAGTAGTCCACCTGTCAACTGAAAATTCAACCTGTCGATGCCAGATTTATACCTGGATGCATGTTCTCTCAAGCCACCTGCATGCAGCGTATCTGTGTGCCAGATGTCTTCACACAAAAGGCCCTTGAGGACAGCTCCTTCCTCTTGTCTCTATCTTTGTACAGCAAGCAGTCCCCCTTATCTGTATTTTTGCTTTCTGCAATTTCATTTACCCTCGATCAACCACAGTCCAAAAATATTAAATGGGAAATTCCAGAAATAAACAATTCATAAGTTCTGAGTAGCACGATGAAATAGCACACTGCCCTGCTCCATCCTGCCTGGGATATGAATCATCCCTCTGTCTGGCATATCCGTGCTCCATATGCTCCCTGCCCCATGGTCTGCAGCCGTCTCAGTTGTCAGATTCACTGTCATGGTATCGAAGTGCTTATGTTCCAGTAACCATTATCTGACTTCATAATGGCCCCACAGTGCAAGAGCAGTGATTCTGGGATTCAGATATGCCAAAGAGAAGCCATGAAGTGCATCTTTTAAATTAAAAGGTGAAAGTTCTCAACTGAATTAAGGAAAGAAAAAAATCATATGCTGAGGTTGCTAAGATCTATGGCAAGAATGAATCTTCTATCTGTGAAACTGTGAAGAAGGAAAATGAAATTTATGCTAGTTCTGCTGCATATATAGGGTTCAGTATTATCTGCAGTTTCAGGTATCCACTGGGAATCTTGGAACACATCCCCTGCGGAGAGGGAACTACTGTATCTATCTCTCTCGGCCCCTCTCTCTCTTTCTCTTTCTCCCCTCTGTCCTTTCCCTCACTCTTCATTTCTATCTCTGCCTCTCTCACATATTCAGAATTGTTAGATTCCAGAAGAAGAAATCCATTTGGTAGTAAAAGAATTATACAGCACATACATAAAGCAAGCTGGCTTTTGTCTTCAGTAGTTTGGTCTCTCTCCTTCCAGGCTGTTCTTCCTTGCCCTGTGCACCTTATTAACACATTCTCAACAAGGTTAAGATTCTCTTCATCTTTATCCTATGATTTCCTATCTGAAAAATCACCTTCAGTGACTCTCCACTGCCTACAACATAAATTCTAGGCTTCTTGGTCAAGAATTCAAGGTTCTCAATTAAAACAGCTCCTTTTTTCCTCCTTCTTCCCCCATCACCATGATTTATTGAATTCTACTCCATCTCCTCTTCTTATCAGGTACTATTGGGTGCTTAACATGATATATTTCTAAACTTTTCAATAATCTTACAAGGTAAGTATGACTAATCCATTTTATACATAAGAAAACTGAGTTAAGAGTAGTTAAGTAATTTACCTAAAATTGAAGACTTTATAACTGGCTGAGCTAAACTCAAATCCAAGGTCTGTCTGGTGACTGCTCTCCTAATCGCCTATTGCAGAAGAAGCCACTGTGGAGGTAGAAAGATCCTAGAATTTGAGAAAATTACCATATGTTGATCATTCTTAGTGTGCCAGGAGCTTTTCATACATCGCTTAAGTTAATCCTCACAAAATACTATAAAATTGGTGTTATTACTTCCATTTTACCAAGTGGAGATATAGACACAGAGAGATTAAATAACTTGCTCAAGGCAGACAGATGGGGAATGGCAGGGCTAGATTTTATCCTTGGTCTCTCTTTTGACTACATCATGCTACTTAATCTGAATCCTAATTATGTTTTCAGGTTTTTGTTGTTTTTTAAAAAATACTCTTTAAAAGCTATATAATAGCCAAACTGGCCTGCCAGTTGTCTCCTGAATGCATCTTGTATTTTCTTACCCTAGGATTTTGGTTAATGCTTTTTCCCATTGTCATCTTTTTCCCACTCCTATCTCCTTACACACAGCCTACCTATTCTCCCAGAGGGCATGCATTCTATGGAGACAGAGCTGAATGTGTGCCATCAGAAGACCAAAATCAAGCGACATTTTAAAAAGAAAACAGACTCTTCTGGGAAAAATGGTGACTCCACAAAGTAAGAAGCCACCAAGACTTGTAGGACATTCCTTCATCTTCTCCTGGATGGGGCAACCCAGCCATGGATATATGCCTCCAATCAGCATAAATGCCCATTGCTTGATAAAGTCAACACACGTGTAAGATGGTATGTAGATCTTCTGGGCTCCTGGCCTTAGACTCTTGCCCTTGTGTTTACCAACTCGATTGTAAATCCTTTGAGGGCAGAAACCATATTTTAGATTTCTTCATATCCTTTCCCTTCCTCCATGTCACTAACACTTCATGTACTCAACAAAGGTCAACACCTTTGAGAGGAGTGACAGGAGACACTCCCACAGTGCTGAACTATGTCCTGCCCTTGCTCAACATGGTGGGACTCTGCCTCCCAATCCAAAGACCCCGAAAACTGCCACCAATCCTGTCCTTTTCCCCCAAATGAAGCTAGAAGTAAGAATGGAAAGAGATCTAAACACCATCCAGCCCAATCTTGTCATTTCACAAGCATGGAAACCGAGGCCACAGAAAAGAATTGACTTAAAATCAAGATCATGCATCCCATTAGAGGAAGCTCTAACTCTAGAATCAGATAATATGACTCTAGTTCAATGTCCATAAGACTCTATTGCACAATTTTTTTTGGCATCAAGTATCTAAAGATAGTTCAGTCAGAAGAACCTGGAACCTAGAGAAGCCAAGGGTTAGAGTGTAGGTGGCTGAGATCTCTTACTGCCCCTCCATCTGCTCTAGGAAATTCTGTTTCTTGAAGGGAACTCCTCAGAGAAAAGGACCACAAGCAAATTGCTGCTGCTACAAAATGATACCATAATGAGAATGGAAATAATCCTGGATTCTCTGCTCATTTCGACAAGTAAAATAAGGCACATATTTTTCAATGGATAATGTTCTTTGGTCTCTGTAAAAATTGTTTCCGTTTTGACACTTTTTGTAACCTATTTCTTTGAAACCTGAGTTCACTCAGTTTGGGGAAACATAGGGTACGGAAGAAGAAGGGGAAAAGGAATATGGAATCACAAGGATTTAGAGTCAAAGTAATTTTAACTTTCATAGAGAGACCGCAGGGATCAGCTAACACAACAAGCCCATTTTACAGAGGAGTCAACTAAGGCTCAAAGAATCCATGAGACTCGCCCAGAGAAGCAGCTCATTAGTGGCAGAGTTGATCTAGAATTCTGGGCTCCTGCTGCTGCAACCCAGTCCTCTTTGCAGCATCCCAAACTCCCTCTCTCATAATAATCCAGGATAATAGTCATTTCCCATTTTTAATAAGAAGGAAATGAGCACAGAGAGAACCAGTCACAGCATGATGGAAGAAACCTGGAACTAAAGCCTCACTACTTCTCTTTCCTGACTGCCCCGCCACCTCAGATCCCAAATCCACAGCTTACAGGAAGTTTTTACCAATGTTATTTCTAAGTGAGCACAGAATGTACGGTCCAAGCCAGTGATAAGAATTCTCCCTGTAGCCTGGGGTTATTGTAATTAAAGTGCATAACTTATCTCTTTCTACTTGGTACTTTGTTAATTAGGAAAAGAGAACATTAAAAAGGAGACATTTATTAGAACCAGAATAATCAAACCACTAGTTCAGGGGTTATTAAAAAAAGTTAATAAACAAAACACAAATTTTTGTTAATAGATAAAAGGGTGACTTTTATTTTATAAAAAAACCTGTGCTTTGTTTTAATAAAGGCATCACAGGTTTTCTATAAATAATGAGTTTCTCAGCTATATCAACATGATGTAGTTGGAAATATCGGTAGTCATACAATCCAAATAATTGGGAGAAGGACATAAATGGCTTGGGTGACCTTGAGCAGGCCACTTCATCTCTCTGGGTCTTGTGTTTTCCAATAAAATAAGGAGTAGGATTAGACTTGATGACCTTGAAAACCTTTCCAGCACTAACATTCTGTGATCCTAAAAGTCACCCTTTTAATTTAGACATATTGCAGGTATCTGTCACATCAAGCAAGGTTTGAAGAAGAAACAACTGGAGAATTTTACTTATGTGGATGAAAAAGCAAACAGAAGTTAGTCCAGCATGGAAGTCACATGCTTTGGGATTGTAGCATTGTGTTCTCCTGTAGGAGGTGATCCATTGTCATTTATCGGAATCCATCTTCACTCAAAAGGAGCAGGTTGTATTTTGAGTCCCTTCTCTTAATGTCTTTTAGCAACAACAAGGGAGGAACACTTATTCCCTACTCTTGAAGTTCCAGTCATGAGAATAGAGTCTCCCGAAGTACTGCTGGATTCTTGTCCAACCGCTTTCCCTGCCTACAGAGGTGGGGACAGTGACTTGGCTGCTAAGTGGAAGCAGTAGGTCCACATTTCTGAAGGAGGGAAGCTAATCTATCAAAGGACCTTGGGGGCCGGGTGCAGTGGCTCACACCTGTAACCCTAGCACTTTGGGAGGCCAAAGTGGGTGGATCGCTTGAGCTCAGGAATTTGAGACCAGCTTGCACAACATAGCGAAAACCCATATCTAACAAAAATACAAAAATTAGCCAGGCATAGTGGCATGTGTCTGTGATCCCACCTACTCAGGAGGCTGAGATGGCAGGATCGCTTGAGCCTGGGAGGCGGAGGTTGCAGTGAGCTGGGACAGTGCCTCTGCACTCCAGCCTGGGTGACAGAGTAAGACTCCATCTCAAAAAAAAAAAAAAAAAACGAAAACAAAAATAAAAAAGAACCTGGGGAGGGAGGAGGAATTCGATTTGGAATGAATTAATTCAGTTCTTCCTACCTTCCCTCTCCACCTAGCATAGTGGAAAACAGTAGCCTGGGTAGGTGTGACTCCTGTGCAAACCCAAACTTTCCCTCAAGTGGGCTCTCCCATAGTCTGGACTGGACAGAAGGGAGTTTGCAAGCTCACTTTGGCTCTTAGAATGAGCTACGTCTTCTGACCCAGCCTTTTTAGAAATAAGAATGGCATTTGATTCATCTGCTTCATCTTCATCCTTATCATCTTCCTCTGCTGACTGTGTTGTTTTATTTTTCAATTGATTTCAAAAGTGGGCCAAAAAAAGTGCTATTAATTGTGTCTCTTCAAAACCCTAATACCCACCAGAATAAGAATGGTTCTCTCCATGAGGCTGTAAGCCACAGACAGAAACTGGGTCATCTCTTTCAGTGCAAATGTTCAAGAATTGGTTGGTTAGACGGAATAATGTCAGGTCAGACCTGTGACTTGAGTCCCTTCAAAGTCTTCCCAAGATCCTAAGTGACTTGGCCCTGCAAGCTTGAGCCTCATCTCTCACCAATGTATTCCTTCTCACCGTGCTCCAGCTGTGCTGGCTCTTCTTTCAATGTTTTGGATGAACCATCCTTTCCTCTGACTCAAGGCCTTTGCAAATGCTGTTCTCTATGCTTAGAAATCTTATCCCTCACTGCCCATCCCTTTACCTTTTTAATTCTTTTATATTTCTGTGCAAAATCACTTTCTTAGGGATGTCTTCCCTGTATCCCAGACAAGGTATGTTCTCATAGCTCTCCTCTTTAGTGGCATTATGAGTTTGTAATTTTATGCTTATTTATGTGATGATTTCATAAATGTAATTCTCCCACCAGACTGTAAAATCCTTGAGGAAATCAACACTATCTATTTTGGTTTCTGTTGTACCACCCAAACCTCACTCAGTCCTGACACATTTTAGAAACTTACAGAATGTATGGAAAATAGAAACAGTGAACTTTTGGAGTAGTTTAGCCATAATAAAAATATATGACAGCAGCATTCATCTAGGTTCTTAACAGCAAAAGTTCAGGCCCAAGGGGAGCCACACCTTTCCAGGATCTTAAGGATGTCATTCTGCAGAGTGTTCCTGGAAAACAATCCACACCCAGAGCCCCTCTGGAGTTGATGTTCCCAGTGGCTCTTCTGCATTAAGTCACTTTGGCTTGGGTTATACGCTTTAAGTAAAGTCAGTCCTGCTACCCTGGCCAAAAAAATGACTGAACCAGGATCTATGCCTGATCTTATAATGACCACATTCCGACCAGCCATCTCTGAGGGTCCTTGATGTGACAATCTGTGCTTCACATTGGAAGATAAGGTAGATATTTTAACCTCAGCTCCCTCCTCTCTCACCTGCTTCTGCTGTAGATATTACAGAAGCTAAATACTGGATTTTTAAGTCCCCTTTGCTCATGGGGTGGGGGTAGGGAGAGTCAAATGACAGTTTGGGTCACTAAGATGCATGTGGACACCTGTTGGAACCTCCCAGCTTTCTACATTTGCTTAGGCAGTGAAGGTGCTTGTGATAGCTGGAGCTGCAGCAGCTAATGCATTCCTAATTGAAACATGGTGAGCAAACAGCTCAGGTAGACCCTATCTTAGAAAATATTGAATCTGATGCTGGACGTGGTAGCTTACACCTGTGATCCCAGCACTTTGGGAAGTTGAGGTGGGAAGATTGCTTGAGCCCTGGAGTTCAAGACCAGCCTGGGCAACATAGCAACACTTCATCTCTATAAAAATAAAGATAAAAATTTTAATTAAAAAAAATTGCAACTGAGTACTTGCTGTGTGAGTGAGTCACAAGAGCGACTGGGTGACTTACCTAGTAGCTGGGTTCTGCATGAAGAAGGCCTGCTCAACACCAGCCAGCACAGGAACTCAGGGACTGCAAAGATGTGGATGGCTTCTCTTGCTCTCCCTTTCCCCCAAATAATCTGCTGGAACCAGTCCCTTCAAATCTGAATGAGTCTAATGAATGCAGTGGTTTGACTGGTGGGGAAAAGTAGCTCTAAGTACTGGCCATAGGCAGATATGTTGTTCTTTTATGCTCAGCACGTTTCATGAAACTCTTATTTGACCACAGCTTAAGAATGGCACCTCAGGCATCCAGTGACTTCCAGAGGCCTCACCTCAAAGCTTCTCAGATGCCTTTATCTTTATGCACATCCACACAGCAGAAGCGCAAATGGTGCATAACCCCTGTGGGGTGTTGCCTTTTGAAGTACATAAGCCAGTCAACCAAACACATGCCACTGTGTCTTTCTCTCTCGGAGTCTCCCTTTCTAAAGATAACGGGGCCGTGGAAAGTCAAGCAGATGGCCAGAGACCAAGGTGTTATGCACCTGCTTCTCTGCCACCTGCTGATGGAGGAGATACATAGGCAAAGCATAATGGGAGAAGCGGCTGTGAACACAGCAGGAAAACCCAAGGCCATCTTTCCATCATGGTGTGTGAGAAATTTCAGGCTTGGAGCCTCTGTAAGTTTAGAGAATAATGAATAATAATTTCCTGGCAACCTTCTGTGGCAATACTTCAGGACTGGAGGTGGGGTGCGCAGTGTAAAATTCAGACAGGTGATTAAAACATTTCTAAACATCTGAAATGGTGGCTGACATTAAAATTCAGTGCTATGTACACAGCAGGCACCCAATACGTATTTGTTAGATGAGTGAGTGAGTAAATGAGTGAGTGAATGTTTTCTATACGAGCCAAATCTTGCAGGGTGCTCTGCACATGGTAAATGCAAAATAAATGTTAGTTGAAAGACCCCAGTTATAATCTGATACGATCTATGTATCTAGTCAGTCATTTTCACTGGAAGTTTGGTAGTTTGGTAGCAATTGTAAACTGACTGTTAATGGGAGAAAACTATTACCCATAGCATCAGAAGGATATGGCTTTTGAAAGGAAGCTTGCACTTTGGTGGGTTCTCTCTCTCTCTCTCTCTCTCCTTCTGTGGGATAATCTGGCAGTACATATCACATTCCTTATCATTTACACTTTTTGAAAAGAAATTTAATGGCATGTGATATGTTTATGGGACAACATTATGTTCAGAAAAAATGTGGATCATTGGTGTTTTCATATGAGTAGTTGGGGGTGGGAGCAGGTTGGGATGGGTTGAAGAATGAATAGGAGGCTTTTAAAGAGTGGGTACAGTGAATGTGAACACAACAACTCTAGCTTGAAGGAAAGCAGGGAGATGGAGTGGTAGGTGGTGGGTTGTGAGCATAAGGAGAGGCTTTTCTATGAGTAGAGAACACACGTTTGTGTCCTTATGGGGATGATCTGCTAGAAAAGCAAAGATGAAAAGATAAATCATTTGGAGAGACAGGGTAACTAACCGAAAATTGACATACATAGTATGGTCTCCAGTTGGCTCCCTGAAAAAGGGGGCTCAATTCACATCTTGCACTGAGAAATCAGGAGCTACATCAGGGAGAGTGAGATGGCAAAGAGAGCAGATGTAGCTTGTCGGTGGCTCACAGTCCAGTGGGGAGGGAGACTTACACGCCTACAGCTGCACAGCAAGAGGGCTGAAGCTAAGATGTGAGCACCTGAGTCTGTGTAGCTTCTCTGTTCCTTAAAGTGGCTTCACATTTGAGTACCAACCATGGTTCAATTCTCCTTTAGGTATTCAGATGGGCAAGTTGTTCAAACCAGAGACACTTAGACCCTCTCTTCTCACTCTTTAAAGACAAAGTGCTAGGAGATAATAATCGTCCAGACAAAATCCTATATCTAGCCTGGGCAAGATGGTAAGACCCTGTCTCTCAGAAAAAAAAATTTTTAATTAGTCAGGCACAGTAGCTCACACTTGTAGTCCCAGCTACTTGGTGGGGGAGCTGAGGCAGGAGAATCCCATTAGCTCAGGAGTTCCAGGCTGTAGTGATCTATGATTGCACCACTGCCCTCCAGCCTGGGTGACAGACCGAGACCCAGTCTCTAAAAAAAAAAAAAAAAAAAAAGGCTAGGCATGGTGGCTCACACCTATAATCCCAGCACTTTGGGAGGCCAAGGCGGGCAGATTGCCTAAGGTTGGGAGTTCAAGACCAGCCTGACCAACATGGAAAAATCCCGCCTCTACTAAATATACAAAATTGGCTGGGCATGGTGGCACAGACCTGTAATCCCAGCTACTCAGGAGGCTGAGACAGGAAAATCGCTTGAATCCGGGAGGCGAAGGTTGTAGTGAGCCGAGATCGTGCCACTGCACTCCCACCTGGGCAACAAGAGCAAAACTCTGTCTCAAAAAAATAAAAATTAAAAAAACCCTATATTCAATTAAATGGTTGTTCAACAGTAACAGTGAAACAAAGACATGATCATAAAGCCTGAGACAGTTTATCACTAACAGATCTTTAAACATTTATTCAAAAGTATATTTCAAGAAAAAGAAGGAAAGAGTAAGATGCGAAGAGTTGTGGGCACAGAAAGTGGTAAATCTGTAAATAAATCTAAACAAGCATTAGAGTTAAAAAAAAAAAAAAAAAAAAGTGGGCCCGGCGCGGTGGCTCACGCCTGTAATCCCAGCACTTTGGGAGGCCGAGGCGGGTGGATCACGAGGTCAGGAGATCGAGACCATCCTGGCTAACACGGTGAAACCCCGTCTCTACTAAAAATACAAAAAATTAGCCGGGCGTGGTGGCGGGTGCCTGTAGTCCCAGCTACTCGGGAGGCTGAGGCAGGAGAATGGCGTGAACCCGGGAGGCGCAGCTTGCAGTGAGCCGAGATCGTGCCACTGCACTCCAGCCTGGGAGACAGAGCGGGACTCCGTCTCATTAAAAAAAAAAAATGTGGTTACTAAACAAGATAGAACAAAAATACCAAAAAGTAACACGTAACACAAGAAGGAATTGATTTGGACTGAAGCTGCCAAGGCCCTATTGATACAGAAGGGCTAGGCTCCTGGCTAAACCGTACCCTTAGGCCTGGAACCACAGCCCTAAGTGAAAACAGCTGACCCCGTTTTTCCAACCAAATGTTGCCTTTTTGGCTTGCCTCACCCCTGTCCTGTGCCCATAAACTTCAGCTGGCAGAGCAACACGAGTGGCTGAGCAGCGAGGATACAAGCAGCTGAACGGTGAGCAGAGAAGCAACTGAGTGCTGGAGACTACAAATAGATGGATAGATAGATGGCTAACTTCAGACGGTGCGGCTTCGGAGATGGGCCTAGCCGGAGATGGCTGGGCTTCAGGGAAAGATCACCTTCCCATCTCCTTTCCAGCCTCCCTTTCCGCTGAGAGCCACCCACCGCTCAATGAAGTCTTCTGTATTCATCACCTTTCAAACAGTTTGTGTGACCTGATTCTTCCTGGACACCGGACAAGAACCCGGGTGCCGAGAGGGCCGGGGCCGCCACCCTGACCCTCTACTAAGCTGGTTGGCTATTGGCTGTCCCTGGATGGCACAGCTGAAAGAGCATTGGTGGTAACATGCTTGGACGCTGCTGCGGGGCCCCTCACAGAGCCTGCTCCGCCAGAGAGGAGTGACCAGCCAGTGCCAGCATTCGTTCGCTCTGGTTCCCCAACTCTTCCTCCCGCAAGGACTGGCCAGCGGTGGGCTGAGTGAAACCAGCCACTCCAGTTCCAGCCCACGAAGGGGGTCAAGGGAACGAATCTGTCTCATCATTACTGTTTTATTATTGTTTGAGAGGAGGGTAATAGATTGTGATGAACTTTAGAGGGAATAAATCTAACAAAAGCTATAAAGAACTTCTGGTGCCTGCACTCTTCCTGCCATGAGGAGTGGCCAGTGATGGGCTGAGTAAAACGAACCACTCCAGTTCCCTACCATGAAAGGGGTTGAGGGAACTAACCTGTCTCATCACTATTGTGTTATTATTGTTTGAGAGGAGGGTAATAGATTTGATGAATTTTAGACTGTTCAAGTTTCAGAATTTTCTCCATAATGGAGAAAAATTACTAAAGTACACTAAAAGACTCTGAAGAAAATCTAGATGAGATATAAGGTGGTGATTAAATCAATGATTCTATATCATAAAGATGTCAGTTCTTCCAAAATTAGTTTATAAATACAATCTAATTTTCATTTTTAAAATTCAATATATTTTCATTTTTAAAATCCAACAGAATTTTTCATGGAATTGAAAAACTGATTCTAAAATTTCTATTGAAAAGCAAAAAATCAAGAAAAGAAAAGGCATTGTGGGCCAGGTGCGGTGGCTCACGCTTGTAATCCCAGCACATTGGGAGGCTGAGGTGGGCAGATCACTTGAGGTCAGGAGTTTGAGACCAGCCTGGCCAACATGGTCTCTACTAAAATACAAAAATTAGCCAGGAATTGAATAATGAGAACACTTGGACACAGGATGGGGAACATCACACACCGGGGCCTGTCGTGGGGTAGGGGGAGCAGGGAGGGATAGCACTAAGAGATATACCTAATGTAAATGATGAGTTAATGGGTGCAGCACACCAACATGGCACATGTATACATATGTAACAAACCTGCACGTTGTGCACATGTACCCTAGAACTTAAAGTATAATTTTTTAAAAAAATGAAGATGATGAACACTAAACCATGATATTAAATCCCAGTGAGAACCGCCCCCCCAAAAAAAAAGAATAGATTCTGGTGAGGTTGTGGAGAAAAGGGAACACATACACTGTTGGTGGGAGTGTATATTAGTTCAACCATTCTGGAAATCTTTATGACATTCCTCAAAGAGCTAAAAGTAGAACTACCATTCAACCCAGCAATGCCATTAGTGGGTATAGACCCAGAGGAATATAAATCATTCTACCATAAAGACACATACATGCGGATGTTCATTGCAGCACTGTTCACAATAGCAAAGATATGGAATCAACCCGAATGCCCATCAATGACAGAGTGGATAAAGAAAATCTGGTACATATACATCATGGAATACTATGCAGTCCTAAAAAAGAATAAGATCATGTCTTTTGCAGAAATGTGGATGGAGCTGGAGGCCATTATCCCTAGTAAACTAATGTAGAAACAGAAAACCAAATACTTCATGTTCTCACTTATAAGTGGAAGCTAAATGATGAGAACTTATGAACACGAAGAAGAAAAACAATAGACACTGGGGTCTACCTGAGGATGGAGGGTGGGAATAGGGAGAGGAGCAGAAAAGATAACTATTGGGTACTGGACTTCATACCTGGGTGATTGAATAATCTGTACAACAAATTCCCATGACATGGGTTTATCTGTGTAACAAACCTTCACATGTACCTCTGAACCTAAAATAAAAGTTAAAAAAGAAAAAAAAATTAGCCGAGTGTGGTGGTGGGCGCCTGTAATCCCAGCTACTCGGGAGGCTGAGGGACAAGAATCACTTGAACCTGGGAGGTAGAGTTTGCAGTGAGCCAAGGTTGCGCCACTGCAGTCCAGCCTGGGCGGCAGAGTAAAACTGTGTCTGCAAAAAAAAGAAAAGGCATTGTGAAGGACAATGAGGACTGAAATCATCTACCAGATATCATGACTTCATAAAGTGGTAGAAATTAAAACACTGTGTAAGGCCGGGCGCAGTGGCTCATGCCTGTAATCCTAGCACTTTGGGAGGCCGAGGTGGGCGGATCACTTGAAGTCGAGTTCGAGACCAGCCTGGCCAACATGGTGAAACCCCATCTCTACTAAAAATATAAAAATCAGCCAGACGTGGTAGTAGGCGCCTGTAATCCCAGCTACTCGGGAGGCTGAGGCAGGAGAATCACTTGAACCCAGGAGGTTTGAGGTTGCAATGAGCCGAGATCAGGCCACTGTACTCCAGCCTGGGTGACAGAGTGAGACTCCATCACACACACACACACACACACACACACACACACAAAGAAAAGAAAAAAGAAATTAAAACACTGTGGTATTAAAGTAGGGATAAAGAAACTGACAGCATATAGAACTCAGAAACAGATCCAGAAATGTATGAAGACCTGATATACCAGAAAGATGTCATTACGAATTAATAGGGGAAAGGCTGAATCATTTAATACTTGGTGCTGGGGAAACTGGTTATCTATATGGGGAAAAAAATTATTAAAGTAGGCTCTCCATATAAAAGTGAATTCTAGGTGGATTAACACCCTAAATATGAAAAGCAAAATTTTTAAACTTTTAGAATAAAATATAAGATATTGCCTAATGACCTTGGAAAAAAGAAGTTGTTTTTAGCCAGAAAGCATAAATCAAAAAGAAAAAACTTAAGATGTTTAATTACATTGAATTAAAACACTTCTTCCTAATGGATACCATAACTGAAATGAAAGATAAGTCACAGACTTACAGGAGATACCTGCAACACATGATTGGCTAAGGATTAGTATTTAAACATATATTTAATATTTACTACATATATAAAATTATATGCTAAATATATAATTGATATACATGGGTATTTATACCAATAAAATGGACAAAGCATATAAACAGTCCATTCATAGGATGACTAATAAGATTATAAAGTTATGCTTAACTTCATTAGAAATGGAGAAGTACAATTCAAAATAATAATGATATATCATTTTACATTCATCAGATTGGTATTTCAAAGTCTGATAATACCAAGTGTTGACAAGGATGTGGAGTAAGAACTTCGAATATACTGTCAGCAGGAGTGAAGATAGCAGTGAAACTGAGGAAGAATTTTATAATAGGTAGTAGAGCTGAAGATATGCATGCACTACAATATAGCAGTTGCACTTCAAAGCACATGCTGAAGAAAGCTCTTGTACACACATACAAGGAAACATACACAAGACTGTTCATTGTAATATGGTTTCTAATGAAAAAAATTTGAAGCAACTTAAATGTCCAACTACAGTATACTCATATAGTAGAATGTTATACAACACTAACACTGAATCCACTAGAATGTTATAATTCAACGTGCATAAAAGTCAAAAACATAAGATTGTAGAGAAAAATTACTTGCAAAAGGATACTTGCCATGTCATAGCATTTATAAAAAATGCTAAAACATTCTAAACAGTATCATAAAGTTTGCAAATAAATATATGCATGTTGGTACAAGAATTAAAAGTGATGGGGGGAATCATAAATACCAGATTCAAGAACCCCTCAGGAAGCGGGAAGGGAATAGTGTTGGGAAGTACTCAGGGGCTGCCCCTGTACCTGTAATTTTTTTCTCTACCACTGAAAAAAATGTGGCACCTATTAAGATTTTATAAACCTGGGTCATGAATATACAGTTGTTCCTGATATTTTTCACCACACTTAAAATAACTCACAATACAAAACAATGTAACAAAGCCTAAATTTTATTAGGAGAATAAAAATCCATACCTACAATAATAAGAAACAAAATGAATACTGTAGAAACTTGAATCAGTGATGTAGTGGATGAACTTGAGAAGTTCTGTCAGAATGCTAAGTAAAATGTCAAAGAGATAAAAATAGGAGGGAAAATTATGTGTATGGATGTGAATATAGAAAACAAAATCCAAACTAAGAGATTATGAGTGTTTCTTTGATATTTACCAGAATAATGGAAACAAAAATATGAATGAAAAACATAAAAATAAAACTTATCCAGGCTGGGGAAACAAAAAACAGCCATAACAAAACCTTGAGAATAGTTTGGAAGGACTAATGTTTCAGCTTAGAGACCTACCCCTACATATAAACTGACAAAATTTTTATAGTATAAAGAAAAAACTTTAGGACTCAACATGGTGATTTCTACATAGACAAGCAATTAGGCAAATAAACGAATACTTGATACTGAAATACAAAATCCAAGAGGTGATTTATCTAGATTGTATCTGACAGTCTAGACAAATTAGAAAGGAAAAGGAAGTTTTACTACCTTCAGAGAGAGTGTCTGAACTAAAAATAATTAAGATGCTTTAGAAAAATCACGTTGAGCTGTGGTTTAAAAGAAAAACTCTGGTATTCAACAGAAGAATGTATATTAGGTGATGGACTCTAAACTATACATGAGAAGTTGCTGAATAATTATAAAGGGCATGTAAATCATCAATGCTTCTAATTTTCTAAGGGTTTTCCTTCTGTCAAGTTCGATCATCCCTGTAGAAATGCCATTCACTCAACTACAATTCAAATTAACACCCTTAATTTTTAATGAGGATCAGTAAAAATCTAGCCATGCAAAAAATATTTTCTCATCTACTATAAAACTGCTTTGAAAGTCACTATTCATCATAACACTCAATATTCTTTATACAATGATTCATTTGGTAATTTCTTCTTATGTATCCAGAAAAAAAATTATTTTCACTGAAAAACTCATTTGCATTTTTTTTTGTTTTTTTTTTTTTTTCTTGAGACAGGGTCTTGCTCTGTCACCCACACTGGAGTCCAGGGGCACAACCAGGGCTCACGGCAGCCTCGACCTCCCAGGCTCAAATGATCCTCCTGAGTAGCTGGGACTACAGGTGTGCACCACTGAGCCCAGCTAACTTTTTTTTTTTTTTTTTTGTGACAGAGTCTCACTCTGTTGCCCAGGCTGGAGGGTAGTGGCCCAATCTCGGCTCCCTGCAACCTCTCCCTCCTAGGTTCAAGCAATTCTCCTGCCTCAGACTCCCAAGTAGCTGGGATTACAGGCATGTGCCACCATGCCGGGCTAATTTATATATACATATATATATATTTTTTTAGTAGAGATGGGCTTTCACCATGTTGGCCAGGCTGGTCTCAAACCCCTGACCTCAAGTGATCCACCTGCCTTGGCCTTCCAAAGTGTAGGATTACAGGCACCAGCTAACTTTTTGTTTTTTGTAGAGACAGACAGGGTTTCACCACATTGCCCAGGCTGGTCTTGAATTTCCGGGCTCAAGCAATCCTCTCACCTTGGCCTCCCAGCATGCTGGGATTGCAGGTGTGAGCCACCACACCTGGCCTGGTTTGCATTTTTTGATCGGACATTAAGAGTTCTGTAAGACCTTGATTTCTGGGAAGCTCAAAGTTGAGTGACTTCAAGGGCTTAAGTAACTATCTCATCTCTAGTCTTGATATAATCACGTCTGCTATCTCTATTTAATTTCTGATTATGTTATCATACTTCTTTTAATTAAAAAGGTGTGTCAGGTGGAACTGTCTCAAATCATGTTTGTACATGACTGGAAATGAATATCCATGATTTAAAAATATATTCAAATCTCTTGAGTAAACTCACATTCCAAAAGCCTGGCTCTGGTAGACAGGCTTCATTGTGGGCAGAGAAAATCAGTGGTAACTAAGCTGGGGAGGGTCCCATCAGTGTCCCACAGTAAAGAAAACCTCCCTTACTTTGTATATAAGGTCAGGCAAAGACAGTCAGTCTTAAATCAGGGAAAGAAGCCTGGCTTGAGTCTTCACTGACCCATAACCATTCGCGACATTAGAAGAAAACCTCATAGACAGCCTGTGACAGGAGCAAGACAGCCTCTCTCTAGGTCATACAATTAATCTGTGTCCAAGAAACGTTTTCGAAATAAATACAAGCAAGAGTAACTGGTTCTCATTTTCAAATTGGTATTGGCATATTGACTAAAGCAAGACAAAGAAAGAGGAGGAACCAGGAGCGCAGCTCAGGGCTTCCAAGCATTGAAGCATCGCAAAGTCATTCTCCATCAGAGAGGGAATCATGAAATGCTAAGACTGAGAATTCACTGTCAGAATAACAAACAGAATTGTGTGGTGGGTGAGCTCACCACGGGTTGCTTTCCAATGGAAGAGTTTCTGCAGTGATTTGAAACCTACACCTTGAGAAAACACCAACTACCTGGAACTTACTGATCAGAGAAAAGATGAGGAGATGGAATAGCCAAAAAGGCTCCTGGAGACAGTTGGGATAGCTGGTATACCATCTGCTGGCATGGAGGGCTCATGCTATGAAGCCAGGAGCAATAAATCAAGGGGTTGGCAGGGAGTGGATTGTGAAAGATTGGGAATGTCAGGCCATCATACGGCCTTTATCCTGAGCAAGGAGGAGCAGGAGAGCAACAAGCCAGTGGAGGTGGTTTTATATTAGCCCAACAGTGAGCTGCAGGATGGGTTTCTACTTTCTGCCTCTATGCCCCTATGCCTTTTGGTGTCTGGACAATATCTGTGGCTATTCTCCAACACCTCCCTCCACACTCAGCCCAGAAAACCTTCTGCCCAATTCTCTTGTTTCTCATCGCCTGCCCCTTTGGAGAAATTCCACTTAACTTTTACCAGTGATCCCCAAAGTCACCGTGATGTGAAAACTTGGCCACGCTACCTCCCAGTTCCCTGACCCACAAAACCAGCATTACCCCTCCTCCGTGCTGCAGAGCATTTTCTTGATATCTGTGCGTCACCATATGGGTAACTGTGTATGTGTGTCTATGCACTGGACTGGATTATGACCCCTGGAGGGCAAGGGCTGTCTCAGCTCTTTTCAAAAAGGGTTTGGCAAAAATAAGTACTCGGGCTGGGCACAGTGGCTCACTCCTGTAATCCCAGACCTTTGAGAGGCCGAGGCGGGCAGATCACAAGGTCAAGAGATCCAGACCATCCTGGCCAACACGGTGAAACCCCGTCTCTACTAAAAATACAAAAATTAGCTGGGAGTGGTGGTACATGCCTGTAGTCCCAGCTACTTGGGAGGCTGAGGCAGGACAATCACTTGAGCCCAGGAAGCAGAGGTTGCAGTGAGCCAAGACTGTGCCACTGCACTCCAGCCTGGCAACAGAGCGAGACTCCTTCTTAAAAAATAAAAATAAAAAAAATAAGTATTTGTGGGCTGGGCGCAGTGGCTCACGCCTGTAATCTCAGCACTTTGTGAGGTCAAAGCGGGTGGGTCACATGAGGTCAGGAGTTCGAGACTAGTCTGACCAACATGGTGAAACTCTGTTTCTACTAAAAATACAAAATTAGCCAGGCGTGGTGGTGTGCACCTGTAATCCCAGCTACTTGGGAGAGGCAGGAGACATTGCTTGAACTCGGGAGGTGGAGGTTGCAGTGAGCCAAGATGGCGCCATTGCACTCCAGCCTGGGCAACAACAACAACAACAAAGTATTTGTGAAATGAATGGCTGATCCTTTTGGTAACTTGCATACCTAATACACCCTTACTTTATTCAGTATCCTTACATATAGTCATGCATCACATAGTGACATTCTGGTCAATGATGGAACCCATGTACAATGGTAGGCCCGTAAGATTATAATACCATAGTTTGACTGTACCTTTTCCATGTGTAATTGTACAAACACTTACCACTGCTTACATTTGCTTGTGGTATTCAGTACTATAACATTCTGTTCAGGTTTGTAGCCCAGGAGCAATAAGCTATACCATAGATCCTAGGCGTGCTGTAGGCTATACCGTCTAGGTTTGTCTAAGTACAACTCTAGGATGTTCGCACAACAAGGAAATCACCTAATGGTGCATTTCTCAGAATGTATCCCTGTTGTTAAGCAACGCATTACTGTATTTAGTTCAGTATTACAGATTTTAAGCCCATTAGTGAATTATAAAAATAATTCAATGGGACATGACCACACTTTAAAAATTGGAACTGAAGGGTATGAGAAAATACAAAGTCCTGCATTTAGCAATGGTGAGTACTGTGAGTGTCTGTGACACATTTGCACATATGCACATGTACTTCTATACAATTGACCCTCCACATCAGTATCAGTGGGTTCTGCAGCTGCAGATTCAACTAACCCACATCCAAAATATTTGGAAAAAAATATGGATGGTTATGTCTATACTAAACATGTACAGGCTTTATTTTATTGTCATTATTCCCTAAACAATACAGTATATAAATGATTTACATAGCATTTGCATTGTATTAGGTATTATAAGTAATCTAGAGATAAATATTTAAAGGATACAGGAGAGTGTACACAGGTTATATGAAAATACTACTCTATTTTATATAAGAGACTTGAGCATCTTTGGATGTTGGTGTTTGTTGGCGGTGGCGGGGGCGGGGGGGGGGGGTGGGTGGGAAACAGTCCTTGAATCAATTCTCCATGAATACAGAGAAATGACTGTTTATGTTTGTGTGTACTAGGTTGCAATGTAAATTGCATACACTTATTATAAGTGGTAGTCCAAAAAAGTTTGATAAATAGTTGTTTTTTTAAATGTCAGTTAATTTCCCAGCTGATTGCCACTTTACTTTGAACAGGGGTTAGGTTTTTAACTTTGATTTTGTTCTATAGCAGGGTTCCTCAACTTCAGTACTATTGACATTTAGAGCTAGATAATTCTCCATTGTAGGGGGCTGTTCTGTGCATTGCAAGGTATTCATATTTAGCAACATCTCTAGTCTCTACTGACTAAATGCCAGTAGCACTTTCCCCCCAGTTGTGACAGCCAAAAATGTCTCCAGGCATTGCCAAATATTCTTTGGGGACCAAAATCACCCCCAGTTGAAATCTACCACTCTATTGTGCCCCCAAATACTTTTGAGCATTTGGGGGCACAATAGAGTAGTAACAGACATGAAGCAAAGAGCCTGTGGGAGCCAAGTGCAGTAGAATGAGCCTGGGATACAGATCCCCAAACTTTCTTAACCTCTGTTGGGTTTACAGCCAGGTCCCTATGGGCCACTCTGTCACTGCACAGACTGCCTTCAGTCTAACCGCAGGATTTTCCCACATGTGGCTGGGACATGCAGCAGGACACAGCAGGTGTTCCCGGTCAGAAAGTGTTCCTGAGACACTAAGAAAGGCAAAGGCATCCCAGTACTTCTGGCTTATATAAGGAAATAGCTCAGGGAACTGATGTAGAAACTCCCCACTTGGGAGCATGGGAGCAACACTCACACTGCTCTCAAGAGGAACCAACAGAATATGGGTGAGAATGGAGCGGTGTAACCACGCATGTAAGTGGGGTCTCTGCAACAGAGAAGAGGACAGGAAGCGCAAGGATCACTGGCTAGAGAGTCCCAGATGACTGTAAGACCTTCAGAGAGTCACATAATCTGGTGGTGTCAGTTCCTTATCCGAAAATTGTGGAAGTCTGGCTAGGTTCTTCAATGACTCGCCAGTTTCAAAATTCTATGATTTCCATTTGGCACTCTACCTCTTTTTTCTTTTCATGTCTGTTCTCCTTAAAGCAATATAAAATTGCCTCCTTATTCCTTCTCCTTCCTCTCCAGTGAGCTCCACCACTGCAGCCACAGCAATCCTGCTTAAAATATAAGTCAGGCCATGTCATTTTGCTGCTCAAAATTTCAATATCTTGGCCTTTAACTTTGAATAAGATTCAAAGTCTTCATCAGGACCTATAAGATTTGACACGCTCTGACCCCTGGCAAACTTTCTGACCTCACTTCCTATCATTTTTCTCACTCACCACATTCCCACCACGTGGGCCTCTTTCTGTGAGCTTCCAGTGTCCTGTGGGCTGTCACCCCAGGACCTCTGCATTTGTCACTCCCTCCACGTGGAGGGATTCTGCTCAAATCTCTCTTTGAGAGAAGCCTTCCCTGATAGCCTATCCCAAGCAGCAGCTCCCACCATCCTCTACACCCTCTTAGCCCTTCACTTTTCCTCTTGACACTTATCATTACTGATGATATTATTTATGTAATATAATGTGATACAGACTTATTTCACAGACTCTCCCACAGATATACCTCATGAGGGCGGAGACACTATTGATCTTGTTTACTGCTAAAACCCCAGCATCCAGAAATTACCTGGGCATAAACAGACATCAAATACACATTTTGGAAACTGTGTGAATAAGTGCTTAAACAAGCAAAATAATCAATGTAGAGTCAGAAATTAGGTTCTTTACTTTCTTGAACATCACCCAAACAGTTTTCAGGGGTAATGTTAAAAAAAAAAAAAAAGGCCTGACAAATTTGTTTGTAGCCTTTCTCATCACCCACTCCTCTAATTTTCATTGTTGTAATTCTTTCTGAATTTGCCAGCTTTTTATTTCATTTTATTTTGGAAAGAAATGTATGTACCAGTTGTTTGCATCATTTTGACACAGCATTGTAAATAAAATGTTATAAACGCCAAAGAACGCTGAAGAAATATCTGTTTTTGTTTGTGGACGTTTGGTTGCACCAGAAAAAAATCTAAAATTAGTTGCCTTCTCCCATGTTGGTTGGGACTTTGAACCATAGAAGGTGCCCTCTATCTGACGCAATCTAATGGAGCTGCTCTCAAGGTCAACCACTTCAGGTGACTCCAGACTGAGTCGCAAGGGCTCGTCCGGCTCTGTAAGTGTGGGAACTACTGCCATCTGCTGGATGACTGTTGATACTTCCTCCTGAGCAGCTGTGGCTGGCATGCCCCTGCACTCCCTAAGGATCCTGTGATCAACATCAGTGATGGGAGATACATTCCACTGGGCCAAAATGGAGACACAATCACATTTTAAAATATGGTAGATGCTGGGATTAGAGTTCAAAAGCAGCACTAATCTATGTTCTAAGACAGGCCTCTTGGCTCCTCATATCAGTGGGAATAAGAAGCTGGTACCACCAAAAATTTCCAATTGGGGCTCAGATTTAGAGATAGATCCTTACAGCAGCTGACTTATTTTTCCTTTTGAAAAAACATTTTTATCTCAAAAGGTATATATGAATATTATGTGTTAATAAGAGATTAGTGCAACATAGGCTATTGGTTAAATTTGTGAAATAGCAGATAAGAGACTTGGGTTCAGAATACCATCCACTTGCTGATCAGCTGTGCATGTCAGTCTATCCAACTAGAAACTAATGGAGAAATAATGGTGCTGGCCCACTCTGCTTCAAAAAGATACCAGAAGGGAAGATGAACTTGGACAACCAAAAGACAAGTAAGGTTACCATCAAGAGGCCCAGCTTTGTTTACACCAGTGAAGCAATCCAAATGTCCATCAATGAGGAATTAGTTCAATAAATGTGGCACACCTTTATAATGGAATACATTGTTATTAAATTTTGTGATGTATACCTACATTCATTTGCATTTATATATGTATAAAGTATTTTGTTGTACAGAAAAAGTGTATGTACTATGATTTCATCATTGGATTAAAAAAAATTCTGGAAGATATTATCTGCCAAAATATTAATAGTGGCTATACCTAGATGCTGAGTTTAGAGATAATTTTCATTTTGACCTTTTAATATTTTTTATGTTGCCTGAATTTTTTTCACTAACAATAAGCATTATAGAGCACAATATTCTTTTCTATTTGGCGATAACACAAATACTATTTCTGTTTTGCAATTACTGCAATGGTTTCTCTAACGTCATCTCCTTCGACTTTTCTGCCCCAGAACTCCCTTCTCCAGCTACACTGACCTTCTTGTTCTTCTCTGAACACGCTTGAGGAATCGAATCTTTAGACAAAAGGAATCTCACTAATTTTAGGAATCAAGTGGCAGATCCTGGACCAAAACCCAGTTTGGCGATTACCTTTTCAGACTTGATTCCTAAATTCCTCTGTCCTTCTCCACCCTGCCCTGTGCCCTGGGAAGCTGACCTGCCTGGCTTCCACTTGTGTGCTGCCCATTAGGAAGCACCAACAAGAAAGAAGAGAGAGGAAAAAGAGTCAGAGTGTTCCCCTAAATTTTACCCTATGAGGTTATCATGGGACACATGTCTGAAGGTCATAGCTCTTGCTGGATGGCCCTCCCTTTCCATCTGGATACTGGTCCCAATTAGCACATGACTAAGCTGTTGCAAACAGTCCCCTCATTAAACTTGTTTCAAATCATCCAAGTACTTATGCCTCTATTTCGTGCCAGGAGCCTGATGACTACTGAGATCCCTAGAAAAGTCATCTTTTCTCCTGCAGTTGCTTCTCATTTATATTTGTACATAAGTGTTTCGTATTCGGTTGCATTATCAGATGAGATCCATCAAACTCAGCCAGCATGCACCGCGTCCCTCCTATGTGTCTGTGTTAAGCTGATTTCACAGACCTCCTCTCTTTGTGCTGAACAACAACTGTGGCCCTACTCCCATCAAAGAACTGAAACGATTCAAGAATTTAGATGCTAAGAAATGATCCCAATGAAGAACTATATAAAAGCAAGAAATGCTCCAAAGGAAAGAACAGAAAAGATTAGCCATGACATTATGATGAATGTGAAGGAAAGAGAACAAAATGGATAATTAAGTAAATAAAAGGAAACAAAGTGAAAATGGGTAAGATAATTGTGTGTGGATATGTATGTGGATATCACCTCAATATATTAATGTTTAAAAATCCATTGAGTGGAATAAACAGTATATAGTTGCACATTCTGAGGCCATGAAATATCAGCCGACCGACTGAGCAGATGCTCCAGTTGAAATCAGAGCATCGTGAGTTCCTTTCCTTTGAAAATTTATATTTCCTTATCATTTGCTTTAGTCTCTCTTCTCTACCTAGCCAGAGGGGGTAAAATATTGGTGTCCTGATTATTAGTAAATGTATGATAATGTAAGATGCACAAAGGCCTCAGAAGAGCAATTAATAGGTATTTAAACAGCAAAGTGAATCATTCCCTGTAGAGCCAATAAAGTTGTGCAAATGAATGTTGCTCAGATTTACATGCATGGAGTCATCAGCAAATCAATAGAGCGATTGCCATGGAGGACACCCTGAATGTAAAATTACATCTGAAGTTATATTCACGCTCAAATGCAAACTGAAAATGCAGGTTTGTCTAGGCTATGAGTAAAACAAATTATTTATCGCTCCTACTGTTCCCTTTTTCATCTCACGTTCTAAAGATTTACAAATCCATGAAGCTCACTGACTCATTGGCCTTTCCCATGCTCCTGGAATAATGCCTAGCAAAGGAACCTCTTCCTCAGTTTGCTTTTTGTCTTTCTCCAATGTCACCAGCACAAACCTGTTCCAAAGCAGTTGGATTGCAGGCTCTCCAGGTCTCTTCTTTAAGAACATGTATGTGAAAATTAAATCACAGACAGCTCTATCAAGGGAACAAGTTCATTAGTATGTGCTAATTGATTCCTTAAAAGCTTGACAAAATTGCTATCTAAAAGGGGATTTACCAAATTTCCTGACAAATTTCTTGAAAATTTAAGGAAAAATGCCCAAACAGTATAGTACAGAGGTCAGCAAACTGTGGCCCGTGGGCCAAATCCAGCCTGCTGTAACAATGGTTTTTACATTTTTAGGGGCTGGGGAAAAAGTTTAAGAATAATAATTTCTTGTGACACATAAAACTTAAATTCAAATCTCAGTGTGCATAAATAGTTTTATTGGAATACAGCCATGTATAATTATTTACTGTATGACTGCTTTCCTGCTATGACAACAAAGTTGGCCTAAAAATCCTAAAATATTTACTATCTTGCCCTTTATAGAAAAATTTGCTGACCATTGTCTCAGTAAATGGTTATTTTTGGGAAGACTAAAAGCAAACAAAGCTAGCAGCATGATACTGTAACTCTAGAGCTTTTCTTCTTTTTTTTTTTTTTCCTTTTGCCTGAGTCTAGAATGTGCTTAAGTGGTAAGAGACATGAAATTTTATTGTTATCAGAGCTTGTGACTTGCAGTTTTAATTCTCTGACATCTGATCACTGCAGTCTTTTAAATCTAAGCAGCCAACTGAAGGAGTTCAGGAAATGTCCCCCCAACACAAGCCGCTTTGCTGTGGCTGATTGCTTCACACTGAGGGCACCCGGGGAGCAGCACATTCAGGGAGGGGCTTTCTCTGAACTTCTCTTATCTGCCTGAAGACTGATCCTCCAAAAGGAATGCAACTGCCAACGGATCCCCTCCCCGGAATCTCATTACCAGGGAAGATTAACTCCTATCTCAGGAGGGGAGACTGGGGGTTAACGCCACACCGAGACAGACTGTCATGGGCTATCTGTCACCTATTCTTTGGAGGTTCCATGCATCATTTACTCTCTCCTGTGTTCTCTGCGTCCTTCCTCCCCTGTCTATAAGCTTCTAGATCCCACTGGGTTTGGGGGTATTCACTTTTTTTCCTTGGATGCCCCCTGTGCATATACAAAATGTGTGTACCTTTTCTCCTCTTAATCTGCCTGCTGTCCGTTTATTTCATACACTCAGTTATTAACCCCTCTGTGGGTAAAGGGAAAGTCTTCCCTCCCCGACACAACCAAGTCCCATCCTAATGATTCCGGTGGACCTCACTCAGAGGGCTTCCTCCATTCTTCCACTTCCCAGAGAGGAAACTTTTTGTTCTTGTACTTCTGTTTCTGAATTCTGGCATTCTGATGTCTTCCCATTCCCAGAACAGAGCTCAGAGCCTGGAGTCTAATGAAAAAGCTACAGAACCCCCAGTGGCTGCCCCTGTCAGCTACACCATCCTTTAGTAACTAGGCATGGAGGGAACATCTATTAACATCTCCTTCATCTTGAAGAGTGGTCAGATACCTTAACCTCTGTTCCACTTGTGTTTTCTTAAAATAACCCTGAGAAGTAGAAAATATCACCTGTCTCAGGATTACTGTACCCATCTTAGAGATGAGGAAGCTGAGACCCAGAGATACTAAGTGTCTTTTCTGAGGAGGTCCCACAGCAAGGTAGTAAGAGGACAGTTTTCCTGGACCTCAGACCCAGACTTGCCGGCCAGATTCTGCTCTGTTCAAAGGTACAGATGCTTGGGGGCAGTGAATAGTGTAAAGGTTGGCAAGAACTTTCATAGGCATGGATTGAAAGAGGCTGCAGCTGTAAGGAAGCTGCTAGAGAGTGCTAATAAGTCACAGGGACTTTGGAGCACTTCCTGATTGCTTTGTAGCCATCCCCAGAACATGCCACTACCTTCTGTCTCCATTGCTTCCTCTCTGCTCACTGCTGCAGCCTATTCAGGGGCATTGCCGCCAAAGAAGAGTCCTCACTTGCGAACAGGGATAAGGGAAATCTATTCTGTGGCTCTATGACAACATGTACCCCGGGATCCTCGCATGCTGTAACTGGTCTCCAGGCAGATGGGCAATGAAAAACACAGCGGCCCAAATCTCAGAGCAAAACTGGGCAAAAGCCAGACTCACACACAGACACTTATGGGACAACAGGTTTACACAACCAACGACAGCTGTACTAAGCAAGCAGGAAGGTGTAGAGAAGAAAAGAGGGGTGAGATGAGAGGGTGCTGGGGAACAGCATGGAATCAGATTTATTGTAGAAATCTGATTTGAGCCAGAGGGAGTTTGTCTCAGCTCAGTGGAAGAGTATGTTTCTGAAACTGTGGAAGAAAACAGTTTATGGAGAGAACAGTATGGCAAAAATCAAACCAAAACAAAACATCTCTCATACTTCTCTATGTAATCCCTGAGGATCTGAGACCATAATTAGCCTTATTAGGAAAAGGAGGAAAAGGTAGTCTAGAAATGTTAATGCTTATTATAATGATCAAGTAAGAACCCAGGGGTAAAATGAGGGCTTGGTTTGAAAGAGAGTTAGAAAATGTCTCTCCTTTCACCAACCCGCTATCAGCAAACTGTACTCTTTTTAGCATTAGAATCTCATCCTTACAGCCTTGAATTTAAATTCACTGGGTTTGCTCTCTTCCTTCCTTCTTTCCTTCCTCCCTCTTTTACTCTATTTGTTTACCTTTTCCTTATTTATACCACATTGCAATTCTGGGAGTTCACTTTTGCCTGCGAACCTTGCCAATGGGAAATTCACTTTTGGCCTATGTGGGTTTCTAGAACAACTGTTTCCTTTCATCTTGTCTTTGAAGTTCCCATACAGTAGCAGTAGGGAGTTATCCAATCACCAAAGTAGTCACAGACTCTTAGCTTGTTAAGTCACATTCACTCATTTACATACTCAATAAATACTTATTGAGCGCAGACCTTGCATAGGGTGTTGAGAACACAACATTTGATGGCTGGGAGTGGTGGCTCACGCCTGTAATCCCAGCACTTTGGGAGGCGGAGGCAGGAGGATCACCTGAGGTCAGGAGCTCCAGACCACCCTGGCCAACATGGTGAAACCTCATCTCTACTAAAAATCATAATAAAAAAATTAGCAGGGCATGGTGGCAGGTGCTTGTAATCCCAGCTACTCGGGAGGCTGAGGCAGGAGAAGCGCTTGAACCTGGGGGGCGGAGGTTGCAGTGAACTGAGGTTGCAGTGAACTGAGATCGCACGACTGCACTCCAGCCTGGGTGACAGAGCGAGACTCTGTCTCAAAAAAAAAAAAGAGAACACAACGTTGAACAAGTTATTCCAGCTCCAATATGGACCTTATCCTAGAGAGGAGATACAGACAGACAATATGATGCATAATATAGATTCAGGCAGTGAAAGTGCTATGGAGAAAATAAAGCAGGGCATTAGGCTGAGACCACAGAAGCCTGGGGTCGAGCACAGTGGCTCAGGACTGTAATCCCAGCACTTTGGGAGCCAAGGCAGGCAGATCACTTGAGCCCAAGAATTCGAGACCAGCCTGGGCAACATGGTGAAACCTTGTCTCTACAAAAAATACAAAAATTAGTCAGGCGTGATGGTATGTGCCTATAGTCCCAGCTACTCAGGAGGCTGAGGTGGGAGGATCACTTGAGCCCGGGAGGTGGAGGTTGCAGTGAACTGAGATCATGGCACTGCACTCCAAGACCCTGTCTCAAGAAAACCAGAAGCCTATCTGAGAAAGTGACATTTGAGCTAGGATCTGAAAGGAGAAAGGGAGGAGGCTGGTGGCATGATCATAGAAAGATCTGAGGGAAGAGAGTTCAAAGCCCAGGAAACAGCAGGTGCTAAAGTTCTGAAGCAGAAAAGAGCAAAACGGCTTTTGCTAGGAACAGAAACAGTACCATCTACTAGGAACTGATCTAAGGACACCAATTCACTTCAGTGAAGAATGTATTTGTTCTTTCTCTGCTCATATCATGAGGATAGTATCCTAGAAATTAAGTGGTTTTGGTGGTTAAGACCAAGTTCTATTCCTAGGGGAAGTTATATAACCCTAGAGTTGATTACACATGTAACTTATTTTTAATTAAATTCCCGTTTTTGGAAAAAAGAAGAAAGGCAAGTGACTTTTTTACTTCTGCCATTTCTATTATTTACCATTCATGTCCTTTTTACTGGCTTTCATTCTACTTGATGAAAGAATGTACTCATTAAGCTTCAAGCTCAGTAGTTGGTGGCCAGTGGAGGCAGTGAATACATTTTTTACAAAGCCCCCAGTTCTGCACTCCAACTGCCTGATTTACCAGGTCAAAAGGAAACTATAATGCTGCTGGTGTTTCTTTCTTGCAGGGAAAAAAAAAATACAGCAGGATGGGGATAAAGAATGAGAGATCATGATTTGGGTCTTCTTTGAATTTCCTCTTGGAAACAAAACAGGTGCTGATTTGTGTGGAACGCCTCCCAGGAGAAGACAGAAGTACATGTAGATGCACCATTATTATTCAAGGTCACCAAAATGATCCTAGCTCTCATTAGAGGACCTAGACACTAAAGTCATTTTTTTTTCTTCCTGTTCTACTTATAATGTTGTGGAGCTGGAATTAGATGTGGACACTGCACGAACTTCTCAACATTGCAGTGGAACCACCAACACCATCCTCCTTTCTCACTTCAGCTAAGTGCCAGTTAATGAAAACACTGGGCCTGGCTTTCATTAACTACCAGCACAAGAGCAACTAAGATCTTCCAATTGCCCCATTAAGCAATTAAGTTGCTAATAGTGTCTGGCATTAATAGGCCCAGTGGGAAGTGAAAGCTTCCCCAGTTAGTAGGGCTGAAGTGTTATCTTTTCTTACAAAAGAGTTTAGCCCTAAGATAAACAGGCCACAGAGGACCCCAGGGAGTGGCCTGTGTCCTTGGTGGGATCTCAAGGTTCCCACTGGGCACTTAGCCTCAAGGATCTCCTTGAACATTGTGTTGTGAAGGTGGCTGTTCAAGGAGCAAAGTGGGCATTAAATCAAGCCAATATTCATGGAGACAGAGAGGAGTGAGAGGGACGAGAATGGGGTAAGCCCGACATGTGGAAATTCTGACCTCACAAGTGGAGAGTAGTGTTCAAAACATTTCTGTGTCTTGGTTTGGGTCTAACTAATCTAAGGGGCTGCCAGCTGTAAAATACTAGGGCTATACCGAAATATACGGGTTGACTTTCAGTGCACATATATGTTTTACCCACATTTCTGTATGTGCAATATGCCTTACGAGTTTTAAAACCAAAAGCAAATGCAACAAGAACAAAAATAGACAAATGGGACTTAAACTAAAAAGTTTCTGCACAGCCAAAAAAAAAAAAAAAAAACAACAACAGAGTAAACAGACAATCTACCAAATGGGAGAAATATTTTCAAATCACGCCTCTGAAAAAGAACTAATATCCAGAATCTACAAGGAAGTCAACTCAAGCAAGAAACAACCCCATTAAAAAGTGGGCAAAGGACAATGAAACCACCTTTGCAAAAATTATGACAGAGGAAATTATGACAGTGAAAGAGATCAGACTTAACTGACTCCATCTTGCTTTTAACCTTTAAGCTGTCTTTATTCATTCCTGGGCGTAGGCCGAACTAACCTTGGGAAGGAATTCAGTTTATGGTTTGACTCTGAAACAAAACTAACAGCCTTTTCCCATAAAGATCCCCTTCTTGACTGGGGACCAGTCAGCCTTTGTAGGACTAACAAACTAGCTACAGGATTAGAAATTACGGTTTAGGAATCATGCAGCCTCTGGCTCTAAGAGTCTGAGCCTCCCCAAATTGCTCCTGGGGATAACATCACTATTGTAATACCTAAAATCAGTGCTTGAGATATTTTGCAGACCTTTTACTGGATGGATAGGCTGACACCACCCAGACCGGTAATCTGGCTCAACCAGTTCTGTGATCCCATCCAGGAACAGAAGACAGCAAGAAAACCTCACTTCGACCCCCTAGGAGTCCATCTCCAACCTGACCAATCAGCACTCCACATTTCCCAAGCCCCTGCCCAACAAATTATCTTTAAAAATTCTGATCCCCGAATGCTCAGGGAGACTGATTGAGCAGTAATAAAATCTGATCTCCTGCATAGCTGGCTTTGTGTGAACGATTCTTTCTCCATTGCAATTCCCCTGTCTTGATAAATAGGCTCTGTCTAGGCAGCGGGTAAGGTGAACTGTTGGGTGGTTACAGCATGAACAGACATTTCTCAAAAAATGATATACAAGTGGCCAAAAACTCAAGAAAAAATAGTCAGCATCACTAATCATCAGAGAAATGCAAATTAAAACCACAATGAGATGTCTTACACCAATCAGAATGACTAGTCAAAAAAACCCTACTCTGAATAAATTTGTGAGGCCAGTATGGTATTTCTACACGCTGGGCTTATCCCATCCTCAGTCCTCCCACTTCCCACCATCTACATGAATGTTTACTTGATTTGATGCCAACTTTGCTACCAGATGTCGGCATGACTGTGGAGAAAAGGGTAGGCTTATACGCTGTTCATGGGAATGCAAATTAGTACAACCTCTGTGGAAAACACTATGGAGACTTCTCAAAGAACTAAAAATATAACTACCACTGAGCCAGCAATCCCACTACTGGGCATCTACCCAAAAGAAAAGAAATCATTATATGAAAAAGACTCCTGCACTCGCATGTTTATGAAGCACTATTCACAATAGCAAAGTCACAGAATCAACCTAAGTATCTATCAAAAGTTGACTGAATAAAGAAAATGTGGTATATATACACTACAGAATATTATGCAGCCATAACAAAGAACAAACCCACGTCTTTTAAGCAACATGAATGAAACTGGAGGTCATTATCCTAAGTGAAATAACTCACAAACAGAAAATCAAATACTGCATGCTCTCACTTACAAGTGGGAACTAACCAATTGGTACATGGGGACATAAAGATGGAAATGAGAGACAATGGGGACTCCAAAAGGCAGCGGGGAGGTTGGGAGGGAGGTGGGGGCTGAAAAATTACTTCTTAGGTACAATGGTCACTATTTGGGTGATGGGTACACTAGAAGCCACATACATCTCACTCAGGGAAGCAGCTTCACAGTCAGCCAAACCCACGTTCAAATCCTGTCTTTACAATGATCAACCTTGCCAAAAATACATTACCTTTTAAAAACTCATTTTTTTTAATCTGTAAAAAGGGGACACTATTCCTCCAGCACAGTGTTTCTGTGAGGATTAAATGGGTTTTGTAGGTAAAGTGCCCAGCACATTGCCTGGCTCATAGTACATCTTCCCAATGGTAGCTCTGATACTTCAAATGTATTAATTTGAAGTATTTTGTATTATTTGAAATTTATTAATTTGAAGTAATTTGTTAATTTGTTAAATTAAAATTTAACAGTTTTAATTTAATTCAGATAGTGCTATTTGATAATTAGGTAATTTTATGTATGGGAAAATCATGTTTTGGAAGCAAAATAATAGTCTAAACCAATACCAAAATAAAAAATATAAATGTATCCTAGAATAAAGGGTTTTCCAAAATGTCAGAAGTGATCAAGGAGAAAAACCACGATTGAAATACTAATTATAGCACATGCTTTTGTATTCATGAAACAGGTCATCTAATAAATTTTGTTATTCTGATCTGAGTAACTGTGTATACCTAGAAGTGTAAAATTATGTCTATTTAAGAATGTTTCATAACTGAGAATTTTCATTGACTTAGCATGGTTTTGTCCACCTTCCCTACCCACAATTACTTTGAAATTTTAAAATTTTACTTCACATAACAGGCCAATTATAATAAAATCTCACAGATCTGTAAAACACTTTCATATAACTTATCCACTCAATCCAGAAAAGCAGGATCCAGCAATGGGGAAATTATAATCAGAAACTCTAAGACCAGATCAGTGTTTCCGTTAAAAAAGAAGCAGTATGAGGCCGGGCGTCATGGCTCATGCCTGTAATCCCAGCACTTTGGGAGGCCAAGGAGGGTGGATCACAAGGTCAGGAGTTCGAGACCATCCTGGCCAAAGAGACCAGCCTGGCCAACGTGGTGAAACCCCGTCTCTACTAAAAATACAAAAATTAGCCAGGCATGGTGGTGGGCACCTGCAATACCAGCTACTCGGAAGGCCGAGGCAGGAGAATTGCTTGAACCTGGGAGGCGGAGGTTGCAGTGAGCCGAGATCGCGCCATTGCACTCCAACCTGGGTGACAGAGTGAGTCTCTGAGTCAAGAAAAAAAAAAAAAGGAGCAGTATGAGAGGTGCCCCAACCCACCCATCCTTCCCTGACTCCAGTCTCTATGCGCACATCTAAATCAGCATGTGCTTGTTATATCTCATCTTTATTCTACATTCTTGACTCTACGGAGAAGGGAAAGCTAAGGGACAGACTGAAAGAGGTGAGCCTGGAGCAGCTCACGAAATGGGAGCAGGAGTTCCATGGGGAGGGTGGATGGGGACACAGCACCAAGTGGCTGCTCACTTTGTAGTGCAAAAAGACGAACTCAGTGTTTCAAAGTACTGTCGGCCCCTAGCTCCTGCTATTCCATAAAGTTCAGCCAAAGAGTAATCAAACAAGGCCTTCCTTTAAATCGAATCATCAACATTTCTTCTAGGAAGAATGCCGTCAGCCTTTGGAATGTGTCTGGGAAGTTTAAGCTTCTAAATTCTAAAGAAGAAGAGTGAAAACATTTTTTTTTCCTGGGTGATCAATAGTACTTATAGGGTGCACGAGCATGTGCATATGTGTGTGCGTGTGTGTGTGTGTATGTGTGTGTGCGCATGTGTGTGTTTTGGAGTATAGCCTCCCTATATAACCCAACAATTTAATTTGACAAAAGGCGACCCGACATTCAAGGTTAGGGTAGAGGTTGTTTTCAAAGGAGCCAAAATTCCTCAGATTTGGGGAACCTCCTGAATCTCTACCCCTGAACACAGCAGTGGCCTTGGATGTCAGCTGTGTGGGTGCTTTGTGAGGAGAGGAGATTATTCAGCTCTGCTAACCAATAAAAACAGGGCTTCATGTTGGCTGGTTAAGCCAGTTACCAGTGCTGCTTCCTTTCTGACAGCACATTTTCTGGGTAAAGAGGACCCAAAGGAGCAGCCGGGCTCTACCGGAGGAATGTATTGGCAATACTGAAAAGATCAGAATCTTCAAACAAAAAAGTGCCAACATTTTCATTCTCAACTCTCCCTGCTACACAGGGTTCTGAGTTTACAGAAATATACCCTCCACTCCCCAAATACAAAAAACGTCTAAAATGGGCTGGACTTGACAAAGTGTTCTAAGCTTTTGCCAATCCAAGAATGGTTCTTGGCATTGTGGGGGATTTTGTTAAAACCCACACCAAAAACAGAATCTGACTTTAACAAAACCCCCAGGTGATTTGATGAACACTGGCCCAAGTGTTCCTAGGCACTATGAGAACATACACCATTGGCTACAGCCCCAGCTCCATGTCAGCGCTCAACTTCTTTGATACTCCTCGACCATCATTCAGAGGAGTTGATGTTGTTTGAATATCCTTTATTTTCAGGCGAACACGAACGCTGAAGCCTCCAGGGGCCTTAGTTTTTTCTCCTATGGTTCTAAGATTAACTCATTTTCTCAAAATATGAAAAGGAGGGGGAAGGCTGCATATCATTTTGCTATGTGGTCTGTTGTGTGACTGTGAAAGAAAACTGACCTCAAACTTCCCAAGGATGATGCAAAAATAAATCCTCTGCTGACCTCCAGGACATAGAAACAGCCCGTGTCCCTGTTGACAGCCTCTAACTTCCAAAGGGCTGGGAAAACCACAGGAGGAAAGCCTGGGGTTAGCCCTTTTCCAGGCTGTCCTTCTGCACGGCATCCAGGTCAAGTGAGTCTTCATGAGGCAAGCCCAGATATGCAGCTCCCTTGGTCCCTCAGAAGGACCCTGGTACTCACAGAGGGTCCGGATGATGTCACTGGGCCAGCTGCGGGGGCTGGGGCCATGGGAATTCATTGCCCTCACGGCAAACTGGTAGTTGGTATCTGGATCGAGGCCCTTGATAACCATGGAGTCCATCTGGATCCGCTCATGGATTGAGGTCCACTTCTTGTCGAAATCTGGCCTTTATTGATTAGAAAAACAGAAGAAGCAGTAGTTCAGAAATACCAGAGGGAAGGGAAGCTAGCTGGCTATGTAAACTAATAGCATTTGAACTCTGGAAGCAATACTTGTAAAAGTAAGTTAACATTTCCTATCTGAAAGTAATCCTGATTTGAAATCACAAGTCATCATTTGCAAGTCCCTGCCGATAAAAACAAGTAGATTATTTTTAGGGTCAGTTGTAAACACTACTTAAAGACAATCCGTTTTTCCTTGCAAGGCCCTCACTATGATGAAAAGATCTTCACATAGGAATTCGCTTTCAAGGACTCTGCCTTCCAGATGTTCACAAACAATCCTCCCTTTGGCAGTCCCCATCCCCAGAGGTCAGAAGAACACAGATTCCGTCTATTCACAATCTGTTCACAAAATAAATATAAGTTTTATAGGGTGACTAATTGCATGAATTGTCATGGGAAAACCCAAGAAGAATCTGTTCACGGACATTCTTAGTCTTAATTATACAGCTACGCCAATGTGCTGAATTTTTACATGTCCTTTGGAGGGCCCTTCAGAGAAGGCAGACCTTTGCTTAGAGCTCCCATCTGGGAGGTAATACACAGAAGGCGGGAGGATGAGCTCTGGAGTTCAAATCCTGACTCTCCTACTTACTAGCTGCTACTTAATTCCTTTAAGACTCAGTTTTCCCATCTGTAAAATGAGAATAATAAAAGGATCTACCTAAGAGGACTGCCATAAAGATTAAATAAGATATATATCTCCAGCCTAGTACCTGGCATCAAATTGTAAACACTCAGCAGGTACCAGACATTATTCAAGGGACTTCTTCACAGAACTAGTAACTTATAGCTGCCTGCTTACTCTATACCTGCATGATCCAATATGGTACCACTACCCTATGTGGTAGTCAGTCATCACTTCAAATGTGTCTGAATTGAGATGTGCTATTGTGTAAAATGTACACTGGATTTTAAAGAAAAATAAAAAAGAATGTGAAATATCTCAATAGTTTTTATATGGGTTATATGTTCAAACGAGTATATTTTGGATACAGTGGGTTAAAATATATTATTGAAATTAATTTCATTTCTTTCTTCTTGCCCTTTAAATGCCACTCTTAGAAAACGTAAACTTTCAAATAGGCTGGCGTTGTATTTCTACTGGATAGCACTGCTCTATGTGGACATCCTAGCTGGAGGGGAGAAAAAAAGAACATTCCAGGTAATAAGAACTACAAGATAAAAGTTGGAAATAATTGTGCATGGCCTGCAGACAGTGTGAATGGCCTAAGGGGAGGAGAGGCTTTGTGTTAATGGCTAATAACGTCAAGGGCTTTCCATCTACCAAGCACCATTCTAATACCTT
Source organism: Homo sapiens (assembly GCF_000001405.40). Lineage (NCBI taxonomy): Eukaryota > Metazoa > Chordata > Mammalia > Primates > Hominidae > Homo > Homo sapiens. Next base: position 38,368,931 of record NC_000005.10, on the reverse strand, counting down.
AACTCATTTACTTCTCAAAAATGCCCTATGCAGTAGGTACTAATATTAAACACTCCACCTTTTTTTTTTCTTTGACAGAGAAGGGAACTAAGGCACTGAACAGGTAAGTAACTTGCCCAAGGTCACATAGCTGATAAATGGTGAGGCCCACTTGGATTGGTAGGATGAGGTTAGATTTACAAGACCCTTAATACTGGATGAAAAGGGGGAGTGACGGTGGGCGGCAGACGATTCCCCATCCCTTTGCTTGCTCCCTGGCCACCTCTCAGGTGTTCTGTTGTTAAACACCTCTGCTCACAGATATTTAGAGGAAGGCAGGAAACAAAAAAGTTCTGTTTGTCTTTGAGGAGCAACTTACCAGGCAAGGAAATAGAGAGTCATTTTGCTAAAAGAAGATGCCGGGGTGAACAGCGGATTTCCTTAATGTGAGCTCGCCCAGTTTTTCATTAGCAGGAATGATTGAAAGCCAGATGGAGTCCTTATGCCCAATAAATGATGCTTCCTCAAGCTCACCAAGCTGGGGGTAGTGTGTTAACGTGTTTGGAAAAGCACAGTTCACAGGGTATGCCCATGGAGGAAGCAGGGCTGGTTTCTCTTTCCTGATATTCTTTTCCCAAAGATGGAATTCTCATGTAAACTAACTTTATCATCGAAGAGAAAACCTCGGTGAGTGGAAGGAAACACATTTACAAACTCAAATTAGAACAAAATCACTTCGCAGAGGAAAACCACAGGGGATACCTAAAAGTAAAGTCAGAAAAGATGTGATCTTTAGATAAAACTCTCTGCTATCGTTTGCTAAGCTTCCCTTGTGATATTTATAGAGGAAATAACCCATATCTATTCTCACAGTCTGCTGTTATTTACCGAGGACTACCTGCAAAGACCTGCAACAATCTTTATGTAAAAACTACAGCAAAACAAAAAGATGATTTTGTACATGTTGTCCATTTAATGCAGAAAAGAAAAACTCTTATTTCCAGCAAACAAGAGATTAAATCATTAGCATTTATTTTTATTCTATAGAGTGAGAGAGACAAGCTCATGCAGATTGAATGCCTGTTCAAAACCTTTAACATTTTGCCTCTGATTTTGTCATGAGTTTTTTATTTGAGTGTTTTTAGAGTCTCTTCAGGTACAAAAGTACAAAGGTGAGGCTGAGAAAGAGATGACCAGGCAAAAGTATTGTCTTAAATCATCCTCCAAAACACCTGTATCTTTTTTTTGACTGAAGAAAATCACTTTATCCTAACTACAAAGTTGTTGGTCAGATCACCATAGCAACGCTATCTTGGCAATGTATTCAACAATGAAAAGGCCAGAGGGTGAGAAGTTGACTGAGAATGGGCTGCCACCCCACAGGAACAGAAGAACATCTGGCCATCTGGTGGGGTGGCTCAAGCCTGTAATCCCAGCACTTTGGAAGGCCGAGGTGGGAGGATAGCTTGAGCCCAGGGGTTCAAGACCAGCCTGGGCAACATAGTGAGACCTCGTCTCACTATGTTTAATAAAAAAAAAATTAGCCAGCATGGTTGTGCATGCCTATAATCTCAGCTACTAAGGAGGCTGAGGTGGGTGGATTGCTTGAGCCCAGTAGTTCAAGACCAGCCTGGGCAACATAGTAAGACCTTGTCTCTGCAAAAAACTTAAAAAAAAAAAAAAAAGTCTGGGGTGGGAGGATTGCTTGAGCTTGGGAGGTTGAGGCTGCTGCGAGCTATGATTGCACCAATGTACTCCAGCCTAGTGACAAAATGAGACCCTGTCTCAAAAACAACAACAACAACAAAAACATGGGCAGCCACCAGCAGGGCATACACTGCAAGCATTTTGCCAAGTAGTGAGATAGGGTTGGGCCAGGCACCCTATACCTCAGGAGATCAGTGGCTCAGCTTTGGAAGGTTGCTGGGCAGGTGAATTCAGGTGGGGAATAGAGAATGCGGCCAGCAGTGGGTAATCAAAACCCAATTCATCAATTCACTTAATCAGGGCTCACTAACTGGTTCATTTTGCCACTTACCATTGGCATTGTTAGAATCCAGCCTGGCTATCAGGGCTGGGTGAAATCTTAGAGATCATTTGGTCCAAGTGTCTGAGGACTCTCAGAAATTGTATGCAGGATTTTATACATGAACACATTTCATTTTTCTAAGTAAAGGGTCCTTCACTTTTATTAGATTCTCAAAGATAAAATAATGATCCCAAAAGCTTTGAGAGTCACTGATCTGATCCAGTCTCTCATTCTACCTACATGGTCACTGAAGGAAAATAATTTACCCAAAGTCACAGAACCACTGGGTGGTATACCTTTCTGTTTTAATTCTTTCTTGTGGTGTTTTGACTACCTTGCCCATTGCCAATCTCAATCTTAGTGAACAATCACTTTTCTTGATACTATCAAACCCCATAGGTGGCTGCCATGGGCTAGTCCATTGGCAAATGATGAATGATTATCAACCAGGCATCCATCACAAAAGTTATATTCCAGGAGGCTCCACGGAAGTGTAAGCACAGTTCCATTTTCAGGGAGTTTATAACCTAATAAGCTGGGGATAAAATACATCTGAGCATCAGTGCAGAAACAGCACCTCTAAGGACCAGTAGGAAGCCAGCGCAAAATAGCACATTTCAAGAACTGTATTTGAATAGGTCACTGTGAACTAGAATCCTGAGGAAAGTCTAAGTCCCAGAATCCATATCCTAGGAAGACATGGTTCTCTATGTTGATCACTGGGCAGAAGTTGCTCTAGACCCATCTCCGCTTGATGCAGGATCCAAAGAGTGGGTACTGCTGGCTTAGGTGGAGGAAACTTAGTGAGGATAGGGTGGTGTCTTTACATAAGAGACAGACAAATAAAGATGGTGTGGAAAGCTTCTGTGTTTTCCATGTTGGACTAAGAGGCCCAGTGGTTTCTTACAGAGAAGCCAATGGCAGGAAAACCTTTTGATGTCAATTAGGAATGACAGACAATGAAGCTGACTGCCTTGGAAGGGATGAACTGGGCCTCGTTGACTATATTAAAGCAAAACTGGGTGGTCCTCAATCAGGGACCATAATGTAACAAGTGACTTCCTGATCAGGGTGGGAGCTACTTAATTCAGTATCTCTGACCTTGACTCACAGTAAGTAAACATTTTTCCATAGTAAATATACCTATGCACATAAATATGTATATTATATATGAATACAAAGCTGAAAAAAGTTTCAAGAAAAAATACTTAGCTTTACTACCTTATTCATGTTTCTCCTTTCTTTCTCTCCTTTTCCTTTCTTTTCTACTTCTCCTTTTAAAAAACAAAATGCTGGTAAAAGACCATTAAATTGATCTTGCCACTCACTGAAGTGCTGTGGCCCATAATTTGAAACACACTGCACTGAACTTTTCCCCCTAGAATACCTTAGATGGCATTTCCAATTCTACAATTTCAAAAATAAAGCAGGTGTCATTAGCCCCTGAGAGGAATCTGTTTCTTGAACTTGAATTCAACACCAACACATGGCAAATGAAGCCTGTTCAACCTCAAATATGCTCTGGATTCATCACATATCAGAGCTGTGTTTTTGAATGATCCACGGTAAGATATACACTGGACATTGTGACCCAGTAAACACCACACACACATACATACACCTGAAACAAGTTTCACAAACCGATTCTCCTTTTTACTATGCGTGAGAGCCTGTGGTATTCTCTTTTCTATTCTATTTCACCTCTCAGTTTGAGAACTCCTGTTCCAGAAAGACAGAGCTGAGATGAAGAGTGAAGCTAAAGCATGTCATGGACGTTAACTAGGAAATGGCTAAAACTGGTTAAATCCTGCTAGGAAAATACTTTTGAGAGTGGAATTTGTTGGAGCAGCCAACTGTCCTCTAGGGGATACAACAGAACATCCAGAATAGCCTTGACCATAGAGGCCACTCTACTGGCCTTAGAGGGAGGGGACCAGAAGCCTAATTACAGCACAGACAGACACCTGTGGCCTCCTTCTTTCCACATCAAACCTACCAACCCACAATGGGATGCTTTCTGGAGGACGCTGGGTTACTTGATGGCTCCCTCCCTAAGTATTTTCTCTCACATTATTCCTTCTAAACATCATCTCATAAACAGAATTAAAAATACTTTCCTCCAGACAATCCCATGCCTTGAATCTGATTCTACTATCACACTGATTAGATCACCTTCCAGTATAATTTTAGACTTCTGTCTTTCCTCCTGGGCTGGGAGCTCATTAAGCATGGTGACTTTGTCTTCTTCATCTACGTGTTCCTTGAGATGTCTGCACGATCTTTCAAAGACGGGAATGCTACCAGTCTCTTTCCTGCTTACAACTTTCCATAGCTCCCTATTCCCTTCAGGATATAGATGGGCACCTTTATAAGGCCTTTTTTTGGTGTGACCCTCACCGACCCATCTCTCACCCCACAGAGCTCCAGGCTTTCTAAGCAATTCCAGGAACATTTTCTTCTTGCCTCCAAGCCACTGCTTAAGTGGCTTCCTCAGTCTAAGCTTTTCATGTTGCTTCCTCCCTCCCCTTTTGCCTGGTAATCTCTGATGTGTCCTTCTTTGCTCCCATAAGAAGCCTTCTTTCCTTCAAAACTAGGTCAGATCAAGCTTATGTTTCTCCAGGTTCCTGATCGCCATGCCTGCCTACAACACTCACTACTCCTCTGAACTCTGTCCATCTGCATTCCCCAGTAGACTGTCCAAGGGTGGAGTCTACAGCTTATTTATTCATCCCTAAATCTCTTGCATGTTTTTCACATGAGATACTCCATACATACATGTTTGTATGAACATATGCTCATAGGAGGTATCCAATAAAGGGTGATTGAGCTGAATTAAAATATCTTCAGAATTCAACTTAGAAATAGCATGATGCCTTAAATCAGGGTTGGCAAATTTCAGCCAGCTGCCAGTCTTAGTAAATAAAGTTTTACTGGAACACAACGACACCCATTTAGGTACTGTTTAACCTCACCCATTTAGGTACTGTTTATGGCTGCTTTCCTACCACAGTGGCAGAGTTGAGCAGTTGAGACAGAGTTCATACAGCTGGCAAAGCACAGAATATTTACTATCTGATCCTGTGAGAAAAAGTTTAGCAACCCCTGATCTAAGACAACAGCATGGTTTAACTTGGCTTGTGCCACTTTGACAGTCCAATGAAGCCTATGAACGCCTTCTCGGAATGATGTTTTTAAAGGCATCAAATATATAGGTTCACAAAGGAAATCAATTATATTGAAAAGGATCATCAAAATAATAAAAATCATGAAATAATATACTTTATTAATACATTAAATAAAAAACCTAGCAATGGATTCAGTAACTATGCTAATTTCAAAGTAGTGATAAACATAACTGGTATTTTGAGATATGTGCAACCATTGTAACCAGATAAGAAAATACTTGTGATTCTAATGTTGACAGGGTCACAAGAATTGTTAATACCATTGTGATTTGTTGTCTACATTCATTTTTGAAGAAAATGCTAAATTTCCATTGGTAAAACTAGGGATATAATTTTTTTTCCAATCCAAGTCCAGGGACCCCTTGAATTATATTTCCTGAATTCTATCCAGGAAACCCTTGGGGATCTATGGACTGCCAGTTAAACACCCTGCTCTAAGAGAAGAGATGTGATCCCATACATTACCCAGGGCAAACACAACAGGGGTGAGAGGAAACCTCATGCTCAGAAGAGCCTCCGAATCAGTCAATTTTACATACTGGTTTTATGCAGGATTTGCTCTACACTAAATGAATTGCAGAGAAAGGTCCAAAACCACTCAGTAGTCAAAGATGGAAAAAAAAAAGATGTAGTATTTGACCTTCAGCTTTCAGCCTTCTTTCTTTATTTACAAATTGGTTTAACCTAACCAAATGACAAACACATGGATACAATGGTGTTATGATAAACTCACCTGGCAATTTGTCCCAGGTGGGGCAATAGGAGAGCACACTTCATTTACAGTTTACAAATGGCTCCCAAAGCTGTTTCATAATTCAATGTATGTCAATTGCCATCAGTCTAAGCAGGAATTATATCAGGAATGTTTAGGGTAGGAGGAATTGAAGCTTTACGGGATCAATTTGCCGAACTACAGGTCGGACTTCTTTAAATCCTTTAGAGTAGCCCTTCCATTAGGGCCTGAGCAAAGGGACTTGACAGCTTCTGGAATTTCTAGGACCAGGTGCTAGTCTAGTAGGTGGCTCTGAGATTTTCAGTTTCAAAACTAAAGGTAAGGAAAAGAATTCTTTGTGAAGCAGCACTTGTCGCCTGTCATATGAAATCCCAGCTGACATCCAAGCAAGCTCATTCTTGCTTATATCTAATTCTATTGCTGATGGTAATGAAAGCTCATACTTAAATAGCAAAACTTCTAACACTTTTTTTTGAAAAGAAAGGGAGATTAGGGAGGGTTGTTTTTTCCCATTTCCTCCCAAAATTAACTGTTTAAGAATAATTCTTTAAATATTTTCAATTCTAACTTTTGGGGGCTAGCAAGCCAACACCAGACTACATCACTCTTAAATATTGCAGTCATATGTCCAAGTTTTGCTATATATTCCAGTAAAATGCTCTGAAGAACGGTGGCAGTTCACTTAGTTATGATGACGAGCTCTAAGACATGAATTTGCATTCCACATGAAATAAAATCACAGTAGGAACTTTCAAGTTAGTCATATCCATTTAGGTATTATTTGAAGCTTTACCACATCTTGAGATTACTTTTATGATGAGAAAACGATAGCAATAAATAAACTTTCAGTTGGGATTGAAGTGGGGCATTGCGGGGGTCGGGGGATGCATATGTGCAGATCCTCGTTGGCTTTTGTATGGTTTTTATTTCTGTAGTGGGTGAGGTCAGATGTTGGTTACTGTTGTGGCCTCTGATATTGGTGGTAAAGGATTCATTGAATTACTTGTGGGTAATGCTTTTTACATTATTTACTCAAAAATAAGTAACCGCTAGTGTGAAAATATATTTGCATGTGGCTCAAGTTAAAAAAAAAAAAATCAAAAATCCTCCATGAGCCATTCTTCTAAGTGCTGTACAGACCTGTTCATCTCTGCAACTCTTCTGAGGTAGCCACTATTACCATCCGTATTTTACAGCAGAGGAAAGTAAGGCTTAGCAGGACTAAGCAGCTTGCTCAGGGATCCAGCTAGTTGCTGGCATCCTCTAGATCAAGCTTGTCCAACTCACTGTTTGAGGGCCACATGCGGCCTAGGACAGCTTTGAATGTGGCCCAAAATAAATTTGTAAACTTTCTTCACACACTATGAGGTGATTTTTTTTTTTTAAGTTCATCAGCTATCGTTAGTGTGTTTTACGTGTGGCCCAAGACAATTCTTCCTCTTCCAATGTGGCCCAGGGAAGCCAAAAAATTGGACACCCCTGCTCTAGATCAATCCCATGACTGCCTGTGTCCAAATGCTTACCAGCACCTATTTGACATGTGGTGTGTTCACAGTGCTATGTCCTATATTCCACACAAAGGAGCAAGGTAGACGTTGCATTCATGTTCCAAGAGGAAGACAGACCTTGAAGAAGTAATTAACTACAAGTGTGCTGAGTATTGCAAGTAAATGTTGGAGGTATAGCTAACCTAATCTGGGAGTAGAGGAACGTAGTCAGGCAGGGCTTCCTGGAGGAAGTGACACTTAAAGAGGAGTCCTGAAGGATGAACAAGAGTAAGCTAAGTAAGGAGGTAGAATAGCTGTCCTGACAGGATAGCAAGCATAAAGACTTGTGGCCAGGGAGGGTGCGGTGGCTCATGCCTACAATCCCAGCAGTTTGGGAGGCTGAGGTGGGTGGATCACTTGAGGTCAGGAGTTCAAGACCAGCCTGGCTAACATGGTGAAACCCCGTGTCTACTAAAAATACAAAAAAAAAAAAAAAATTAGCTGGGCGTGGTGGCACATGCCTGTAATCCTAGCTACTCGGGAGGCTGAGGTAGGAGGATTGCTTGAACCTGGGAAGTGGAGGTTGCAGTGAGCCAAGATCACACCACTGCACTCCGGCCTAAGTGACAGAGCAAGACTAGATTCTATCTCAAAAATAAATAAATAAATAAATAAATAAATAAATAAATAAATAAATAATTTCAAAACACACTTGTAGCCAGGAAGAAGCAGGCTATGTAGGAAAGCAGAAAAGACCCATCGAGTAAGCCATGTAGGAATAGTTTGCATTGATTGAGCACTTACTAAGGGCTAGGCGCTGTTCTAGGCATTTTATGTGTGTCAACTCATGTAATTTCATAATAACCCCATGAAGCAAGTAAATTATTATCCCCATTCTGTTGTCTGAGGCCAGAGAAGTTAAATAACCCACCAAAGATCACACAGCTTAGAAGTGGTAGAGACAAGGTTTGCACTAGGGAGTCCAGCCCAGAGCCTGTGTGTTACGCAATCCATCGATACTGCCTCCCCTACGTCTTGATACTAGACGAGCAGAGTCACAGGATTTTAGATGTCACGTATCCAGCATGCCTTAATTTGCAGAGAAAGAAACTGAGGACTGGAATCAAGCAACTTCACCAGGCTTAGAGGCTGGTTCAGAACCATCTCTCCTGATTCCACATTTGGACACACTTAAACCTCAAGAGATGATACTATGAATCAGGGTATAAGCCTCAATTCTGAATGAGAAATGCCTTTAACCTTCACAGCTTTTGACCTTGACCATGAGTCAAATCACATCATCTCTTAGAACAGTTCAAAGAAAATCCATCCTCTGTTCAGCTTCCATTCTGAATCCCAGACTTGATCTTCATTTCAGTAACAGCCTTTGCAGGGTCACTTCCTGTGAGGAAACTAATTAAGTTCCTTTGTTACTTACAGAATATGGAAGTCTATGATGAGATGGAAGGAGAGATGACTTTTGACAAAAATATCAATTTGCGAGTAATACTTTAAAAAACCCACCCAGGTTGCATGACCTTGAAAGTCTCAAATGAAACCAATATGTAGGTACTGCAGTCCACCTAGAAGCAGCCCCGTGTGAAGATGAATTCTTCAAGTCTTATTATGGAAGGCATCTGCCAGGGACTAGAGGAATATTTAGGCAGAAAAGTCAGAAAGGAAGAAGATGGGAAGCTTTGCTCCTTCTCACTTATTAATATAAATATCTTACGTTGAGATTTAGAGAACGTTTCTTGACCCGAGTCCCTAAAACATACACAGACATATTCTGAACTTTCACATGTACCCAAAATAAGCCAATAGTAGACTTTGTGTGTGTGTGTTTGAGAGAGTCTCACTCTGTCGCCCAGACTGGAGCGCAGTGGCATGATCTAGGTTCACTGCAAACTCCACCTCCTGGGTTCAAGTAATTCTTGTGCCTCAACCTCCCAAGTAGCTGGGATTACAGGTGTGTGCCACCACACCCGGCTAATTTTTGTATTTTTAGCAGAGATAGGGTTTCACCATGTTGGCAAGGCTGGTCTCAAACTCCTGGCCTCAAGTTATCTGCCTCTTTGGGACTGGGATTACTAGGATTACAGGCGTGAGCCACTGCGCGCGGCCAATGGTGGACTTTTAACTAAAAACAGCCATTGCTGAGCTTTAGCCTGCCCCTTCCAGAAGGTGACAATGCAAAGCTCTGAAGCAGTTTTAGCCAATAAGGTGACACCTTTAGAAAAACTCTAGGTAAGTTAAATGAAAACTATTTTTCATGTTTATCCAACTCGATAGACAGCATACGACAGGCATGGCACCCCGATTGGAACTTCAGTGATGAGGAACGTTTTTCCAGGCTTTTGGTTTTCATTGCCACCATACTATATATTATTTGCTTATGAGAAAGGCACTTACCCTGGGGAAATTCTTAGGCAGAAGGGGGAAGGTTTCTCAGATATTTATAGCCAAGATATTTCAAAACATAGGTAGCTATATTTATGCTTGGTTCTTATTTTAATAAACACTAAGAATTGCTGCCCCCAAAGAAATTTTTAGTGTCACTTTAGAAAAGAAATATTCTCCCTCACCTCAAACACATGGCTTTTGTGTTTTAAAAAAGCAAGTAAAAGTGTTTAAAACACTGCAAAATATGTTACAGCCTGAAGGCTTACTCAGAACTTGCCTCTTCAGATCTTTTCTACACTGCTTAAAAAATAAAAATCTATGGCTATAAAGAAAGCTAACAAATAGCCTCCAGACCAACTTTGGGGGGGATCATGAAGATTCCTGCCACCTAAAAGCTTTTATTCTGCCTGGTCCTGAGACCAAGCTCTTCTCTGATGCAGTTACTGAGAGCGCCTTCAGAGTGCTCACACTAGAGGTGTCCTCTATTTTGGGGGTAATAGAAGTTGGATGAAGAACAAAAATTTGCTTGGTCCTAAGCCCCTGACTCAAGACATCATCATATTATGCATAACGTCTACTTGAAATATCATCAAAACTAGCAAATAAGTAGTCAGCATACCCTGGTCTCACAATTTTTCAGGTTAATCTTTTTTTTTTTTTTTTTTTTTTGAGACGGAGTCTTGCTCTGTCGCCCAGGCTGGAGTGCAGTGGCGCGATCTGGGCTCACTGCAAGCTCCGCCTCCCGGGTTCACACAATTCTTCTGCCTCAGCCTCCCGAGTAGCTGGGACTACAGGTGCCCGCCACCTCGCCCGGCCAACTTTTTTGAATTTTTTAGTAGAGACGGGGTTTCATCGTGTTAGCCAGGCTGGTCTTGATCTCCTGACCTCGTGATCCACCCACCTCGGCCTCCCAAAGTGCTGGGATTACAGGCATGAGCCACCACGCCCGGCCAGGTTAATCTTTTTTTAACCAGAGGTCTCACTTTGTTGCCTGAGCTGGAATACAGTGGCACAATTATAGCTCATTGTAGCCTAGAACTCTTGGGCTCAAGTGGTCTTCCTGCCTCAGCCTCCTGAGTAGCTGGGATTTCAAATGTGAGCTACCATTCCTGGCTTAGCTAAATATTAAAAAAAAAAAAAAAAAAAAATTCACTTAACCCGTGAGGCAGAGGTTGCAGTGAGCCAAGATCGTGCCACTACACTCCAGCCTGGGTGACAGAGCAAGACTCAATATCAAAAAAAAAAAAAAAAGAAAATTTGTTAGACTATCTCCTAACAATGCCTTTGAAATCTTTATCTCCATTGAATAGCAAATAAGAAGAGTAAATGATGCAGAAGTGCCCATGAGGACAGAGAGAGAACTGGAACCTTACCTTCCAGTGACAGAATGTAGACAAGAACTTCACATTAAGATATCTGAATCTGAGGATCACTTCTGGGGATAAACCAATTTCTACAATTTCCTAGCCTTGGCCTGCCAGAGTCCTGCCCCTTAGATGTATAATAATAAGGACCTTTTGGCTCACACAGAAACCTGTCACGTGTGCTTCTGTACACAGGAAGTAGAAAAAGGAATTCACTATTAAACATTAAATGGACCTCTCTGGGGAAAATAAAATAACTGCAGACAACCCCCTCCCCCACCCAAAGCCTTTCATCCTTTCTTACTGTCTTAGTCTCTTTGGGCTGTTATAATGAATACCATAAACTAGGTAACTTATAAACAACAAAAATTGATTGCTCACAGTTCTGGAGGCCAGGAAGTCCAAGATCAAAGTGCCAGCAGATTCAGTGTGTGATGAGGGTCCATTGCCTGGTGAGGGTCCATTGCCTGGTGAGGGTCTGCCTTCTTTTCTTTATGAGACAGGGTCTCACTGTGATGCCCAGGCTAGAGTGTAGTGACATGATCATGGCTCACTGCAGCCTTGATCTCCCAAGCTCAAGTGATCCTCCTGCCTCAGCCACCTGAGCAGCTGGAACTACAGTGTGCAATATCACACCTAGCTAATTTTTTTATGTTGCCCAGGCTGAGGGTCTCCTTTCTGGTTCATAGATGGCATCTTATCACTGTGTTCTTACATGGTGAAAGGGGTGAGAGACCTCCTGGGCTTTTTTTATAATGGCACTAATCTTATTCCTGAGGGCTCTGCCCTCATGACCTAACCACGTTCCAAAGACCTCATCCTAATACCATCGCCTTGGGTGTTCGAATTTAACGTATGAGTTTTGTGGAGGACATAAACATTGAGACCATACGTAGCACACACAAACTGCAGTTTCAGCATTAGAGCCCAGGAAAGCTCTCTCTGAACATACATTCACTCACCTATAATGGGATAGGCTCTGAGATGTTTACAAATGGATTGATTTTGCAGCCAAACATTAAATGCTGCAACAAGCTGTGGAGGCTTTCTTTCAGGAATACATCAAACAGCAGCCTAAGATGAGGTTTCTCATTTCCTCAGCCAGCAGGGCTCTGGGCAGGCTGGGTCTAAGCTTCCATCTCTGAAGGTGGGTCACAAACATGAAAGGACATGGGGATTCATAAAAAGAGCACCGGGCCGGAAGTCAGGAGAATTCGGTTCTAATTTTATTCTGTCCCCAACCAGTCATTTTATCTTGGCAAAGTAACTTATGCAATGGAGTCTCAATTTCTACTTTTGTGAAAGGGAAATGGTGGTACTGTAGGATGGAAACAGATACACGCTGAGTGTCTACGTGTATAGATACTTTATGAGGAGTATGAGCAAGAGCTCTGCAATGAGGGTTGCATTTGCTCGATATTACAGAAGAGGAAATAGGGGTTCTGAGAAAGGATAACTTGACTGAAGTCACATATTCTGGAAGAGATAGAGGCAGAATTCCTAGCACAGGGGATGTAACAAGTGACTGGGCCTTCCCATATTCCCATGTTCCATTTGGAATTCAACGACTATAAGAATTCTAAATTTGAAACTAACCTTCCAGACACTGTGAAGGTATTTTGTCAAGGTAAAGAGATAAATATATATTAGCAGTTGGTTGGAATGGCATATAATTTTAAAATATACATAAGAAGCCAGGCGCAGTGGCTCATGCCTGTAATCCCAGCACTTTGGGAGGCTGAGGCAGGTGGATCACTTGAGGTCAGGAGTTTGAGACCAGCCTGACCAACACGGTGAAACCCCATCTTACTAAAAATACATAAATTAGCCAGGCATCGTGGTGGGTGCCTGTAACCCCAGCTACTCGGGAGGCTGAGACAGGAGAATCACTTGAACTTGGGAGGCAGAGGTTGCAGTGAGCTGAGATCATGCTGTTGCACTCCAGCCTGGGCAACAAGAGTGAAACTCTGCCTCAAAATATATACATATGAATTTGAGACCTTGAGCCCCTTAGATATTAGACAGCTCTAAATGTTAAAACGCATTTTAATTGGAATTGTACTTGTACATAATACCCACATATACCTTATACTTTTGTAGGTTTTTAACATCAACACAGCTTTTTCTTACTCAAAGCTCTTCTCTTTCCCATATTTTCAAGAATATCACTTGATCCTCCTAACCATACACTATAAGGCTGGAAGAAGTCATCGCCCACGTTTTACAGACAAGGAGATTGTAGCCGATGCCTCTGGGGCCATTTCACCTCCCCTTGTCCCCTGATTTCAGCAGCAGCTGTGGCATGGACAGTTCTTGGAGGGCTCACTCACCTCTTGCAACCAGCATGTGACCTCAGACACATGCTGTGCTCCTGTCACTTCTCACCTCTCCAGACTCCCCCCTTCATCATAAAATGTGGAGGAGTTATACCCTCAGGAGCAATGTTGAAAGGACAGAGGAGGAAGAAGCCAGTGGATCCATGTCTCCTGTCTTTTTCATGGGCAATGTGAGAAGAATTCTGTGGGTTTCAGAGAGATCTCAATGGAATCAAGACCCCAGTGAAGACCCGGTTGCCTACAGCAGTGACTTCACTAACACACCCTTATATATATATCCTCCTTTCCTGTCTCATTCTCCCCACTCTCTCATTCCCACTTCCAAATAAACTATTTGCACCCAAGTCCTTATCTCCGGCTCTCTTTTGAGGGGACCCCACACTATGAGAGGCATCAAGGCTCAGTAGGGGAAGTAACCTGCACTGGGCCACACGGCTGCCAATAGAGAAGGCAGCACTCTCTCCCAGTTCTTCTGTCTGAATCCAGTGACTCTTTCATCTTCTACTTTCAGGTGTGCACACAAGGTTAAGAAACTGCCATTTCTACCTTACATAGATATAGAGAAAATTTTAAAATATGTGTTTGAACAAAAAATTAATAGTAAATAATGCTTACCTTTGCTCAGGGTTACACAGATTATCTGCCAGGCTACCATAAAAACATAAAAAACTGGGATTTTTTTTTGGGAGACAGAATCTCGCTCTGTCCTCCAGGCTAGAGTGCAGTGGTGTAATCTCGGCTCACTGCAACCTCTGCCTCCCAGGTTCAAGCAATTCTCACGCCTCAGCCTCCTGAGTAGGTGGGATTACAGGTACCCGCCACCATGCCCAGCTAATTTTTTATATTTTTAGTAGAGATGGGGTTTCACCATGTTGGTCAGGCTGGTCTCGAACTCCTGACCTCAGGTGACCTGCCTGCCTTGACCTCCCAAAGTGCTGGGATTACAGGCGTGAGCCACCGCGCCTGGCCAGAAGTGTGCATTTTTCAAAATTTTAAAGTATTACATCTTGCTTTGCTGGTGTTGTCTAATGTATCTGTGGAAGTAAATTATAAATGTTAAGTTTTGCCCCAAGTTTTACAGATGAGAAAGCTGAAGTTTTAGGATTTTCAGTGTAGCACATTTTACCAGTATTGGAACCAGGATTAGAATCTTTTTTTTTTAGGGATATTCCAGGTTTTGCCTACAAAATCTGTTCAATGGCAGGGGCGTAGATTATCTTCAATGCAAAGCATTGTTCTGGGGCTTTGCAGTGGGCATTATAAAAAAAAATCTTAGACTCTGTTCCCCTCTTTTCCAGTAATTGTACCACAATTTTCCTTTGAGGGTCCAATCCTCTTGAATACTCAATCCACATACACCAGGTTTGAGTGAACAACCAGTTGTTAATTCCAGAGCTTGGAATATGACCAGTGCCTGACCAATCAATGAATTCTCCCACTCGGGTCACAGTGACTTGTGCAAAGGATGGAAAGAGACTTCAGCTTGGCCAATGAGAATAAATATTGAGATTTTGCTGGGTCCATGGAGAAAGCCACTCTCTTTCCTAGGGAGCTAGGCTGGTCACTGTAGGTCTTGACTGCCTGCTGGCCATTTTGCCACCCTATGGGAAAAGCCCATCTAAAATGAAGCCACTAAAACAGAGAGGCGCATGGAGTCAGACTGCTGAATTGACACGGATCTAGCCTCCCCTGAATTTAGATTTGCTGCTGGACTTTTCAGTTACAGGAGCTGATGCATTACTGCCTCATCTTCTCCTTTCACACTTCTGACACTTGCAATTTACCAAGTCCTGTGTGAAACACTCTGTACTGAAGCATTAAAGAGATTCTGTGCAGTACCTCACCTCTGAAGAAACACATATCTGCTTTCCATTACCAAGGAATAGGCTAGGAAGTCAAGACACAGAAGCAGAGCTAATCAAATCTTGGGAGAATCCTTTGTCCCAGCTTCAGAGAGCCTTAGGAATGAGGTCCCGAACCAGTCTCTTTATGAATGCAGAAAGCAGCAGGCCTCAGACAAGCCCCATCACCTTTAACGTGGAGAATCCCAACTCCACAAACATTGTTTTCAGACTCACTCACCAGCCACCGCTTCCATTCAAAATCAAACAGCAACTAGAGTCCAGAGGAAATATCTTAGATTGGGAATTCTTTTTGTTGACCTTTGTTTTCCTTTCTCTCTTTCTTTAAAATTACATAGCAGCACTCAATTGAGAATCAATGCTTTAATATCTGTAAAGAATTTCCAATCACTCTCTACCCTCTGCTAAGCTGAATAATAAGAAATGGAGAGGTAGATGAAAGAAAAACATTGAGGCCAAACCAAGACACTTGTCCCAAGGCAATACGGACGTGAAAGAAACAATGGGTTGTCCTTGTTGTTAAAAGATTTTTCCCCTGCTCCTAAGAAACAGCATCATCAAATATTTACTTTCATATATAATATTTCAAAGCCAGGAGGGCAAGGCTCATGCTTGAAATGTAGGCAGGCTTATCAGAAATGGTACCTCAGGAGTTTTCAGAGCCTAGAATAGTCTCTGATTGTGCCAGGGAAATGAGGAAGAGGTATGTGATACAGATAGGTTTACCAGATGACCCACCAACAAAGATGTGTGGAGATCATTACTGGCCTAAGTATATACATGGGCTTCCAAGCCTCTGTTCGCTCTTAAATATATATATGGTAGAGACCTGGAGGTGACTCTCCTCATTGTCTTACGTCAGGCTTGGAATTCTGACATCTACACATTTGGCTTTTTTTTTTTTTTTGGGATGGAGTCTTGCTCTGTCACCCAGGCTGGAGTGCAATGGCATGATCTCGGCTCACTGCAACCTCCACCTCCTGGGTTCAAGCATTTCTCCTGCCTCAGCCTCCTGAGTAGCTGAGACTACAGGCACGTGCCATCACGCCCAGCTAATTTTTGTATTTTTAGTAGAGACGGGGTTTCACCATGTTGGTCAGGCTGGTCTCGAACTCCTGACCTTGTGATCTGCCCGCCTCAGCCTGCCAAAGTGCTGGGATTACAGGTGTGAGCCACCGCGCCCAGCACACATTTGGCTTTTGAATGTGACATACAGACTTACCTGATGAATTCCACAGAATAGTACTGAATAGGGGCGCTTCCTTCACTCGCTCCAGGTTTCCAAGACAGGGCCACCTCAGAATCCGAAACCACAATGACATGTGGCTGCTGGGGAGCTGCAGGAGGCAGGCAGGAATCTAGGTGGGATGACAAACACAACTAGACTAGGCTGGTGGTCTCAGCCGTTGGAGAGGTTTAATGGGCTAGGCTGGTGGTCTCAGCCATTGGAGACGTTTAATATAATACATAAACAGCTCGAGTGCTTCCTATACCCAAAATATCTCTGTTCAGAACAGCCTCAAAACCCAAACCAAACAAATATAAAAACATAATCACAACTTGATCACCATGTGAGGTTCGAGTCAATGAGAGCTGGTCTCCCCTTCTCCCCGTTGCACCCCTGACTGCAAATCCAATTAATTATGTCCCAGCCACTGATCCTGGGACACACAGTGGTAAGTTCCCTGGAAAACCTTCTGTCACATTCTCAACTCCTAATAGCATTCCATCTGTTTGCATTGTCAGAACTGATATTTACCTTCAAGGAAAATTGAATGCTTAGGATCACTGCCAATCATTCTTTTCTCTGTGTGTTTTGCCCCTGACAATCAGAATACATAGTAATGGTAGGTCATTTGGGAAATGCCCTTCTATGTAAAGATGCAGGAGTCACCCATGATCCCATCACTTCAAGTGACCGCTGTTTCTGATCACCTCCAGACACACACATCTCCCAGCCTTTGTTCACACTACTCCATCTGCCTGGGAGACCTTTCCTGTCTTTTCTTCCTAGCAAAATCCTATGCATTTTTTGTAACTCGGGCCAAAGGTAGGACTTTTCTGAAAGCCTCCGAGGCTGGGGCAGAGGAAGTGCGCCCTCCTGTGTGCTCCACAGCTTCCGGTGCAGTCCTTAGAAGTGCTGCTGTCACCAGGCGCGGTGGCTTACGCCTGTAATCCCAGTACTTTGGGAGGCAGAGGCAGGTGGATCACGAGGTCAGGAGTTCGAGACCAGCCTGGCCAATATGGTGAAACCCCATCTCTACTAAAAATGCAAAAATTAGCCAGGTGTGATGGCATGTGACTATAGTTCCAGCTACTCGGGAGGCTGAGGCAGAAGAATCGCTTGAACCCAGGAGGTGGAGGTTGCAGTGAGCCAAGGTCGCGCCACTACACTCCAGCCTGGGTGACAGAGTGAGACTCTGTCTCAAAAAAAAAAAAAAAAAGAAGTGCTGCTGTCACTCATTTGTCATTGGCTTCTCCTTCCACAAAAAGCTCCTTGCCAGCAGTGACCAGCATCAACCCAACTTTGTAGCCTACTGTCCACTTGGTGTCACCTCAATAAACATTAGTTGCATTCTCTTTGCCTATAAATCTCTTCTCCCACTCCCCTTCCTCACCTTCTTAATTCCTACTTACCTGTAGGATCTCCACTAGTTGTCATCTCTTCAGGGAATTCTTCCCTTACCCCTGTGTTGTACATTCCTACAGTGCTGGAGCATCTATCACACTCTGCAACTACACACTAATGAGGGAATGTCTAGACTCACCCCACTAAGTTCTGAGAGGGCGGGAGCTGTGCTTACTTTTGTTCTCTACTGAATTCCCAGAGCCTAGCACAGTGCTTGGCACATAGTAAGTCCCTATTGATATTTGCTGAATGAAGGATGCATGGATAGCAGCCTGCCACCTATTAATGAATTTGAACCTACTTTACCTTGGGACAAAGTGGTGACATGCCGAGGAGAGCTCAGCCGCCCTTTGCCAGCCTGGCTGTAAGCTGCTATGCTCACACGATATTCAGTGCCTGGTTTCAAATCTCCAATCACTTCCTCCTGTCAATGACCAAACAAGAAAGATGCTAACAATCAGTACATCTGTTTGGGCAAATTGTACAATTTCCATGAGGTTTATATCTCGAGGCCCCTGTGAAACTGCTTGGCACAGAGAATGTTTTGCTTTGTCTAGGACTGGCCCAGTTTTAAACTTTGCCAAGAAAAAAATAGCCATGACATATTTTCCAAGACTGGAGGATGGCCCTTTATTGAAATCTATCCATGGTCCTAGAACTAGATACATTCACACTAGCAAATGTTACTGTGAACATCAGAACTCTTTGATCAAAGTACTACGTTGCTGGAAGGCAGGTAATGATTCTTTCTAAGGCTGTAATTCCCCAGTTCCTTCTTTCCATTTGCAGATTTCAGATGCTCAGAGAATAGCTGCAGCTGCACACTGAGGTCTTGATTTGTACCTAGAAAGTAGGGACTGGAATTTTAGTTCTCAAATTTTAAACAGCATTAGAACTACCAGGAAGACTTTCTTAAAAGTATGTCTGTGTGTCTGTCTGTGTGTGTGTGTGTGTGTGTGTGTGTGTGTGTGTACTTCCCCTGCACAAACGGCCCTGAGCAGGAAGCCCCAGCTGAAGAAACTGAGGTCTTGATTTGTACCTACAAAGTAGGGACTGAAATTTTAGTTCTCAAATTTTAAACAGTATCAGAATCACCAGGAAGACTTTCTTAAAAGTGTGTGTGTGTGTGTGTGTGTGTGTGTGTGTGTGTGCGTGTGTACTTCCCCTGCACAAAGGGCCCTGAGCAGGAAGCCCCAGCGGAAGAGGGCTTTCTCCACCTTGAGCTTTGGCAAAAGTGGTGTGTCCCCAAAGCTACAGCACTAAATAGTAATTGGGAGCCTGGGTCTGATCGGTGGGAAGCAGCAGCCCATTGTAGTGGAAAGGGCACTGGCATTGTAGTCAACCAGCCCTGGGCTTGAATCCTGATTCTGCCACTTATTGTTAGCTGTGTCGCTGATATTAAATTCATTAAGCCTCAGTTTCTTCCTCTGTAAAACAGGCATGACATATAACCATCTTGCATGATTGTAACATTTGAGATACTGTGTGTAAAGCAGCCAGTATGGAAGATGTGCTCAGGAAATGAGTGGTCATGATATTGTCTTGGGCATGTGGGAACCTTCCTCTTCTCTGCTTACCTAGGCTCCCTGACTACTCCAAAGGCCAAGCCCTCCCTTTGACACCTTCCCTGACCATGCAGGTCTGGTGATCTTACCCTAATGAAAATTGTGCCACTACTTTAACACATTTACATTGTATTTATTAAAAACTGTTACTATTTCTCTTATGGGATTATAAGCAACTTGAAAGCAGGGACCATGTCTTATACTTTCTTCACAAGCTCTTTTGCAGATGTTTGAACGTCCATTGTTTCTAAGAAGAATTAAGGGCATCCCTACAATTTTTTAAAGCATTCAACAAATAATTAATGAATACTTAATACAGTAGTTCTCAAACCCTGATTACACATTAGAATCACTCGGTGATCTAAACGACTGAGGCCCGAACTCCACTCCAGACCACTTAAATCAGAATCTACAGGGGACAGAACCAGGAGTCTATTTGTTTAAAGCCCTCCAGGTGATTCTAATGTGCAGCCAGGTTTGTGAACTGCTGTTCCAGAGCTTGGCTCATCTCTCAGGCCCTGAACTGCCCCATCTGTTCCCCCTCCTCTCATTGTCCTGATCCCCCTAGATCCAGTATCTACCAGATCCTTCTGTATTTACTATGCTCAAGACTCACACACCTTAAAAACAGTAATTCCCTACCATACCTGCACCCCTAGCTCCTCTCCTTAGAGGCAACCTCCTTGAAGTTCTCTTTGCTGCCTCACCTCCTATTTACTCCTGAACTTACGCCCACCTGGCCACTCTCACTACAAACCTATTGAGATGTTCTTACCAAGGCACCGTAACAACTTTGTAATGAATCCAGTGAGTGCATCTCAGTCTTTAATGACTCTCTGCAGCTTTCAATACCATTGTCCACCCTTGCTTCTTCAATCTCTTGGCTCCGTTGAAAATCATGACTCTGCTCTTCCATGGTCACCTTCTACTTCTCGTGTTCCTCCTTTCCAATACCCTCCATCCACCCCCCTTTCTCTGCTACGTCTAAGGATTGGTCTTTCCCAGGATTTCGCCCTGTCACCATCTTCTCTTCTCCCTCGTAGTCTTGCTTGGGTAAACTCATCTCCCACTCCCTTAGCTTCTGGCACCACCTTCAGGGTGACACCTCGTGACTCTGCACCTCTAGCTCTGGCCTGCCTCCTGGTCTCCAGGCATGGATTTGTGAGGGCCTCTTGAACATCTACCCAGTGACTACCAAGCACCCCAAGTGTAACATAACCAAAGCTCAATGAATCATTCCTCCTCCTACTGCCAAAACCAAACCAAAACATAGCTTCACTGCTTGCCTTCTCTCTCTCTCTCTCTCTCTCATTACCCAAGGCCAGAATTCTTGATGCTTTCCTCTATGAGTTCACTCTACACCCCTCACCACCATCTCATCAGTTACCTATGCAGCAGATTCCACCTCTTTCATATCACTTGAATGTGTTTCTGTCATTTCATCCTTACAGCCCTTGAAGACCAAGTCCTCATAAATATGACAATGGGCTCTGATTCCCCTGCCACCAATGCTGCACTGCCTGTACCTCCAGTCTGGACTCCACAGTGCTATACTACTTATCTTTCTAAATATGCAATCTGATCACGTACTTCACACTTTAAAACCCCTTAGAAGAGCGTGTTTTTGTCCCCCTGTTTATCCTTCCAGCATCATCCCGTACCGTGTCCCCTCCTTACATTCTACATTCCAGTCATACTTAAGAACTTGGCAGGGCTCAAATTTATGCCATTCAATGCCTCTGGGCCTTTGAACCTGCTGCTCCCTCTACATGAAATGTCCTTCTCCCTACTCCTGCCTGGCTCACCCCTACTCATTCTTCATGACTCAGATCAGCTGAGACGTTACCTCATTTCTCTGGCCCCGCCCCAGTCTGGTTAGGTGCCCCTCCTCTAGGCTGCCCTGGTGTCCTTGGTGCACCCCAATCTGAGCAATGCTCACCTTGTATTTTAATTATCAGTTGATTTGTCACCTTGTCCCCACCCACTTGAAGCCAGTAAGCAAGTTCTTATTCCCCTGGCATCCCAAAGCTTAGCATAGTATTACCAGACATCTAGCAAATGCTCAAGCAATGCTTCTTGATGAATGAATAAATGAACTAATGAATGATTAAAGAAAGAAATCAAGCCAAGATGTCTCATGTAAACAGATGACCTCATCAAGAAGCCAGCCGATACTACTGAGCCCTGCATCTTGACTCACAGCATCAGTACTCCTGCCCCAGGCCTTGGATTAGCACCTCCAGGGACAGGACTGACTCTCCTGCCCACCTCCCTCCAGCCACCCCACCATGCCTTTCAGACCTGTTCCCTCATCCCATTTCCACCTTGGTGCCCAAGTTACGGCCCCTTTGACTCTTTGCCTGGGTCTTCAGTCTGCCCCTCCCTCCCACCCACCTCCACTCCACCCTACATGTGGCTTCACAAGGGGCCTTTGCTGCACATGTGGACCTGCCTTCAGATCCCCTCTCCAGCTCTACTTCCTCACATCTGTGCTCCTGAGCTTCACCTTCTGTCTCCAGGTTTCACGTCAAGTTTGGTGGTTAAGAGACTGGAGGCAACAGGTGGATCCAACCCTCTGTTCTCACTCCTCTCCCGACTAACACTCCAGGCTTTCCTCAAGGAAGCAGAAACACTTTCAAACCAACACAGCACTCTCCCAGTTTTGCTTTAGGATCCTTTACTCCTGGGAAGTCATGATGCTGGATGAAGTATAGGTGGTGATATGGATTCAGACAGTATTGTAGATATCACTTAATACCAAACACAGCTACCATTAATTACCAGTGATGGGTGTTTCCTCTGTTTCATGAACAAAGGGAAAGAAGGCTATGTATAGCTTTATTTAATTCTTCCTTCAGTTCCGTGAGGTAGGTATCACTCTTATTTTCATTTACAGAGGAGAAAACCTAAGCCCTGAAAAGTTCACAATTTGCTCAAGATTTAGTCAGTGGCAAAATAGGGATTTGAGCCTTTCTCCGTTTGACACCAATGCCCAAGTTCTAATTGGCCAGTACATGTACAAAAAATATTAAATAATGTTTAAATCAACAACAAACAATATTTACCATAATCACTGGAAACTAGATTATTATTACTTTACGACCATGGAAGTTAACGTATTAGAAATTTAAATGTTACCACTGAAAACCAAGCAAAATCGTATTTGTAGTTCCATATATAGATCAAAAAATTCTGGAACTCTTTACTGGATATGGAAGATTAGTGCTACCTTCAGCTTGGGTGCATTCTGAGGGGTAGAGGGTGACCTTCCCTGAAGCTGGCTGTTTCCCGTCTGTCTCTTTTCCTGCACTGACACTCCGGAAAGTGGCATAATGGTAAAAATCAAGGGGGCTGAGTGGTCAGGGCCACAGAAACGTGTTGAATTCAGTGATTTCACCTTCACTTCCTCCCCTGACATCTCTCCTCTCAAATGGAATCCTCAATGTATTGTAACTTGTGATAACCCTTGCAATTTGTAGTAAAATACCACACAGCATAAATCTTTGTATTTCTGTCCTTAAAGGTCTTACCATCACCACTTCAGCCTGGCATCAAACTAGGGCAGATGCTGAACATGCTCTTTTCAAAGTAGAGAAACAGTCTTTTGCTTTGTTTTGTTGCCTTGTGGAAGTCTGAAGACAAGTCAAGATGTTTATCTCTCCTGCACTTCATTTCTACACAAGTTAGTGAGAAACAGAGTCGTGGGAATTGCTTTCTTGGAGTAGAGGCCAGAGTGACCTCAACAGTCTCCCCTAGGCCCTTCCTCCACCATTTTTTGGGTGAAGCTGAGTGCTTTGCTGCAAAATACCCCCTACTTGGTGTTTGCCTGGTTCTTTCTGGAATGTAAAACCCCTTTGTCTGCTCAACACCGCTGGTGGCTTTATGCGAGCAGTGAATTCACATCTATAGAAGAGAAAATCAAGGCTGGTCACTGAGCCCGGTGAGAAAGCTCAGGCGACTTTCAGGACTCTTGCCTTCTTCACAGATTGCCAGAACAATAAACTTTCATCTTACAATTGGTATCATCATTATAGTTTTCATTTATATAGCATTTTGGAATTTATAAAATCTCTGTACGCCATCATTTCCTTTAATCTTCACAACAACTCTAAGAGGTCAGTCCTATTATCTCCATTTTACAGACAATGAGACTGGATTCAGAGAGTTTCTGTAACTGCCCTTGTGGGCAACAGTTGGTCTGATTTCCCTCATGAAACACACCATGACTTTATACGGTTCTAATTATCTGACTCGTAGACACAGCATCACTAACTAGTTCTGAAATGAGCACCTGGTTTTTCAGATGTTCAACTGCCTTTTCCATTCCCTCCATTCACAGTCTGTCACCTGGATGACTCGTCTCTCAGTATCCATTCTCTCCTTTCTCATAATAGAATCCCCATATTTCAGTTGGGCCACTCAAAGACTACATTCTCAGCCTCCTTTCCAAGTGTGGTCCTATGGCTAGATTCTGTCCAATAGGTTGTGAGTGAGAATGCTGAGGCCAACTTTTGAGATATCCCTTAAAAGGAAGGAGTGTGTTTCCTTTCCTCTTTTCCTCATCTATTGGCTAGAGTGTGGATGTGGCAGCTTAAGCCATTCTGGACCATGGGCAGGAGGACACAAGGGGTTGGCAGAACAATGGGTTGGAAGGAGCCTGGCCCTCTGATCAAGTGAAGCCAACAGAAGGTGACATCCAGACAGTTCCATGGGAGGAATGTAAATGCACATCTCATTAGAAACACTGTTAATTTGAGTTTCTGGCCTGTTAGACTTATATCTATCAAATACATGACACAATATACAAAAGCAACCTGGGTTACCATGTAAGAAGAGCCCAAGAAAAGATGAGACTCTTCTTTTTTTTTTTTTTTTTGAAACAGAGTTTCACTCTTGTTGCCCAGGCTGGAGTGCAATGATGCGATCCCAGCTCACTGCAACTGCCTCCCAGGTTCAAGTGATTCTCTTGCCTCAGCCTCCTGAGTAGCTGGGATTACAAGCGTGCACCACCATGCCTGGCTAATTTTTGTATTTTTAGTAGAGATGGGGTTTCACCACATTGGCCAGGCTGGTCTCAAACTCCTGACCTCAGGTGATCTGCCCACCTCAGCCTCCCAAAGTGCTGGGATTACAGGCGTGGGCCACCGTGCCCAGCAAGACTATTCTTTACTGCATACTTTTCACTCTGCATTGACAAAATCATGTTGAATTGTTCCGAACTGAAGTCTCTGACTCTGATTTCAGACCTTGCCTTTACCTCCTTACATGATGCTGTTCTTTCTCCTCCTACTGCTAGAAATACAGATCATTTGGCTTCAGAAATAAGGCTAGAGGCTGTCCTATTCACTAGTTCAGATGAGCACAGCTGAGAGGAGGCATGAATTGAATAGAGCACTTGACTGTGAGCCAGGAGAGCCAGGTTCTGCTGCTAACCTAGCTGTGTGGTCTTGGGGATGCCACTTAGCTTCTCTGGGCCAAAGATTCAACACTGAAAGTCTATGATTCTTCTAAAACAACCTTCATTAATAGCTAGTAAACTTGGATTCAACCTCACAGTTGACCGCACAAGTCAAGGCTGGGCCTCAGTTGCCTTAGTGGCAGTTGGGACCACCTAGCATTGTCCAGTGGAAGGCACCAGAGAAACAGAAAAGTGCTATCTTCCAAGCATCCTTCCTCCAATGCACTGAGGACGGCTGTGCAGAGCAGGGTGGAGGGAGGAGTTGTAAGGATTTCTATTCCCTGGTCACAGGAAGTTATTTTCCAGAGTTTTGTTACAGGGGCAGCATTGGCTTTGGAGGCTGGACAAATCTTCCTTATGTGGATCTGTCCTGCGTACTGCAGGAAAGTTAGCATACCTGATGCTTGTCTACCAAAACGCCCAGGAGGGGACAAAGGTACCCCCAGTTGAGAACCATTGCTAGTCCATCCCCTCATTTTTTTTTTTTTTTTTTTTGAGATGGAGTTTCACTCTTGTTGCCCAGGCTAGAGTGCAATGGCGCGATCTCGGCTCACTGTAACCTCCGCCTCCAGGGTTCAAGCAATTCTCCTGCCTCAGACTCCCAAGTAGCTGGGATTACAGGCGCCTACCACCAAACCTGGCTAATTTTTTTGTAGTTTTAGTAGAGATGGGGTTTCACTATGTTGGCCAGGCTGGTCTCGAACTCCTGACCTCAGTTGATCCACCCGCCTCAGCCTCCCAAAGTGCTGGGATTACAGGCTTGAGCCACTGTGCCTGGCCCCATCCCTTCATTTTATAGTTGAAGAGAAATTCAGAAAAGATCAGTGACTTCGCCCCTGGTCACCCTTGCTCTGATGAGAGAGCAGGAACACGTCTTCTGATTCCTGTAAGTTTTCTCTCTCTAAGTTCTGGGTCAACCAGTGGACTCTAAAGCAGGGTGGTGGTGCATCGCCGGGGACAGCAAGACAATCCACTGAGATGCCAGAAGAAAACACATGAACTCTATTTCTGTTTTATCTCCTCCTTTAAAATTCTGTGAGATTTTATAATGTACATAATATATTAGTACCGTAGCATATGTATAATTTATAAATACATAAATATTCGTATACTGGTGCATGTTCAAATATTTTTTAACTGATGGCATGCATGATCAAAAAGTGTAAAGACCACCACCCTAAACATTCTTTTCTATTTCTAACTCTAAAAAATTTACCAAATTGCCCTGATTTGTTTTACTATTCTGTTTTCCAGGAGGAAATCTGGAGGGTATTATTTTAAGAAAAAGATAAGGTGGGCTTGAAATGCTGCCAAATTGAAAGCTACTATAAGGCAGATTATCAAACAATGCAGCCCAACTCCACATTATCAGCCAGGGTATTTTGGTCATTTTATCAGTTAAATCAGATTAACCATTTGTCAACCCACTCCCCGGTTTAGCATTCAATCCAGAAAACCAAATCTACCTTTTAAGGTAATCGGTCCTATCTTACTGAAAACACAATCTGTAATTGTTAGGGGAAATAAGGGATTGATAAAAGAGGAGGTAAAAGGAGGGGGAGCTACCTCCACAGAGGTGCTCACATGTTAAATATTTTCTCTCCTTTTCAATCTGTTTTACCTACTCTTGAACCAGAGCTTAAATTACTTCAACCTTCAGAGAGGTTCCCCTTAACCCTACTCTGCCATGTGAGATGAAGGAGTACATGCAGGGATAAAAGTGGCTTCCTCTAAACGATTAAAAATTCACCTTGTAGATTCAGCTGTCTGTGCTTACACTAGAACTAGGCACTCTTCACTGAGCCTTAATCAGCAAGAGGGAGATGCAGGAGAATCAACATTTTGATGAAAAGAGATCCCTTGAATCCTGGATTGGGACAGGGGTTTAACTTTTCTAAAACATGCTTACAAAAATTGCCTGATGATCAGGTTGTCCCTGGAGAGAGGAAAAAACAGAGGCAACATGAAGAGTAAAAAAAAAAAAAAACTTGCATGAGTAAAATAAATCTGTACAGCACCTGCCCTTTTGCCATGCACAGCCAAGGGCAGCAAACACACATCTTTGCAATACGAATCATACTAACCACTTACTAAGCTCTCATTCTCTGCCAGGTATCGTGCTGAAGTTTCTACAATCATTACCTTATAACTCACATCTTCATTTACAGAATGATACGATATAATAACTCACATCTTTATCTATAGAATGATATGATATAGTAGAGTTCCTAAAACTTTCTCTGTTCTTTCCACCCTTAGTGTGTCAGTAATATTTATAGCATCTCTATGCCAAAAGAAATGTCTAACTGTTCCATTTATTAAGTAGTTATATCCAAACAACTTGGTAATAATAGTTGATATGGTTTGGCTCTATGTCTCCACCCAAATCTCACCTTGAATTGTAATAATCCCCATGTGTCAAGGGTGGGACCAGCTGGAGGTAATTGAATCATGGAAGTGGTTTATCCCATGCTGTTCTCGTGATAGTGAGTGAGTTCTCACAAGAGCTGATGATTTTATAAGGGGCTTCCCCCTTCACTCAGCACTCATTCCCTCTCCTGCTGCCCTGTGAAGAGGTGCCTTCCGCCATGGTTGTACGTCTCCTGAGGCCTCCCCAGCCATGCAGAACTGTGAGTCATTTAAACCTCTTTTCTTTATAAATTACCCAGTGCCAAGTATGCCTTTATTAGCAGCGTGAGAACGGACTAATACAGTAGTTCACACAGATGTTGCTGTTTTCCTAAAAAATGTTAACTATTCTACTGTGCCCATGTGAGCCTGCTGCAGAGCCCTGGAGCACCCTGGCACACAGTTTGGGAATCAAAGACACACTATGATATATGTCACTGAGGAAACTGAGACCTAGTAAGGTTAAGCAGCTGTTTTGTTGAAATGCAGAAATCTGAACACAAGTCATCAGAATCCAGGACCCATTCTGCTATATCAGACTCCTCCCATTGCATTGCTGAATCACTGCCTTTATGTCTAGTCTTGATTTCCTCTTTTCATTCTCTTTATTCTGCAACTCTCCCCACCCCCCACCCCCCACCCCCCCAAACACACACATACAAACACACACACACACAGAGATTGAGAGAGAGAGAGGCATGTGTGGACACATTCATGCTCATTCATTCCCTGGGCTCAAACCATTCCAACTGGGATGTCCCTCCCTTGAGTCTGCCTTTGCAGAAAGTTCCTGCTTTGGTCCTCAGTCCCAACTTTCACCTCTTGACCATTTGTTCTCACACTCACCTACCTATCCCTCTTCAAACCCTGTCTACTAAGCAGCATGTTAATAACGACATCTGATCTTACTTTGCTCCCTAATTGTTTTATCTGTGTGGATGTGGTTTTCAGAAGACTGAAAGCTGCCTCCAAACAGGGACTGTGTGTTGTCTTGTGTTGGGCATAGAGTAGCCCCTATGCAAGTTTGTCAAAATTGGCAAGATGATCAAATGCAGAATTTGATAGCATACTCTAATGCCTAGATGTTGATAATGGAGAGAATATATTTAACAAATAAATCATTGGGAATGATAACTACCATCCACATGGCTTTTATTTGATCCTCACAAGAGAATAATTATTACACCCCTTTCAAGGAAAAAAAGTTGAGGTTTAGACAGGTTAAGTGACTCTGACCAACATTACCCAACCTGTAAATGGAAGAAACAGGCCTAAAAGTCCAGAATGCTGGTCTCCCTCCCAGCCTTGTTTAGGTATATACAGCAGTGACCTTCAGAGAGATGCCAATATTCAGCCCAGGTTCTGTGATGGGCAGGATATCAATTTCAGAGGCACTGTCTAGACTCAAAGGCATGTATCACTCTTGATACCTGGACTGGGTTCCAGGCCAAGCAGTGAGCCCTGCAGGACACCAGGCTGGGGTGGCTGGGGATACTACTAGGGACAATCAGACTCCTTGGTGAGTTCAATGAGCTTATTGAAAGTTCCAACCCAACACATCACCCTTTCTTGAGAGAGTAAACTACAGAGGCTGGGGTTGACAGCTTCTGCGGCCAATGCTGGGTGCCGAAGCAAAAGTCTATTTTGAGCTTAAAAGCATGTCATACAAAATAAAAGCAAGCTGGAAATGTGCATCTATTCCTTCTGAGTCATGAGAGCTTTGGTAGAACCAGCAAGGGCAGGGGCTCAGAGGTCAGTCAGCTCTGAGTTTACAGTTGATGCTGTTACTCGCTAATGTATGACTTGAAAAAAGTTACTTCACCTCTCCGAGTCTCAGCATCCTTGTCAGTAAAATGAGGTCATAGGATAGTTGTGAAGATTAAGTGGCAAAGCAAATGTAAAACAGAGGGTGGTGGCTGCCAGGTAACAGATGCTCAATAAGTGATAGTTCCTTATCATGGATGACAAACAGGTTTCTCTCAGGTGCTGCTGCCAGAAGGCACGGATCAAACAGGAGTTAGCACCACCACCACCATTATAATAGTGTTATGAGCACTGGTGCTAACTCCTTGTAGAGCAATTCAAAAGGCTCTAGCCTGGAGTAGTGGCAGAATTAGGAAGGAGGAGGGGAGTGAAAGAAAAGAAAATTCAAGATGCCTAAGGCCAAAAATTCACTCAAGAGACCTTGATGAGAAACAGAAAAGAAAATAGATGAGGACCCAACAATCGGTTAGTGGAAGGATGGGGCACTGGGCTTGAAAAAAAAATAAACAATTTGGACCTTTTAAATATACATTTCAAATTACATCTTCTTCTTCTGCATTGTGTCTTCAGGCAGCTGGGAAGATACAAATGTATCACATTTATTTATAAAGCTTTTATTGGGATTAAAAAAAACAGAACTGAACTTTATGAAGAAAAGAAGGGGAAAAACCAGCTGTAAGGTGGCAGTTTTCTTGCATGATAAAATGGGGTTGAGTCCAGGATGGAAGCGTTTACGCCAGGACTCTTTCGTCAGATGCCTGTTTTCCAGAGATGTAGATGGCATGGTTCAGAGGAAATGTACATGAATGACATTTGGAAATCCTAAAGGACTATTACAAGCATTAGTTATTATTATTACATGTACAGTAGCACACACACCAAATCAGCAATCCGCCCGAATAGTGCCCACATGCTTTTGAGTGGGCTGCCAGGATGGAAAGACTCACCGTGGTCGGGATGTCCCGGCTGAGAGGCACGCTGTGCAACTGCTCCTGCAGGGATTTATCTGCGCCAACCTCAGAGTAAAAGACCTTGAAAAGATGCAGACACCCTGGTGAGAGCAGAGCCCGTGCTTGTGTAAGATCAAAGGTTGTAATTGCACTCACAGTGGCAGCAGGCTCTGAGGTGCGTTGCCTAACATCACGTGCACTAGTTCTGCGGGAACACACATCAGACCTACTTGGGTTGGGTGGGGGGTGTTGCAAACTCAGAAGCCTGAGGAGTCCAGGAGGAAGACACATATCAATGAAGTGAAATGCAGAGGTCTGCACATGGCTCGTGTTATTTTTCCCAAAATGCATGAGCCTCCTGGGTAATCTTTCATTTTCTCACTTTTGATAAGACATGAGCCCAGAGATATATTCCTCTACTTTCAGAAAACAATAGGATGAGGGCCATGATCAACGGCTACTGTCCCTTGGTGAAATGGAGACAGTAGCAGGTGGTGGGATTGGGGTGGTACCGGGGTCTTACATTTCAGCTAAAATAAGCAGCTCAGTTCCAGCAGGTGGAGAGGAATGTGGACCCCGTGTGGCCAGCTCTCCCCATATCCCAGAGAGTGCACAACTCCAAACAATTATGTGAAATGTCTTGACTTCTCAAAGTTGACTCATTTCTAAAAACACTATTCAAAGAAAACATTTTGGTGAAATGATATCAGCCCAACTTGCAGCCTCTGATAGATAAGAATGCATTCTCTGGTGCTTCCTCCATTTTGCCTCCCCACCTTCTTACTTTACATTATTTTGTACTTGTTGACAACATTCCACAGTGATTTCCTGTTTCCCGTGTTCCTACTTTATTCTCCAGATTTGACTATAGGCAACTGAATAGCAAAAACCATGTCCTTTTAGTTTATATTTTCCCACAGCTGAACAGAGGAAGGACTGGATAGATCCTAAGTGAGTAATGCAGATGTGATGTGACATTCAGGGCATTTACAAATACCCTCCAAAGCGGGACATTTCTTCTAGCTTTATGGAGGGAGAATGGGGCAGTTATTGATATGGAAGGACAGATATCTAGAAAAAGCAAGGATGAGAAAGACATACAGTCACACGACACACCCACCGAGGAAACTCCCATGCCCGTGTACTCACAGTGTACCCAAGGATGGGACTTCCAGGATGCCTTGGCATTTTCCACTGGATGCTGAAAGCCGTACAGTTCAATGCGCCCAGCTTGATGTCAAGAGGAGGCCCTACCTTGCCTGCCCCCAAACAAAAGAGATTGTGTTAGAGGCTCCACACATCCCACCTTGAGTATACTTACACAAGATTTAAGAGTGCATTATCTAACAGATGAAAAGCATACTTAAAGATAATTCCAGAAATGCAGTCAATTTCTGATACACCACACCTATCTCAGCTGACCTCACTCACTTTGCTATCCCTTCCCAACCTGGCATCAGTAGATAAATCAGTCCAACTATTGCCCTTATTCTCTCGGGTAACTTCTAATAGGTCAGGGACCAGCAAAGGGAGATTCAGGGTAGCATAGACCACAAACACTTCTGACTTGACTCTAAAAGTTTTAAATGTATTAAAGTAAGATGACAGGCACATTTGTATTTACTCAATAGCATATATGTTTTATGTATACATTACATAGATGTGTTTGCTTATATAGCTAGGATATTCCTATTGTGGGACATTTAAAAAATATAGTTATGTATAAAATGAAGTTTAAAAATTTCAAATGCTTTACTATCTATCTTAAGTAACTTCATAGTTACAGATGATAAGATTTATAATCATCAAATAATATATACAGGTTGCCACAATTTAGAAAACATAAAAAATTATCTCTAATTCTAACATTCAGAAATGAGTCTTGTTAGCATTGTGGTATATCTCTTGTTGGTCACATGCAATTTAAAAAAAAGTGTTTGTGTGTGTGTGTACGTGTGTGTGTTTCTATACAGTTGACATCCCTTATCTGAAATTTCAGATTTTTTTGGATTTTGGAATATTTGCAATATACTTAGCTGTTGAGCATCTCAAATCCAAAATGCTTCAATGGGCAGTTCCCTTGAGCGTCATATTGGTGCTCAAAAAGTTGGATTCTGGAGCATTTAGGGTTTCAGATTTTTGGATTTGGGAAGCTCAGCTTTGTGTGTGTCTGTGTGTCTGTGTGTGTGTGTGTGTGTGTGTGTGTGTACGGAGTCTCACTCTGTCGCCCAGGCTGGAGTACAGAGGCGCCATCTCGGCTCACTGCAAGCCCCGCCTCCCGGGTTCACGCCATTCTCCTGCCTCAGCCTCCGGAGTAGCTGGGACTACAGGAGCTCGCCACCATGCCCGGCTAATCTTTTGTATTTTCTAGTAGAGACGGGGTTTCACTGTGTTAGCCAAGATGGTCTCGATCTCCTGACCTTGTGACCTGCCCGCCTTGGCCTCCCAAAGTGCTGGGATTACAGGCGTGAGCCACCGCACCCAGCCATGTGTATGTAATTTTTAAATTGTTTTGTTATATATAGTGATTATGTATATATACATACATGTTAATAATTTTAAGTCTTATTTCACTTAGTATATATATAGTACAAATAGCATATTTACAATCATTAAAATCATTATTTTTAACGGCTGTAAATTTTTCCATATAACACATGTGCCATAATAAACAGCATTTGTCATCCCGCTATTGCTAGGCAATTTATTCCCAATATTTTGCTATCTTAAGTAATGCTCCATGAGGGCAGGGACCAGGTCTATCTTGTTCAGAGTACAGAAACGAGTAATGGTAAAAGCACAATAAACATTCCTTAAGTGAATGAACATTCTGCAACTTGATTTTCCACTTACTAATATGTCCTGGTGAGATTTCTTTTTAACTATTGCATGTAATTCTCCAGCATATCAGTTAGGATACTTTGCAACTCACAGAGATCTAATGTATCTATTTAATGGACTGCTTCTAGGGCTTGTCATCAATGTTTTTAATAACAGAACCCAAAGTTTTTCTAGTGGATCAAGTGATAGAAGCCCAGTGCTGTCAGCAGGAACCATGAGGTCAAAAGTCAGCTCCCCTCTGCCCCATATACACCTACGATTGTCACCACTCAGAGATTTAATTCTTAATGATCTCTCTGACTCTGCCATTAAATCTGTTCCAGATTTAATGTCTCATCTGATTGGCTAGACTTAGGCCATGTGGCTTCCTCTTGGCTCAACCAAGAGGCAGTAGAGGAAGGATCAGTCCTTTCTGGTTTCTAA
The DNA here is from genome assembly GCF_000001405.40 of Homo sapiens. NCBI lineage: Eukaryota > Metazoa > Chordata > Mammalia > Primates > Hominidae > Homo > Homo sapiens. Next base: position 38,335,514 of record NC_000005.10, on the reverse strand, counting down.
ACTGGGAAATCACAGGATGAGACGAGTTCTGGGAATTGTTCTTCCACCAAGCCCATCCACAGTAAAGAAGGAACCCCACAGGAGGATAGGATCATAGAAAAGAGTAGTGGGAAGTTGGATGGCCAAAACTCTGCTTTTCAGAGCACGCATGTACATTAACTATTACTCCATTGATTGACATTGCAGTTATTATCAAAATATCGCTGGTAAAAATAATGCTGAAAAGAACATCTATATCTGTGCCTTTTTGCACACATGTGCCAGTGTTTCTAGGATGGATACCTATAAAATTTATCGAGTACATACATTTTCATTTTTACTACTGATGACTTATTGCTCTCCCCAAAAGAGTAAATGCATAAATCTTTAGGTGCATTCAATTATTTATTTGGGTAAATTCTTAAAACAGAGCTCTTGTGTCCAAGATGGTATCTCGACCTTGACACTATTGACATTTGGGGCTGCCTAGTTTTTGTGGGGGCTGCCCTTTTGCATTACAGGATGTTGAGCAGCATCCCTGGTCTCTACCCACTAAATGACAGTAGTACTCCCCAACCCGTCGTGAAAACTAGTAACATGTCCACACATTACCAAATGCTCCCCAAGGGGCAAAACTGCTCCCCGTTGAGAACCGTTGATTTAAGGGAATGAATATTTTAAAGATTTCTAATAAATATCATCAAACTTACATTTAGAAAATTAACCAATTTAGAAGTTTATAGTGGTGTACATGAGATGTATAAGTAACAGTATAAAGTAACACAGCCCCACCAGCTCTTACTACTACCACTTTTTAAAGAATTTTTGCTCAGAGAATGAAAAAATTTGTTTAAAAAGCCACAGACTAGGAGAAAATATTTGCAAAAGAAATATCTGATAAAGGTCTGTTATCCAAAATATGCAAATGCTATAGAGAAAACATTTGTGTCCTTCCAAAATTCATATGTTAAACTCTAATTCCTAATGTAATCATATTTGTAGATGTGGCCTTTGGGAGGTGATTAAGTCATGAGGGTAGAGCCCTCATGAACAGGATTAGTTCCCCAAAAGATATCCTAGAGAGCTCCCCCTCCCCTTCTGCTATGTGAAGACACAGCAAGAAGACAGCTGTCTATGGGCCAGAAAGTGAGCCTTCACCAGACACCAAATCTGTTGGTGCCTTGGTCTTAGACTTGTCTGCCTCCAGAACTGTGAAAAATAGATTTCTCTTGTTTATAAGCCACCCAATCTATAGTATTTTGATATAGCAGCCAAACAAACTAAGATAACAAAGAACTCTTAAAACTCAACAGGCCGGGCATGGTGGCTCACGCCTGTAATCCCAGCACTTTGGGAGGTCAAGGCAGGTGGATCACCTGAGGTCAGGAGTTCGAGACTAGCCTGGCCAACATGGCAAAACCCCATCTCTACTAAAGATACAAAAATTAGCTGGGCGTGGTGGCAGGAGTCTGTAATCCCAGCTACTTGGGAGGCTGAAGCAGGAGAATCGCTTGAACCCAGGAGGCGGAGGTTGCAATGAGATGAGATCTCACCACTGCATTCCAGCCTAGGTGAAAAGAGCAAAACTCCATCTCAAAAAAAAAAAAAAAAAAAAAAAACCCTCAACAATAAAAATAAACAGACAATGAGTGAAAAGTGGACCAAAAGATTTCATGACAAAGACACCAAAAGCAATCACAACAAAAGCAAAAATTGACAAATGGAATCTCATTAAACTTAAGAGCTTCTGCACAGCAAAAGAAACTATCAACAGAGTAAACAGACAACCTACAGAGTGGGAGAAAATATTTGCAGTCTATGCATCTGACAAAGGTCTAACATCCAGCATTTGTAGGGAACTTAAACAAATTTACAAGAGAAAAATAAACAACCCTATTAAAAAGTGGGCAAAGGACACGAACACACATCTCAAAAGAAAACACACATGCGACCAACAAGCATATGAAAAAAAGCTCAACATCACTGATCATTAGAAAAATGCAAATCAAAACCATAATGAGATACCGTCTCACACCAGTCAGAATGGCTATTATTAAAAAGTCAAAAAATAACAGATGCTTTCAAGATTGTGGAGAAAAGGGAACTCTTATACGCTGTTGGTGGGAGTATAAATTAGCTTAATCATTGTGAAAAGCAGTATGGCAATTCCTCGAAGAGCTAAAAGCAGAAGTACCATTCGACCCAGCAATCCCATTACTGGATATACACCCAGAGGAATATAAAGCATTCTACCATAAAGACACATGCATGTGAATGTTCATTGCAGCACTGTTGGCAATAGCAAAGATGTGGAATCAACCTAAATGCCCATCAATGACAGACTGGATAAAGAAAATGTGGTACCTATACACCATGGAATATTATGCAGCCATAGAAAGAAAGAGATCATGTCTTTTGTGGGAACATGAATGGAGCTGGAGGATATCATCCTGAGCAAACTAATGCAGGAACAGAAAACCAACTACCCTATGTTCTCACTTATAAGTGGGAGCTGAATAATAAGAACTTATGAACACAAAGAAGGAAACAACAGACGCTGGGGTGTTGGGAACAGGCCTCCAAATCTGGCCATAAACTGGCCCCAAAACCGGCCATAAACAAAATCTCTGTAGCACTGTGACATGTTCATGATGGCTATGACGCGCACACTGAAGGTTGTGGGTTTACCGGAATGAGGGCAAGGAACACCTGGCCCACCCAGGGTGGAAAACCGCTTAAAGGCACTCCTGAACCACAAACAATAGCATGAGTGATCTGTGTCTTAAGGACATGCTCCTGCTGCAGATAACTAGCCCAACCCATCCCTTTATTTTGGCCCATCCCTTTGTTTCCCATAAGGAACACTTTCAGTTAATCTATAATCTATAGAAATAATGCTTATCACTGGCTTGCTGTCAGTAAATATGTGGGTAAATCTCTGTTTGGGGCTTTCAGCTCTGAAGGCTGTGAGTCCCCTGATTTCCCACTCCACACGCTATACTTCTGTGTGCGTGTATTTAATTCATCTAGCGCTGCTGGGTTAGGGTCTCCCCAACCAAGCTGGTCTCGGCACTGGGGTCTACTTGATGGGGGAGAGTGGGTGGAGGGAGATGAGTAAAAATATAACTTTTCTGGGTACTGGGCTTAATACCTGGGTCAGGTAATAATATGTACAACAAACTCCCATGGCATGTATTTACCTATGTAACAAACCTTCACATGTACCCCCAAACCTAAAATAAAAATAAAAAAAGAAAACAAACCAAAAAAGAAAGATGGACCAAGACCTTAACAGACATCTCACCAAAAAAGATACCACAATGGCAAGTAAGCATATGAAAACATGCTCCACATCATACGTCATCAGGGAAATGCAAATTATAACACCAATGAGATACCATCCCTGTATGCCTGTTAGAATGGCCAAAATCCAGAGCACTGACAACACAAAATTTTGGCAAGGATGTGGAGCAACAGGACTCTCATTCATCACTGGTGGGAATGCAAAATGGTACAGCCCCTTTGGAAGGCAGTTTGGCAGTTTCTTACAAAATCAAACATGCTCATCATACCACTGGCATGTGCACTCGTTAGTATTTACCCAAAGGAGTCAAAAACTTACGTCCACACAAAAAACTGCACATGGATATATACAGCAGCTTTATTCATAATTGCCAAAACTTGGAAGTAAACAAGAAGTTCTATAGTAGGTGAATGGATAAATAAATTGTGGTACTTCCAGACAACAGAGTATTATTCAGTGCTAAAAAGAAATGAGCTATCAAGCCACGAAAAGGAAGCTTTTCCTTTTTCCTTCACTTAGCCTTAGAATAGGCTAAGTGAAGAGGCCTATTCTAACATAGTCTTAAAGGTGGCTGAAAAGTGGAAATAGAGATAATGGAAATGATATATCAGTCCCATAAAATAGAACCATAAAATAACCAGTAAGCACAGCCTCATCCATAGTCTCAATCCTCAAAGTTTCCACATCGAGGAAACTTCAGTGGGTATTCCTAAGTGAAAGAAGCCAATCTGAAGAGGCTACATACTGTATGATTCTAACTCTATGACATTCTGGAAAAGGAAACAGTAAAAAAGACCAGTGGTTGCCAGGTATTAGGAGAGAGCAAGGGATGAATAGGCAGAGTTCAGAGGGTTCTTAGGGCAGTGAAACTATTCTATATGATACCATAATGGTAGATACATGTCATACATTTGTTTAAACCCATAGAATGTACAACAGAAAAAGTGAACCCTAATGTAAACTATGGCCTTTGGGTGAGAATGATGTGTCAATGTAGGTTCACCAACAAATGTACCACTCTGATAGGGGATGCTGATGACGGGGGAGTCTATGCATGCATGGGGACAGGGAGTATATGGGAAATCTCTCTACCTTCCTCTTAATTTTACTATGAATTTGAAACTCTAAATAGTCTTTTAAAACCTTGGCAAATTTGATAAAAAATAGGTTAAATATTTTAGCATCTTTTTTTGGCTATTTTTCTTCCTATTTTCAAGTATTTTGCACATATTTAATCGGGTTTTAGTTTTTTTCTCACTGATCTGTAAGTACCCTTAATTTGTGAAAGATCTGAATTATTCACCTATATTTTCTCTAGGTAGTTTTATGTTTGCTTCCCCCTGTGTAATTATCCAGTACTGGCCACATTTATTGCTAAGCGAAGAGGCCTATTCTAACATAGTCTTAAAGGTGGCTGAAAAGTGGGGGAGAAAGATAATGGAAATGATTTATCAGTCCCTTGTAGAACCATAAAATAACCAGTAAGCACAGCCTCACCCATAGTCTTAGGAATATTTCTTGCTTCCTTTGCTCTGGGAAAAATTGCAAGTGATCAAGGCAGGCTCCTTGGGTCACTAACAGGGGAACCAGTTCTTGTATCCCTTGTGTATCTGCAGTGGTTCAGTACAGAAAATAGAAACGCTCTAGGTATTTTAAACAGGAAGATGGGGTTATGGAAATTGGTAGAAAGACTGAAGAAATTAATTCAGGAGTCTCCAATGGCTCTATTAGAGAGAGACAGGGAGAGAGAGAATGAATGAGAGAATGCTATAGTGATGATTCAGAACCAGGAAGCCTCTGCCTTCACCCCCACTACTGGCATTACTGCTGCCACAACTGCTTCCAGACACCCGCAAGACTGGCGATGGGTCCTGGAATGATGAGTTCTCATGTTTTGATGGCCTTGCTTGGCTGGAGAAATAGCAGCAGGAAAATGGCCTCCACCTCACTCCGGCCTTCCCTGTCTCTCAAGAGTATATCCAATTGGTGAGACCTAATTGACATCCAGAATATTGACATCCAGAATATTGGCTACAAGATAGTCTGGAAAATGTAGTTTTTATTTTTCCAGCCTTTGCATTATAGTAATGGCATCTAGAAGGAGGGTAAAACAGTCACCAGAAGGTGAACAAGCCAATCTAAGGTATCCATGACCTCTTGGCACCCATAAAAAGCGTGAATTGTAATGTGCTATCCCCTTTACCTTCATATTCTGTAGGAAAGTATTTAAATCGGACCCTGCTGGGACCTGGTTAGGTATGACTCCTATTTTATTGGCATTTTCACTCATTTATTTGCTCTTTCACACACCTAACATATTGAGCACCCTATACATACCAGGCACTGTCAGTCTCTACGTTAATGATGAAGAGAGACATAGGGACACAAATTAGCAGGATATTACAATTGGGTGTGATAATTAGGGTTGGAAAGTTGGAGCACTTTAGTGGCCCATAGCAAGGACATACCAGGCTCTGTGCAATAGACCCATAGGAACGAGGCAGACAGAGTGGGAATGGGAAAAGGGTCCCAGGCAGAGAGAGCAGCATATACTCTTCCCCAAAGAACTGGGGGACGAACCACGAATATACAACTACTGGGACTCCATGGCTGGGTGGATGGGGGTAGTGAAAGACAGAACAAAAGTGGAAATCAGGTGACTCCAAGGATTCTAGCTTGGGCAACACAGAGAAGGAGGATGCCAGTCACTCAGCTGGAAGTGACTCAGCTTGACCACCCACGAAGTTGGAGGTGTGGTTGCCGGCAGCTGGTGAGTGAGAGGTGGCCCAGTCAGACACTTGGACCCAATAACAAAAATATTCCAGATGCATCAGTTAAATATGGGATCTCAAATTATAGAAAATAATTGAATTTTAAAAATCAGACTTTTAAAATTTATTTATTTATTTATTTATTTATTTATTTATTTATTTATTTATCTTTGAGATAGGGTCTCCCTCTGTCACCCAGGCTGGAGTGCAGTGGTGTGATCTCAGCTCACTGCAGCTTCCATCTCCCAGGCTCAGTTGATCCTCTCACCTCAGCCAACTGAGTAGCTGGGACTACAGTCACGTGCCACCACATCTAGCTAACTACTTCTCCTTATTATTGTAGAAACAGGGTCTCACTATGTTACCCAGGCTGGTCTTAAAATCCTGGGCTCAATCAATCCTCCCGCCTTGACCCTAAAAGTGTGGGATTACGGCATGAGCCACTGTGCCCGATCTTAAAACCAGACTTAGAGGAAGAACCTTTCTAAGCTTAAAAGAGACTAAAAATATATAAATTTTTAAAAAATAATGGAATCTACATCATAAAACTTCCATCATGCTCTTTGAAAATTACAAAAGAAAAAATTCAAACAACAGATGGAGGGGTAAAAAATTGCAGCAAAATGAGAGGCCAAAGGATATCTTTATTATAAAACTTATGCATATTAATAAGAAAATTCAGACCCTAATAAATAAAATATGAAGAGACAATTTGCAAAAAAAAAAAAAAAAAAAAACAAGTATAGCTAGTAAACACACATGGGGAAATATTCAAATTTGCTAGTTACCGAAGAAATACACATTTCAAAAATTGAGATGTTTTCACCTATTAAATTAACGAAAATATTAAAACGAGAGTAACACTGACAAGGGTACATGAATGCACTACTCTCGAAAAATTGCTTGTGACAGTATAAATGAGTATTCAGACATTGTGGAAGACACTTTGGCGGCAATATGCAATGATATCCAGGGCCATAAATCCGTTCTTATCCTTGGGCCTCCAGAAATCTGATTATAGGCAGCCATAAGGAAGGAATCTTAAAAGAAGAGAAGGCTACTAATATGGTTTGGATCTGTGTCCCCGCATGTCGAATTGCAATCCCCAGTGTTGGAGGAAGGGCCTGGTGGAAGGTGACTGGATCATGGGGAAGGATTTCTCCCTTGTTGTTCTCGTGATAGTGAGCGAGTTCTCGTAAGATCTGGTTCTTTAATAAAAGTGTAAGGCACTTCCCCCTGTGTTCCTCCTGCTCTGGCCACGTAAGACATTGCCTGCTTTCCCCTTTGCCTTCTGCCATGATTGAAATTCCCGAGCCTCCCCAGCCATGCTTCTTGCACAGCCTGCAGAACCATGAGCCAATTAAACTTCTCTATTTCTAAATTACCCAATCTCGAGTGTATCTTTACAGCAGTGCGAGAACGGACTAATACAACTACCCACATGCAGATGTTCTTCACAGTACTACGTGTGATACGGAAAAACTATAAGCAATCTAAATATTTAGAAAGGGCAGTAGTTAGGCCAAGTATGGTGTATCACCTGAATCTACTGGTATACACACAATAAACACAATATGTACTTGTGGTATCTTGAATTGGACCCTGGAGCAGAAAAAGAACAGTAGTGGGAAAACCAGTAAAATTAAATAAAGTCTGTGGTTCAGTTGACAGCACTGTACTATCACTAGTTAGTACTATCACTAATTCATTGTTTAGATTTGACAAATGTGCCATGGTTATGTAAGATGTTAACATGAGGAGAAATTGGTATAAGGTGGATAGGCATTCTCTCTAGTGACTACCCAACCCTTCTATAAATCTAAATGTATTTCAAAATAAAAAATCTATTAAAAAAAGAGGCTTGTATGACACTGTGGCAAATTATGATGTAGTATTAAACAGAAAAGCATACTCAATTGCCACCAATACTATTATTACAGTTATTTAATATGTTCATTTGAAAAATAACTTGAAGGCAAGAGAAGAAAGCTAATTGATACATTAGGGTGGCAGAGATGAAGGACAATTTTTCTCCCATATTCTTCTATTTGGCAAGCTTTCCAGAATGTTATATTGTTTTCCCAATTTTAAAAGTTCACTTTCAAAAATATTTTTACATCCAAAGATCAAAAGACATGTGGGTGTGGGTATAACCACACTCCTTGGTTACTAAAGGAAATCTGCGAAATAACACTGCTTCGTGAAGTTTGCACCAGTTGGGTTGGAGCAAATGGTGCTGTCTCATGTTTGCAGTCTGTTTCTCTGCATTTCAGGGTAAGGCTAAAAATAGTTTGTGATGAATGATGCAGATCTTTTAGCTGTCAATAACAAAAGGTAATATACCCGCGTAAAATACCCTTATTGGCCAGGTGCGGTGGCTCACACCTGTAATCCCAACAGTTTGGGAGGCTGAGGTGGGTGGATCACCTGAGGTCAGGGGTTTGAAACCAGCCTGGCCAACATGGTAAAACCCCGTCTCTACTAAAAATACAAAATTAGCCAGGCGTGGTGTCGCATGTCTGTAATCCCAGCTACTTGGGAGGCTGAGGCAGGAGAATCGCTTGAACCTGGGAGGCGGAGGTTGCTGTGAGCCGAGATTGCGCCATTGAACGCCAGCCTGGGTGACAGAGCAAAACTCTGTCTCAAAAAAAAAAAAAAATACCCTTACGGGCCAGGCGCGGTGGCTCACGCCTGTAATCCCAGCACTTTGGGAGGCCAAGTTGGGCAGATCAGGAGGTCAGGAGATCGAGACCATCCTGGCTAACATGGTGAAACCCCATCTCTACTAAAAAATACAAAAAAACGCCAGGCGTGGTGGCAGGTGCCTGTAGTCCCAGATACTCAGGAGGCAGGAGAATGGCATGAACCTGGGAGGCAGAGCTTGCAGTGAGCTGAGATTGCACCACTGCACTCCAGCCTGGGTGACAGAGTGAGACTCCGTCTTAAAAAAAAAAACCCTTATCAACAGACACAGTAAAACGAAGGTGCCCAGGAAGGAGGTTGTTAGTGCTGTGAACAAGGACACAGGGAATTGTCAGTGGACAGTGACCAAAGTGCCATCAGGGAGGACCTGATTATAAAGAGCACAGAACAGGCGGCCATTCGCTCCTCTCTACTTCGGTTGCTGCTCATCAGCTAGAACAGGATTTTTCAAAATGTTTTGCTCTCTATGTCCTGGATTCTCGAGGACAGTTCTGATTCTGAATGATGTCTCACCATCATGTCCCTTTGGGCCCCCATCATAGCAGTGGAAGCCAGAGGGGCACAACCACTGGCCCTCACAGGAAGGTGGGCCAGGTCTCACAGTGTCTGGGAGAGGGGAGAGAGGCCCAAGACCAGGGCTCTAGCCCTCATGAAGGTTCTGAGCGGAGCTGTGGGAAGCCCAGTGCTCCCAGCAGGCTGTCTTCACACACACTCACCTGTCACCACAAACTGAGTGGAAGAGTTTTTTCTCTTCCTCAAATAAATATTTGTAATATTTATATAAATAAACATATTAATATATACGTAAACATAATATTTATGTAGTTCTATAATTATTATAATTTTAATTTTCAGGTATTTTTTTAAAAGAAAATAAAGGTAAATAAAATACAGCTAAAATTTCATACTGAATCTCTTTCCTCTTCCTTCCTCTCTTCCAGAGATAACAACCATTCTGATGTTACTGGATTTTATCCTCATGAAGTATGTACTTTTATCTGCATGTTTATTTTTCCTGGAATAACCTAACTGCTCATCAGTAAAGAGATGGATAAATTATGGTTTACCCATATAGTGCGCCAGTATCTTTACCACTTGAATTTATTTAAAAAGAGTATTTTGTATTTCTTTAAAAAGAGAAAGATCTATTTGAGAGGACAGAGAGAGGGAGGTGCCTTTGTAAATCTTAAAGCAATGCTCAAACCTTAGTCTACTTCTGATCTTTGCCTCACTCCTGGCCTAGAAATCATCTTTCTTTGGTTGCTAAATCTGTCGCCACTTGTCCATGCACATTTCGGTTTCTCAAATGTTATTGCTGCCATCTTTGTCTGTTTCCTTTGTCCTGCTGGTTACTACTCTTCTCCCCAATTTACAAGCATTTTAGTGGGGACTGAAGGGACCAGTAGTAAGTATGTGTCTTCAACATACCATGTTTGCCAGAGGTAGTGGAGGAAGATATTATTCCCACTTTACAGATGAAGAAACTGAGGTCTAGAGTCTGTTGAATGAGGATCTTGTCAATGGGACAGTGAGGAGCCAGGTAGAGAATTTCTTCCTCTCCCCTCCCCTTCACATTGATGTTCCTGGTGACTCTGCCCAGATTCCCTGTTCTCAGCTCCCACTATACCCTCTTCCCTGCCAGTCATTGCCACATATATCCTGTGGCTCCCGCACCCATTTCTCCAGCCCAGCCCTTCCCTTCAGAGGAGCAGGCCTATGTACCCAACTGCCAGGTGGACCCAGGTGACACTGGGCCTCTCAAATTCCACATAACAGAACTGAATTCATCATCTTTCTTTTTGACCCGAGCCCCTCCTGTAACCCTGGTAGGTGGCATCACCATCCACCATGACTTCCAGAAACCTGCAAGTCACCCTCAGCGTCAAGTTGATCACACTGTCTCCATCCTCTCTTCTTCAGGGAAGCTTCAGAATCCTGCTCAACCCTGGACCTGGAGCAGCACTATTAACTGTTCAGAGCTGTGCATGCAGTGGAACCCACTGCCTTCCCCCGAGCCTAAGAGATACGGTTTCCCTTTCCACAGCTTCTGCAGCCTCTTTTGGAGAATGTGTGTTTGTAAATGAAACTTTTTTTTTTTTCCTGTAAAGCAGTTGAGTGCAGCACAAAGGCTGGGGCCATTGGATTGGAACCTCTAAAACCTGTGTGGAGAAGGGCTTATAAATGGCAGAGAGAAGGAAGTACCAGAGGCTTTCTCAAGTGACATTTGCATTTTGAGGACAGCATTTTTCTATTTGTGTATTTGTTTGAAGTGTCCTTGAGGGCAGGGCAGGACCCAGTCCAGGCCCATCTGAAGCTGTATTTACAGAGGAAGCATACTGATTATATAGACATTGTATTATTGGGGTATGTGTGGAGGGGGGCAGGATAAAGGGAGGAGTAAGCCTCCAGTGGGACCGCCTATGGGCTAGAGATAAGTTTTAGGTACAGAAAGGTGGTGAACCCAGAAAGGCCAGAGAAACCATCAGGCAAAGTCACAGCACATGGTCTGGTATCACCATAAGAGACGTGGAGACATTAGGACATAGTCCCAACTGCAATGAGCAGATCAAAGTAATTCTCTAAATCTCTTCCAGCCACCAGAGAGAAACATAAGAGGGAAACCACCCAAGGCTTTCCTCACATCTCTGCAATGTCTGAATCATCAGGGAAAGCTTTGGCTAGGGCAAGTAAAGCTTTTTTTTTTTTTTTTTTTTGTTTGAGATGGAGTTTCATTCTGTCATGCACGCTAGAGTAGTGGCACGATCTCAGTTCACTGCAACCTCCGCCTCCTGGGTTCAAGTGATTCTCCTGCCTCAGGCTCCAGAATAGCTGGGATTACAGGCATGCACCACCACGCCAGCTTAACTTTTTACTAGAGATGACGTTTCACCATATTGGCCAGGCTGATCTCAAACTCCTGACCTCAAGTGATCCGCCCACCTTGGCCTCCCAAAGTGCTACGATTACAGACATGAGCCACTGTGCCTGGCCGAAAAAACTCTTAATGAAACAAATTTTTTTTTTATAATGGTTATAATTCTGAAGTCTTGTGGGATCTTATCTGTTACATAGAAACATGCTAGTGCTTCCTCAATATTAAAAAAAATCTAAGTAGTAGGCCACTTATGTGTGAGACAAGCAATATTAAGCAGTTAAATATAAAAATAACACTTGTTTCACCAATAACGGTTACAAATGATGGAAAAATATGGTACATAATAGAAAACTAGTTTTGAAGAAACATAGCATTTGAAACTAAAATAATGCATCTATACAATATGCCCTGAAGCTGTGTTCCTGTAAACTAGAAGCTATACTGCTTAAGAGATAAGTAAATAAAAAGGGTGCTTCTTTGCTATGAGGGAGAGTATGCTTGAGCTTTTTTCTCTGGAGGACTTTCAAAACTGTATTAGGCTGTTGCATTAGAAACTTCTGAATAATTAGGTCAATTTCTTATAGAAATTTTATTTCATAAAATACTTCAAATTCTGAGCGAAATTCATCTCTGATTCAATTAGTTTTGTAATCCAATTCATAAAAACACTTCAAAATGCAAACAAAAATATCATCTGTGACAGAAATACATTGCTAGCTTTTTAGTTATTTGATTTTCACAGAAAGAACCAAGTTACATTCACTGATGCAATAGAGAATGCCCAGACTAACTAAAAATAGTCAGAAAATTCCGAATAGGAAAACAAAAACCATATTTCCATCTGTTTGAAACTTGTTCCAACTATTATTATTAAAGCAGCACTATGAATGTGTAACCCAAAAAAAAGTGGCCACTGGAGCTACTTCCAAGGTGATGCCCTCAAGGCAGCAGTGAAAATGTGGGTTTAAGACACAGAACAGTGTTTGTTCTAGTTACCTGTGGATTAAAGAAGTTGCCAGTCACTAAGGAGCAGCAGGAAGAGTTTTCCAGATCCCTGCTGGCTTTTCTCTGTGGAGCAGTTACCCTACACATCACAATCATGCTTCCCTTTGAAATTCATCATGCCAGAGTGCAATTCCAAAGAGTAGTTTGCCACTCCAGAGAGTAATCCATCATTCCCGAGTGTAATTCCAGGGAGTAATCCATCATTCCCAAGTGTAATTCCAGGGAGTAATCTACCTTTGTGGAGTGCTTCGGTTTCCTCATGTCCTAGTCAATGCACTGGATTAGATGATCATAAATTAGAGTTCCTCCCTAAATACTTCATGGGGAAGTATCTGCAGAGTACTAGCAGTGAGCAGGAAAGACAGCCACTTGGAACAGCTCCTCAGGGCAGTGCTCCCTCAGACCCAGGCAAACGTGGGCCCTGTTTTAGAAGGACCAGTTTGGATCCTCCTCTAGCCACACCTCTCCCCATGAGCGGAGTGTGGAGTCCCAAGCCAAAAGGACATTCCTATGGAAAGCCTGTGCTCCATCCACTCCTTGGGTACTCATGACCCTGGAATTCCCTGCCCAGAGAGTCCCGAGCCCTTTTCCTGGTCCTCAGTGGCCTTGTCCCTGGGCGTGTCCTTCTGAGGGTGAACTGTGCTGCTAGCCATGTGGGCCCTCAGGCAAAAGGGTGGCCAACGGGTTGCTGTGCTCCAGGACGGGCAGTGGACAGCACTAGCTAGGGTTATGGGCAGGTGTCCATGCGTGTGCATATGAACATCCTTCAGGGAGGGACAGGGTGAGGCCTGGGGCAGACCAGGGCTCGGCGGGGCAGTTCTCTTCAAGTAGAAATAGAAGTTGCCTCCTCTTGAAGTGGATATTCAAGGAGTCTGAGAAATTGGAATTTGAACCTGCTCTTTCTGGTCATTATGAAAGTGTACTATATATTTGTCAGGTTAGAAGGAGAGAAAATATTGTGTCTAATAATTTGTTAGCCTATTTAACGACTTGTAGGTTTTTAAGACAAATGTACGTGGGCTTCTATGGGAACTCTTGTGCTCCATGCACCAGTGTCAGGGGTAGGTCTGCACCTCTGAGTGTCACGCTGCTTCACAAACTGGGCTCAGCTGGGTTGTAAATGGATCTCACGACGGATTCTTCTGGCCCAAGTGTTGACTTCTGGCAGAGAGCAATCCATGCTGAAAGCCTCTAGCAGTGGTTCCTGTTTAGACTCAGTTGGAAATCCCAGGGGAGCACAGATGCCACAGATCAAGAGCCGCTGGAGACAGTGGCAGCACCAAAGAGTTGACAACCTACTAGAGTCAGTCAATGCAGTTATGTTAGAGAAGGTAAAGGCGCAAAACCACTTCCAAGTACCTACTCTGTGTGGGAGCCTGCACAGTGTGACCTGTTTCTGTCACCAACTCAAGCTCACTTCTTACATCACAGGGGCCATGGATCAGTACTGTTCTGTGGCCTTTTAGGAACCGGGCAACACACAGCAGGAGTTGAGTGGTGGGTGAGTGAGCCAAGCTTCGTCTGTATTTACAGTCAGTCCCCATTACTAGCATTACTGCCTGAGTTCCGCCTCCTGTCAGATCAGCAGCATTAGATTCTCATAGGAGCACGAACCCTATTGTGAACTGTGCATGTAAGGAATCTAGGTTGTGCACTCCTTATGAGAATCTAATGCCTGATGATCTGTCACTTTCTCCCATCACCCCCAGATGGGACTGTCTAGTTGTAGGAAAACAAACTCAGGGCTCCCACTGATTCTACACTATGGTAAGTTGTATAAGAAATAATTACTTCATTATATATTACAATGTAATAATAATAGAAATAAAGTACATAATAATTGCAACATGCTGGAATCATCCCACCTCCCACCCTCATCCATGGAAAAAAACTGTCTTCCAGGAAACCAGCCCCTGGTGTCAAAAAGGTCGGGGAACTTTCTAGAAGGGTTGTTGCAGATGTTATAGTCCACAGTCCTTACTAGGAGTTCCTATGTGGTCATGCTCCAGGCCCATGAGATGGTAAGAATTCATATTAGGGGTAAATATCACCTTGGCCTTTCCCCGGTGGTTCCTCCACACCTTGTTTGGAAAGGTGACCTTGCTCCAGAGCCCTGTCTCCTTTAGCAGACCCCCAACTCCCAGAGGGGTCCCAGGTTGGGGACCGCTGTCTTACATCATCTAAGAAGGCAAGCAGGAAAGCTATGCATCTCCACCCACCAACCTCCCATCACCACACATATACACACACACACGTAAGCATATGCACACATGCAGACACACATATACACAGGCATACGCACAACACACACATCCTCCCACCTCAAGGAGAAACTGACTTACAATCATTTAACAATTGGAGGAGGACAAAGAAGCACAGACTATGAAACCTGACAAAAGCATCTGAACAAGATTATGGTGTAGAAGCTTTAATGCTAGCAGGGAGTTTCAAATTCATCTAAGCCAGTGGTTCTCAAGCTTCTTTTGGAAGCATCAGAATCACCTGAAAGACTTGTACTAACTGCCTGCTGGACCCCACCCTGTTTCTAATTTCACTAAGTCAGGAAGAGGTCCCAAGAATTTGCATTTCTAAAAAGTTCTGAGGAGATGCTGATACTGCTGCCTCTTGAACCAGTGGTGTAGTCTAATATCAGATTTTAATGATGGGAAAATTAAAACTCAGAGAAGCTAGTGTCTTGTGTGAGGCAACAGTAGTTAGGGAGGAACTGGAATGAAGACCTCGATTTATTGAGTCCCTAGCCAGGTGCTTTCTACCACCTAGCATGTTCTTCCAAATTTTACGCTGCCATGATGGCTTCCAATTTTAACTGGGCCCTGTTCTCCATCCATACAGTAACCCCCAAGTCTTGTTGCTTCAACATAGACAGCCTCTTAGGAGACACCTCAATGGCAGTAATTCCTAATTGGAGAGGATGCCCCTAGGCAGTGTTTCCAATCTCTAAATGTCTGAGTCAAGAGCACTGTTTCATGGAGTTTAAAGAAGCTCCTGAGGTGGCCCTGACATGCCCCTGCTCCTGCCTGAGCCCCACTGTGAGTCCCTTTCTGCCAGGTGATCTCACCCATTTGTATAGTGTTCCCAGGCACCTGCTAAATGTGTCTTTTCAAGTATGCTCTGCATATCTAACTGGATACTTCAGCCTTGATGGCTAACAAACACCCCAAATGCCAAGCATTCCAGATGGAACCCATCATCTTCCCCATTCAGATCTCCATCTCCTCCCACATTCCCCATACTCCTGAAATCCGGGAGTGTTGTTCACACCTCCTCTCTCTGTGTTCCAGATATGACTCTCCATGTTGCCCCCAATAGCCCGTAGAATGTCAACTCCATGAGGGCAGGGACTTTTGTGTTCGCTCTTTATTCCTGGCACCTACAACAGTTTCCGACCCTGAATAAGCATTCCATAAGTATTTGCTGCCTGATTGACTAAATGGCTGACTGAATAAATCCCTGTCCTCCTTCTAGCCCTACTGCTGTGACTGTATCCAGCCTCCCATCAACCTGTGCTGGCATCTCTCAACCTGAATTTTCTCTTCTAGGTACAAAGACCACTAGGGAAAAGAAATCAGGGGGTCAAGCATGGGGTCATCTCTCCACATCAGACCCCTGTCTTGGTTGGGACCAGGCTCAGGTTCCAGTCATCCCCAGTCTGAAGGTCTAAAGAGAATGTCTCACTCCAGAGAACCCTGGGAGTTGGGGGTCTGCTGAAGGAGACAGGGCACTGGAACAAGGTCACCTTTCCAAAGAAGGTGTGGAGGAACAACTGGGGAAAAGCCAAGGTGATATTTACCCCTAATATGAATTCTCACCATCTCATGAGCCTGGAGCATGACCACATAGGAACGCCTAGTGAGGACTATGGACTATAACATCTCCAACCAGCCTTCTAGAAAGTTCTCTCAGATAACCTCAGGAACCATGGTTTATTCTCTCAGAAAGCAGCCCTTTCTAGAATTCCTCTGGCTCACTGCTAGATGAGTGGCTTTTTCGAGTTATTGTGACCACGCTGAGGGTCTTTCCTGAGGAAAGAGAGAATCACATTAAAACACCAGAGGGCAAGCATGGTGGCTCATGCCTGTAATCCTGACACTTTGGGAGGCCGATGCGGGTAGATCACCTGAGGTCAGGAGTTCGAGCCAGCCTGGCCAATATGGTGAAATGCCGTCTTTACTAAAAACACAAAAATTAGCCAGGCATGGTGGGTGCCTGTAATCCCAGCTACTCGGGAGGCTGAGGCAGGTGAATCGCTTGAACCTGGGAGGTGGAAGGGATTACAGGCATGAGCCACTGTACCCAGCCTCTGGTGTTTGAATAATTTTAGACTTATAGGAGAGTTACTATAGTATAGTATACTAGATAGTATAGAGAGTATAGTATACTATATAGCTAACTAGTTAGATACTATACTAGTATACTATAGTATATATAGCATATACTATACTATCTAGCTATCTAGTTATATATATAGTATATAACTACACTATATAGTTAGTATAGTATACTATCTACAGTTAGTATACTATAGTCAGATAGTATAATATATTATTCTATCTATAGTTAGTACAGTATACTATAGTTAGATAGTATACTATAGTATACTATACTATCACCATAACTCTCCTTTAAGTCTAAAATTAATAAGTCTAAAATTAATCCAAAATAAAACAACTGAAAAAAATGAGGGTCCTCTTTCTTTCATCACCACAATCCCAGCAGGAGACTCTCTTCCATGAGGCAGGGCCCATTTACCCAGGCGAGGGGAGCAGAACTGTCCCAAGTCCTGAAAATCAATAACAGAAACCTGGTATCTTCCCCAAGTGCCCGCTCACAGCCATTGAACAACTGCATTAACTCATGGGTGAGAACACCTTTCCTTCTTTCTCTCATTCTCAGGATCAGGTTTCTCTCCGGTTTCCTCCTGCCAACACTGGCCTCCAGCACATAAGGCAGCACATCTGGTGAGGAGCTGTCTAATCTACACCTGCCTTAGGAAGCAACTTCCCCCTTACCCTCATACTGGGCCAGAATCTGGCCTCTGCAATTCTCCTGATCGAAGCTTGAAACATTTTGCCAAGTCTTCACCTGTGGGTCCTACCTGTAAAGCCATTGGGTTAGAAGAAGATGGGGTTTAATAATTTAATAAGCCACACAACTTTGTATGTAGTACAAAAGGGTTGACATTTCCTGTCTTTCAAAGAATAGAGATCAATAATCATTTTTAAATGGAAAACAAACCAACCACATCCCTTTTCCCAAAAAGCTGGAAACTTAGACTCATGGTTCTGGGATATGAACTTGCTAGGGATGATAACAGCTATAATTTATTGGCCACCATCTCTAAGCTTGGCATTCTTTGGCATTTTACAAAGACAGTCCGCTGCCCCCAGACCTACAGGGCACAATTTGGAAAACAGAAAAAAAGATTCCCCTTCCTGGCAGACATAGACTCCAAGGCCAGGCACAAGGCATGGTGAGAGGATGTAACCTGCTTCCAACCCTCCATCCCATCTTCACCCTTTCCCTGCCCTACTCCCTCCTGGGCAGTTTCGGTCTCAACATCTCATGGCTTAACAAGATGATACCCAGCTGAATTGCGGATCTCTGCCTTCTCAGCTGCATGCAACATTATATAAGTTACTCTTTTTAATTCTTTCAAGAGCTCTGCAAGGTAGGTATCAGTAAATCCATTTTTCAAATGAGGAAACAGAAAACAGATATTTTTTTGACATGTTCAAGATCATAGAAAGTGATCTTGCTGCATCCGTGTGCAAGAAGTCAGGATTTGACCGTGGGTCTCTCTGACTTCACAACAGATGTTTCCAATTACTTCCAGGATCACGTGATAGAATGGACACCGGAACATTGCCGGAAGCAAGCAGACTACCACATGGGGCAGTAATTGCTGGCAGAAGTCACATCAACCACTCATCCTGCTCATTCTGTCCTTGGCCCAAAGCAGCAAGTCTCTTGCTATCATTTTTTCTTGGTAAGAACTCAAAAAAGTGACAGGAAAACTGAGAAATTTTATTTCCTCAGATTTGAGGTTGAGGAGCAGACTGGCCTGGCAAGGTTATTCTCCAGAAGAGAAGTAGTGGAAACAGCTGAGTTGGAACTCGTGTCCCAGGGGTGTTCAGGGTGCACTGAGGGGCATGCTGTGAGCACATGGGCTTTGGAAGGCAGTGGAGTGTCATGGAATTGAGCCCATAGTATGGAAGAGATGCAGAATCTTTAACAAAAATTGCCAAAATCACAAAAATGGGGGAATGAAGAATCATCATAGCTAAAATGTATTCACTAATGTCAGTAGCAGTTCTTGGAGCTTTGGATATGTTAACTCATCAATCCTCACAACAACTCTACTAGGCAGGCACTATTATTGTCCTATTTTAGGAGTGAGGAATCTGAGAAACAGAGAAGTTAAGTAGCTATTCCAAGGTAATCCAGACAGACCATGAGCCAGGACCACTCCAGAGCCTGGGGCCCTTGGGGAGTAACACATGGAGCTTCATGTTTGCATCTGGTTAGGATGGAAATGACACAGTCATGGGGACTGGAGCTGGTGAAGAATCACACTCCAAAGAGGTAAAATGTTCAATCAGAATCCTAGAGAGAGCCTGGGGTTGCTCTGAGCCCTGAAATAGGGGTCCAAGCAAACCAAGCAACCAACCAACCAAAGAACAGGAGGCACCCCATGGGCTATACTAGTAATAAAATTAAATAAAAATATCAATAACTGCTTTAAGGACCAGATTCTGTGCTTAGGATTTTTTTTTTTTTTTTGGGACAGAGTCTTGCTCTGTTGCCCAGGCTGGGGTGCAGTGGCGCGATCTGAGCTCATTGCAACCTCCGCATGCCGGGTTCAAGCAATTATCCTGCCTCAACCTCCTGAGTAGCTGGGATTGCCAGTGCCTGCCACCACACCCAGCTAATTTTTTGTATTTTTAGTAGAGACAGAGTTTCACCATGTTGGACAGGCTGGTCTCGAACTCCTGACCTCAGGTGGTCCACCTGCCTCGGCTTCCCAAAGTGCTAAAATTACAGACATGAGCCACCATGCCCGGCCTGTGCTTAGGCATTTTAAACATATATTCTCATTTAAACTTCACAAGAAGCCCATTGTACAGATGAGGAAACTGAAGCCGAGAGAGAGATTAAATAACTTCCCCCAGTCACACACCTCATAGGTGACAGCTAGGAATCCAGGTCAGAAACCAGCCTCTCACTCACTGGCTCTTTAGTGCTCTCTCTTGTTGGGGAGGACACCAATTTCCTCTCAAGCTTCTAATTTCAGAACATCTATATAAGGTCTGTTCAGTTGGGAGCAATAAGATCTTATGATGAATTGAGAAAGTATAACAGCAGCATGTCACACATAAACTTTTTAAACACAAAATGCACTTATATATTGTGCGATGAATGGTGGTATAGCTTGTGAAGGGACAGAAGTTTCATAACATGGATGGTGCCTATCAGGACTTATGATATCAATAAGGAGAAAACATATGCATGACTGACACAATAAAGCGTGATGAATTGTCTATTTTCTGGCACAAGCAAATCATGTCACAGGGAGTAGAGAAGAGGGGAACCATAGAGGCTGGAATCACTAGGGACTATAAAATCTAAGTTAGAAAATCAATACCTAGTAAATGAGATTTGAGATATGCAAAGTCACCTTAAAGAGATAGGATAATAAGACTTGAAAAAAGTGCAAAGCTAAATCATCCTGGATGCACCTTCTTGGTGTCCTAGCTGGTATCTATGTTGATTTTAGTCAATGCTCATGTTATACCAACTGTTAAGTATTTTGACTAGCCTCCTGCTATTAGTCAGGATAGCCTAGGTTGGCTATTATAGCAAATGACCCCCAAATATTGTGGCTTATGACAAGGATTTTTTTGTCATGCATTCTAGAAAGTCATCGAAGCTCAGCTGCAGCTCCGCTCCATACTGTCCCCACTGTGGGGCCCATGCTAATGGAATAGCCTCTATCTGGAGCATGGTGAAGCATGTGCTTACTGTTCAAGCTCCTTCCCAGTAGTGACACAAGTGACTACCACTCACCTTTCATTGACCAGAGACAGTCATATGGTCCCACCTGAGTTCAACAAGTCACCACTATGGATTAACAATAGCATTCTGCCAAGGTGTGAAGAAACACCATGTCTTTTGGGTGGGCGGTAAGGCTTCATATGGAATACAGAAAAATCTAAGTCAGAGAGGAAAAATATGGCAGTGCTCACCTAGGCCCTGTCCAGGGGACCCAATGCCTGGGAGCCCTTCTAGGGTCACATGTACATCCCTGAGGATCTCTTTTCAACATAGCAATCACTCTGTGATCTGTTCAGGGTCCAAAGACAGGCAAGGAGAACAAAACTATCAGGCATTTGCATACGTCTACTGCCCACATCCTCACATTCACATAATGGTTCTGGCTCTGCCGGACCCTCTCTTGAAATAGTGGACTTAAATACCCTTTAACTGTAATTAAAACACCATGGTATTGGCATAGGAATGGACAGGAAGATCAATAGAACAGAACAGATAGCCTTGGAATGTATAAAAACTTAATTTATGATAAAAAAGACATCTTGGATAAATGGGGAATGGATGAATTATTCAACAGATAACATTAGGACAGTTGGTTAGCAAATTAGAAGAGAAAATCAATTTCTAGCTTAATTCATACTACACACCAACATAACTTTAACTCCAAATGGATTAAAGAATTAGAAAAGTATATATTGGTAAAGCCATAAAACAAGAAGATTCTCCTCATTCACACCCATTCACCCCAGCATAATTACTTTTAAGTTTTTCTTAATAGAATAAATCATACACAAAACAAACATTATACAACACATTTTTTTAAAACGTTTCTTTCTGTCGAAACAACAACCAAAGTTAAAATGCAGCCTGGGGACAAATATCTACAGACAGACAAAGATTAATATCGTTTAACATATAAAGAACGAATACAAAATACGACAAAAACATTTTATGGTGCATAGAGAAAAATGGACAAAACGCTTACATAGACAAGTTATTAGAAAAGGTAAAATTTAAAAACACAGAAAAACATTCAAATATTTTACATGAGTAATTCAAATATTACATGAGTAATTAAAGAAGTACAACTTATTGCAACCCTGAGGGCCATTGCTAATAAATCGAGACAAGTTTTTTTAAATGGTAGAATCCAGTTCTATAAAGGGAGTGTTTTTATATGTTTTGATTAGTTATTTTACTTGGTAAAACTCTTTTAGAAAGTAATTAGGCGATGTATGATGACTCTTTAAAATATACTAATATGCCCTAGTATTAATACTTCTCACAATGTATCCTAATGAGATAATCTCAGATATGGAAAAAATATTTTATGCACGAGCATGTTCATCTCAATATATTTGTAATACTTAAAATTTAAAACAGCATGAATTCAGGTAAGATGTTAAAGCAAATTATGATAACATATTTGTACTTGATGGCCTATTACTGAAATGATGCTTGCCAAGAATTTAAGATAACACATGGAAACGTTTTTGTTATGATGCATGTAAACAAGGCAGTCTATGAAATGAATGCATGTACAATATAAAATTATGTAGAGCCTCCCTTTGTATCTGTCTGAGCTAAAAAAATTATGCAGAGCAAAATCATGAGATAAAAAAATCAGAAAAGATTAATTGTGTTTGGCTCAAAACCATTAATTATTATGTCTACTTTTCTGTATATTTTATTTACTTATTTTATTTTATTTTTTTTGAGACAGAGTCTTGCTCCATCCATCACCCAGGCTGGCATACAGTGGCACCATCTCAGTTCACTGCAACCTCCACCTCCGGGGTTCAAGCAATTCTCCTGCCTCAGACTCACGAGTAGCTGGGATTACAGGTGCACACCACCACGCCCAGCTAATTTTTGTATTTTTACTACAGAGGGGTTTTTACCATGTTGGGCAGGCTGGTCTTGAACTGCTGACCTCAGGTGATCCACCCACCTCCACCTCCCAAAGTGCTGGGATTACAGGTGTGAGCCACTGCACCCAGCCCGCATACTTTAACTTTTCTCTAAAGATCGTGCATTACTTTTATGACAGAAAAATAAGCATCTTCATAATTGATAGTAATAATTGAGTTTTGACTGTGTCAGGTGCCAAGCTTTGGGCACTTTAC
The DNA here is from genome assembly GCF_000001405.40 of Homo sapiens. Lineage (NCBI taxonomy): Eukaryota > Metazoa > Chordata > Mammalia > Primates > Hominidae > Homo > Homo sapiens. Next base: position 38,312,681 of record NC_000005.10, on the reverse strand, counting down.
AAAATCAGGACAAGTACCTACAACCAAAGGCAGAAGAATAACATCTAACACATTTTAGATGCCAGATATATTTTAACTGATCCCATATATTTATCCTGTAGGTGTTATTATCATCCCTGTTTTACATATAAGAATCTGAGGTGGCCAGGCGCGGTGGCTCACGCCTGTAATCCCAGGACTTTGGGAGGCCGAGGCGGGCGGATCACGAGGTCAGCAGATCAAGACCATCCTGGCTAACATGGTGAAACCCCGTCTCTCTAAAAATACAAAAAATTAGCCAGGCGAGGTGGCAGGCGCCTGTAGACCCAGCTACTCCGGAGGCTGAGGCAGGAAAATGGCATGAACCTAGGAGGTGGAGCTTGCAGTGAGCCGAGATTGCACCACTGCACTCCAGCCTGGGCGACAGAGCGAGACTCTGTCTCAAAAAAAAAAAAAAAATCTGAGATACAGAGAGATAGAGTAACTTTTGCAAAACCACACAGCTGGTGAGCATGTGATGGAACCACGATTTGAACCAAGACAGATTGGCTCCAAAGCCAGCACTTGTAACCACACCATACAGAGATTATTGCATTTAATCATCACAACACCCCTGGGAATAAAGTAACTATTATTATACCGCATTATAAATGAGAAAACAGGCTTTGAGAATTAAATGACGATGGTTACAGGGCTAGCAAGAATGGACTCATACCCCAGAATCCCCTCCCCTTCCAAACCACTGGATTAAATTGCCTTGTGAAATAAACAATATATATATAAGTCCCATACTTCTCTCTTTTTTCCTCTGCTGCTCCCTTTTTCTTGGTTAAGGGAATAGAGCCTCATTGCTCAGTTTGTCGTTTGTCCAAGGACCTCCTGTAACCATTCCTTCCTTCTGTTTCTTTGCCTTTTTTGCATCCCCTTCTCATTGTCAGCAACTCTAGGATTGCCAACTTCACTTCAAGTTTGTGATTTGTTAAATATCTTGGTAGGGAGGGAAGTGTAAGGGCTTTTCAATGTTTTATAGATGTCTTTATTTCCATTCTTGCTGTCATTATTGCCAAAAACAGAAGAAACGAAAAAAATGCAAAAAACAGGCAGGTTTGTCCATCAATGGACGAACAAAGAAAATGTACACACACAATGGGATACTATTTAGCCTTTTAAAAAAGAAGGAAATCTTGTTATTTGCAACAGCATGGATGAAACTGAAGAACACTACATTAAGTGAAATAAGCCAGGCACAGAAGGACAAAGATCGCATGATCTCACTTACATATAGGATCTTAAAAAGTCGAACTCACAGAAACAGAGTAGAATGGCGGTTACCAGGCAGGGGCTGGGGGACTGGGGAGATGCTGGTCAAAGGATACAAAATTTCAGTTAGACAAGAGGAGTAAGTTCAAGAGGTCTATTGTACAACATGATGACTGCAGTTAATAATAATGGATACTTGAAAACTGCTAAAAGAATAGATTTGAAATGTTCTCACCACAAATAAATGATAAGTATGTGTGTTGATAGACTTCCATTAGCCATTCCACAATGGCTGCATATTTCATAACACCATGTTGTACACCATAAATAAATATAATCTTTGTCAATTTTTAAACATTTGAAAAATAGACAGGTGGCTGCTGTATAGGAAATGCGACCAACCCATGGTTCCAAGTGGGAGAAGGAATGGCAAGGATCCAAGCAGAGGAAGGGTCGCAGGGCAGTGGGAGATTAAGGACGGGGTAGGTGCTGACCCCTGCATCTCTCTAGGGCTGTCCCCATCACAAGGCTCTGTGGCATAGCCAAAGTGTCACCCTCAGATGATCATTTTTCAGTAGTTCTCACACGTGAACAACTCTTTGTGACAAGGAAAGAGTTTATTGGCCAAACTGGCTTAAATAGTGGCGTGTCAGGTCAAGTGCCTGCGAAACAAGAATCTTTAGAAAGATCTATATCACTACATCTGCCACCTTGTGTTATGTTCAAAAATCGCCTGCAAATTCAAGCCACAAGGGTACATATGGATAATGGCCTTAATATTTATGTTAAGGCATTAGGGAAAAAAATTGATTTTTTTTTTCTTTTTGGGAGTTAAATCATAACACTCAATCAGAGAGATTCCTAGAGAAGGAGGTAAAAGAATGAAGAAGGTAGGAGGGAAGAAAGGAAATTGTACAGAAGGCATGGGTAGAATAGCTTCATATGAAAATAGCTAAAGAATAATTTTAACAGTTTTTGAGCCCTCCCTGTGTCACACAGGGTCTGACAAGTGCATATGTAGAACTCATTTAATCTTCATAGTCACCTCATGTAGTAGGTTGTTATATTATTCCCAGTACACAGATGAGGAAACTCTGGTACAAAGTGTACAGATAGTAAGTGAGAGAGCATGGATTTGGACTCCAACTCTCTCACCCTGGAGCCCACAGCTCTCAACCACTTTCCTAATCTGAAGAAAGCAACCTCAGAGCAAAACAGTGGCTTACAATAAATAAATGAAGAGGAGGAAAGATTATACTGTTTGGGGATTTGGAGGATTACCAGCTAGAAAAACATATGTGAAAGGTCATCCCAATCTGTTTAGCCACTTTAAAAGATAAGACTTGACTGTTGCTCTAGGGATGAAATAGCATCTAGTGTCAATGCTTCTCTGTGTGTTCCTCAAACACTCGGCAATCCTTGAGGTCCTGAATGGTGCTAGCAACTTGGAATTCCCCATCATGGCCTACTTGAGCCATCGCTGTCATGGCTGATGCCATCGTCTGGCATTACACTAGCAGTGGCATTTGGTGTTACTGTGCAATATTGGGTCACTGTCATTTATTAAGGTGTAGGCAAGTTGGATTTTGCCTGTCCCCTAAAGAGCTAAATTTACTGTCCTGAAGTGGACTGGCTGTCCCCTTTGGATGTTGTACCGGAGTGAGAGGGACAATTAAACAAAAGAAGCAAGTGCTAGGCTGAAATATAAGCATTCTCAGACACCAGCCACACGGGGAGCTGCAACCTTCATGTATGCTTTACGGTACAAACACAGTGTTCTTGACTCAAGGCTTTAGGTCACATTGTCCAAGTGTTCCTTTGCTTACAATGAGTACACACAGCTGATGGTTGTGGGCTTCTCAGTATGGGGTACATTGGGCTCAAAAAACAGAAAAGGAGAGAGAGGGCAGAGCAATTCACACCACAGGCTAATGGGGTGAGGCAAAATCTCACTGCCTTTCACTCCCTCAGTTTCTTTTCCCTACTAGTGCTAGTGATGGGCTTAAATATAATCAACATGCAGTGGGCAAGAGAAGAGTGAAATGTTTTCATTACTGTTTGCATGTCTCAACCTTGCCTATACTCAGTGGTGTGCTGGTAAAAGTTTTTCCGAAAGACCCAATTTGTAGAGCATACCAATTTCTGTGGTGTAAATACTCATACCATGGCCAATTTTAAGTTACCATTGTAGTATCAATGAACATGACTTTGGGAAGAGATGTGCAGTAGCACATTATTATGTAGTATGTACTTCCATGGTACAAATAGTAGATGTAAATAACTTCAAGAATACAGACAACACAAAAATGTAGTAAAATAATTAGTAAGTGATGAGTTTTGAGCATTTGATGATAAATTCATATAACATAATTTAATTTTTAATAATGGCTATGTTGGCAGCTGGTTTGCAAAATCCCTGAAAATTTAACAATTGGCTCTTGTGAGTCTGTAGGAGCTGTCTCTAGTACACCAGTGTTCCTAATTCTATACAGCTACCAACACAACATTTCAGATTCCTAGCTAGTCAGAGCCCACATATTGTTGTACAGTTGGGCAATGCAGTGCACAACCTGTTCAACTCAACACAGCAACCTTGTAGGTGATATGCAAACCAGGGCGTATCTTGGTTCTTCATTCCGGATTCTTTCTTCTCCCACAGTGCTCTTCTGTCTGACTACCTTGGTGAGATGGGCCTGATAGAAAGGAGCATTTAAGAGCTCTCTGACCTCTATCTCTTTCCCTAGAGTCAATCATCATCCTCATCTTCCTTATTGCTACCTTTTTTTTGAGCATCTATTCTAGTTCTGAGTTCTTAACATAATTTACTTTTAAACCTTGGGGTGACCCTAAAAGTAAGCATTAAATATCCTAGTTTTTGGATGAGGAAACCCAAGAAAGTTTAAGTAACTTGCTTAAGGTCATGCAGCTAGGAAAAAAAATGCCAAAGCCAGGCTTCTGATCCAGATCTGTCTGGTTCCAAAATTGGTGTTCTTCCAATGACACCAAGTTGCCAAGCTTCTTTCCCTTGGTACATCCCAGCCTTCAGCATGCGGAGGGTCTCATGAGCAGAAGTCACCCAGTCAGAGCTTCACCAAGGGAAAAGAGAAAGAGCAATAAGGACATTGACAAGTGGCCCCATTGGCAGGCAGGGCCCCACAGCCCTGTGAAGGAGGTAACAAAAGGGACAAGAGTAGGCCTGGCTGATTTTAAAATGTTAACAAGAACTCTGTGGCTGTGCCACTTTGGTGTAGTAAAGGCTACCCTTTTGTCTTTTATTTAGCAATTGTGAGAGGGGAGAGGTTTTGAAAGGGACTATTTAAAAAGCACGTAGAGGAAGAAGTCTGTTTATTCCTAAGGGGACATCTTTCCAACAACATATTTTTCTGGGAAACTATTCTTTCCCACACAACAGTATGGTGATGGAATAACCAGGCCTTCCCCAGAAGCTGGAAAGGAAACAAACTGAAACAAACTGAGACCCAAGAGTCAGAGCATACCAGAGAAACATCAAGACAGCAGTCAAAGCCAAGAAAGCCATGCCCACCCCTCAGGCTGGACTGGGCAGCAAGGCCACAGGTCACTGTAACTCTGGGGTCAAAAATGTTGGAAAATCCTACCCAGTGAATTTGTAGATCCTTAGGCATATGGTCCCCTGCATGTCTAAGCAGTTTCCAGTATTTCTTTAGTTGGACTGACATGCAAAGAGAAAGATCACTGGCAAGAGAATAATATGCAAAGAGTAATAGGAAAAACAGCAGCAATTTTTTCAGAGCTGTGTGACAAAGTGGAGCTCAGCAGAGATTTAGGGCTACACCAGGTATGGATTAGTCCATTCTCATGCTTCTATAGAGAGCTGCCTGAGACTGGGTAATTTATAAAGGAAAGAGGTTTAATTGACTCACAGTTCCGCAGGCCTGAAAGGCCTCAGGAAACTTACAATCATGGCAGAAGGTGAAGGAAACATGTCCTTCTTCACATGGTGGCAGGAAGAAAAAGGGCTGAGTGAAGGGGAGCCCCCCATAAAACCATCAGATCTTGTGAGAATTCACTCATTATCATGAGAACAGCATGAGGGATACCATCCCCATGATTCAATTCCCTCCCACTGGGTCCCTCCCATGACATATGGGGATTATGGGAACTACAATTCAAGATGAGATTTGGGTGGGGACACAGAATCAAACCATATCAAGATACCAGGTGCAACAGATAGACAAATAAAAATAGGAATATGTTATCTGTTACTGAAAAACAACCCCAAAACTTAATGGCTTAAAATAATGATATTATTTATTTATTCACAATTCTTCTATTTGGGCTGAGCTTGGTGAAAACAATTTGTCTCAGCTCCACACAGCATCAGTGGGTTGGCCTGACTATGACTGGAGGATCCACTTCCAAGATGACTTACCCACACTGGGGACTAGGCACTAGTGCAGTTGGCTAGAAGCTCAGCCGGGGCTAGCGATCCAGGGCCTTGGTTCTTGGTTCTTGCTGCCAGCCGGGTTTATTGATTCTCCTGTGTGAGGACTCTTCATATAGTAGTTACACTGAGCTTCCCCACAGTATAATTCTCTTAGGGTACTTAGATTTCCTATGTGCAGAAACTGTTAGGACTTTGTAAGGCTGAGGCCTGAAATTGACTAAATATCACATCTTCTGCATCCTATTGATTAAAGCAAATCACAGGGCTGCCCCTGTCCAAGGAGAGGGTACTACAGAAGTGTGTGGATACCCACAGGAGGCATCATACATTGGGGAATCACTAATGTAATAGACAAAGAGTGATCTTTCTCACTAGTCTGAGGAAAATTGTATATTCCGCATGTAACTACAATGTATATATAAATACAATAAATTAGGGTTACATGAAAGCAAAAAGAACATAAATCATAGAATAGCACCAATAGCTGCCACTGCAATTCAGTAAAATGGCCCTGAACATGAGATATCGAACTATAATAGCCATCATGGGGGAGGAACGGTAGCTTTCCTGTGAGCCCAGAGGCCAGGCCAGGCCAGGCCACCAGCAACCAGGACTTCAGCCTAGCCACGCAGCCATCTGGTGGAAAACACATGCTTCTTCTGGGGCCCATTGTCTTAGAAGAGATACTACCAAGTGATCAAATGTTGAACTTGATATGTGAGTTGGCTAACAATTTGGTGCCCCTTCAAAGTGATGCTCTCTCTTTTTAAAAAAATCACAGTAATTCAGGTAAGATTTCTATTCATTAGGCCTAGAACTTTTCCACTTTTATAATCAAGGAATCATTTATTAGACTGCTCATCTATTTCAGTCATAATGACACCATGATGAATTAGCCAACACCAAAGAGCTCTGTAGGTCAGGCCATTCTGATTACTGCTTGGCTCTACTGCCAATTATCATAACCATGGTCACCCACTCAGTCTCTGGTGATTAAGTGCTACCTCTTGGCTCACATAACCCAGTATCCCATCATCCCCACTGAATTTAGGGAGCCCACTTTGATGCAGCCATTTACACTCTCAATTCTGGCTTACACAGAAGAAGCCTCTACCAAGTTCCTTAAGGATGCCAGGACACACCTAATGAATGTCTGTCCTACTGCCTTGGTGAAGGACAAGTCCTCTGAACATTTCTGGGGTCACAGCGAGAGGGTGACATGCAGAACCTACATAATAAATTCACTCCAGTGTTCTAATCTTCCTAGTTTGGATTCCCTGGAATAATATAAAATTTGTACTTTTGCCAGTCTTTTAAATCTCTTCTCAAGACATTCAGACATGTCAGATGTTTTATCAACATTATTTTGGGGAATAAGTTTCATCCAGAGCCTACTGACCTGTTCCAGTTGGACTGGTTGCCTTTTCTATCTAGTAAATATTTGTCATTCTAGCATCTCCTTCCCACTATTATTCTGGGGACTTCTTATATCCCTCTCCTGGATTGGATCTTCTGTTTCCTGCAGCTTTGGTCCTGCGTCATGGTTCTGTCCAAGTTTTCGTGACAGTCATCCTCCAACACCTTCCTGAGAAAAGATGTAAAGGAGGTAAATGTAGTAAGAGTCTTCTATCATCCTTCATTGATAGTTTGGCTGGGTATGGAATTCTAGGTTAGAAATAATTTTCCTTCAGAATTTTGAAGTAATTGCCCTGCAATCTTCTTGCTGCCAGTATTGATGGTAAGTCCAAAGCCATTTTGATTCTTGACTTTTCTTGTTTTTGTTTTTACTTTCTGGAATTTTGTAGCATTTTCTTTTCATTTCCTGGCTTTGGTCTATTTTCATCTTTTTGTATCTCTGAACTATTTTATTGGTAATATCTCCTTGGTTTTTTCTCTTTTCTTCCTTTGTAGAATGCCTGTTATTTGTACAGTTTATGTCCTGAATTGAGGCACTAATTTTCTTTTCTCTCCTTTTTGCCATCTCTTTATTTTTTTGTTCTACTTTCCAAAAGATTTCTCCAAATTTCCTTTTAATCCTTAAGTGAGTTTTCCATTTCTGATATCATATTATTAAAATCCCAAGGCTCTTTTTGCCCTTTTGTTATTATTCATTTACTTTTATATACTATCCTGCTCATGTTTACAGTTGTAGTATTTTATCTGTCTAGGGATCTAAGTGAATACTGTTTTTTTGGTGTGTTTCTGTTACATTTTTCTTCATGGTCTCTATTTCCTCCAAGATATTTCGACTTTCTGGTGTTGGCTTTTATCTTTCATGTTAGAGGCACTGTTTAGATGCTTAGGAATCCTTGATTATCTGCTCATATTTAAGTGTTCATGAATAAAAAACTCATTGTAAACTTTGTGTGTGTGAGTGGGGATTCTTGACTGTGAACTTTACTGTAGCTGTTTTGAGAGTTTTCAATATCAATATCATTATGTTTTTCTTCTTAGGCTGGTCACATCCCAGGGAAGATCTTTCAATATCCTACCTAAAGGAACAAGTCTGACCTAAATAGGGGAACTGAGCAGGGAAGAAGACTGAGGTCTCCGCATCCCATGTATATATACTTTTCAGTATGGTACCCATATCTCCAATTGTGATGGATGCCCCCTGTTCACAGACCTTTTGCTTTTAACTAGTCTTTTGGGAAGAGGGAGGGGATTGCCTGGCTATGCAGACATTGGAAAGAGATATGGAATGCTGACACTTCTCAATCATACTTTCAATCAGTCTTCTTTATCTTCTCTTTTATCTTCTACTTCCAGAAGTACTTGGTACCAAACTCTGAGAATTTATGGGAATTCCAAAGGGTAAATCTGAAGGTTCTCAGTGTTCCTTAATGCTAGCTTTAGATTCTGTTTTCTTTCTTTCTTTTTTTTTTTTTTAATGGAGTTTTGTTCTTGTTGCCCAGGCTGGAGCGCAATGGCGTGACCTTGGCTCACTACAACCTTCGCCTCCCAGGTTCAAGCGATTCTCCTGCCTCCGCCTCCTGAGTAGCTGGGATTACAGGCCACACCTGGCTAATTTTTTTTACTTTTTAGTAGAGACAAGGTTTCACCATATTGGCCAGGCTGGTCTTGAACTGCTGACCTCAGGTGATCCACCTGCCTCAGCCTCCCAAAGTGCTGAGGTTACAGGCATGAGCCACCATGCCAAGGCTATATTCTGTTTTCTTATGTCTGTTAAGTTGTTTATCACTTTTCCATCTACCTTCCGTTTTGAAATTTTGTGACTGTTACCATTTTTTTGGAAAAAAAGCATTTATAGTAATTTTAGTGGAGCTTTGAGTAGGGGCAACAGTAGCTGTGTGTTTAACCTACACTCGTTGCCTTCAACATTTGAGCAGAAACCCAAAAAAATATTTTTGACATATACAAGCAATACTTATTTAGAAAGCTAGGCTGCTCACTACTTTAGGGAAGACAAAGAAGAGTGAGTGATCCACAGCTTCAGTTTTATTGCCTAGCAATTCAGCTCTGGCCCCAGACTTGCCTAGCTCTCTCAGCAAAACTCAGAAGCCCTATAGATAACTGGACTCATCTCCCCTACACAGCATTTTATAGACTCTTTGTTAACAAGAATTCCCCTTGAAGGTTTTACCCCATTCACTCCATCCCCAAGCATCTTTATAATATTTATCTTCCAGTCGTAAATTACTGTCTGTAAGAGGTGTTCTTGTAATTACCATTGTCTTCATCTTATATTTCCAGTGAAATTTTTACTTCCTTGTGATATTTTAGCATTCTTCAGGCGACTGCTCAGCTGCCTCTCCCCTAAATTTTTCACTGATTGAAGAGTGATGAATACTATAGTAGACTTGGGGAGACAACTCAGATTTGGGGAATGTTTTTCTCTTTAATGAAGTCCTTTAAAGAGTGTGCTGGGTAAATCCCAAGGACAATGGGTATATTTCTGCTCTTCCACAACTACTACATGCTTTTCTTCTCTATGAAATGGGAATGGCAACCCTTCCCTATCTTTCCTCACAAGCAGCTGCACAAACTGAGTTAAATGACACCTGCTAAACCCGGGTATTCTAAGAATCCAGAATGAGCTCATTATTGAATCTGGGCTGTTAAGGCATGAGGATAGCCAGGAGTAGTGAGGATGGAGGTTTCTCATGAAATCCTCACTCAGACTCTTATGGCCTGTTTGGAAAAAATACTCAGAAGCTGAGATAACTAAGGTTTGTCTCTTACCAGGTGTCAGGGAAGCTTTAGAAAAATCTATATGGTCTACTTTACAGCTACTTAAACAAGGGAGAAAAGGCTTGTTTTCCATGTTCTTTTTTTTTTTTTTTTTTGATTCTCAGACAACTTATAAATAAATCTCTTAAAGAAACAGAGTCTGAAATGTCAAGAGTCTGTGTGCGGAAGTGCTTCTGAACTGTTGGGGGAAAATGAACCCAAGAAATGGAGATAAAGTTAATTATATTTTAGAAAGGAAACCCTTCTCCTCTTGCTAATTTACTGACCATTTGTTTCATGTCAAAATTTATATTTACATTTATTCTATCTTTGAATTCTTATAATGATCTTATGAGGTAGTCATTATTATTGACCCCATAATGCAGTTAAGAAAATGGAGGCTCAGAGACTTGCCCAAGGTCATGGAGCAGGAGGATGGCCCAGCTGAAATGTGAATGCAAGCTTGTCTGATTCCCACGTCTACGCCATGTTTGTCATTATTATCCTCAAGGAACTCTGACTTTAAATAACCAGTCTACGTTACAAAATCTATACATGTGATTGAGACTGATTTTTTTTTTTTTTTTTTGAGATGGACTTTCACTCTGTCACCCAGGCCGGAGTGCAATGGCACTATCTCGGCTCACTGCAATCTCTACCTCCTGAGTTCAAATGAATCTCCTGCCTCAACCTCCTGAGTGGCTGAGATTACAGGTGCCCGTCACCATGCCCAGCTAATTTTGTATTTAGTAGAGACGGGGTTTCGCTACGTTGGCCAGGCTGGTCTCAAACTCCTGACCTCATGTGATCCACCCACCTTGGCCTCCCAAAGTGCTGGGATTACAGGTGTGAGCCACCGCCCCTGGCCTGATCTCCTCCTGTCACAAGATTAAGCAGGACCTTTGAGGCTGTCAGGGGAGGGAGATATTGGAAATTGATGCCAACTTCATACCAGGCACTGGACAACAAACTTGCCTGGCAATAAGATGCTTGGGTTGATTTAGACATGACTGGTAACCAGCTCTTCCCAAACTCTCAGAATGTAACAAGTTTCAACCTTAACGTAGCTCTTTTTCTTCCCATTATTATTTTCATCTCATTCCCACCCTACCCCCCTTCAAGCTCCATGACCCAAGCATAATTCTTTGGATTTCTATGTTAACCCTAGCACAGAAAGATGTCATAATGCTATTTAAAGAACCTGAACTATACATCACTTAAACCTACTATTGTTTTTCCCATCTCAAAAAATTCTCCTGACCCTGTTTCTCCAGGCAACTACCACCCATTTCTTTTATCCTCTTTCCAGCAACCAAGAGTCATCTATACCCACTGTCTCCGATTCCTCCCCTCCCATTTTCCTTTAAACTCCCCTCAGTCAGTTTTCACCCTCACTATGCTGCTAAAATACCTTTCTTCAAAGGCACCGGTGTCCTCTGCCTTTGCTTAAACCCCACGGCCAGTTCTCTGTTCTCACCGTACTTGACCTCTCAACAGCATTTGCAAGGTGATCACTTGCTCCTCCTGACAGTCTTCACTTGGGTTCCAGGTTTCCTTGGGAAACCCTCTCCTGGTTTCCTCCTGGTTTTACTTCATTCCCCCTGAGAATCTCTTGTGGGTTCTTCCTTATCTCTCTGGCTTCTTCATTTTTAGCACCTGGTGACCTCAACACACTTGGCTTTCAGTACCATTGTTCTGACCACAGTTTCTCCTCTGAACTCCAGACTTGTATATTCAACAGCCATCCTGACACATGGATGTCTAACAAGCAACTCCCATGTAACAACACCTCCAAGACAGAACTCCTGATCTCCCAACCACCACCAAATCTGCTTCACTCAGTCTCTCTCATCTGACTTGACATAAAGTCCTTCCTTCTAGTTGCTCAGGCTAAAAATCTCAGCATTATTCTCTGCTCCTTCCTCTTTTACGCATAACTCATCCACAGGGTCAGGAAATTCTGTTAGTTTTATCTTCAAAGTATTGCCCCAATTTAATCACTTCTCACCACCTCTGCTGCTTGCTACAACCCTGAACTAAGCCACCATCTTCTTTCTCCTGGATTACTGCAATTACCTCCTAACAGATTTCTCTGTTTCTATTTTTATTCTCAACACAACAGCCAGAGCTTTACTTCAAAATGAAAAATATGGCCGGGCGCGATGGCTCATGCCTGTAATCCCAGCATTTTGGGAAGCCAAGGTGGGTGATCACTTTATATCAGTAGTTCGAGACCAGCCTGGCCAACATGGTGAAAGCTCGTCTGTACTAAAAGTACAAAAATTAGTTGGGCATGGTGGCATGTGCCTGTAGTCCCAGCTGCTCAGGAGGCTGAGGCAGGAGAAGCACTTGAACCCAGAAGGCGAAGGTTGCAGTTAGCCGAGATTGCGTCACTGCACTCCAGCCTGGGCTGAACAGAGTGAGACTCCATCTCAAAAAAAAAAAAAAAAGAGAGAGAGATAGAGAAGAAGAGAAGAGAAGGGAAGAATACAACAGGGTTATTCCTCTGCTCAAAACCAGCAGTGGCTCCTCATTTGACTCAGTGTAAATGTGCCCCTTGGGACTGTGCATGATTTGACCCGGTGGTGCAGCCACCCAGGCCTTTATGTTCCTGGAACAGGCCAGCCACACCCCCACCTCGGGACTTTTCACTGGTTGTTCTTCATATTGCTGACTACCTCACTTCCTTTAACTGTTTAACCTTCTCAGTGAGACCAATCTGACCACTCCATTTAAAACTGCAACCCTTCTCTTTCTTTGCCTAGCATTCCTTATCCTCCTTACTTGGCAACACTTCTTACTTTTCTATAGTACTACACATATACATTGATGTATTTATTTTCAGATTGTTTATTTTTTCTGCTTGAGTATAAGTTCTATGGCAGCAGAAAACAGAGTCTGTTTTTGTTCATTAAGGCATCCCAAACACCTAAAAACACTGCCCAGCACATAATACATGCTCAATAAATACATGTCAAGTGAATCCTAACACCTTTCTGGGAGGCTGGCTATCAGAATTTGCAGCTTTCAATCATTGCAGAAGGCAAATGAAGAACCAGCATATTATCTAGTGAGGGCAGGAGCAAGAGAGAGTGGGGGAGACGTCATGCTCTTTTAAGCAACCAGATCTTGCATGAACTCAGAGTGAGATGACCTCTGGTAAATGATAGAGTATTTAATACCATCTCAAAACCCCAACACAGGAGTTTCTACTAATGATTTAAAGGCCCAGAGATGATCCAACAATCTCAGAGCAAGAACTCACTCATCACCAAGGCAATGGTGCTAAGCCATTCAAGAGGGATCCGCCCCCATGACCCAAACACCTCCTGCCAGGGCCCACCTCTGACATTGGGGATTACATTTCAACATGAGATTTGCAGGGAACAAACATCCACACAATGACACACGCCATAGCCAAGCCTCACCTTGGCTCACTGTCTTGCCACAGTGTCCTGAATTCTAAATTCTCACTGGGCTGTGGCTTCTATATGTAAGCCACATAATACATGGATACTTTTAGGTAAATGAGAACAAGTAGGCAAAAAAAGTTGTATTTTTCCACAGTAATGAGCACCTGAGTAGGCACAGTCTTGTCTGTTCTCATTCTTCCTTGTGTGTTACACAATAAAAGCCATAGCCGAGGGGCAGCACATGGTAGTGACCAAGAGAAAAGTCTCTGGACCACAGAACCTGGGTTCACAACCTGCCTCTACCACTCACTAGTTATAATTCCCAGGGGTCATTTCCTTATCTTTCTGTGCCCCAGCTTTCTCAACTGTTACATAGGAAGAAATCATTGTGCCCATATCCAATATTGTTTTAAAGATGTGCAGTTTAGGATTAAGTTAGCTAATACAAGGTAAGAAATGTGGCACTTTGGGAGGCTGAGGCAGGTGGAGTTCGAGACCAGCCTGGGCAACATGGTAAAACCCTGTCTCTATAAAGAATACAAAAATTAGCTGGGCATGGTGGTGTGCGCCTGTGGTCCCAGCAACCCAGGAGGTGGAGGTGGGAGGATCACCTGAGCCCAGGAGGTTGACACTACAGTGAGCCATGATTACACCACTGCACTCCAGCCTGGGTGATAGAGTGAGACCCTGTCTCAAGAAAAAAAATAAAAAAGATAAGAAACTTAAAACCATGCTTAATATATAATAAACATTCCACAATCTTAGCTAATGTTTGTCAATATATTTACATATTGTATTGATATTTATTTTGGTGATTTAGTGGGAGGTTTACCTTTATTGTTCACAGGCATTCAGATAGGGCTGTATAATAGAGTATTAATACCATCTCAAAACCCCAACACAGGAGTTTCTACAAATGATTTAAAGGCCCAGAGATGATCCAACGAATTGGGGCTTGTGGAAGTGTGAGCTCAATAGGACTGAGTGAGGGAGCTATTTGTACAGCACCATGCCCCTAGGGAGAGGCAGAGAAGGTACAAGGAGCTGAGATGTTTTACATCTTTCCTAATCAGAGAACCCTGGAAGACAGTACCTAAAAATTATCTCTAATGATGACTCTGACATTGCTCAAATTCAGCTGGAATTATAGTCTATTAAAGCCAAAGCCTTTAACAATGCCAGTTGCTGTACAGGCGGGAAAGAAGAAAACGTCAAAGAAAGACTCATTGCTAGTAAATGTTCCCAGCCTTAGCATGTCAGAAAACCATCTCCCCCCTGCTCTGAGCAGACAACAGATCCCCTCTTATCTACGTTGTCAAGCTTGGAGATGTTTCCGGAGTCTTCACAAGCCCTTGAAGTCTTCAGTTTTCTCCAAGCCGCTCTTCCCAGGATGTTCTTTACGTGCTGTGTGAATTTTGGCTCAAGGACACTGGATCCTGACTGAAATGCCCTGGAGCAACATTGTCCTTACGACAGTAATGGGGAGTGGATCCCAGCTGCAAGCCATCTCCTCTTTGGCCACTTCTCTTTACAAAATGATTTAGGACCTGTGGGTGCCCAGAAATAGCTCTGAATCTTTGGTGAGAGGTTTTCAGAGCTGAGAAATTACTGGTACAGCTCCTACTGCTGTAATTTGGATAGTGAGCCCAGGGACAATAAGCATGATCCTTTGGCGCTAATCACACTTACTAAAGAATGACTCTTGCTAGCTTTTTGCCTGAGAAGTGTGACTTTAAAGACCAGGTAATTGCTGCCGAGGACAGGCTCAGGGTCAAGCAAGTTTAGCGTTCTTAAAAGCTTCTTTCCATTTCAGATGTGATTTAGTCTTCATATAACCTAGGCTTTAGAAAAATTCCAAAATCCACAGTGCAGAATCCAAAGTAATAAAATATCCAACTGCCAGTTTAATGCTAAACCAAAATTGTGTGATTTGAAATTCATTGCCAAGAGATTAGATATTTTTAAAATTCTAGGAATATCTATGTTTCTGGATAAGTAAATAACGGAAAACAATGGCCTTTATTTGGCCCAAAGATGACTCTCTAAGGATACAATAAGATCCCTGACCTCTCTCAATTTAACTACACCATTATCTTTAATTTTTTAAGCTTTTTATTTTGAAATAAGTTTATACTTACAGAAAAGTTGCAAAAATAGTATAGAGTTCCTTTATATCCTTCACCCAGCTGCCTCTAATGTTAAATCTTACATAACCATAATACAATGGTAAAAATCCAAAAAAATTAACATTCATACAAATTTTGCCAGTTTTCCACTAATGTCCTTTTTCTGTTTCAGGATCCAATCAGGATCTCATATTACATTTAGCTGTTATGATTCTTAATCTCCCCCGATCTGTAACAATTCCTAAATTTTTCGTTGTCGTTCATGACTTTCACACATTTTTTTGTTTTTTGAAGAGTACTGGTCGGTTGTTTTGTAAAATATCCCTCAATTTGGGTTTGTAATTTTTTTTCACAATTAGATTGCGGTTATAAATTTTGCACAGGAATACCACAGAAGTGCCTTGCCCTTCTCAGTAAATTATATCAAGGGGTACACAGTGTCAATATGTCTTATTACTGGTGATGTTAATCCTAGTCACTGGAATAAAGTGATGTCTGCCCACTCCACTGGCAAGTGGAAAATTATATTTACATATATAATTACAAAATTACATACATATGTATGTAAAAATGCATATATTACAAATATAATTATAAAAATTATATTTTATAATTAATAAATATATTTGGGTGCAGACTACTGTGGTATTATGAATTATCCTATTTCTCTCAAACTTTTGCCCACTAATGTTGTCATCCACTGGTAGATCTTGCCTGCCTCAGTTATTATTGCAGTGTTTGCCTAATGGTGATTTTCTATTTCCCTTATTCCTTTGATGTTTATTAGTTGGAATTCTACTGTAAAGAAAATGCCATTCTCTTTAAGTGAGAGGCAGCTGAGTATACTGTGAAGCAGCTGAATTTAGATGAAACAGCATGGACTTCAGAGTCAAACTGGCTTCTGTGAGAATCCAGACTATTCAACTTACGGGGCTGCATATTCAGTAAGTTGATTCTATCATCATCACCATCATCATCATCAGATTAATGCTTACCTGCTATAAAACAACTCTTTAGCTTGGTTTAGAATAGCTAACAGCAATAAAAGTCAGAAGACTTTCTTTCCGCCTTGGCTCCTCCCACAAAGATGGAGACAACTCTTCTTCCTAACCTGAACCCATCAATACCCTATGGACCCTATTTTCCTTTTCTTTTTCTTTTTCCTGTACATCATTTCTTACCCCCACCCCAAATCCCCATGTTGAGCATCCGCAACATTTCTAAAACATTTCCTAGCCAGCACAGTTGGGTGTAACCAGGAATCAACAGACATGGCAACCCGTCCCCCACCCAACCACCAAAGTGCTTCACAATTATTTTGAGGTTTGTCTCTGATTGTGTTTTGCAATTTAAATAGCACTAATCCTAACTATATAACAAGTACTCCCCCACATTTCAGAATTGCAAATTGTACTACTTACACTGTGATATTTGCCTTCACAATATAGAGTTAAGGTCTTTTAACCCACTATCAATTGAAAAAGGAGGTTTGCTTAAACATGAAATACATTCTGCTTTACACAAGCATTTTTTCCTACCACAAGTGTGGAAGGAAGACAGGTTTTACTAGTTGCCTAATAACCATAATCTTACTTTATTGTTATTACATTTTGAGGATAGGGGAAGTTAAAAGGGGTAAATTTCACATCAAGGTCTACCTATCCATTCTAGTTTAAAATTTTAAAAGTAAGTCAGACTTCTATTTTTAATCAATTATATTCTAGACTTTCCCATGTAGTAAAATAATGAAATAATGAGAGTCTTCTAACCTACATCTGAAGCAAGGAAAAGGGGTGTTCTGTTTGGTCATTCCCTGTTCAGCAGTTTTTCAATCTAAACTTTATTCACAAGCCATATTTTTAAAAACTTTTTTAAATATATTATGTAAAAACATCCATTTATTCAAACGACCTCTCTCTGTCTTGACTACTACTGCAAATATGCTTTCCTTTCCAAGTCAAACTAATAAAAAGTGAATTAAAAAGCCCTGGTCACTGCAATATTCAATAAACTTTGTATTATAGTCAGTTGTTCAGATACAGCGGTTAGCAGGATCTAGCTGTGCTTCTTAGCCATGATGTGTTGCCATCAGCATGAGCTTCATTACAAGCATGTTATTACTAATTGTACCAAAAGTACCAAAGTTTAAGAATGAGTTGCGGCCAGGCGCAGTGACTCATGCCTGTATTCCCAGCACGTTGGGAGGCCAAGGTGGGTAGATCACCTGAGGTCAGGAGTTCGAGACCAGCCTGACCAACATGGAGAAACCCCGTCTTCACTAAAAATACAAAATTAGCTAGGACTCGTGGCATGTATGCCTGTAATCCCAGCTACTCGGGAGGCTGAGGCAGGAGAATCGCTTGAACCCAGGAGGCAGAGGTTGTGGTGAGCCGAGACTGCGCCATTGCACTCCAGCCTGGGCAACAAGAGCAAAACATTGTCCCCTCCACCAAAAAAAAGAATGAGTTGCTTTTTAAAATAAATCAAGGTAGATTTTAAGTTAAACCTTAATTAATATCATTTGGATTCAAATTATTATATACTTTCTGGAAAGGGAGATGAATGGTAAATTTATAGCTAGAACCAAGGTAAACCTGTAAAACCTATAGCCTTTCTAATTTTTTTTTTAACAATGAAAATGATGATGTATGGGAGCATCACCCTGTGACCATCATCTGCAATGTCATTTCAGCATTGGAGAGGGGTATTGGACCTTCTATGCTTATACTATAAAATTATACAACACCTGTGTATTTACTTATAGAAACTCAACTATATGCACTTGGCTATAGGGGTAGGTTAGATTACTGATAAAAAGTATTTAATCTCCTGCCCCAAAATGGAAGGAGCATACTTCTCAGCCTCTTTCACACTGGGGATGGCCATATTATTTGCTTTGGCTTCATAGTAAGCAAGGTATATATATGTCCCCACTCCTTATGTTTAAATTTAGAGATATTACCTGATTTGACCAATGAGATGTTAGCAGGTTTGATGCTTGAAGTGTTCTTGCACACTTGGGCTTCCCTCTTTTGCCTCTGTCATTGCCATGAGAAACTGATGCCCCCTTGGCCTGGGTCCCAGAATAGACATATGTGGAATAGACCGGAGTTTAACCTATAACAAGGAGTCCAAGCCCATGAGAACCTGCAGCTTGAAACACCACTGCCTTGTTGAGTCCAGCCTAGATCAGCCTGACCCCCACCAATCTGCAGAGACATGAGTGAGAATAGATGATAACTCTTACAAATCATTGAGTTTTGGTGTGGTTTTCCATAAAGCAATAGCTGGTTAGTAGAGTAATTTTAAAAAGAAAGAAACAGTAATATAGAGGGTGCTTAATGAGTGAGCACCTGGAGTGAGTATGAGCCAGGAGTCCTGAATTTACTGTTCCTTAATAGGTCTTAATTCCTATGTGCATCTGCCAGTGTGACATTCAAATCCTGAGTGAGATTTTGGTGTTTAAAGGGACATATTTTTCCTACAAATGGCTCCCAGGCTCCCAACATGAAAGTCATATGTGTAGACACCAAATCACATACGCTATATGAATAATCATAATAAAGATTTTCAAGAGTAATGTTGATTTATTACATAATTTTTATATAATGCAATATATAACCCTATATATAACCCTATAAAACCTGCAACTCCACCATTTGTATCTTGAAGAACCATATACTTTGGGGAACTAGTAAAGGAAAACAGCTAAGGAAAAAATATGTTTTCACATTTTGTGTGTGTGGATAACTGTTTATGATTAAAGTATTTCAGGAATGGAAGAAGTCCTTAAAGGAGGAATTCTTGTCAGCCAAGTCTCCATACTGTGCCAGTACAATAATAGCATTGATCATTGTTTTAAAGCCACTTAAAATTTATACAATGCACATGACTAAATTTAATCCTCACTGTAATTCTGTGGGCAATAAGTATTGTTATCCTTATTTAATTTACTTTACAAACAAGAAAACCAAAGTTCAGAAAGGTTGAAGATTCCATCTTGATGACACAGCTGAGACTGGCATAGGAACTGGAACTCAAGCCCATGTTTTCTGATTCAAATCCTATGTTCTTTCATACAAAAACAACTGCTATACTGCCCAGATTAGAAAGTCAAGGGTCTTCATAGTTTGAAGCACCAGATGAATTAAAAGGTTAAAAGTAAAAACCCTTATTAGACTAGAGTTCTCAGGCAATAGCATTTCAAACTCCTCCAAGTGGAAATGAAAAACATATGGAGTCAGAGTCTCAATGGCAGAAATAAAAGCTGCAACCTAAAAACAAACAAACAGAAAACAGGAAAAGACATTTCCAGTGAAGCTGCTTTTCACCAGGATAACTCTGTTTTATGTTCCATGGGGAAGAAAATAGACAGAGCAGGAAATTTTTTGTGATGATTAATGGTTCCCCATAGAAACTCTGACTTACCTCATCTAGTGTAATAATTATAGTTGTTCACATGGCTCTTTATGCTGTCTTTTCCTTCCAACATTGCCACAAAATTTAACTCCTCCAGAAAGTTCTCCTTGATTAATCACACATGCCACCCAACCCCCAGCCCTGATCAATCTTCTTACAGCTATTTATACAAAATTTTCATGATAGGAACACATACTTTTGCATAGTATACTTAAATTGCCTCTATGTGTACAGGTGGGTACTATCCCTTTAGTATACCTGGAATAGTTGTGCAATTTTGATACAGGAATAATATCAACTCAAGACCTGGGTGTTCAGTTAGCATTCAGCAGCGAACTGGGGAACACATGTGATTAACAAATGGGATGATTTCAAAACCTGGAAGATGAAAGCAAACTTTTAGGTTACCTGTACTTGCAAGAGACCGCCACTGGGCAGCCAACTTTTTCAATGTTTTCCTTTTAAACTTTTCATTTAAGCAGCAGTGACAAACACATGAAACACGACAAAGCCATTCCTCAAACAAACTCTTAGCCATGTAAGAACAAAGGAGTGGACAATGAAATCAGAAGGCAACTCATTTAACACAGATAAAAGAAAATGCTTTTTTTTGTCTACTGTATAATTAACTTATAAATTTGCTGTGCAGGAAATTATTGAAGCAAGTAATGTGATAAGACATTGTTAAGGATTTGATTAGGAATATTCTGTTTCTGCACATCTGGGGGGAAAATGAGAAAGGCCACTTATCTTTGGTTAGAGTGAATCACCATCTGTGGCCAGAAGTTTCTGTCTTGGGCTCAGCATTTCAAACTGAAGGTCAATATTAACAAGCAGGGGTTGGGGTTACCATGTTAGAAAACTTCACAGGTTGCAAAACCCAGAAAGTGACTCCATGGACGAGGCTGGGGCCATTGATTGTGCTGTTACTTCTTGACGCAGAGCTCTGCAGTGCAATAGAAATCTAAAAGCCATTCTTCAGAAACATGTAAGCGAGGAAGAGCCAGGTGGAATTTCCCTCTTCGGTCCATGCCATTTTTCTTAGACTATGAAAAGTGCAACTCTGAATACCAGGTGACAGCCCTGAAGAGTTGCTTCCTTTTTCTAGCCCTGAACCAAACAAAGCCAAAGGTTTTTGTCACCTCCTAATCATTAGCAATCCTTGGCATATGGCTGAGAGTGTCAGGTTTCTGGGCAATTTTCCTTAAGGTTAATTGCATTCTCTTTGTCATGTCATCAGAATTGAGCAAACCATTTTCATTCCACTTCTATTTCTAATGGGAATAATGACAGGTACACATTTCCAGATAAGACACGTGGAGACACGTGGAGAGGAACCTGCTGCAAATTGCTGGAAACCACCCTGCCCTCATGAGTCAGCTCCCTCTTCTGTTCCTACTCAGGAGTGGAAACTGCAAGTGGCCACACAGATGCCAGAGGTTGGGTGAGTAGAGAAGCTGGTAGTGGTGCAGGAAGCAGAGAAACAGAAAACCTTCTCCTCCCCAAATCCAGACTTCAGTGTGACCTTTGGGAAGGTCAGCCAACATGGGCCGAAAATGAAATGAATATGCATATGGATATTGTGTGCACATTTACAGTCATATTTACCTGCCTTATTCCACCAAATATTTGAAGCAACTTAATAAAATACAGTCCATGCCCCCAAGGAGTCTACAGTCTAATCCAGAAAAAGATCTCTAAGTGTATCCCTGCTATGCGAGACACCACAGAGTGAGTGTGGCAGGAGCATAACTGACCCCTGCAGGGTTTTGTTTTGTTTTTTTTGGAGACGGAGTCTCGCTCTGTCAGGCTGAAGTGCAGTGGCGCTATCTCGGCTCACTGCAAGCTCCGCCTCCCGGGTTCACGCCATTCTCCTGCCTCAGCCTCCCCGAGTAGCTGGGATTACAGGCGACTGCCGCCACCACGCCCGGCTAATTTTTTAAGTATTTTTAGTAGAGACGGGTTTCACCGCGTTAGCCAGCATGGTCTTGATCTCCTGACCTCGTGATCTGCCCTCCTCGGCCTCCCAAAGTGCTGGGATTACAGGCGTGAGCCACCGCGCCCGGCCGACCCCTGTAGGGTTTTAAAGGAGAGAGGCAGCATCCCAGAGGGCAAAAAGGGCTTCATTCATGGAGAAAGCAACTGAGCTGGGCAGAGCACAGACGGAATTTGAATTGGAGGCCAGAGGCAAAGGGAACTCCAAGTGGAAGAAGAAACGGCATGAAAAAAGGGATTGAGAAGGAAAAGGACAAGATGGTTTGGAGAGAGGTCAGTAATCCATTTTTTTTTTGGTTAGAGCACAGAGCTATCTCCAGTAGTAGCAAGTAGTAAGAGGTCAGGGTGAACAGATAGTGGGTTTTGGAACAAGACTGGGTTTAAATCTTGCTCACTGCACTGTTCTGTAACATGTGCTGTCAATGCTCATATCCTGTCGGGGTTATCGGCACAGTTCCAGAAAACTGAAGCTTCCTCGCCTCTGCTTATGGGTATATCCTGGCTGACAGCTTGTGCTTGGCTACTGTGGCAGGGCAGGTGGACTTGCTGGGGAGTTAACATCTCAAGAACAAGTCTCAACCAAGGAGGGATAGGAATCGGTGGAAAACTAGTCCAGCTCCTTAGCCCACAGTGCGGAGCGCTGTTCTACAGGCTCTCAGAGGGTCTGCAGCTGTGCTGAGCCCCAGCTGCTCACAGTGGTGACTCACTCATCACATTACTGACCCTCTACCCCGACCCTTCCTTGGGCTTCCTGGCACCCAAGTCTTCATCTCTGTGGTCTGATTTTGGAAAAATCCAAACTAAGACACTCTTTAATGCTCAGTTTGCTCATCTGTCAAATGTGGGTAATAATGTCCACCTGAATAACTGTTGTGAGCTAAGATAATGGGTATAAAGAACCTAGCAAAGTGCCTGACAGAGTAAGTGCTTCACAAATATTGGCTATTCATTAAATGTTAGAGATCCTTACATTCTGGGCTGTTTGATAGTGGGAACTGCCAAAAGACTTTAAGTAATGGAGTGCTTTGAGGAGACTACCGTGGCCTTCCTTAGAGGACCTTGGCCTTCTTTGGAGAAACTTAGTCTTGAATGCAGGACCCTGGCCTTCCTTGTATATCCCTAGTCTTCATTATAGAATTCTTGCCTTCAGTGTAGGATATCCGATATCCATTTCTCCATGCGTTCCAAGCCCATGAGAGGTTTACATGTTTCTGCCATGTGACTCGTTCTGGCCAATGGTTGTGAGTGGAAGTTAGTGTCATTTCTTGAACAGAACATTTGTCAGTGTGAGATCCTTCTGTCCACTTTCCTCCTCTATCAGAAACTGACAAAATTCTAAGTAGTGGAGCTTGGGTCACTCAGTAAAGATGCTTCAGAGATCAGTCTCTTATAATCTACCATGGCAGTGTAGCATGAACCACATTTGTTTCAAGCCATTGAGGTTTGTGGCTGCTTGTTGCTGCAGCATTATCTAGCTTACTCCGACTAATACAGATGGGTATGAATCAGAAACACTGAAAGTAAGCTAGTTAGGAGCCTATTACAGGTTTCAAGTAAAAAGAATCTGAAATAAGACCTGGAAACTGAAATGTGGGGGCGGGGAAAGAAAGAGTAATTGCCAAGGAAGAAGAATTAGCAGGTAGAGAAGGAGAGGAAAGGAATTAAAGATGACTCCAGGATACAAGCTTAGCAAACTGAAAGGAAGATGATATCATAAAAGAAAGAGGCAAGAGTAGAGGAAGAGGGGTGTCAGGGAGGCTGGTTTGCTATGAGACCTGAGTTTAAAGAGGTTCTGCTTTGTACCACCAAAGGAAGACTTCCTATTCCCACTCCCCCATAAGGGCAGGAATTGGATTAATAAGGAGATGAGCCACAGAGGGTTTCTCTAAGGTTACCCTCATAAAAGCATGTGGTGATCACAGACCCAATTATAGGACATGAGGGTGGGGTAGCTTCTACTTGGGGCTTGCTTCTACCTTATAACACAGTGCTTTCCCTACCACTCAAAACCACCCCAATATTGAAGAAACAACACATGTCTGGTCTACAGAGCCAGAGAAGCAGTTGCTCAACAATTTGGTTAATTTAATATTGTCTAGACAACTGAAATATGTAACTTGTTAAAGAAAAAACAAATATTTGTTATCTCCTTTCTTATAGTCTGAGAGTCTTTTACCACAAGAAAATTAGCATTTAGTCTGTCCTAAGCTTCATTATGTAACTGAACAATACCACTTCTCTCCAATAATTGGTAAGAGACCTATATTTTCTCAGCTCATGAACCAAAGCGTTAGGAGCTCAAAACTCCACTCTCAAATCTTAAATGTGAACTATTCAGTCAAACTCTTGGCTATTATAAAGTTTTATGAAATCATTTAGTTTTTCTAGTTAAAGTACAATTGTGAAAGGAGGGCCTTCTATTTGATCAGATGGCTAGAATAATAATATGCATAATAGATTATATCACAGTGGAGACCCTATCTTTCCTGGCAATATGTTTTTTCCATTTTCCAGTTTTGAAACTGACCACCTTTCTTTCATAACCCCAAAAGTTACAGCTATTTTACTAATTATATTGAAAGTCCTAGAAGATGTCATGAAAATTGGATAATACAATAAAACAGCCTTACCACATATTAAAGCCCTTTTATCTTTAACAGTTTTTTTAAATCTGCAGACCATCTAACCTGTGCAGTGAATTTTCATTTATATAAAACTACATTAATAAAAATCTATATTAAGAAATTACACTGAAAAAGCAGTTCATAATGTACCTTTCAGCTTTATAATTAGTTCTGTAATCTGTAATCAGATGATTTAAATCTAATATAGTTAAATTACAAACTAAGTAATTTCTATTTCCAACAGGAATCATTATATCTTTGGAATTTTCCAAAGCGTTAATGGGTTTCAGAGAAATTATTATATTTCTCACTCACTGTGTTCCCAGAAGTTAGCACAATACCTGGCATATGGTAATTAAATAAACAATTGCTAAATGAATACACAGATATGTAAACATTAATGACTGATTAGCAAAATCACGTTGATTTGTCATTGCCCCACTTAGGGCATAAAAGATACTCATTTCCACATCTCAGCTTAGAACATGGATCAATTTCCTTCTGACTGGTTGGGAGTTCATTCCAACTAGATGATGCCTCTGCCTTACCAGTCATTAAATAGAAATATGCTTGTCTTGGCCAGGAGCAGTGGCTCACACCTGTAATCCCAGCACTTTGGGAGGCCGAGGTGGGCAGATCACTAGAGGCCAGGAGTTTGAGACCAGCCTGAGAAACATGGCGAAGCCCAATCTGTACAAAAAATACAAAACTTGGCTAGGCATGGTGGTGCACACCTGTGGTCCCAGCTACTCAGGAGGCTGAGGCAGAAGGACTGCTTGAGTCCAGGAGGCAGAGGTTGCAGTGAGCCAAGATTGTGCCACTGCCCTCCAGGTTGGGCAACAGAGTGAGACCTCATCTCAAAAACAAACGAAAAAAAAAGGAGGGCTGCATTGAACCTACTGCCAACTAGGCTCTGTGCTAGGCACATATACGCCTTAACTCATAGTAGCATTATATGCCATAAACCATAAAACCCCAAAAGGTAAATGATTTATCCCCATTTTACACATGAAAGAAAAAAACTGAAGCTCAGGAAGATTATGGAAACTGACCAAGGTCACAAATCTAGGAGGTAGGATTGTAAAGTACATCTACCTGGCTTCAAGATCTATTACCTAGAACTAATCACATTGTTAGCAACAGTGATCTTGGGAGACAAGAATTTTGTAAACCAAAGTGCCATACAAATACAAAGCTATTGTTATCATAATCTGTCAATTTCCTGTGTTTCTATCATTGCCCTCATAGGCCCTCTTGTCTGAAGTTGATGAATACCATTTAATATATCAGTCAAGTACTTTATTTTGTCAGGGCCCTGTGGTAGGCTCTGGCCAGGCCTGCTGTGTTCAATCCCCTCTCAGTCTGTTTAGATTGGACATGACTGCCTGCGTATATTCACACATTGGTCACCATCTCATAGACGCAAAGTCGCTATTCAGGAGTGATGTCTACTCACTATTTTATAATCTGTGTAAACTATAGCAAGATGGTGCCGATGGCAAAGTATCCCAAACTCAGATATTCAATCCAGAGATATAGCTTCATAATGGCAATATATCTACAAAAGGTAAATTTACTGGAGTTTCAAAGTGACATGGCTAAGGATGACATAGGCTTGGTAAACTCCTACCTAGGGCTTTCCATGCCCTGACAAAACCTCATTCCTGGCAGGAAGTCCACCATGACCACTAAGTCAAGCATTTTTTTCCTTGAGGAGCTGGATAATTTGGGAAGGTGTGCTCACATCTTACTTCCCCTAGGCTGATACCTCCTGATACATTTTGCTGAGAACCTATCATGTGTGCTCATTGGAATCGACTATAAGATGTAAAAGATTTGTGTGTCAGAGTATTCACTTGGGTCATGTCTCCAACCCTCCTTCTGTAGAGCAACTTCAGCCTGGAAAAGCAGAAATGAGATGCGGCCAAGAAAAAGACTCCAGCCCAGCCTGCCTTGGTTCTAACCCTGACTGTTACTTAACCTCTTTCTGGCTCAGTCAAGAAACTTGAGCACTGCAAGATGATCATGTGGAATACCTACTTCAAACGGATGTTAAGAGGAGTAAAAGTGTTCTTGTTTCTAAGTGCTTGAAATGCAGCTGGCATATAATTAAGCTATGCAAATATTTACTTTTTTTTTTTGAAATGCTGAGTTTACTGATCACTCTAATTTTTACATATGTGTGTCATTACAGAAGATTCAGGCTTTAGCGATGACTGGAGGGTCATTCGCTGGAAAGAATTTCATCAGTTGGAACTAAATCATGGTGAGCAAAAGAAAGTCTACCTAAGTGATATGGTTTGGCTCTGTGTCCACATCCAGATCTCATCTCGAATTGTAATTCCCACAAGTTGTGGGACGGAGGTGATTGAATCATGGGGGCAGGTGCCCCAATGCTGTTCTGGTGATAATGAGTGAGTCCCCAAGAGAACTGATGATTTTATAAGGGGCTCTTCCCCCTTCACTTTCTCTTCTCTCTCCTGCTGCCTTGTGAAGCAGGTGCCTGCTTCGCCTTCTGCCATGATTGTGTTTCCTGAGGCCTCCCCAGCCATGCAGAACTGTGAGTCAATTAAAACTCTTTTCTTTATAAATTACTTAGTCTCTGGCAGTTCTTTATAGCAGTGTGAGAATGGACTAATACACTAAGTTACTTCCTGAGTAGACCAATGGCCTCCATTCCCTCTGTCAAACATACGACACTGACCCTGAAGGTAGCTTGGGCTGGCTGGGGATGCACTCTCTGTATGGCCCTGGTGCATCACCTCCCCCACCCACTTCCACCCTCCCTGCTAATGTGGAGTGTGTGTAGAGTGCACAGTTACAATGAGGCCGTTGTGACAGTCCTGGTCACTGTTTTGATCACATGATTTTTTATTTTGTAGATGAATGAAATACAAGTACAACAAGAAAAAGTTTCTGTAAAAACTAAGGTGATTGCTTTAGAATAACTCCATAAAGGTCATTCTGAAAAACAATTGCTGCAACTCTAAAAGATGGGGAAATCTAGAAGCATTCTGCACTTTGATCATGCACTGGGGCTGCAGTTTGTGCTTGAAGGATTACCAAGAACTCCAATTGGTGGGCTCTCATTTTTTTAAAAAAGTTCCCATTGCTATTTTGAAGTGAAAAAATATATAATAAAATCTACGTGAATATCATCCCCTTAACTTCTACAATCAACTAACAAATCCAAATTGGACTCGACAAGAGAGTTTCTACTGTAATTATATGAAAATAGTTGCTCTTGATAACAATTGAGTCTTGTTTTTTCTTTATAACAGAGCTATTGTCACTACTTTAAAATATGAGCAGAATGGGGTATGGATCAGGTCTATAAAGCTTTCTGTTTATGTATTTTGAATATACATAGTTATTATTGCCTATTATCTACATCAAAATGGAGAGTTTATTTGGTGATGTCTTTATCTTCTCAAGATTATTTACAATTAGAGTGACTCCAGCAACTACTGAAGCTAACTCCACTGCACTTTCTCTAGTGGCAGCATACATTTCAACCATTACAACAACCCAGTCTTTGCTGGTGCTTGAGAATTGAATCAAGCTATTTGCCAGGAAACAAGAGAATTTCAGCAGGAAAAGAGAATGTTCACAATGTCAGTGATGAATGAGGAGACCATAGAGCAGGCAAACAAAAGAAAGCAGCAGGCCTGCTGGAGCTCCCTATCTGAAGGCTTGGGTTTCCAGCACTCTAAAGCAGGTTCAGCAAACCACAGCCCATGGACCACATTTGGCCCTCACCTTGTATCCATAAATAAAGTTTTATTGAAAAGCAATCATGCACATTTATTCACATATAGCCTGTGGCTGCTTTTGCTCTACAATGGTGGAGCTGAGTAGTTGCAAGAAAGACCCCGTAAATAGAAATAAAAGTGAACAAAATATGTATTGTCTGACCTGTTACAAAAAAAAGTTTGTTAACCCTGGCTCTAAAGAATCCATTCTATACAAGGCAGAGCTCTATTATGAGGTATGACTGTAACTGTGTTTTAAAAAAGTGTTCTGGAACCTTGCCACAGTAGATTAATTCCTCAAGGTTATCCCCAACAATGAGAGGCAAGCCAAGTGATTAACTAAGCCACTGACACTGTCCTATGACACAAATTTCTCCTCTATCTCCCCTTCAGTAGTGCCTCACTTTGGAGTCGGCTGAGAAGATCATTCCAGACGGGAGTTTTGACACTGTACAAATGCACTGTCTTCACATCTACGCTGACACCCCTGCCTTTCTACCTGCAGGTGTCTGTGGCTTACAAGCTGGTGCCTCCCACAGACCCTGTAGTTTGGAGCTAATGAAGAGCTGAGAAGGTAGGTTTGGCTGTGACTAGAGAGCAGGAACAACCTCTCCACAGGTCATTCCTTTCTCCAGGCATGGAACCGTCTTACAAACCTGGGCTGAGGGTTCATTGCCTCTAAATGTAGAAGCAAAGACTAAATTCAAAAGGCAAGAACTACTTAATGAAAACAGAAACTCCACTACATACGTGTTTCTTCTGCCTATCCCATGGAGTCAGAGAGGTGGTGGATCTAGCAGAGACAGCTGTAGACCAGGGGTCAGAAGACTTGGGTCCTCATCCTGATTCTACCACTAACTAGCTGCATGACCTCAGACAAGTGACTTGTCTGCCCTAGACCAGGCAGGGTTGGACAGTTAGCCCCAAAGTCCCTTCTAATGCTAAAATTCTAAGATTGTACCCTGCCAGCCTTAGGAGGCTATGCTGTTACTACCAGTGCCTGGCACATAGCAGGCACTATATAAATGTTAATTATCATTATTATTATGTAAAGGCACAATGCATGCCTTTATATGTAAACGTGGATTCTTCCCCATTATAACAATGAATGATCTAGAAGCAAATTATAACAACAGGGTATAATCATAAGCAATGAAGACTGTAATTCCTACCGGTCTTCTTCTCAGCACAAATGAATAAAGCTTTTCCCCCCTCCCCCTCCAGTAATTGTTGGAGGTGGTTCTTGGATCCAAATCCCAAGCCCTTCCAGAATATCTGCAATTGGAGAACGGGTCATTCAATCAAAAGACTGTAGACTGTACTGTGATGTAAATTTTTTTCTTCCCCACTGAAAATCCCAGGCCAGGCATGGTGGCTAACACTTATAATCCCAGCACTTTGGGAGGCCTAGGTGGGCAGATCACTTGAGCTCTGAGCAATACAATGAGACCTCGTCTCTACTAAAAATTCAAAAACAATTAGCCTGGTGTGGTGGCACATGCCTGTAGTCCCAGCTATTCAGGGGGCTGGGGGCTGAGGTGGGAGGATCACTTGAGTCTGAGAGGCCAAGGCTGCAGTGAGCCCTGATTGCACCACTGAACTCCAGCCTGGGTGACAGAAGAAGACCTTGTCTCAGAAAAAAACAAACAAGCAAACAAACAAAAAACTCAATGCAGGTTGGGAATGAGAACTGGGATTCAGGATTTGGAGTTTCCTAATATATTTTGCCTTCTTCCCATGATATATACAGTGTATAAACCTAGTATGAGGAAGGAACAGTTGTCTATCAAAATGGTAAATGGCATTCAGTCTTAAGTTTCTAAATAAAGTTAGCAATTATGGGTATGGCCAAATGTGGGTGCTTGCCATAACCTCTGGGGCCTCACCATTTCCAGCTACCAGGATCTGCAACTTTTTGCCTGAGGGTTTTCTCAGAAGACACAGAAACTGTTCTGCCTATAAGCCTTGAAGTGCCAGGGAATTAACACCTACCTTCCCACAGCCCTCCCCACAGTGACTGATAGCATTGATAACGATACCCAAGCTTCACCCCTCAGGTGGGATAACTGAGCTGCTTGTTCTATACCATGTTCTAGAGTTTCTCCCATGAGTTTAGGTTCTAATCATCCACATGTAAATTGCTTGATAAGAAACCTTCATTGACTCCTTGTCTCACTTCCCCTCCCCTTATTTGTTTTGTTTGCACCTTTCAAATAAACTATTTTCATTCAAATCTTTGTCTTAAGTTCTGTTTCTGGGAAATCCAAACTAAGACAATGGAGGTGACCTAATTAATTCTAAATTTTTAGTTTGACTAATAATCATTTTCAACTCTACTAATCAGTAAAATAGGAAGTATAAGATACAGCCAAGAAATCAGAAGAGTCTAAAACATATTGAGACCATAAATATCAGCAAAAAGCTAAACCTAAACAGAAGTGGGAAAGAATCTAAGCTTACAGTGATCTTTCCCTTTAGGTAAAACTCACTAAAGTAATATGAGGTTAGTTTGGGTTCATGATGACTCTCAAGAGATGAAGAATTATCTTCCCTTTATTTCATTTGTGTCCAGAAACCTTTAGATTCTTAGAATTATTTTTCCAGTTAAATTATTTTTATTAGAATAAGTAGAACAATAAAATAACTTTATCTTCTTTAGCAGCTACAGTGTATCAAGCACAGTCAATTTATTGTTGGCCAATCTTACAGAATCTGCAAGTCTTGTGTAGTAAACCCATTTTATTGGGAGAAGGTGGTAAATCATGTGGAAGGTTAATTTTCTGGCCCCATTTCACCTAGCTAGTAAAGATAGAGTCCAGATTCAAATACCTATCAGTCCCCTTCCAAATGTCATACTCAATTTCCCCGTGCCACTTCCACAAAAGACATATGGCTATTACCATCAGGTACAAGAGGCATTGAGACTGAGAAAACATAATATGACACATTACTATAATTATTATATGATTAGAGTTCTCAGATTTAGCAAACAGAAACACAGAATGTCCAGTTAAATTTGAACTTCAGATAAACAATGATTTCTTTTTTCGTATAAATATGTCCCATGCAATATTTTGGATAGCTCTACATTAAAAATTATTTGTTTGATCCAATGATTTTTTTTTATAAAATTATTTGTTGTTTATCTGAAATTCAAATTCAGCTGGGCATCCTCTATTTTATCTGGCAACACTAGATATGGTGCTTAGCTTATCTCTTTATTTAGTTCATACTTTAATCAAAACTTAGCATAATATGTGTAACAGGACTGTTTTTAAAAATATTTGTGGTAAAAGAACCTAAGAAGATCTGCCCTCTTAACAGATTAAGTGTAAAATACAATGTTGTTGACTCTAGGCACAAGGCTGTATAAGGGATCTCTAGAACTTATTCATAGAACTTCTATTGAGTCCTGGAAACCACTGCAATCATTTCTCAACACCACACAGCTATCCCTATGTCAGTCTTAACATCCCCTTATCCAAGTGGTCAGATTTGGGCCCAGGGGTAGCTCATCCTCAAAGATCATGGTTTCTCTTACACTATAGTTACTGCATGAATTTACAGCAGGCATCCTTCAGCTAGATCAGACCTAATTCTCAGAGAGTTCTGAATGCAAACTAAACACAAATCAAAACCTTATGCTTATGCCTAAGGAGGAACATATAAATAGGCATGTATTACAAAGCAGTAGTACCAAAGGTATCAATTAGGATCCCAGCAGGAAGAGGAATTTACCTAATCAAAGAAAGATTTCAATTAGAAAACTACTTACAGAGGTGTGAGCAGCTTTAAGGAACAACTAGGGACACTGATGCACCCAGAGACCAGAACCAATAAGACATTGTTACTACCCAGGGCCAAGAGTGCAACTGGAGAGTGGTGTCACGGAGCCAGCCAGAGTTGGAAGCCATGGTGGGCCAGGGGCTGTATGTAGTTGTAGAGAGACACAGCTGTGGCCAGTGAAGCTGTACTAAAGGAGAGAGGAATCGGGGGGAAGTGGGGAAAAGAAACAAATTCTCTCCCCTGCTCTCATTTGATCTCCTTTAGGTGCCTCCCATTGGCTAAACCCAAAGAAGCCAGGGGGCAAAGGAGTAGGTGATACAGCTAGTGAGGTCAGGCCCCATAGAACACTGAGCAGGGCAGAGAAGAGCTGACAGTAACTGTGGAGTGAAGAGCAGGACAATCGTAGCAAACCCACCAGTACGTGAGTGCACGGCAGAACATGCCGGAAACTCACTATGGGTAAAGATTTGTAGTCATTTATGTTTTCAAACTGGTAGTTTCTTTTGTTGGTAGTTCATATTTTTCCATCATCACTTTATTATAAAAATATTCAAGCATACAGAAAAGTAAAAGAATTTTTGAGTGACTATGTGTATATGCACCAACTAGCAAAATCTATACTGGCTTTATTATATATCTATCCAACAATCTGTCCCTCTCTTCATCATCAGTATACCTTGTTTTTTTAGCTTCTTTAAAATTTTTGTTAGTTGAAAGATCAAATTGTGTGTATTTATTATGCACAACATAATGTTTTAAAGTATATATACATTGTGGAACGGTTAAATCTAGCTAGTTAACAAATGCATTACCTCACATAGTTATCACTATGTTAGGCCCACTTAACATCTACTCTTAGCATTTTTCAATAATACAATATATCATCATTAACTATACTCAGCATGCTGTACAATAGATCTCTTGAGCTTATTCCTATCTAATTGTAGTTACGTATCCTTTAGCCAGCATTACCCTAACTCCCTTCCCCACTAACCACCCAGCCTCTGGTTACCACCATTCTAATCTCTAGTGCTATGAGATCAACTTTTTTAGACTCCACATATGAGTGAGACCATGTGGTATTTGTTTTTCTGTGCCAGGCTTATTTCACTTAACATAATGCCTTCCAGGTTCATCCATGTTGTTGCAAATGATATGACTTCCTTCTTTTTATTATGGTGAATAATATATCATTGTGGATATGCGCCACATTTTCTTTATCTGTTCATCTGTTGATGAACTCTTAGGTTGATGCCATATCTTGGCTAGTGAGACTAGTGCTGTAATAAACATGGGAGTGCAGATATCTCTTCAAGGTACTGATTTCATTTCCTTTTGATATATGCCCACTAGTGGGATTGCTGGTTCATATGGTAGTTCTATTAATTTTTAGATAAAGCTCCATACTGCTTTCCATAATGGCTATACTAATTTACATTCCCACCAATAGTAAATAAAAATTCCCTTTTCTCCACATCCTCACAAACACTTGTTATCTTTTGCCTTTTTGATAACAGCCATTCTAGCTGGGGTAAGATGATATCTCATTGTAATTTTGATTTGCGTTTCTCTGATGATTAGTGATATTATTGAGCATTTTTTCATATTCCTGTTGGCCATTTGTATGTCTTCTTTTGAGAAATGTCTATTCAGATCTTTTGCCTACTTTTTAATTGTGTTATTTGTTTTCTCACTATTGAATTGTTTTAGTTCCTTATATATTTTGGATATTAGCCCCTTATCAGATATATAGTTTGCAAATATTTTCTCCCATTCTGTATTTTGTCTGTTCACTCTGTTGAATGTTTGTTCCCTTTGATGTGCAGAAACTTTTAGTTTGATGGATCCCATTTGTCTTTTTCCTTTTGTTGGCTGTGCTTTATCCCAAAAATTACATCAAAAAAAAAAAATCATTGACCAGAGGCCAGGCACGGTGGCTCATGCCTGTAATCCTAGCACTTTGGGAGGCCAAGCCAGGTGGATCATTTTAGGTCAGGAGTTCAAGACCAGCCTAGCCAACATGGTGAAACCCCATCTCTACTAAAAGTACAAAAATTAGCCAGGTGTGGTGGTATGCACCTGTAATCCCAGCTACTCGGGAGGCTGAGGCAGGAGAATTGCTTGAACCCAGGAGGCGGAGGTTGCAGTGAGCTGAATTCGTGCCACTGCACTCCAGCCTGAGTGACAGAGCAAGACTTGTCTCAGAAAAAAAAAAAAAAATCATTGACCAGATCAATGTTATAGAGCTCTTTGCCTATGTTTTCTTCTGGTAATTTAATAGTTTTGGGTCTTAGATTTAAGTCTTTAATCCAGTTTGAGTTGATTTTTGTATATCATAAGAGATAAGGGTTTAATTTCATTCTTCTGCATGTGGATGTCCAGTTTTTTTTCCTGGCATATTTACTGAATACACTATCCTTTCCCTAATGAGTGTTCTTACCACTTGTGTCAAAAATCAGCTGGCTATAAATGTGTGGATTTACTTTTGGACTCTCTATTCTGTTCCACTGGTCTATGTGTCTGTTTTTATGCTACTACCATGCTGTTTTCATTACTATAGCTTTTTAGTGTATTTTGAAGTCAGGTAGCATGATGCCTCCAGCTTTGTTCTTTTTGTTCAAGATTGCTTTGGTTATTTGGGGCCTTTTGTGGTTCCATACAAATTTTAGGATTTTTTTTTTCTATTTCTGTGAAGAATGTCATTGGTATATTGATAGGGATTGCAATGAATCTGTAGATTGCTTTGGGTATTATGGACATTTTAACAATATTCTTTCTTCTAATCTGTGCATATTGGATATCTTTCCATTTATTTGTGTCTTCTTCAATTTCTTTCGTAAATATTTTATAGTTTTTCAGTGTAGAGATCTGTCACCTCTTTGCTTAAATGTATTCCTCAGTATTTCAATTTTTGTATCTATTATACACAAGATTTTTTTTGACTTTTTCAGACAGTTTGCTAGAAATGCTACTGATTTTGCATGTTAATTTTGTATCCTGCAACTTTACTGATTTTTATCAGTTCTAACAGTTTTTTAGTGGCATCTACGGTCTTCTCTATACATAAGATCATGTCATCTGCAAAGAGGGACAGTTTCACTTCTTCTTTCCCATTTAGAGCTTTTTATTTCTTTATCTTGCCTAATTTCTCTGGCTAGAACTTCTAGTACAATGTTTAATAAGAGTAGGGAAAATGGACATCCTTATCTCATTCCAGATCTTAGAAAAAAAGCTTTCAACTTTTCCTTGTTCAGTGTATTGGCTGTGGGTTTGTCATATACAGACTTTATTATGTTGAGGTACATTCCATCTATGCCTAATTTGTTGAGACTTTTTATGGTGAAGGAATGTTGAATTTCATCAAATGCCTTTTCTGCATTTGTTGAGATGATCATACAGTATTTGTCCTTCATTCTGTTAATGTGAGGTATCACATTTATTGATTTGTATATGTTGAACCATGCTTGCATCCCAGGGATGAATCCTACATGATCACGGTGAATGATTTTTTAATACACTGTTGAATTTGGTTTGTTAATTTTTTGCTGAATATTTCTGTATTCAAGTTTGCTGGGGATATTGGCCTGTAGTTTTCTTTCTTGTTATATCCTTATCTGATTTTTGGTATCAGGGTACTGCTAGCCTTGTAGAATGAGTTTGGAAGTATTCCCTCCTCTTAAATTCTTTTAGAGGAGTTTGAGAAAAATAGGTATTAGTTCTTCTTTAAATGTATGGTAGAATTCACTAGTGACACCATCAGGTTCTGTGCTTTTCTTTGATGGGAGACTTTTGATTACTGACTCAATCTCCTTACTCATTATTGGTATGTTCAGATTTTCTATTTCTTCATAATTTAGTCTTGATAGGTTGTATGTGGCCATTTATCCATTTTTTCTAGATTGTCCAATTTGTTGGTGTATAATTATTTATAGGAGTCTCTTGTGATCTTTGTGTTTCTGTGGTATCACGGTAATACATCCTTTTTCATCCTGATTTTTATTTATTTACTCTTCTCTTTTTTTTCTAGTCTAGCTAAAAGTTTGTCAATTCTATTTATCTTTTTTAAAAAAACCAACTCTTTGTTTTGTTGATCTTTTTATTGTTTTCCTGGTTTATATTTCATTTATTTCTGATCTAGTCTTTATTATTCTCTTCCACTAATTTTGAGTTTAGTTTATTTTCTTGTTCTTCTAGTTTCTTGAGGTACAATTTTAGATTATTTAATTGATATCTTTCTTCCTTTTTTATTAGGCATTTATTGCTAAAATATTCCCTATTAGAACTGCTTTTGCTTTATCATATAGGCTTTGATATGTTGTAATTCTATTTTCATTTTTCTCAAGAAATAGTTCAATTTATCTGATTGGTTTGGCCCTGCATCCCTACCCAAATCTCATCTTGTTGCTCCCATAATTCCCATGTGTTGTGGGAGGGGCCCAGTGGGAGATAATTGAATCATGGGGACAGGTCCTTCCCGTGTTGTTCTCGTGATAGTGAGTAAGTCTCATAAGATCTGATGGTTTTAAAAAGTGGAGTTTCCCTGCACAAGCTCTTTTTGACTGCCGCCATCCATATAATACATGACTTGCTCCTCCTTGCCTTCCCCCATGATTATGAGGCTTCCCCAGCCATGTGGAACTGTAAGTCCATTAAATCTTTTGCTTCCCAGTCTCAGGTATGTCTTTATCAGCAGCAAGAAAATGGACTAATAAATTATCTTTTAATTTTTTCATTGACCCATTGGTGGTTCAGGAGCAAGTTGTTTAATTTCCATGTATTTGCGATTTTCCCAATGTTCCTCCTGTTATTTATGTCTAGTTTTATGCCATTGTGGTCTGAAAAGATACTTAACATAATTTCAATCTCCTTAAATTTGTTAAGACTTGTTTTGTGGCCTAATATATAATGTATCCTGAAGAATGTTCCATGTGCAGTTAAGAAAATTGTGTATTCTGCAACTGTTAGATAGAATGTTCTATATGTGTTTGTTAGGTTCAGTTGTTCTGGAATGCAGTTTAAATCCAGTGTTTCTTTGCTGATTTTCTGTCTGCCCATTGATGAAAGTGGGATATTGAAGTCCCTTACTATTCACATTGCTGTATTGCAATCTATCTCTCCCTTCAGTTCTATTAATATTTGCTTTCTATATTTATGTACTCTGATGTTGGGTATACATATATTTACAACTGTTATATCCGCTTGCTGAACTGACTCCTTTATCATTATATACCGACCTTTTTTGTCTCTTTTTATAGTTTTTGACTTAAAGTCTATTTTATCTGATATAAGCATAGTTACTACTGTTCTCTTTTGGTTTCCATTTGCACAGAATATCTTTTTGCATCCATTCACTTTCAGCCTATATGTGTCTTTACAGGTGAAGTGAGCCTCTTATAAGCAGTGCATAGATGGGTCTTGTTTTTCAAGCCACTTTATGTCTTTTAATTGGAGAATTTGATCAATTTATATTCAAAGTAATTATTGATAGGTACACACTTATTACCACCATTTTAAAATTGTTTTCTAGGAGATCTTTCCATCTTTTCTTACCATATTTCTTTCTGGTTAAGTAGTTTTCCCTGGTAGTATTTTTGATTCCTTTCCTTTTGTTTTTAGTGTGTATATTATAGGTTTTGCTCTGTGGTTACCACGAGTCTTACAGAAAACATCTTATAGTTATAACAGATTATTTTAAGCTAATAACAACTTAACTTTGATTGGAAAAAAAAATCTCTACACTTTAACTTCACTACCCCTCCACATTTTGAATGTTTGATGTCACAATTTACATTTTTATGTTTCATATCCCTTAACAAATGATTGTAGTTATCATTAAACAGTTGGTCTTTTAACCTTAATACTAAGGATGTAAGTGATTTATACACCACCTTACAGTATTAGAGTGTTCTGAATTTGACTGTGTACTTACTTTTACCATTCAGTTTTATACTTTCAGATTTTTTTTATTACTCATTGGCACCCTTTTCTTTCAGCCTGAGGAACTCCCTTTAGCATTTCTTGTAAGACAGGTCTGGTGGTGATAAATTTCCTCAGCTTTTGTTTGTCTGGGAAAGTCTTTATCTATCCTTCATTTCTGAAGGACAGCTTTTCTGGGTACAGTATTCTTGGTTGGCAGTTTTTTCTCCTTCAAAACTGAGTATATCATCCCACCCTCTCTTGGCCTGTAAGTGTTTTCCTGAGAAGTCTGCTGTTAGGCATATTGGAAATCCCTTATATGTTATTTGCTCCTTTTCTCTTGCTGCTTTCAGGATCCTCTCTTTGTCTTTGATCTTTGACAGTTCGATTATAATATGTCCTGAGACAGCCTTATTTGGATTTAATCTGATTAGAGACCTTTGGCATTCCTATAATTTGATATTTATATCTTTCTCCTGGTTTGAAAAGTTTTCTGCTATGATTTCTTTAAATAAGCTTTCTACCCCTTTGTTTTTCATCTACTCCCTCTTGAATGCCAATGACTCAAACATTTGCTGTTTCGACGCTATCCCATAAATACTGTAAGCTTTCTTCATTCTTTTTTCATTTTTTCTTTTTAATCCTCGCTGTATATTTTCAAATATCTTCAGGTTCACAGATTGTTTCTTCTGTTTAATAAACTTTGCTGTTGATATATTTTTCATTTTGTTCATTGTATTTTTCAGTTATAATATTTGATTTTTTAATATTTCTCTGTTAAATTTATCATTCTGGTCACTTATTCTTTTCTTCATTTCATTTAACTGTTTCTACGCATTTTATTGAAGTTCATTGAACTTCCTTAAAACAGCTACTTTGAATTTTTTGTCAGGAAGTTCATAGCGCTCCATCTCTTCAGGGCTAGTCACTGGCACCTTATTTTGTTCATCTGATGATGTCATGTTTCCCAAATTGTTCTTGATCATTTTGGTCATGTGTCAATGTCTGCACATTGATGAAGCAGATACTTATTCCAGTGTTCACAGTCTAGCTCTGTCTAGGAATGTCCTTCAATAGTAAGCCTATCTAGAGATTTTGGGCAGGTTGTCAGGGTGTGGTCCCCAAGACTGCAATTACTGCACACATTGCAGTGCGTGGGGGCCCTCTAAGCCCAGGTCTGTCACAGCCAGCACAGTGCCAAACTGAAGTCCCATGGCTGCTAAAGCTGTCACAGCACGGGCTAGAATCTCACGGCTGCTAAGGCTGCTGCAGTGCTGATGTGTAATCAAAGCCCATGGCCACTGAAGCTAGTACAGCACTGGGGCATGCCCAAAAGTCACACCTTCTGAGGCCTTCCTGTCACTAGGGATTATGTGGAGTCCAAAGCCTCTGTAGTTGGCCAGCAGTGATGCAGGCCAGAACTTGAGTCCATCTTGCAGGGGCTATGTGTTCCCATCTGGTGTAGGGATAGGTCTAGGGGCTATGTCTGTGGGTATCAGCCTGTCATCGGGCTGTGTAGGACTTCCCAGTGCTGGGTTTTACTGTGGTGAGCCCAGAATTAGAGTGCAAAGCAAACTCCTTTGCTTATTTCTCTTTCTTTCCCTCAAGTGTATGGTGTGTCTCTCCATGCTGTGCTGCCTATTGCTGGGGAAGGGGTGACATGGGTAATGTATAACTATCCTTCCTACCTTCTTCAATGTGTCTTTTCTTATTGTTATGCTATAACTAGATACAGTGGTCTCTAACCTGGTTTCTCTAGCTCTTGTGAAGTATTTTCATGCATGGATAGTTATTCAAATAGATGTTTATGCAGGGGAATGATTGCTGGAGAGTCCTATTCCACCATCTTATACCATCCTCCTCTTCTAAATCTTATTTTTTTAAATGTGTTTCAAAGTAAATTTCAGACATTGGTACATGTATCACTAATACTTCACCACTTCAAAACAATTTAGTTCATTTTTAACTGCTATTATAATGCAGGTTACTTTTAGGTTACACACAGACACAGACACAGACACACACACACACACACATACACACACCTCTCAAAAAGTCAACTGATGAATGTTTCAGTCAACTGGTTGCTTTCAATAGGACTTACCAGGAGTATTCATTTTTATCAGGCATGTTGGTTCTTAAAAAACAAAGAATGAAAAATCCTTTGCAAACACTCTAGCTTTTGGCTGCTTTGCTTTCAAGGGAATACAGAATTGATCTTCATAAGCAAGCCAGGGTCAGTACAATAAAATTGAAGAAGAATGTTGAAGAATTGGAGTACTGTTTTACTTATGATCTCACAGTTAGTTCTCATTATGGCAGACTGGTCTAGCTTTATCCTTTTCCCGCAACTTGACCTTTTCAATCATACCTCCGATGCCATTCCCACACAAGCCTCTCTTTCCTTTGGTTTTAAAGACAAATGGGGGAAGGAGGATTGTTGGACACTGGACTATTTTAACCCCTCCCCACCTACTACTTTTCAGTGTATGAGTAAATGGTATTGCCTTTGCTTCTTAGCCTCCAAAGACATTATAAAGCAAGTCTGAGGCAGCCCCATGCATTACTTCAAGCTCTACCTGTTCTCTAGGTATTGAACATGACATATTTCACAGCACAGACTCAATTAGAGTCTCCTTAAAACCCCACTATTCCAATAGCCTTTGGCAGCATGTAGGTGGGATTTAAATTATATATTGCTTCAAAGTGACTCCCTGGGGCATTCACTTCTCTGAATCATACTGAAATGTGGGTTTTCAAATGTCTGCATATGTTGTGCAAAAATGTTGGCACATGGAAGTGACACTTTTTCTGTATGAAATGAATTCAGAAGCTTGGAATAGGATCAAATTAATCACACAATGTGAAAATGTATTTGCCCCAAAGGAAGCCATTGTTTTCCATTCCATAACTGGCTGTGAAGGGCCAACCATGTGTAAGATAATCCATTAGGCAATGCAGGGGATACAAAAGTAGAGAAGTCATGGTGCTTTTCTTGAACAAGTTACAAATCTAACAGAAGACATGAGTCAAGTAGACAGATAACATAATATAAAGTAGAAAGGGAGAAGAGAGGAATGGCTTCTGGCTGGAAGAGTACACGAAGACTTCATAGAACTGGAGGTAACTGGGACATGCTTTGAAGCTTGTGTTTCCTTGGGTAGAGATAACGGAAGGATATTCCAAGGGGTCAGATCAACATGTGGATAACATTCAGCATTGGGAAAGTGAAGAGGAGGTCTATGGAATAGCAAATAATCTATCCTGGCTGGAATACAGGCATGTATTCAGTGAAGACAGGAAAGTGAGTTGGGGCTATATTGTGACAGATTTCAGAGGCCCAGCTTTAGAGTTTGGAAAGCAGTAGTGAGCCAGAAAAGAATATTAAATGCAACAGTGATAGGATTAGAACTTCATTTTGGGAAGACTATTCTGGTAGAGAGTACGGTTGAAGCAAAATGAAGGCGGAGAACACATCATAGAAATAGCATCTTTTACATTTATTCTCTTAATATCACAGTAAAAAAGTAGCTAAAGAAATTTTGATATTCTAACTGCAAATGATGTCTTTCAAGGTAGGGA
Source organism: Homo sapiens (assembly GCF_000001405.40). Taxonomy (NCBI): domain Eukaryota; kingdom Metazoa; phylum Chordata; class Mammalia; order Primates; family Hominidae; genus Homo; species Homo sapiens. The sequence goes on along the minus strand of NC_000005.10, from coordinate 38,271,212 downwards.
GCCATGCAGCTGATGCCTGAAAAATCTATTACTACTATAGTGGCCTGATCCTTTCTTCTTGATTTTGTACAAAGTCCAAAACAAAGGTTGGGTGTTTTTATTAAACTCAAAACTGACTCCAACTCTTTCATCAATATCAATAACTTTATGACTAATATAAACACCAAAAGTCCTCATTTGAGGAAATAAACTCTAATAATTCATAATATGAAATTAAGGAAATGAAATTGTTCTCATTTCCACTTTCATGGATGCCTAAGCTCAATTATACATTTATGTCAATGTTGTCAATATTTGGGGTTACAATAAATATAGAAAAGTTAACATCTCTACCACTCTATAAACTCTATAGACCACAATGAATCTAATTAATATGCATTAACATTGGAATGCCCATTATGTACCAAATGTTTAGGTACTTTTGCAGGTATATCTTCCGTCATCATAGTTTCTCATTTATTTATCACACAAAACCTTTGTAGTAGGTATTATGAACCTTAAATTTCAGATGAAATATATAAGGCATAAAGAAACTACTCTATCTGGAATCAGACAGCAATAAATAAATTTTAAAGCTAGAATTCAAACCCAGGTCTGTCTGACTGGAGTCTTACTACAATTCCTTCAAGCTGAAGGGATGTGTATTATGGGTGTAGGTTGTGGCTAAGCTTGTCAATTACTTAAAAACAACTATCAAATGAATGCTTGTTGTTTTTTTTTTTCCAAACTAATGGTTTATTTAACTACACCAATTGGGAATTCCCAGAACATCAAAGAGATGTTTGAGAAACTAACAGAAATCCTGAGACTGGAATGATAAACCTTGAAATATGCCACATTGAAGGTCTAACAAATATCATTTGCTACTAAAAAGGATGGCTAAATTGTGGAGGGATGGAAAGCTTCAGAGTGTCATCTGGGTGGTCCTTGAGATCCCAAAAGGGTTTTCCATAGAAGACATCTGAAAAGATTTTGGGGATATCCTCCAGCTGCAACAGCTGCTTCTCAGTTGCAAACTGACCTGTAGTCATCCAGTATTTTGTAAAATAAGCCACTTTCCCCACATACCAACCAGTGAGGAGCATGACTGAAAGCTGTCCCAGGTTACTCTACAGAGTGTCCCATGACACGCATGGAGTCTTTCTAAGTGAAGCCTGGTTGAAGAGCGTGTCTTCTTGACTAGGTCCCTCCTGGCTGCAGAGCTAGACTCAAGCACATAGCAATGATCATGCTCTTATCCATTAGCTGCAGAAACACCGCTGGGTTGATGGGAAGCAACAAGGGCTAGAGGCTGGATGACCTAGGTTCATGTCCTGGCTATTTCCTTTTTGTTAAGTCATCAGCCCTGACTTCCTGGTAGGGCAAGGATTGCAAAGATCAAATGAGATCATTTTTAGAAGTGCTTTGAAAAGTGCAGTGTTTCAGGCCAGGCGCAGTGGCTCAGGCCTGTAATCCCAGCACTTTGGGAGGCCGAGGCGGGCGGATCATGAGGTCAGGAGATCGAGACTATCCTGGCTAACACAGTGAAACCCCGTCTCTACTAAAAATATAAAAAATTAGCTGGGCATGGTGGCGCGCACCTGTAGTCCCAGCTACTCGGGAGGCTGAGGCAGGAGAATGGCGTGAACCTGCGAGGCGGAGCTTGCAGTGAGCCGAGATTGCGCCACTGCACTCCAGCCTGGGCAACAGAGCAAGACTCCGTCTAAAAAAAAAAAAAAAAGAAAAGAAAAGTGGTTCAACCAACTGTATCAATTTGTTTTTGTTGAGATCAGCCCACAGCATCTTCATCTTCATCAAAGAAGGCTGTGGTGTCTAAAAAAAAGATTTTTTTATAATTTAAGAAGCAACCCTTACTGAATATTCTACCATGACTAGTCAGTCCTTTTTGTTATGGGACACAAACAGAAGGAGTTTCTAGTAAACTAGGGGTGGGAGGGACTAGAGTTCTAGTTGATATGCCTTAGAAACTCACTCTATTTAATCCACTGGGTAGTGAATTTTTGGTTGTTTTTGTTGTTGTTGTTGTTGCTGTTGATGCAGGGTCTCACTCCCATCGCCCAGGCTGGAGTGCAGTGGCAGGATCATGTTGCACTGCAGCCTCAACTTCCTGAGCTCAGGTGATCCTCCCACCTCAGCCTCCTGAGTAGCTGGGACTGTAAGTGTGCACATCACCACAACTGGCTAATTTTTTGTATTTTAGTAGAGATGCGGTTTCGCCATGTTGCCCAGGCTGGTCTCAAACTCCTGGGCTGAAGCGATCCACCCACCACCTCAGCCTCCCAATTACAGGTGTGAGACACTGAGCCTGGCCAACTTTTTTTAAAGGGATTAATTTTACCTTTTGTAAAATGTAGGAAATATATATAGTAACATATAGCACATATGCACTTACCCATATACATATTTTTGAACCTTACTGCAAACTGGCCTAAATCAATTTGACTGTTTAGTTTTTAGATTCCTTTTTAAAATTGTGGTGGCCTCCAGCAAGTAAAAGTAGATGGTAACTATTTGCTTTTCAACCAGGTTGTACACTACAACAAAAGCAAATTCCAAGTCAAATTCTGCCACGTATAAAATATCCATGGGAAAGAAGCCACGAAAATTATCATACAACCTGCTGCTGTAAATTTGGTGATGTTTCCTCTTGTCATTTCAGGAACTCCAAAGCACTGCATCAGAGACAATCTACCACATCTAGTTATTTTTCTTCCTGTGCACACTACTGAACGACATTTCCCAGAAACCGTATAGTTGGGTTAGGGCAACATGACCATATTCTGATTTGGCACAGAAAAATCTCTCACAAGACTTCTTTTTCTTTACCTCCCACCCTGGAGGTCCATTTTAAAGATGGTGGTATTATAAGATGGTGGGATTAAAGACAGAATGACTTGAGTCTTCAAGTCACCCTTTGGAGGAAGACAGCTGAGGTGGGCTTCCTAGAAAGGAACATCCACTTTGGACTTAGACTAAGTCCAAAAAATAAATTTTGTGTCAAGCCACCCAGATTTGGATTTATTACAATAGGTAATGCTAATTACCCTAATTAATACAAGCAACTGCTTGTATCTGCTGAGAGAGATACATCAATATTCTAATGGAAAAATCAACAAACCATCTTGCCGGGTGGGGCCAGGCAAATGAGTCTACTGTTGTGTGAGGGAAACACAGAAATGAATGGAGCTCTAGCTGTATTCAGCCACTCGAAAGTAGCTTGATTTCTGGAGTTGCTGGATTCTTACTCTTTGTCCACGTAAAAATAGAGGGACATGAATAATCTTTCTAGTTAATCACATATTTTCACCAATAAAAACATTGCATCTAACATCATTTATGCTAATTAATGAACCCTCTAGCGTGAATATCTGATAACATCATTCTAAGTATATTTGCTGCCACTTGGAACGTCATAGTAAAGTTCTTCAAATAATCACTAATCAGTCTGGATTCCTGCCTAAGACAGAGGTGAAGTTCCAAATATCTAACCACTGGCATGGCACAATCACCAAGAGATGAAAATAGCTGTAAATTCTTATGCCAGAGCGGTGCCTTCTAGCCTGGATTACTTCAAGTGTTAACTAAGCTCCCCCAGGGTAGAGATTAAAGTAATTCGTAGAGTCACTGTTTATATTGAAGTACTTAAAAAATAAATTACAGACAATATAACAGGTGCCTAATTCACAGCCATCACCCATTTTTTTATTTATCTGCTCACTCAAGAATTACAAGCAAAGGATCATGGGATCTATTCCTAACTGAAAGATTAGATCAATCAAATTAGCCATCTGTCTGTGGAAGGCTTTAAACTCAGGTTGTATTTAAGTATTATGTTTCCAAGTGCCCAGATGTTACAGAAAAGTGCCTGCTGATACAACTCGTTTTGCACAATGTAAGCCACTAAATGGCTAATATAAACTTATTGCAGCAAGAAAAATAAATAGCATTAACATTGCATTAAATCTGATTTGGGATTTTGGGTGCCCTGTCAGCAAACACAAGTGTTAAAATTTAAATTGCTCAAGACTTGCAGAGTCAGACAAGAAAGAATTGTCAAGTGTCTTTAGATAAGGGGGATACTGGAAATGAGATCAAAGCACTGGGATGTATATCCTTGCTCGGTGTGGTTGGTGAAAGTAATAATAATTACTATGACTATTGTTAGATCATATCCTCTCCTTAGGTAGCACTTCAGCTCTTTCAAAGCACTAGCCTGCTTTGGATAAGTGGGGGCTCTTTCCAGCTGAGGAAACATCAATAGGAAATGGACTGAGTGAGCCCGGTCTATTTTTCCATGTCCCTAGCAGTGATTCCTGATTTACTCCAATCAACTTATCAGTGAGCAAAACCTGGACCATTTCTGAGCTCTCTGGCTTTATGGAGACTTTCACTGACTCCCAGTAACATATCAGTTTGGATAATTCTGTTTTAGGAACAGCTGCTGCCCTACCACATCCTGCAAAACTTCCCCCAAGACAATTACCAGGCAAAAATCATCCTCATTTTCCAAACCAAAAATCAAGGCATGTGGTTGACCAGGGAGTCTTTCTAATTTGTTAATTCATTTGTCTGAAAAATGTTACAATTCAATACAAGTTACATCACATGTAACCATACCTTAATACCTATAGAAAAGAATAAAAGTACATAAAATCATAAATGTCTATGTTTATTACTTCTGATGCCTGGAAATATAGAAATTCTTTCAGGTTTTTCTTCCTTGTCCAGATTAAACAATCCCAATTTCTTAAATATTGCCTTCACATGTCAGTCTTTAATCCTTTTTAATGCCCTGCTACATGCATTACTGTATTGGATCTTCCCTGGAACATTTTATGGTAGGGTCTTTCTTTATCCTATTTTTACAGATCAGTAAACTGAGGATTATGGAGCATATATAACTGACCCACTGTCACCATGTAGCTGTAAAGTGTCAGAACTTGAACCCCAATGTGTGGAATATCAAAATATGTGCTCTTACCCAAGCCTTCCTGCTCCACCAGGAGAAACCAGCCTTGAAGGCTGAAAGAATAAGCTTGGGATTGGGGGTGAGGGAGGTAAGGGGGGAAAATGTTGGTTATATAGAGAACAGCGTGGCTTTTTGTTAACGCCATTGCAAGGTTTCCCTCTTTCACCGGTCAGCTTAGAGTCTAAGGACAGGGTTGTTCTGGTTAAATACAGATGCCCAGAGCAACATGTTGTCGTCAGCAGTCACAGCTGGGCGTGGAGGTATGAAGCAGTGAAGATCAGCATAACACAGAGTACCTGGGTCGAGGTACCAGGGAGAGGGAGGCAGTGGGAGAGTCCAAACTCTCTTTTGGCATGTCTCAAAGTGTGCATCAAGTCATCTGAGGTTCTTGTTTAAAAAGGCAGGTGCCTGGATTGCACTCTAAAAATTCAGATCCACTTAGTGCAGGAATTACTGCTGAGGGCGGAGACCCGCGCAGAGCCAGCTCTGGAATGTGCGCCCTCTGCTGGCAGAAATTTTATTTGACTCATCTAAGCCACTGCATGAGAACCCATGAGGGGTTCTGCAAGGAAGCAAAAGTACCCCCGCTCATTTCAGGAGGCTGAAGCTACACCCTGGGGTCCTTCCTCGAAGGCGAGGTCCACAATCAGTGAAATCAAAGATGAGTTTGGGGGATTTCCTCTAAAGGCTGCCATATCTCCTCACCTTTTCCCTTTTTCGATAACTGAAATAGCAGGTGCATCTCTAAGATGTGCAGCTTGACATGCAAAAACAAAGGCAAGGCACACGGGCCTTGAGCAACTCAAAAGATTTTCTGCTGCAATCAAGACATCACATCATTCAGTCAGCTGGGAAACACTACAGTCCGGCCTGCCAGGGTGTGAGGCAGGAGAACACGAGGTAGCCACAGGATAGCCCTGGGCAAGCTGGAGTCCCACCTCAGCCTCGGATGCTGAGTCTCAGTCTTCCAGAAATCTAGCCAAAATTACTAGACCACTTTTGGGCTGTAGTAAGCCATAAACAGATGGACTACTATTCCCCAAAGAATGCTAAGGTTATTAAAGCCCTCGGCTCTGGGTAAGAAGAACAAAAAGCACCACTCAGCTCCTTTCTGGCCAAGCCACTCTTCCCTGAGAAAGAATTCGGAAAAACAAGTCTTGCCTCACATTAAACTACACTTACTCCTGACCTTGACTCCTCTGTCTCTTTACCTCTCACAGAGAATTAATGGAAAGAGTGAGACTAACAAAGAGAGATGGAGTCAAAGAGAGAAGTGCTTCCTTATGAAGATTAGATAAGATGTTGAAACCAATAGGAGGGGAAGCACAGTGATGGAGTGAAGAATCAGAGGAAAACATTTCTGTCTGCCTGAATTGCGTGGGGCGCTAGGAGTTGGGTGCTGGGGATGAGTGTGCTAGGTCCCTAGCACCTAGCTTCTAGTGCCCCACGGCTTTTGTGAGCTAAAGATTTCCCTGATAAATGAGACAGCCTGAATCAGCACTGGGATATGGAGTACAGTGGACTGGAAAGGGGACAGGAAGGAACATACAGATGAGAGATCTCCCCCAATTGCCATGCTTTGGGAAGAGGGCTTGGATGAGAGCTATAAGTGAGGAACTAACCAGTCTCTTGTGAATTCCAGGTAGATCAAGGTGGCACTGGGGAAGTAGACCAGGATGACCCCTGATCCCTGGCCACTGCCCCTTAGCCATTCAGCCTCACACTAGCAGCAGCAGAATGCCTCTAGAGGTGCATGTATCTCTACCAGCAACCAACAAGATGTATTGCCCACAAGCTAACCCTTCTCTTCCAGCCTTTTGTTTTTGCTTCCTGACTTTCCTTACATCTTTATTTTAGTTTGATTATACCACTAGAGAAATACTGACAAAGTGGAAAGAAAAAGATGAGAGAGCTGCATCGTGCTAAGGATGATTATGGACACCCAGATACTCCAGGGAAAACCTTGAACTCTGAACGCTGACTTGACCTTCTTCGACTGACCCTGGGACCTCAGGCAAACTGGACAGGCAGGAGGAAAGGCAGGACCCATGTGCAGTTCTCCAGCCCCCCTAGTGCCAGAGAGTTAATAAATGTCAGGAGACTTGTCTAAATAAACAAAGAGCAACCCCAGGCTCTAAGCCTGGGAGCACCGGTCTTTAACCCCAGGAATCCTTCCCAGACATGCCACGGCTGTCAGCCCTAAGTCTGACTTCACTGACAGAACCTTGTAGAGAGACAAACGATCTATACCCTATCTACTGCATAGGAATGAGGAGGTCTTAATGGCACAGCCACTGTAGCTTGAGAGCTACAGCAAGCCTTCCAAGCTGGAGATCCCTTTGCCTCTGATGTACCACCTCCCACCACCAAGCATAAGAGTGCTTAGAAAATAAAGCCAAGATATCCATACAAAAGCAAATAAACCTTGACTTATATCTCACACCTCATACAAAATTAACTCAAAATGAATTATAGACCTAAATGTAAAACCTAAAAAACTTCTGCAATAAAACATAGGGAAACATCTTTGCAGCCACGGGTTAAGCTTTCAAAAAAACAGCACGAGCCATTTAAGAAAATGATAAATTAGACTTTATCAAAATGTAAATCTTCTACATTTTGAAAGACACCATTAAGAAAATAAAAAGACAAGCCACATACTAGAAGCCGAGATTTACAAAACACAGATCTCATAAAGGACTTGCATCCAGAACATACAAAAAACACTCAAAATTCAATCATAAGAAAATAAACATCCCAATGTTTTTTGTTTCTTTTTTTTGAGACAGAGTCTTCCTCTGTCACCCAGGGTGGAGTGCAGTGGTGCGATCTTGGCTCATGGTAACCTCCCTCTCTGAGGGTAAAGTGATTCTCGTGCCTCAGCCTCCCAAGTAGCTGAGACTACAGGCACGCGCCACCAAGCCCGGCTAATTTTTGTATTTTTTGTAGAGCTGGGGTTTTGCCATGTTGGCCAGGCTGGTCTCAAACGCCTGGCTTCAAGTGATCTGCCCACCTTGGCCTTCCAAAGTGCTGGGATTACAGGCATGGGCCACCATGCCCGGCAAACATCCCAAGTTTTAAAAATCAGCCAAACATTTAAACAAAGATTTCACCAAAGAAAAGATGGCAAATAAATAAATTTTTTAAATGTTCAATATAATTAGTCATTAGAGAAATGCAAACTAAAACTGTGATGACATACTATTACATGCTTATTAGAATAGAATCACTAAAACAAAACCAAAAAAAAACTCTACCAAGTGTTGTAGAGGATTAGGAGCAGCTAGAACATTCGTACATTGTATGAATGTAAGATGGTACAGCCACTTTGGAAAACAGTTTGGTGATTTCTTATCCAGCTCAACATATACCTGCCATGTGATGCAGTGATCCCACTCCTTCTGTTTATCAAGAGAAATGGAAACATATATCTTCCAAAGACTTCTACGTGCACGTGTCTAGGAACTTTATTCATAATAGCCTAAAACTGAAAACAACTTAAAAGTCCACCAACTAGCAAATGGTTAAACAAACTGGAATTCCATGGTCCATCCAACGCACCACTACTCAACAATAAGAAAGGAACAAACTTCCAATATATGCAAAAACATGGATGGATCTTAAAAGCATTATGCGACAGAGGGTGGACACAAAATATGACATTCTGGAAGAGGCAAAACTACAGGGATAGAAGTTAGATCAGTGATTACCAGGGGCTGGGAGGGAGTCATTTTTCTACAAAGGGACACAAGGTAATATTTAAGGATGATGGAAATGTTCTATATATTTCTATTCCGGCGGTGATTACATTACTGTGTATGTTTGTTAGGGCTCATCAAACTGTAGACTTGATGAAATTTATTGCATATAAATTATACCTCAATAAATCTGACTTTAAAATGATAATAAGGACAAGAGTTAGCAATATGCCTGCGGGAATTAAGTGACTTGTTGCATGCTGGTTCCCGCAGTTGTCTGGATTTCCCCTCCCTTCTTCCTGCCCCACCACAGAAGCACGGCAGTCCTCCCGCACTTTCTGGTGAGACTCAGGTGATGGGACCAGCACTAGGCTAGAGACCACTCAGGAGGGTGGGAGGTCCAGGTGCCAGTTCCAGTTCAGCTTCTGATGTTAACTGGGGCAAGTTACTGAGTCACCCTCAACCTCATTGCAAAATGAGGACTTTTCACTTCTTTCCAGGCCTATGATTCTAATTTGTAGTCTGAAAAGGAATGAAGGCTATCCAATGAGTGGTGTGTCCACACCGTGAAGGTCTGGGGAAAGGACAGGGCCCTAAACCCTCCCATTCTTCAGAGGCCCCTTTTTCTACCCTCAGGTACTGTAGTGGGCCCTCTGACCCTCACCAGCCTTAATCCCCAGGAGTTCAACAAGAGAAGCAAGTGGTTCATCATCACCCCATAAGGCCACACCCTGTGATTCTTATAAATGAGGCCAGTAGACAGTAGCTTCCAAAATTCTTTCAGTATCATATGCACTCTGTTGTCTTAGCAGGCATGGGCAGATCCCATTTACAAATGTTTAAGAGCAACGCAGGATCCCCACACAAAACAGCAGCCTCCACCTAGGCTCCAATATCTGACCCACGGGAGCTCCACTCTTCAGCCTCCAGGAAGACACCCTACAAGACATGCTACACACCTCTGCAAACACAGTGTTCTGAGCTCAGTTTCTGGTCCTGAATATCAGAGTTTAAATTTCCATTCCACCGCTTACTAGTTGTGTGACCTTGGATGAGATATTTAACCTCTCTAAGCCACAATTTCTCCTTCAGTAAAACAGTGATAATAATAGTCCCCATCTCCCAGGGCTATTGGGTTGATTAAATAAATCACTGTGCATCCAGTTCTTAGAACAGTGTAGCAAGCACTTAGTGTTAGTTATTATGATTTAATTTCACTTAATTTGAAAACTGTCATTTCTTGTAAGTCTTGGCAAATGCAGAGGTTTCTTTATTAATGTTCAATGTCAAAAGATGAGCTATCTTGGGGTGAAGAGAAAGGTTGCTTGTGTTGAACCCAAACTAGACTCAGACTTGAAGCTGCTACTCAGTTTTTTCTCACCAGAGGTAGGTGCGGATGGGGAATTTCCAGGTTGATTTTGAATCCAAGACTTCTCCAACAATGCTATACTTATCAAAAGTAGATTTAGGAGTATGAGGAGATAGGGAGGGTCATCCAAATAAGACAGAACCGCTCCAGTATGCCTGCACCGTGGCCACGATACCTTCAAAGTACTGTCTATGTACCAATTTCTGTTGAGGAAACAAGGTACAAAGAAACTCCCATATGGATACTAGCAGGATTTGCTAGTGTCTGGGGAAGATTATAAATTAGCTAGTTGCTGCTCACATCAGAGCCAAGCAGGGCACATTCAGTTTTTTAATCTGGACCAATTTTCCGGATCAAAAACTAGTCTTTCCAAGGGATGTAAATGAGCCCAGGAGGGAAATTTCCCCTGAAGTTATGAAGTAGCTGTCATTTTAATCTGAGAAGCTTTCCAACCTGAAAGCTAGTGTCTGGATAAAATTATAAAGTAATAAAAATAAAACTCTTCTAGGTTGAACCTAGTCTAAACACTTCTATCTCAAATTTGATGTAATTAATATGCCAAAGTATTTAAGAGGTGGTGTTTCCACTATCAAAACCCTATCTATGCTTCAAATAAAACCAAAGAGGCCAGCATGGCATATTCCTGGCATGAATATCAGAATGAGACCCTGAATGAACCAGGTAGAAAATCTTTTTAGGAGAAGAACTCCAAAAAATAAGAAGGAAAATATGATGACCCACATGAGCAGTTTTATACAACAGGTTTTTATAAAATGCTTTTTAAAAATTCCCCTTAAATGGATTAAAATATATCCTTTAAAAAGCATTGCATACACTGTTCATGCTTTAAAACTATAGATATAACTATGCTTTGTTTAAAAATTGTGACAATTAATAGATGATTTCATGTGAATAAATCTGCAAAATGCAATTGATCGTGATGTGGTTATCTTAAGGAGGAAAGTTAGAAAGAAGCCCTTCACTGAAATCCTTGAAGGTATATGTATGTGTGCGTGCAGGAAGAGAAACAATTTAATGTGATATTACCTTGGACTGAAGCTATTATCTCCAAAATGAATTGAAGAGCTCATAAATGGAGTGGCTCATAATTTAAATATGGTGTAGATTATGATAATGACCTTAGATTTCAAGGCAGGTAACAAGTGCTGGTAATAAGAGACACAGTGCAAAGACTGAGGACGCTTCCAGAGCCGAAATGCAACAAGTCATATTTCCAGATAGAGAGTTTCAATGCGAAAATATTTAAGCATTCACATGGGATCCCGCTAAGACGATTTTCTCTGCCCTCTGATAAATTTTCCTAGCTTTGCCTCTTTCTTACAGAAACGTTTGTGAAGACAAACTGCACTTTCTGTGAGGTTTTGCAGACTGCATTCAAATAAAAGTAATATTGTTTTCCATTGTTCATAAGATATAATTAATCCCATAAGACAACCTCCCTTACAAAGTAAGTTAAGACAAAACAGATTTTTCAGAATTCTAAATATGGTCCCAGCAAAAAGTAATAAAAATCGTTATTTGGGAAACAATGTTTAGAACTTCATTGTTCAGAATGTTCTACTTTGAATAATCTCACAGCATAGGCCAAATCAAAGTAGACCAAAATAAACGAAGACTTTTTACCTATATGCAGCTAGAGGAAACACACGTTATTATGGTTTCAAGTTCTCCCCCAATTCCCAGTCCCTTATAACAGGTTACAACGTACATTTCTTTGTTTAAATGCCAAAGCAAAGACAGGAGTTCAAAACACGGTAAAATTAACCCACTGGGTGCTTCCTTCTGAACAAATGGCCCCAGAGTGGAAGAGGATGCTAAGAGCAGAGTCCACATCCCTGCACAACGCGTGGGCAGGACCCGAGATGGGCAGAGGGGGCTCCAGGCAACCCTTCAGACACTTAACAGGAAATGGCTGGGCTCTGGACAATATGAATTGAGTAAAATGTTTGGAGACGCAGGAGGGGCTGGTTTGACTCCTCTGCATGGTTGCCATCCTCTGTAATTGAGACAGCACGATCGCTGTCCCAACTGTCAGCTCTCTGCGGTCAAACACGGGGACCACCACCTCTATCTACTATGTCTGGAAAATTGATCATTCTTTTAATAAATAAATATCCCTAGCGCCGCCCGGGCTCGGGGGAGGGCGAGGTTTGCGTCTTTTCTCAGCTCCTGGCAGAGCTGAAGCGAGTTAAGCAGACGTTGGTCGGGGAGAGGGAGGCGGTGCGCTGCCCGCTCTGTGTCCTCGCCCCGGAGCCCAGCAGGGGCGCTCGGGGCGTGGTGGCTCTGGGCGGAGGAGCGCATTACCTGGTTTTCGGATGGCCGCTCGGAGCGACACCGCGCCGGGTCCGAGGCTGGAAGCCAGGAGCAGGAGCCGGAGCAAGACGCCTCGGATTAAATCCATTTCGCAGCCGGCGCCTGCAAAGTTTCACCAAGTCCCGGGCGCACACGGAAAGGGCGTCTCCGGGGGCGCGTGGGGGACGCGGCCCCAACGGATCCCCGGGCCGGGGCGAGGAGGTGGGGGGCTGCGAGGGCTGGGCCCGGAAACACGGGTAGTTCCAAGAGGTAGGACTGCAGCCGGGAGGTCGGCGTGCGCGAGTGAAGCCGGCTGCAAGCTGCAGGGCTTTTCGCGGGGGCGGGGGCGACGAAGGAGGCCGACTGGGAGGGAAGGGCTGGCCGCGGGAGGGAGGGAGGCTCGACCGGCCCGGGGATGAAATTACAATCGAGTGGAAGTGAGAGGGACAGGCCCTGAAACCTTCACTCCTCGCCCACCTCGGAAGCAGACAGCCCGCCCCTCACCCTCTCTAGCGACCCCCAGCGCAGCCCTTCCCCGCTGGTGACCTAGATTGGGGACCTGGGAGGGACCGACTTCAAGCACTGGAGACGCAGGGCAGGAGTTAGGCGACTGCGGGTCCAGGACCCTCCGCGGTCCTCACCCTGAAATCTTGGGGCGCCCCCCCTCCACCCCACCTGGGCCCTCCTCCTGCCGCGCCCCTCTAGGCGACTTTTTCTAACACCTCAAAGGTTGCTGTAGTTGGTCCAGCGCACTTGGGGGATGCGAGGGGTAGACGGGGGTCTGTGATTTGCAAGTGGGGTGGGGGTGAGAGGAAGAGAGGCGGGACCGTCCGGGTCTGAGGCGCTAAGAAGATAAATGGGATTTAAGGCTCGCAGATGGAGAGCTGAGGCCAGGCCGCTCAGACTGGGACGCCGGGTGGAGATTAGGGCCTGGAGCGGGGGAGTGGGGGCCCTTCCCGGCAGAGGAAGGCAACTTGAGACCCTCCTGGGGAGGAGATGAAACTCCAAGTTAAGCCTGGCGTCTTAGGGAGGGACGCGAGCTCGAGCCCCCAGGCGGACCGAGAAAAGCCCCTGGGCGGCGCCCAGCTGGGCCTGGGGCAGGGGGCCGGGGCGGGGTCCTGGCCTCTGATCCCGGGATCGGGCTTCCTGGGTTGTCTCCTGAATGGAGAAAGACTCTTTCTCCGCCGCTGAATTTGCTGCCCTAGGACTCAGTAAAATGTACCTTTTGCCAGATTTCGCGGTAGTGCCTGGAGAGGGGAGACCCTGCCTGGGACACAAGTCCCGTTGCATACTGGCGTTCTGACCTCCAAACCAGCGAGAAGAGAAAGCAGATACAATAAATAAACCAAGAGGGAATAAACTTAGAGGCAAACGCGGCCCTCGGCAGTTCCTGGGGAAAGATCAAAGGCCGTAGGAAGTGCCCCGCAGAGGAAATCTGCAGTCACTAGCGACAGGACCGCGCCCGCCCCCTCCCCACCTTGCAACGCTGCCAGGACTCGGTGGGCGTCCTGGCTCTTCACAGTTAGCCTATGTTTGGGAGCGCGGGAGGAAACAATGTTGACTGATATATTCTTCTCCCCTCCCCAGCCCCCCAAACACACACACACAGGATTTCTACTCCTCTTTTAAGAATGAAATATCCCCTGGCTGGAGAGTTTGTAATGAGCTCAATCTTGTTAGTTAGCAAAGCTGAGTGTGTTCCCTTATGTGTTGGCATTTTCAAGTGTGCAATTGTCTGTTCACAAATAAATTCAAAGTCCCCTCCAACTTGAGTATTTGGAAGTTTTAGCTGTGACACCAGAGCTTGTCCTCTTACATAGAACTGGAGCAAAGTTCAGACAGAACTATGCTCTTCACGTCCAAGGTGACCATAAAGCCGGCCACTAAGCTAAGCAAAGTGACTGCCCCCAAGGCTGCTAGTCTCAAAGGTCTCAAAATCATAGACTTTTTAGCATTTTAAAGGTCATCTAGGCCATGCCTCCACTCCACGCAGGAGTCTGCTTTCAGCATTGGTGTCGGGTCGTGCCACCTCCCTTTGAACTCCACCTGTGTGAGAGAGCTCCTCCAGCGCCAGCTGAGAAGTTGTTAGAGGCCTTTCTTTATGCGAAAGTGATTTCTTATCTCGGACTTAATGTGGCACCCAGAACCAAGCGAGTGTTGCAATGCAGATGCCTCCCATGCAGGCTTTCCTACTTAAAAATGATTCTCTGTGATGCTGAAACTGGAAGTAATAATAATCGTTGATATTATGGCTACCATTTATTTAAGGTCTCCTATGTACCAGACCTTCTTTGAAGTGCATTTTAATCCCAATAACAACCATACCAGGAAGATACTGTCATTACTATTCTCGCCTTTTACAGGTGAGGAACCTGAAGCATGGGAAGGTTAAGAAACTTGCCCAAGGTCATGCAGCTCCCATGCAGCGCTTGAATCCAAGGGGTCTGATTCCAGCTTTCAGGCTTTTGAGAGAACAATGTGGAAAGTAAACACAGCAGTGGACTGAGAGGATCGGGAGATGTGGGTGTTTAATCCTAGGCTCTGCGTATAGTGTGCCTTGGTAAAAATGAATGGGCTGGACGAAACAATCAGTAAATTCCAGGTTTTGCTTTCTCTTTAATAGCTGATAAAACAGCATCATCTAATCTAAGCTACCTTTACTCTGCATGTGCCTTTTAACAGACCCTGTGCAAATTGTCCACTGCAAATTTCGCAAGCCTGGGCAGCCTTCTTGCCAATGTCCTCCTCATGTGCCCACACCACCTCGGCATCCCTGGCCCTGGGCCTCCCTTCCATTTTTTTGCAGATGACCATAGGCGATTTGGGAAATAGGCTTGGTTTCTTCAGAGACCCCTCTTGTTTTTTCCTTGGGGAAAAACAACATTAGATTATACTGTTGTATTTTTACCTCTGAGGGCCTGCAAACACTCTGGATCATCAGGCCATTGAGATAAGACCTTATTTCACAAAATCTGCTTCAAATCTAGAGCACATGTTACATTAAACTTATTCCCTTCCTTTGCAGTTCAAATCGCATCCTCCAAGGGAACTGGAAGATTCCCTCTCCTTCCAGTTTGAAAACCAACTATGGCATTTGTAAATCTGACTAAAGACAAATAGAACACTTGCCTTTCACTCTCTTCCTGCTTTCTGAGAGGAGGGGAACTAAAGAGGGGCCAAGAGGCTTTGAATGTTTCATTAAAAAAAAAAAAATCTGTTCAAATTCACTGGAGGTCTAAACTCAATTAATAAGGTCACCAGCAGAAGAGTGACCTGCCTACTTTGCTCATTATCATGGAAGAGGAATCTGACCTTTGCTGCATGGAATAGATTTGGAGGCTGGTAGAAGAAAGTAAAGGCAAACTTATCAATTATAGAATGTTTATTAAGACTCTAAATGAGAGTGACAAAGAGGCAGCAGCCAAGAATCATCTTTTGATTTATTTTTCTAAATTGGTTATATCTACATGTAAAATTTGAAATGCAGATCAGGCAGAGTGTATAGTGAAAAATAAGTTTCCTTTTCTTCCTTCTACCATCACCAGTTTCTTGGATATCCTTCTAGAGATGGTCTATGAATGGACAAGCTAATTATATACACATATATTTAACGCAACCAAGAGCATCTTCTACGTACTTCTTAACCTGATGATCCTTCCAAATCAGCAGATACAGATCTGCCTCCTTCTTACTAACTGCTGAATAATATTCTACATGTGATATGTAATTTATTTGTTCTTTCTTCTGTTGTTTCCAATTATTATAAACAGCAGGCATGAATGACACTGAATATGTAATAAGTTGCACATGTTATAGTAGACTGTAGGGTTCATTTCTAGACTAACCATGCTCGGTCAAACAGTAAATGCCTTTTCAATTTTGATAATTTGGCTACATTTCCTCCCAAGGAGGTTGTACTATTTTACTCCCCAATAAGCAGTATATGTGCCTAACTAATTCCGTGAACTCTCACCAACGTAGTGTCTTATCAAACTAGAAATATAAATATACATATATTTATATGTTACATTTTAATCAAGATGCAACATACAAAAGTATCAAATAGTAAGTGTACCAATTGATGAATTATAGCAAAGTGAGCACACTTGTATAACTTTATTAACTACTGCCCAGATCAAGGAATAGGATATGACCAGCACCCCCACAAAGCCCTCTTCATGCTTCCTCTCTAGAAGTGTGTATTTTTGAAGAAGGATGAGGGATGAGAATTCTAACCTCCCATTTACCTTTAATTAAAACACACAAATAAAAGTAGATCAGTAAAAATAAGTAAACACTCTCCCTACACCAATGTAAAACAAACATTGAGACTGAATCCCATTATGTGTAAGTCTCTGTGCTAAGAACAGAAATAATATATTAGAGAAAATGCAACAATATTTTTTGCACTCAAGAAGACTACAAATTTGTTGGGAGACGAAGACAGTTGCACTGTCAATTGTTCCATAAAGCAGAACAAAGGAAGCCCTAAATAAGAGTGCAAATAATGTGCTATTGGGTTGAGTGACAAAGACCCTGTATTACAAATGATAACATATATAATAAGATACTGTATAATGCATAGCCATCTGCTATGCATTATGTCCTCCTTGCTTATACTTGATTATAATTAAGTATGTAATCAATGGACTGCACTGACAAAGCAAACGTGTAATAAACCCCCAGATCAAGAAATAAAACAATACCAGCACCCCAAAAGCCTTTCATTCTTCCCACTAACTGTAACCTACCCTACAACCAAATAGGTAACCATTTTCCTGATTTCTAGCACCTAGATTATTTTGGCCTGGTTTTGAACTTTATATAGATGGAATCATGCAGTAATGTAATCACTTATTCCTCTTTTACTCAACATTATGTTTGAAAAAATTCATCCAAGTTGTGTGGTTATTCATGTTCATTGCTGTGTAGTATTCCATTATAGAAATGTATCATAATTTGTTTATCCATTTTACTCCTGATAGACATTTGGGTTGTTTCTAGTTTGGAACTACAACCGAAGATGTTGCTGTGATCATTCTTGTATGTGTCTGTGGCAGACATATGTATGTGTATCTGCTGTGTATACCTGTGAGCAGAATTATGAGGTTATATGATAGGCATATGTTTAGGTTTGGAAGGTATTGTCAAACAGTTTTCCAAAGTGGCTATATTCATATACACTCCCATCAAAGTATATGAGAGTTCTAGTCATTCAAAAATCATACCAACACTTGATGTTGTTTGTCCTTTTCATTTTAGCCATTTTGTTGCATGTTAATAATACCACATTGTGGTTTTAACTTGTGTTTCCTTGAAAACAAGTCAAGCACCTTTTCACTTCTTTATTGGTTGTTGTATATCCTATTTTGTGAAGTGCCTATTCATGTCTTTTGCCCATTTTTCTATTGGGTTTTCTACTTATTTCTCATTGATTTGTGGAAATTCTTCATATATTCAGGATACAATTTAGAGGAGTTTTTCTGTTGTAGTTGAATATATTGGTAATATTTTCTTCACTCTGTCTTGGCTTTTAACTCTCCTGACGACTTTTAATGAACAGAAACCCTAGTTTTAATGTAGTATGATTGATCGATTTTTTTCATTTATGGCTAGCAACTTGCCCCAGGTCACAAAGACATTATTCCATTTTTTCTTTGAAAAGCTTTATTGCTTACCTTCTACATTTAGATCTGCAATAGATTTTTATGTATGATGCGAGGTAGTGCTCACAGCCTTTTTAACTTGATGCTCCCTCCTGATTTTGATATGGGCAGCTGCATCTCCACAGGGAGGAGATGTGGTTTGCAGGATGTGGCTTCTGTGCTGTATCTTCTCTGCCAGCGTCAGCCAAGCTGAGGCTCAGGGCTAAAGCTAGGACTACACATCTCACCTGGGATAAGCCCTCTAGATTGCCACCCTGCATTATGTGTTTTGGATGAAGCTCTATGTGTTTACAACAAAGCCAATCTGCCCCCAAATATCACACTTAATGAAGTATTTTACAAATATCTTCATGAAATTTCTGTCGTTTGAAATACTCCCATGGGTTAAAACTATGACTCATTTATGACTTATAGCCCTTCTATTCCAAAAATCATGGGGGAGAAATGTTTTAAGAACTTTTATCCAGGTGGTCCCTCTTAAAATAGACATATGTTTCCTGAAGGGGAAGGAAGGGCTCATGAATACTGTGCCTGTTAACACAGTGGGGACTCATTTATTAGCTCATTTAGCTGTCACTTAGGACAGCAGCTCCAGGGTCTACAGCAAGTAGAATAATACATGAGTTTAATAGTAATTTGGGAAGGAAAAATTTTCAGAATCTAGGATATAGATTGTTAGTAATAGCAAACCCCTGAAAGCAATAAAGGTAGCCATCATTGGAGAAGAGACTGGTAAAATAAATTGTGGAATGCAATAAATCACTCTACATCTGTTTAAAAAAAAAAGTGGGCTTTGGCTGGATGCAGTGGGTGACTTACGCCTGTAATCCCAGCACTTTGGGAGGCCCAGCGGGCAGATCACTTGAGGTCAGGAATTCGAGACCAGCCTGGCCAACATGTTGAAACTCCATCGCTACTAAAAATATAAAAATTAGTCGGGCATGGTGGCAGGTGCCTGTAGTCCCAGCTATTTGGGAGCCTGAGGCAGGAGAATCACCTGAATCTGGGAGACAGAGGTTGCAGCAAGCCAAAATCATGCCAATGCACTCCAGCCTAGTCAATAGAGCAAAACTCTATCTCAAAAATAAAAAAAAAAAAAGGGCTTAGAGCTTCATGTGCTACAAGGAGAAAAGTGAATCCAGCAAATTTAGGCAGTGCAAATGTGTTAATGAGTGTGGGAAGAGCGCTGGAGTGTCTGAGGTGAATGGGGGAAAATTAGCATTGTGTTATTTTTCACTGCTTATGTTTTTAATCATAGGAAAGTCTATTTGGGTTCAAAAGAAAATATGAATTAATTTTAAAAGAATATAGGGCAGTCTAGGTGGAGTGCTTGGTGGGACAGGAAGAAAGATGGAATCTGAGAAACCAAGAGACAAGATATAGATCCTGAACACCTTAGGAGAAAGAGAGGATGAAGAGCTGGAAACTGGCACTCCCAAGGGGGAGGTGGGCATGAAAAGCAGACCTCACAAGTTATATGGTTCTGTCTAGAGCTGCCAGATTGGATGAGCAAGAAAAATAGACATGCACACGCCAGGGTCTCTCCCTGTATTTTCAGGAATATGGAGAAGCCATCGTCTTCCTGAAAATACAGGGAGACCCCCTGTCGTGTGCATGTCTTGAAGATGTCAGGGATCCTCCAGGGTCCTGTGACCTCCACCTAACCATGAACCACACAGGACACAACAAAACGAGAGAGCCCCAAAGTGGCCAAATGCAACTGCGTACCATACTAACAGGCATCTCTTTGGAGACTCACACACAATTTCAAACTCAGGGCTAGTTTGTGAAATGACATGGCAGCAAGGAGATCTCCACAGAGTAGAGGTCAGGAGATCTGCACTCTCGTTCCATCTCTGTCACTATTGTCCGTGGGACTTTAGCAATTCCATCAACCACTCTATCCCTTATTCTTCTCCTCTGGGAATTGAAGATGTCAGATAAAATGCCGCCTCAGTCTGTCCCAGGGCTCACGATCTCCACTCTCATGACAGAGCTGCTTTCCTTTTCCCAGGACAGGCAGATGTCACTTGTTAAACACAAAAGAGTCTTATAAATTTTTTTATCAGGAAAAACTTTGAGGTTGGAAAGCAAGTCTCTAGCCAAAAAAGGAAAATGAAAACAAAACAAAATAAAATGCAGCATTTAATACACACACACAACACACACACACAACACACACACAACACACAACACACACACACACACAAAGATGGCAGGACAAAAGCAATGCCTTGCCTCTGAGATGGTTGTAGGAAGCTGACTCACGGTTTCCAAGCCAGCCCTATTTAGTCCATCCAGAGAGCGGAAATGGCAGGCATGAGAAGGGAGGGAAGGGAAGACTCCTGTGGGGAGGTGAGCGTAGGAAGCAGAGAAATGCTGGCTTCGTTTCTGGCTTCTTCTGCAATGGTACAAACAAATGCAGATTTTCTGATGCCAAGAAAAAACCTGTAAAAAGAAGCAAAAGGCCAGTTTTTCAGTCTGAGTTTGATATTTTTATGTGTTTTTCTTTAAAAAGAAATTCAGCTTTTATTTTAGATTCGGGGGTACGTGTGCCGGTTTGTTAAATGGGTACTTTGTGTGATGCTAAGGTTTGAGGTACGGCTGAGGTATGGATGATTACCCCAGTACTGAACATAGTACCCAATAGGTAGTTTTTCAGCCCACACCCTCCTGCCTCCCCGCCCCTTCTATTAGTTCCCAGTGTCTGTTCCCGTATGTATGTCCATGCGTTTTTCTTAAAGAGGGAAGTAGGACAAAGGGGATGGAAGGATTTGTAAGTACAGTCTGATCAGTGAGTGTCGCCAAGTAGAAGGTGTCAAGAAGGTGACAAGTAGCTGAGTTAGGGTTAGCTATGTTATGGTTAGCTAGCTATGGTTAGGTTGGTACCCAGTCCCAGGGAAGGAAGGGTGTGAGAGAGAAGGGTTCAAGCCAGAGGAGAAGGTGGGTGGCATGTCAGGATGGCAGTGCTCGTGCCAGGAAATAAGAACAGAATAATTTCAAAGGAAATTCCTTATCCAAAAAAGTAGGAGGGAATGGCTTAGATTCCTATTTTAAAATTAATTGACAATATGAACAAAGATCAACAGTTAAGAAGGAGGAAACAGCTTTGATTTCCTCCCCCCTGCAATGAAACGTAACATCTACTTTAAAGGGTGTGCCCATCAGATAGGATAATCCAAGGGACTGCTCATGCCACACCCTTGAGCGTCACTGAATGTGGTTTGGCTTTATCATTCCATCAGTCACATCTATCACAGAGACAAGCTAAGTCCTCTCCAGAGTTAAACTCCAGAAGCACTAGTAGATTATTACTTGGATGGCACATGAGACTTAAGGCCAAAGATGAAGCTTTGATCCAGACACTTTGTACAGGAACTGGAAATAATGGAAAATCAAGGATTGTATTTTGGAACAATGAATGATCTCCCCCAAAAGATAATGAACTACCAGAAGGGGATTCTCTGGGATAGGAATCACAGCCGAGCCATCTAAGGAAAGGAAAATGCACACAGGATACACCCACAACTGGTAGGAGTCACCATTAAGTCCTGGCTGCTCCTGGGAACAGCTAGCCCATTCGTATTTTCCTTTAGCTTTAGTGCCTCTTAATTTATCCAGTATGCCTGTTTTTCATGTTCCCTGTTTCTAATCTTTGTTTATTACTTGTTATATGTCTTTAGATGAGTCACATTGCCTATCTGACATGAGTTTCCTGGGCTTAACTGGTAGAGCACAGGATCCTTCTCAGCCCAGACATCCTTGTGTCTGTGTTTGGGCATGGCAGCTCCAGACACATCCTTCTCAGTTGTGCCCAGGTCCCAACTACTTATCCTTGAGAAATGCTATTAACATTAAAACTCTGATGTCAGAGTTGAAGGAATACACTAACATGATCGCTGAGTCCAGATGAACCCATGAAGAAAACTCAGACTGTGGAAATGTTGGCCTGTATGTAGTAGGCAAGCCTGTAAGTATTTGTTTGATGAAGAGAAGTATGGCTTTAATCATTCTCTGGTCCTACGCTCTTTCATAATCATGGGGTTTCATTGAAAAAAAAACAACAACAACACAATTCAAGCTATCTACTTTCTTCAGGGTAAAAAGCAGACAGTGGAAAAATAATGACTTTCATTTCTAATGCAAATGAAAGTATTGGTATATGTATGTGTACCCCTGTGTATGTACATGTATGTGTGCACCCATGCTAGTATGCTTGTGCACACCTGGGCTTTCCCAAGCAGTATAGGACTATATGGAGGGAAATGAGGACAAGGAACTGTCCCTGAAGTCAAGAAAAAGATTAGCAGCTCTCCCGACTCACTGGCCCTCCACCCACCAAATTATCCCTAAAAACTCTGATCCCCAAATGCTTGAGGAGGCTGATTTGAGTAATAATAAAATCCAGATCTCCCATTAAAAAATGAAAAAAGAAAACAGATTCGAAGTGGAGAAAGGAACAAAAATGGAAGATGTGGATAGCAGGAAGAACATTGTCGCCTATATTCCAGAAAGTTCACAGAATTAGCTCACCAGTTTGATAGATTGGTCTCAAATTTTAACTGTTTAGCATTTTAATGACAAGTCAAGTAGATAAGCAAAGCTGCCAGTCCAAACTGGTGGCTCCTTCTAGGTGTGCCCTTCTTTAAGAAATCTGATTTTGTATAAAAGATTCATTTGGGAAATGATTGGGATTTTAAAATAATTTTTTTAAAATTTTAGGAAAGTAATCACTACAGGGCAATTTTCCAAGTGTTTTTGACTTGAGAGTAGAATAGACCCTTAAGCTAAAATGTTAGTTTTAATTTCAATTTCTATATCTTCAAATAGAAAGATAAAGCATTATTGAAATGAAAATATAAGCTGGTAAAAAAAAGTAGAATATATGTACCAAAATTGAGATTTAATTAAAAAGACAAATATTATATTATTGAAAGAAAACGATCATACTTAGAAAAAAAGCCCTCTTAAAATGCTCTTCATCTTCTCACATTTTCTCGGGAAGCCAAGCTGCGGGTTCAGCGATGGAGAGCAGAAATACTCTATGAGCACACCCATGTTCATGGCAGCGCTGCTCACAATAGCCAGGAGGTGGAAGCAGCCTAAACATCCCTCAGCAAATGAATGGATAAGGAAAATGTGGTATATATGTACATACACTGGAATATTATTAATAATTCAGCCTTAGAAGGGAATCCTGCAGTCTGTGAGACATGGCTAAACCTGGAGGACGTTCTGCTAAATGAAATAAACCAATCACAGCAGGACAAATACTGCATAATTCCTCTTATATGAGGTATCTAAAATAGCCAACTCTTAGAAGCAGAGAATGGAATGGTGGTTGCCAGGGGATGAGGGGAAGAGGAAATAGAGAGTTGCTCATCAATGAGTATAAAGCTTCAGTTAAGCAAGATAAATACGTTCTAGAGATCTGCTGTGCAATGTTGTGTCTATAAATGACAATACTGTGCTGTACATTTAAAACTCTGTTAAGATCACATGTGTTCTTACTACAATCAGAAAGTTAATGTTTACATAAAAGAAAAAGAAAATAAATATTCTGAGCCTCTTTTCAGCTCTTCAGGCACCCAAAACACAATTCCTTCTGTCTACAATACTTGCTTAGTCTAAAGAGTAAAGTTTAATAGCACATTATCTCTAAAAATTACATGTTGGGTAATTTAAAGAACTGATAGTCAACTTTTCAAATCCCTAAAGCGTCTATAAATCTGTCGCATGTATCTGATTCATTCTTAAACAACAATCGAATGTGTTTATCCAGATTTGAAGGTTAGCTAACAGGAAATGGGAGGCAGAAGATGTGATAGGATTTTATCCTCAAAATCTAAATTAATTAGATTTATTTATTTTGAAAAATTATTTAGTTTGCAAAAATAAATATGTATGAGGGAGAGTTTGTAAGGTATACATTTTCTTTTTTTCTTTTCTTTTTTCTTTTTTTTTTTTTGAGATGGAGTCTTGCTCTGTTGCCCAGGCTGGAGTACAGTGGCGTGATCTCGGTTCACTGCAACCTCTGCCTCCCAGGTTCAAGTGATTCTTCTGCCTCAGCCTCCCGAGTAGCTGGGACTACAGGTGTGTGTCACCACGCCCGGCTAATTTTTGCATATTTAGTAGAGATGGGGTTTCACCATATTGGCCAGGCTGGTCTCAAACTCCTGACCTCGGGATCCGCCCGCCTCAGCCTCCCAAAGTGCTGGGATTATAGTGAGCCACCGCACCCAGTCCCAAGCTATACATTTTCTAAATTTTAATATGTGAATGATACTCATTAGAATCTAAAATGTTAAAGCTTCCAAATTTATGTATTATTAGGGATTTATTTTGTGTTATATTTTTATTAAGAGCACATTAATATATAACTATGTACTATTAATTTTCCTTTTAAAATAATACTTTCTCCTTCTCCCTAAATTTTTGGCTGATTATGTGTTTAGTCTCTTCAGAATTACTTGTTAACATTATGCATATATTCCCAAACAACAATTATTCTAATGCAGCACTACCTAAATAAAGCTAGCTAATTTAAAAGCTAATAATGTGTTCACAAAATTATACTCTTTTAAATCTTGCAAAAAATCCAGATTTCAGTTTGTTAAGCAGTAATGTCACAAACGAAAGGGCTTATTACTCAAGAGTATTATTGAGTTTAGGAAAACAGCCAGTAGTTTTGTGGCCGGCAAGATCATAACATTAACAAAATTTCTTTTAGATCTATCAGGCCAAGGACTAGACTGGGGACCCCACACTCAGCTGACAGAGCCCACAACCGCAGCAGCTGTAGAGTGTCTTACCTCCCCACACTTCCCTCACCCCACAGCACCATGAATAAGGAAGCAAGAGAATGTGCTGGAAACCTGCAGTGGGTTGGCCACAGGAGAGCTTCGAGTTCTTGGCCTGGCCCAGTTCCTTCTTGCCCAAGGTAGCTTGATTGACCAATAACTGGTCACCAGAAGGCATGAAGTCTGCCCCTTAGCAACTGTCTTCACATCCTCCCCTCTCATCTCATTTCCTAACTTCTGGCTTTCCCATCCCAGAATACTGTGTCAATTGCCAAGCCTCTAGTATAGGATATTAGAGAGTTAGCAATAAATTATTTATGCTGATAAAAAAATAAACCCTATTTCCAAGAAAAGTATAAATGGGAGATAACAGTTTTGCCTTTCTGAGGGGATATTTGCATTTTCACAGGAAATCAAAGCAAGGAAAAAAGTAGATAGCCTAAGATGCAAATGAATGGCTCTGGATCAGTAGTTCAAAGCTTGGCTGCACATTCGAATCACTTGGGGGAACTTCATAAAATACCAATGCCTTAGTTCCATCTGCAGAGATTCCGGTTATATCAGTCAGGGATGAGGCCTCAGCGCTGGGATTTTTCAAATCTCCCCAAGTGATTTTAATGTGCAATCAAAGTTGGGAACCATTGTTCTAGAATGAAAGGACATCTAGAGTGATGTCCTGAAGCTGGAAGGTGAAGGTTGATGAGCACTTTTGGGTAGCTGGGAGGAGGATGCTGCAGACAAGACTTCTGCCTCAGGTGGGAGGCTGGTCTGGAGCAGCCCTTCTGCAACTTTCATGTATACACTCATCTCTTGTGATCTTGTTAAAACGCAGATTCTGATTCAGCAGTCGGGGTGCTCCTGAGATTCTGCATTGCTAGCAAGCTCCCCGATGATGCCCGTGCTGCTGATCTGAAGCCCGCATTTGAGTGGCAAGGGTCTAGAGGACCTCAAAGATCCTTTCCAATCCTGAGGTTCTATGATTCTCTGAATTGAAAGCATCAGGCTTGGGGACACAGGTTTCCAGAGAGGGAACCTGGAGGCTTGAATTTGCAGTATGATATCTGTCGAGCCCTGACAAGACAATAAACAAGTTTGGCAAGGAGTATAACTCCCTACGTACAGTTGAGGACTCAGATTGATGCACACCTAACAGAGAAGCAGATGTTTTAAGGAAACAATTCAGAGCTCAAAGGGAAGTTCAGATCAAGGAACCAATGAGCCTATTCAAATGTGCTCCTGCGTAGAGTTGGTGTAAGCTTAGAAATCCAGTCATAAGAGTAAGGTCTAAAAAGGTAGGAAAGAGAAGGGAGTGTGTGATATTTAAACATATCAAATGATTTCAAACTCTCTACATTTTATATATTTTAAATTGCGGAACCATATTTGGACAAAAACTTTAAACATAAATGTAGTAAATGCATACAAAGGAAAATCATAGTAGCTTGAAGTCAATGTGTTACATTGGGATGATTTATTCTAAAGCAATTTTAAAAATCTTTTAGGGTCTTGATAAAATATGTGTTTTTCCTTTTAATGATCTTCTATATCAAATATTCTGTCTGGGGGTGGGGTAACAATTTTGGGCTGTTGGTTTTCAGAAGAGACTCTTAACTCCGCTGAGCCCATTGTTATGCACCACTATCAGATGAAGATGAGGCCGGGCACGGTGGCTCATGCCTGTAATCCCAGCACTTTGGGAGGCCAAGGCAGGCGGATCACCTGAGGTCGGGAGTTTGAGACCAGCCTGACCAACATGGAGAAACCCCGTTTGTAAAAATACAAAAAATTAGCCGGGCATGGTGGTGTATGCCTGTAATCCCAGCTACTCGGGAGGCTGAGGCAGGATAATCGCTTGGAGGCAGGAGAATCGCTTGAACTCAGGAGGCGGAGGTTGCGGTGAGCTGAGATCGCGTCATTGCACTCCAGCCTGGGCAACAAGAGCAGAACTCTGTGTCCAAAATAAATAAATAAATAAATAAAAAATAAATAAATAAGATGAAGATGAGGGTGTAACTCGCAACTAGAAAAAGAGACAGAATCTAGAGTTAGAATATTCTTATAGAATTTTGCAAGTCAGACATTTTACAAAGCACTAAAGCTTAATTCCACAATGAATGCTACAACTTTCACAATACTCTAGGATTCTTGAGTAATCTAAAGCAGTGGTTCTCAAAGTATGGTCTGGGGACAGTTGGTGGCCCCTCTAAGACCTTTTCAGGGGCTCTGTATGGTTACAGTTTTCTTATAATAATAATAAGATGTCATCTACCTTTTTGGCTCAAATTCTCTCATGATTATACTGTGGAGTTTTCCAGAGACTCCACGTCATGCTATACACAAAGGATTAACTGAAGAACTATCCTTTTTACATTAACATGTAATGGGCTTAGTTAACTATTTTAAATAATTTAAAATTTCTTAGTTTTAATTTTTATTATGGTAAATATTGGCAGATATAACATATGTATGCAAAAGCTTTTTGCCATCCTCAATAATATTTAAGAATGTAAAAAGGTCTTGAGACAAAAGAAAACAAAGCTTTGAACCACTGGTCTAGGGCCTTGCTTCTGAAAGTGTGGTCCGTGGACCAGTAGCATTGTCTGGGAGTCTGTTAAAAAGGCAGAATCTTAGTGCTACCTCAGATATACCGAGTCAGAATCTGCATTTTCACAGGGTCCCCAGGTGATTCCTATGCACAATTAGATTGACAGGCATTGACCTATAGCTTTCACTTAGTTAATCATACTCTTGATACAGCATAATGATTAAAAATGTGGATGCTGGAGCTAGATTTCTTAGGTTTGAATTCCATCTTAACCACTCCCTAGCTGGGTGAATTTAGGCAAATTACACAGCTTTCTGTGCCTCAGTCTCCTCATTTGTAAAGTAGGGAAAATAATAGCAGCCAGCTCACAGAGTTGTTCTAGAGATAAATGAATTGATATATGAAAAAGTGTAGAACGGTGCCTTGCTTGCAATAAGCACTCACTACTCATTAAGTATTAGATGCTATTTCTACTTCAGGGGACAGAGATCCGAGCAACTTTCATATAATAAATCTACTAAATGGATTTCCTGGCTGTTCAAAAAGGCCTAGGGAGCCCAGAGGCTACCTAAGGAAGTCAGGGATTTGATTCTGAAACTCCAAGAATGATGGGAGTTTCCAGATGAACTCAGCATGGAGAAGGCATGTCCAGTTGCAGAAACAGCAAGTGCAAAGGCGGAGAAGCCTGGGAGAGTGTGTTATGATGGAGGAAGGACAGTTTTCCTCACCAAAGCCTTTGAGCGTCACAAAAGAGGAAACAGAGACACAGAGAAGTTAAGGAAACGGACCAAGGTTACAGAGGTGCTACCAGGAGTGGTCGGGAGCCAAAGAAAGGCAAGTGGGTTCCTAAGTCTATGAACTTTTCCACTGTGTGAAACAGCCTCTGTCTGTGATACCAACACTTTGAGATTTGTTGAAATTTGTTTTATGGCTAATAAGTGACCTATGTTTGTAAATCTTCCAGGTTCTCTACTTGGTGGGTACTGGTTTCAATTTGCATCAAATAAACCAAACTTATTATCTGAATTGTGCAAATCTAGATGGGATCAGATAAAGGGCTTATTTGATAAAGGGCTTATTTGAAAGGCAAAGGAGTGCAGATTTCATCCTGTAAACAATGCAGAACTGAAGGCTTGTAACAGGGAGAGACATTTGGATTTCAAGATTATAAAGATCAGTCATTTGGATGTTGTAGCAAATTATATTCATGCAAAGTAATACCATGATGAAAAGGTGACAAGAGGCAGGAAACATGTAAATCAAAGAGCATGAAACACGAACAAGATCCTGCTAGGCATGCCTGGCCTCCAAGAAAGGAGGTCTTTGCCTACATGCATAGGTTGGGCATTTTTCTAAAAGGAGAGCTGGACCAAGAACAGATCTTTGTTAAATGCTATTTGGAGATCTGGAATTTAAATTGATCTTTAGCTAATGAGCCCTCTGACAAGCAGGTGTGTATGTTTTTTGTTTGTTTGTTTATTTGTTTGTTTGTTTTGAGACAGAGTCTCGCTCTGTCCCCCAGGCTGGAGTGCAGTGGTGCAATCTCTGCTCACTGCAACCTCTGCCTCCTGGGTTCAAGCAATTCTCATGCCTCAGCCTCCGGAGTAGCTGGGATTACAGGTGCGCTCAACCACACCCAGCTAATTTTTTCTAATTTTAGTAGAGATGGGGTTTCACTATGTTGCCCAGGCTGGTCTCAAACTCCTGAGTTTAGGCAATCTGCCCGCCTTTGTATCTCTAAGTGCTGGGATTACAGGCCTGAGCCACCGTGCCCGGCCAGGTGTGTATGTTTTAAACAACAGCAAAATCATAGAGTCTAAAACCTTGTTTGATAATGGGTAAAGTAGCCCAAAAGGTCGACCTGATCACACTCTCACCTCCATTCACGTGGAGTTGTGAACTCTGAATAAAATAAACACTCAGCAAATGTTTTCCCCTGCTTGCTACGCACCCTGGAGCCCAGCATCCTTCATTCCCCAGTGCTAATTAAACCATGCTTTCTGGGAAGTAACTGAATTAGTGGTTGACCAGAGGGATGGGGTTTCTCTTCCGCCTCTGTAGGAGTAGGTGCCTTTCCACACAGGAAAAAGGTAAATGAACACATCTGGATAATTAAAGTAAGGTGGAAAAATCGTTGTTAAAGGCAATACTATAGGGACAGAGAAAAGATCAGTGGTTGATAGAGGGGAGGGGAGGGGAGGAGCTGACTACAAGGGGGTGCAGTAGATTTTGGTGGGGGGATTGAATCATTCTGTAGTTTGACTGTGGTTACCCAGTTGTATGTGTTTGTCAAAATTTATAGAACTATATACTAAATGTAACTTATCTTCAATAAATCTGACTTTAAAAACTGCATATGATATCTTCTCCATTTCTGAACTAGTTCTCTATTTCCTTAATGTACTTCTATAGCTAATATTTCCTGAGTGCTTAGGATTTGTCAGATGCAATGTTAAATACTTACTTAATATTATGTTGAGCCGTTTCATATTAACATCTTTATAGGTCAAAAGGCAGTCAAATATCAGCCATTTCGGGTGATTTAATCTAACAGTTACCATGACCCTTTGAGGTAGATACTATTATTATCTTCACTTTGAGATGGCAGAATGAGGCTCAGGATGGTTAAGTAATTTTCCCAAGAGCACAGTGAGGAATGAAATCTGGGTCCAAAAGAATACATGTTCAGTAGAGAAAACTGGTGAAACACACAAAAAATCCAAAAAGGGAGATAAAAGACCCAAGCACAAACCATCACTCAAAGTCATAACATTTTAGTGTATGATCATCAGATATTTTTCTAAGCATTCAATAAAAGTTATTCTGATGCTTTTTTATAATAATTGAGAAAACAATTATAGATATCAAATAAATACCATACAGTGGGGCTATAAATGAAGATTTTGGTCATATTTCAGCTTGCCAGGCATTTCGATAATTGAACAACAGTATAATGCTATTTTTTGTAATAAAAGTTTTAATTTTTGCAATCTATCTTCTTTCCTTCTTACTCCCTACTCCTTGACACCGGAGTCAGCCTCACATATTTAAATGACTATTGAAAATTATCATGAATTTCCAATGCAATGGCAGCAAAAATGCTCTCACTAATCTAAACTTACAGGTGTCCAGGTAACTAATTACCACATTAATTTATCTTGAGAGCCCCCTTATCTTCCCTGTCTTGTGAGTCATTGATAACTTGCTGGCTTCAGATGAATTCACTGTCTCAGAAATAGAGAAAGAGCATTGTAGAGTTAATTCTAGCTGCCAGAGAAACTCGATAAGGCCCCAAGAAGCTTTTGGAAAATCAAAAAACCTTAAAAATGTCTTTAAACATAGTTTTTCATGTTTGGCCCAACAGAGCAATAATGCTTCTTTAAAGATAGCAGGAGTGTGAGCCAATCAATACACTATTAAGACACTGACAGCACTGAGATAGGATTACATGGTGAAGAAATTGTGAAACCTTTAACTTTTTCATTTTCAGCAAGAATTGAGGGAAGTGGCTTTTCAAAATTTATTTTTATCTGAATGGCCTTAAGTAATACATCTTTTTCATTTTAGGCTAGGAAGTTCACATAGAACCAAGAGATCAAGTTAACTTTTTATCTTTCTTTGTCACTATCTTTTTTGTGACTTTTCCCCCAAGTCCGGCCTGCTTCCCAGTTTAGGGAAAAGAGACAACTACTTACTTGGTAAAGGCTCTTTCCAATTATTGCCTTTACAAGAGTTTGAGCAGATTAACTTACAAAGTCACTTGGCTGCACTTACACATTAACCTGAGCTCTGAAATATTTTCTAAATAGGAGTCAGTGGCCTTTGAGAGATTTTTAAGGCTGGAAGGATTGGTGGAAAAAAATATATCCCACCCCTAATTTTACAGATGATAAAACTGAGGCCCAGAGAGGTAAATTGATTTGTTGAAGACCACGCAGATAGAGAGATGTTGTTGGAGCTGAAAATCACCCTAAAGTCTGGGCGCTGTGGCTCACGCCTTGTAATCCCAGCACTTTGGGAGACCAAAGCGGGAGCATCACTTGAGGTCAGGAGTTTGAGACCAGCCTGGCTAACATGGTGAAACCTTGTCTCTACTAAAAATACAAAAATTAGCCGGGCGTGGTGGTGGGTGCCTTTAATACCAGCAGATCTGGAGGCTGAGGCAGGAGAATCTCTTGAACCTGGGAGATGGAGGTGGCAGTGAGCCGAGATTGGGCCACTGCACTCTAGCCTGGGCAACAGAGTAAAGCTTCTTCTCAAAAAAATAAATAAATAAATAAATAAATAAATAAATAAATAAAATTTAAAAAAAAAAAGAAAGAAAATCACCCTAAAACCCGGACCCTTAGAATAGACCAGTGACTTTCTGCTCTGGTTGTGCACTAGCATCACTTTAGGGAGCTTGAAAAAAATTATGATGTCTAAACTGCACCTCAGACTAATTAAATTACAATCCCTAGAGTGGGACCCAGGCATCGGTGTTTTTTAAGCTTCCCAGGAGATTCCAAAGGTCACTCTCCAATGCACAGAACCGATGGGTAGAGGCTTTTGCTATTTTGATTATTCACTCTAAAAAAGTCAACTTACCAACATTATAGGCAGCATGGGACATGCCTGATTTTGAACACACACCAGAATAATTTTGTCCTTTCAAATGTAATGACATATGGAAGTCTTCAGCACTATTTTCCAAATATTCCCAGCTCTCTGCTTTCCAGGCACTTGGTAGGATTACATTTCCTAGCCCCTTGTGATTGAGTAGGGGCATGTGACCTGTGCTGGCCAAATGAGTTGTGAACAAATGTTACTTTGGAGCTGGAGCCATCAGTTGCTACTTCAAGCTGTTTCAAAACTCTCGTTCTCTGCCACAGGGATCAACAATGTTCCAGAGAGTGGAAACTCTATAATCCTGGATCCCAGAGTGAGGACAACACTCACAATGGATATGTAATGTAGATAACAAATAGACTGGTTGTTTTAAGCCTCTGAGATTTTGAGGTTGTGTGTTACCACAGGATAATCTAACCCATCCTAAATGACTCACTATAGAACCCTAAAGTTATATTCTGTGAAAAGAAAAGTAAATTATCTTTAAAAGAGGAATAAGTTTTCTCCCCCAAAATTGCATTCAAGAGCTCATTGATCTTTTCTCTTTTCTACTAAGGCTAGATCATAAATATTTAATTTTAAACTCAAGCTCTCGAAAGTCTTGTTTTTCTCCCAACATTGATAATGTTATTTTCATGCATCATAAAATGTCAACTAGAAGAATCACATGGAACATTTCCCGATGTTCAGAAATGAGTAGCTACCTTTAACAGACTCAGGTCTTCTCAAGACACGCAGTGGGAGTTCTTCTAACATGACAGCGTTGTAACATCTACCAGTTGACTCACACTTGAACTCATTTTAAGTTGTCTCTTTATGCTGTTGAGTTGTTGCTTTAAGATTGTTTAAAAATTTTTAAAGTCTCCAATAGAGGACTCCATCGCTATTAGAATCTGCATGGTTATGACCTGTGATCTAATTCACTGATAAACAATCACTCTGGGATCTGCAGAGATGACCCCTAACTTCCTTCTCAGGCTCATATCCTAACGTTCTTTCTCATGAATATAGTATCTTCCCTTTTTCCTTCTTCCTCAGAGGCCCACTGGAGCCTATGGCATATGAAGGGACCATCTTGGAGGAAGGTCTCTTCTATCTCCAAGTCAGAACCTGAAGATGGAAGAAGCAAAATGTATCAGCCACAATTATGGGCTAAAATCTGGCCAAGATAATGCCAAAGGATGAGGAGGAATAGATTGTGGAAAGCTGAGGATCTGAGTCACTGGGGAAAGTGGTTGAGAAGGGACTAGAAACACCACACAGCTCCAATAATCCCTGGCCAATCCACAATAAATGAACTATTCATATTGAAAGAGACATAGCAGAGAGAACAACCCAGCATTGCAAAGGTCAAGTGGAGTGAACTTGTTGACTTAATAATGACCCGCTTCCTGTTCTAACATGTATGATTGATTCTATGACCAGCACTAGAGCCTGTAACGCTCTGTACAAGCTAGACACATCTAAGTCTGCTGATCCTTCAGACACTCCTTTTATTCTGTAATTGATGAAACAGACCCATTTTTAAGCACTTACCTTCATTGTTTTTATTCCTCTGGGAAATTTCTCCCACCTCTAGTAATCAATTTCACTACTTAGTGGTGACTCTTCAACTTTAAGAATAAAAAATGTAAAGAAAGGAGATAAAGTTCCTTTGCAAAATTGTCAAGAAGGCTATAAGAAGGCTATTTTTTTTCTGAAAAGAGAATTATTTCTGTTGATGGAAGTTAAACTCTGCTAAGCTTTGTCAAAAAAAAAAAAAAAAAAAAAAAAAACCCTGATCAATGAGTCATTGTTACTGGGAAGTTACTACCGTGTAGAGGAAAGACTCTAGTACTCAGAAAATGAAAAGCTTCAGATTCAAGTCTCACTCTATCACTCACCAGTTCTGCAACTTGAAGATTAGGGATACTTTCAAGCATTAGCTTTTTCTATCTTGCAAAATAAGGATACTAATAAACTTGCTCTATCTTAGCTATTGCATTGAGATCTAATTGGATGTTATACTCTTCAAACTCTGGGTTTGATATTGTTACTGATATGAGCGTGCCCAAAAGTTTAACCCTAATCATGAAGGAAAATGGGTTGTGAGAAGCAATAAAGGGAAATGTTATGATGCCTACAATTGACTCTTAAAAATATTCAAAATTGTCCAGGTGCAGTGGCTCACACCTGTAATCCCAGCACTTTGGGATGCCGAGGTGGGAGGATTGCTTGAAGTCAGGGGTTCAAGACTGGCCTGAGCAACAGAGTGAGACTCTGTCTCTTTAAAAAAAAATCACTTTGGCCTGGTGGTGCATGCCTGTAGTGCTAGCTACTTGGGAGGCTGAGATGAGAGGAACACTTGAGCCCAGGAGTTCTAGGTTAGTGAGATGTGATTGTGCCATTGCACCCCAGCTTGGGTGACAGAGAGAAACCCTGTCTCAAAAAAAAAAAATTAAAATAAACAATATTCTACAAATGTGTGTTAGTTTTAATAATACTCTAAGGCTATTACTGTCCTAATAGGACATGTGCATTCCAGGGATGTCATCTGGCATTTAATCAGAAGACAACACTGCAGAGGTAACTACTGTAAGCACTTTGGCTATCTTTATGATCCACACTACAGGTTTTTCTAATTAGCATAATGAATGCTAGAAATGGGTTTTCATTGGTGTAAATAATAGTGCTTAATATATGTGGATTGGCTAGTGCAGCAGTTGGCAAACTCTTTCCATAAAGGACCAGATAGTATTTCTGGCTTTGTGAGCCTTAAGGTTTCTATCATGACCACTCACTCTGTCATTGTAGTATAAAATCAGTCATAGATATATGTAAATAAACTGGCATGGCTGTGTTCCAATAAAACTTTATTTACAAAAACAGACACAGGCTACATTTAGCCCATGCACCATAGTTTGCGACTCCTTGGCCTAGAGTAGCCTAGAAACCCTGTCTGTCCTTGAATGAATAGGGTTTAAGAATATAAATCTCTTCACACATGAAGATAGTTCCCAAGGTTGATGTATTATTTCATTTTCACACTGCTATGAAGAAATACCCAAGGCTGGGTAATTTATAAAGGAAAGATGTTTAATTGACTTACAGTTCCACATGGCTGGGGAGGCCTCAGGAAATTTACAATCATGGTGGAAGGGGAAACACACATGTCCTTCTTCACACGGTGGCAGGAGTGAGAAGAATGAGAGCAGAATGAAGGGGGAATCTCCTTGTAAAACCGTCAGATGTCATGAGAACTCATTCACTATCACAAGAACAGCGTGAGCAGCATGAGGGTAACTGCCTCCATGATTAAATTACCTCCAACCAGGTCTCTCCAATGACACGTGGGGACTATAGGAACTACAATTCAAGATGAGATTTGGGTGGGGCACAGCCAAACAATATCATTCCCCCCTAGGCCTCTCCAAAATCTTATGACCTCACATTTCAAAACATAATCATACCCTTCTAACACTCCCCCAAAGTCTTAACTCATTCCAGCATTAATTCAAAAGTCCAAGTCCAAAGTCTCATCTGAGACAAGACAAGTCCCTTCCACCTATGAGCCTGTAAAATCAAAAGCAAGTTAGTTACTTCCTAGATAGAATGGGAGTACAAGCGTTTGGTAAATACACATATTCCAAATGAGAGAAATAGGCCAAAACAAAGGGGCTACAGACCCCATGCAAGTCCAAAATCCAACAAGGCAGCAATTAAATCTTAAAGCTCCAAAATAATCTCCTTTGATTCCATGTCTCAGATCCAGGTCACACTGATGCAAGAGGTGAGCTCCCACAGCCTTGGGAAGCTCCACCCCTGTGGCTTTGCAGGGTACAGCCACCCTCCTGGCTGCTTTCATAGGCTGACGTTGAGTGCCCAAGGCTTTTCCAGATTCACAGTGCAAGCCGTTGGTGGATCTAGTATTCTGGAGTCTGGAGGATGGTGGACCTCTTCTCACAGCTCCACTAGGCAGTGCCCCAGTGGGGACTCTGTCTGGGGGCTTCAACCCCACATTTCCCTCCTGCAGTACACTAGCAGAAGTTCTCCATGAGGGCTCTACCCCTGCAGCAAACTTCTGCCTGGACATCCAGGCATTTCCATACATCCTCTGAAATCTAGGAGGAGGTTCCCTAACCACAATTCTTGATTTCTGTGCACCAGCGGGCCCAATACCAGGTGTAAGCTTCAAAGGCTTGGGGCTTGCACCCTCTGAAGCAACAGCTGAGCTGTTTTTTGGCCCCTTTTAGCCACGGTTGGGACACAGGGCACCAAGTTCTGAGACTGCACAAAGCAGTAAGGCACTGGGCCCAGCCCAGGAAACCATTTATTCCTCCTAGGCCTCTAGGCTTGTGATGGGACGGGCTACCATGAAGACTTCTGACATGTCATGGAGACATTTTCCCCATTGTCTTGGTGATTAATATTTGGCTCCTTGTTACTTCTGCAAATTTCTGCAGCGGGCTTGAATTTCTCCCCAGAAAATTGGGTTTTTCTTTTCTATTGCATTGTCAGGCTGCAAATTTTCCAAACTTTCATGCTCTGCTTCCCTTTTAAACATAAGTTCCAATTTCAGACCATATCTTTGTGAATACATAAAACTGATTGTTTCAACAGCACCCAAGTCATATCTTGAATGCTTTGCTGCTTAGAAATTTCTTCCACCAATTACCCTAAATCATCTCTTTCAAGTTCAAAGTTTCACAGATATCTAGGGCAGGGGCAAAATGCGACCAGTCTCTTTGCTAAAGCATAACAAAAGTCACCTTTATTCCAGTTCCCAACAAGTTCCTCATCTCCATCTGAGACCACCTCAGCCTGGACTTCATTGTCCATATCACTATCAGCATTTTGGTCAAACCATTCCACAAGTCTCTAGGAAGTTCCAAACTTTCGCACATCTTCCTGCCTTCTTCTGAGTCCTCCTAACTTTCCAACTTCTGTCTGTTACTCAGTTCCAAAGTCGCTTCCACATTTTTGGATATTTTTACAGCAGCTTCCCACTACCCAGTACCAGTTTACCGTATTAATTTGTTTTCATCTTGCTATGAAGAAATATCTGAAGCTAGGTAACTTATAAATGAAAGAGGTTTAATTGACTTATAGTTCTGCATGGCTGGGGAGGCCCCAGGAAACTTACAATCATGGCAGAAGGGGAAGCAAACATGTCCTTCACATGGAAGCAGGAGTGAGAAGAATGAGAACAGAGTGAAGGGGGAAGCCTCTTACAAAACCATCAGATCTTGTAAGAACTCATTCACTATCATGAGAACAGCATGAGCAGCATAAGAGTAACCGCCCCATGATTAAACTACCTCCCACCAGGTCCCTCCCATGACACGTGGGGACTATAGGTACTATAATTCAAGATGAGATTTGGGTGGGGACATAGCCAAACCATATCACATGGTTTCCAAAATAGTACTCTACCGCTGGTTTGGATAATTCTGCTTACCTGTTGGCAACCATAAGCCTAGCTGAACCCTGCCTCTAGGATATTATTGCATGTGCCCCAAATGTGCCATTCAAACAGGGAGTGATCAGATCATCTAAAAGGGCAAATACCTGGAGCTATTGAGTTGTATACTTTTATGCTTTCTTGTCAATAAATGTGTGGTTGCAGAGTTTTTCTGCATCTTGTTTTTATTGCCTGTAGTGTGGTCATGGGCTTGGAGAGCTATGTTCCTCACCTACCACTGACTATTGGTGTATATCCAATATTAATAAAGGGAACCTAGGAACTCTGTGCTGCTAAATTGCTTAGGCCAGCTCACAATAGAAGTAGAAAAAAAAAAGAGAAAGATTGTCACCAATTGAGGATATAACTCATTCTAGATAGGGGAAAAAGCCAAGCAAAGAAGCCCTGTCCCATGAAGTCATAACCACTCAGGCTTCCATGTCACACAGAACTCTGTCCTTCCGAGTCAAAGATGACATTATCTCTGCATGTTTCTGTGCCTGGAAGACCACCCCCAGATTAATAGCCCTTTCAACTCAGTGGAAGACAGTTCTTTGATTTGGGGCAGCAATTATTTTTACAAAGCCAGTTATTGTTGGCAACTTTGCTGCTTTAAACTATGGTATGTGCTTAGAAAGATCGCCTCCTTTCCAGCTGCTTGATACCAGACAAAATTTCCAACAATTCTTTTACAGGGATTGTAAGGATTAAGTGAAACAGTTATGTAGAGCCTGCCCCTTTGTAAACACTCTATAAATGTGAGGCGTTTGTTATAATCTTCTACACGTAATGTGGCTTCTCTCTCATAAGGATCCAGGTTTGTTTGTTTTTTTAATTAACCCCTGCTCTTCCCATTGTGCTTTTATTCATGAAATTCTACAATTTTAGGGCAGAAAAGGACCTTCAAGATCATCTGACCTAACTTCTCTCATTTAATTCCCTCATCTCTGCCTGATCACTGAGAAAGCTTGAGGACTTATCTTCTTATCTATACATTTCCATATGGAGACAGAAGCAACATTAATACAGCAGACTTTAGAATCATGTAGCCAATAATAGGCAACCAGAATGCTTTATTCCAACCAAAACATGAGTCAAAAAATGTTTAAAGCTATAGAAAAATAAAATACAGAACAACTTTGTCAACAGTTCAAATCACTGTAATACAAATATTTCAAATACAAATACCCTTTCCCTTTCCTCCTCTAGGGTTTGGGGAGCTTACTCACTTCATGAAATAATTTTGGAAAGCACCTTAAAGAGTTTATTCATTCACATGTTTATCCAATCAACACATTTTAATAAGATACATGATTAGGTTTTCCTCATAATGATTAAGATGATCATTAGAAGCACAGAATTCCCAAAGCTCTATCTCCATCCTTAACCAGCCTTTCTCCTTGCATTTTCATTTCCTTCTCCAGTTTTGCAGAGTTGGTCCAAACTTCACTCTTTTCATAGATATTCATGGGACATCTATTCAATGTCAACTCTTTGCACAGGGGATATAGCAGTAAAGCAGCTAAACATAGCCCTGGCTCTTATGGAGTTGATGTTCTGGTGAACTTTCAGTATTTAGGATTCCTTTGTACTTACACATGTTGAAAGTTACATTTATTTAGATTCCACTAACATTCGTCAAGTTCACTTGGGTTACCTGGCATTTTCACGTGCATTGTCTCTTTATTCCTTATGACAACCTTGCAAAGTAAGTATTGCTATCCTAATTCATCCAAGATCACACAGCTGTAGTTAAGTGATGGAGGCAGAATTAGAACGCAGGTTTTCTAATTCCAGGTCCCATGTTCTCTCTCTCTGTCTCTTGCCACAGTTGCACAATGAACTTTTCCAGGTACCACCCCCCTTCTCTTACGTGTGCATTTCCTGGCATCTTCAGCCTGGCTGGTCTTAATTCTCAATTGTTGTTTTCTCACCCCGCCCAACCTCTCTCACTCCTCTCTCACCTCCCTACCCCAAGCCCAAACGCTTCGGTGTCTTACAAATTTGTTTCTGTTCAGCATCTTTAGGTCTAGGCTATTTTATTTACTTAGCCCTTCTGCAGGACCAGGGAGGCCAAACAAATCGCTGGGACCTTGCGTCACTGGAATTCTTTGGGAGAATTCCTCCCTAGTGGAGGAGTCCAACATCAGTTGTTGCAAAGAATTTATTATATAATAATAATCATTTATGATATCTATCACATTAAAAATGCTTATATCCTGTGCTCATTGGTATTTGATAATAGATATGCATGCTCATATGTGCAAAATGACATTATTGGGCAAAGCTACTCATTAAAACACTGTTACGGCAAGAGGTTGGAAACAACCTAAATACAGCGCATGGCACATCCATAAACTGGAATACTATATGGAAAAGGGAGGAAGTTCTTTATATATGTGTATGGAAAGATCTTATAGAAGTTATTGTTAAGTTTAAAAAGAAGAGTTCTAGAGAATATTTATAGTTTAATATATTTGTATGGAAACTTGAAATATATACATGTTTATTTATATATACACAGAATACTTTGAGAAGATATAAAATAAATTGTTAACAGTGGTAGATTCCAGAGAAGAAAACTAGGTTTCTAGAAGTCAAGGGAGAAAGGGGACTTGCTTTTTTATTGGATGTTCTTTTATTTTGTTTGGATAGTATATGCATTGTATTATCTAATTATACAAAAAATTATTTAGAAAATTGAATGATAAGATGCTCTTAAGATATTTAGGCTGCTCAAGAACAAAGCCAATTTTAAGTGTTAGATGATTCCTTGAAATTTAAGTGTCGGGAACCTAAGAGTGCTACTTACAGTATTTTGTTTGCCCATACACCTAAGTAAAAAGCTAAAAGTTAAACAATATCAATGCATTAGCTACCAACAGATAGACTGAAGTTAAAAATAAATTGCATGTTATAGATGTGATATTGATTTGAATTTTTATAATCATCAAACCTAATTAGGTTTATAAACCCATTGCTCTATAACAATGTAAAAGGGAATACTTAGAACATCATTAGGAGCTCATTAAAATAGAACTATGGGAAAATGTTCTGTTAAATCAGGAAAAGAAAAGGAATGAAAAAGCAATTTCCCTCTAAACTTATAACAAGAGGCACATGCTCAGCCATTGCTAATCACACTCTCCTAACTCATTTAATTACCAAATGTCTTTTTAGTGTTAAAGTCAATTGTAAAAATAAATTTGCATGTTTTAGATGTCATGGCTTCTGCATTGAAAGAAACATTAATTTTAAATGGAAAACGCTAGAGTGCTCTTTAGTATGCTCTGGCAGAGCTGGTTAGCTGTCTTTTTATGCAACTGTGGTGTACATAGTCAG
The DNA here is from genome assembly GCF_000001405.40 of Homo sapiens. Taxonomy (NCBI): domain Eukaryota; kingdom Metazoa; phylum Chordata; class Mammalia; order Primates; family Hominidae; genus Homo; species Homo sapiens. The sequence goes on along the minus strand of NC_000005.10, from coordinate 38,230,462 downwards.
ATACTACTGCATGCCAGTTTTATGAGCAATTAAAATCCTGTCCTTGAACCACACCAGCTCGATTGTGTGTCCCTTCTCAAGCTGAACTTTGATGCAGCTGTAAGAGTGCTTGATATAAGGCTGTTGGAGAATAAGTTGCTTTCATTCTGCTGAACCATAAAGGACTCATCACTGAGGACACAAAGGTGAAGGCCCAGCAGCCAAATGTGTGAAAGTTAGAGCTAGAAAACTGAGTTTCAAAATGCTCACATCAACATTCAGAATGTTAACTTCTTCCCTACTCCTCTTCCTCTAGGATTGTGTCAGTCATAGACTAACTGCTGGAATAAGCCGTTGCAAATGTCTGGTTATTTCTCACTCATGTCTGAGTTTAACGCAGATTGGTGGGAGAGTGGGAAAGGGAGGGAAAGGAGCCTGCTCTAAGCAGTCATTCAAGGATCCAGGATTCCTCTGTCTTGTGGCCCCACCATATCCAAGACACGGAGTCAAACTTTTTTGTACTATGGACCTATTTAACAGCCTGATGAAGCTTAAGGACCTCCCTCAGAATAGTATATTTAAATGTATAACATGAATTACTTGGCACTACAAAACCAATAATATTCAAATATTGTTATCTAAATATTTAAGAAATTGTGATATAGGTGCTTCCTTATTAGAATAAGATCCAGAGGCAAGTGTAAGTAATAACCACAGTGTCCCAGTAGTGATGATCACACAGCATATTGTGATCTTATCAATAACTGTAATATGATATGAAAGTACCTGTTATTTCTATTGGTGCCAAAGTCTATAGGTGACAGGTACTATTAATTTTTCTGTGGTTTGTTGCTTTCATTTGTAATAGAAAAAAATATACTAGATTTCAGTTTACCAGGGAAAGATGCATTTTTTTTTTTTTTTTTTTTTGAGACACAGTCTCACTCTTTTGCCCAGGCTGGAGTGCAGTGGCCCAATCTCGGCTCACTGTAAGCTCCGCCTCCCTGATTCAAGTGATTCTCCTGCCTCAACCTCCCCAGTAGCTGGGACTACAGGCGCCCGCCACCACGCCTGGCTAATTTTTTGTATTTTTAGTAGAGACGGGGTTTCACCGTGTTAGCCAAGATGGTCTCGATCTCCTGACCTCGTGATCTGCCTGCCTTGGCCTCCCAAAGTGCTGGGATTACAGGCGTGAGCCACTGTGCCCAGCCGAAAGATGCATTTTTTTTCCCCATTCAAAGTCTTAGATCCCTGAATTCTATCCACAGATCTGGGACTCAGGTTCGACCTTCCCTCAGCTCCCTCCCACATTATCCCCTGGCTCCTCTGCTCCCAGCCAGCAACAAAGGAATCCGGAGGACTGCAAAGGAGGTTTTATGGGCCAGGTCTGGTGGCGATCGTGGTGGTGGCAGTGGTGGTGAACATTGTTCCTGCCCACATTCCATTGACCAGAACTCAGTTTTATGGTTGTACCTCCCTGCAAAGGAAGATGGGAAGTGCAGTCTAGTGTGTGTCCAGGAGAAAATGGGAAATGGTTTGGTGAACAATTACACAGTCTCTAACCTAGAAGACTTCATGGCTGAAGAGAGTAGTGAAATGGTGCTTACTGAACATTCAGAGAGGAAACATTCCTCTAACAACAACAAGCCTCTTTTCTAGACACTTTGATTGTAGGGAAATAATTTTACATGAATGAACTTTAGGGGGATAAAAAAGAAGAATTCACCCTCAATGCAGTCATTTCAATACCAAGAGACCATTTTTAAAATTCTGAGCCCCAGGAGAAAGGTTCAGCCTTGCACTACTCATTCTGGGCTGTTCTTAACTCGCCTTCCCCAGTCCCATCCTCACCCCCACTGCTGCTGAGTCTTCCTTTGATTCTCCTGTCCTGCCCTGCACTTTGGCAGAACCTGATGACCTAAAAGAAATAACACATGATGGGTCACTGGGCAGAGTGGGCCAGGGTGTTGAGCTGTTTCGAAGATGAAACCTGAAGGCTTTCCCTTCATGTTCTCACAGTGAGGGAACATGTGTGCTTTTGGTCATTGAGTCTTTTACATTCTGAATGTTTAGCAATTCCCTCTAGGCTAATTCATGGAGACAGCATGATTCTGCTCTCAGGAATATATGTGGATAAAGCAGGGTCATGACCCTAGGAACAGGCATCTGCTCTGGGCATTAGGATTTCAGCCCCCAATTAACTCTGAATCAAAACAACAGAGACGTCCTTCTACAGCAAGCACACTGGCTCCATTTCAAACAGCCAGACCCTGTGTCCTGCCCCATCCTTATCCCCCCACTGTCCCCCCTGCACTCATGCGTGCCTGAAGACAGACTTCAGCAAATCGATCCAAACATTCATTTTGCTATTTCCAAAGGTGATGCACCCCCATAACCTGACAAATTATAAAAGAAAAGAATTAGCCAGGTGCAATGGGGTGACAGAGCCCAGCAATGGATGTGGGCTGAGTTCACAGGAATCTTCAGCCTGCAGCCTCACACCAATATTTGAAGCAATTCAAGGTGCCCACTCCTACATTGATGCCTGGCTGAGGGCCGAGTTCTCACCTCCTGTGTGATGAAGGTGACAGAGTGGCCTCTGGGAAAACCACCTCAATCCATTTGCAGACTGAAGAGAAAGGCCAAGCTGTAAATGTATGTGATGGCTGCTGATCTCATTCATTCTCAGAAAGCATTTAATTCTCCATGCCACATTCTTCTCAAATGGTATCGGCATCTGCCCTGTACTAATGAGCCCTCAGGCGTGTGGTTCCTGCTGGAGAGTAAAAGAAATCACAGCCTTTATATCACAAGCATTGATTGATAGCATTATTTATTCCATTGCAGTAGCATCCAGAACAATACACAAATGAAAGCTCTGTTATTTATTTATTTATTTTTACTGGTTCTTCTGGGAGTTCAAACACCAGTTTATTCAGAATTCAAAGTGGCAAAACAAACCCCAGCAAAACGCAAATATATTTCACTTATTAATTATATTATTGCTTGTTTCTAAACTCATAGCCTAAATATCATCCCACGGACACTTTTTCAGAAATTCTAGTAGAAATATTTCCTTAATTCTGCATCAACTAAGTGTTGTTTGCAGACAAGTAGCCTCACTTTCCCTTTAGTCATTAGAAAGCGTGGCAGACCTATATTTTAAACATGTATGAAGCATACACAATGAGCATACCCGGAGTATACTGCACCAAATGCAGAGCAGACTGTTCTGGACCTGGTGGAACTTAGATTTTAAGAAGTCATGGTCAAGTACCCGTGCCTGTGTTTGGCGCTGGGTGAGGGTGTTGGGTGCATCATGCCCGTGTGTACTCTCCACCAGCCAGCTCGCTAACACTGCAGAAGGAGCCAGCTCTCAGTTATTCAGAGGCTGGCTGTTCAGTTTTTGAATCATCCCAAAACTCCATGTTGTTTTCTTTTTCCTCCTCATTAAGATTTACCCCGGGAAGGTGATACTGTAATCTGTAATCTTACTTCCTTACACAAGTGTTGGTGGGGCAGATATTGGAAATTATTGGGAGTGAGGGAAGAGAAAAACGGTTAGCTATTTATTGTGATTATTTTAATTGAAACTGATTCATCATTATAACTAGTAATCAAACATTTCTCATATGTGCAAAACATTTCCCAGTCTTCAAAACACTTTTCTTTCTCCATCGCTTCTCCCTCCTTCTCCCTCCATCCCTTTCTCTGTCTCCTCCTTCCAAATCAGAAAGGTACTAAAACCCAGCAAATTCATTGTCTCTTTCAATTATAAAGTATGGTGCTCATGTACATTCTCTGATTTGATTCTCACAAGAACGTCAGAATTCCCCTAATTTACTAATAAGGAAATTGAGCATCAGAGAGGCTAAGGAACTTGCACAAAGCTACACAACTAATAAATAACAAAAGTGAGATCCAAACTCAGGTTTTGTGGCTCAGATGCTATTGGCTTCTGTGCATCAAAGATGCTAAAATAAAATATTCTTCAGTGTTGGTTGCTGGTTAATAGTAAGAGGCCAGCTGCAGGTTTATGTTGGGTGAGCACGCTCTGCCGTAAAGGTAGTTTGACCTACACACTATTTCCAGTCCATAGCATTCACCATCAGTGAAGAGTCTGGGAAAAATTCAAAGATTCAGAACTGAGACAAAAAGGCAAGGCCGGGGCGATGACTCACGTCTATAATCCCAGAGCTTTGGAAGGCTAAAGCCGGAGGTTCACTTGAGGCCAGGAGCTTGAGACCAGCTTGGGCAACATAGTAAGACCCCGTCTCTACAAATAATGAAAAAACAAATTAACCAGGCATGGTGGTAGTCCCAGCTACCTGTGAGGCTGAAGCAGGAAAATCACTTGAGCCCAGAAGTTTGAGGCTGCCCAGAAGTTTGATCATGGCTCACCCACTGAACTCTAGCTTAGACAACAGATCAAGACCCTGGCTTAAAAAAAAAAAAAAGCGCAAATGCAGAGGGTAAGTATGTTGTTTCATTTGGCTTGAGTGGAGAAGGGACAGTTGTTGCAGAAATCAACACGGTGAACACACATACTTTGCACTTGACCAACACTGCTGTTAAACATCACTGTCCTTTGGCCTTTGCAAGTTTGGAGGGCCACATTATTTCTGACCAGTCTTTATGAGTACTTATTTTATGAAATCATGGACTTTTAAAAAAATATCTACAAGTGAAATGAGAATAATTAAATGAGATAATATAGGCTGGGCATGGTGGCTCATGCCTATAAACCTAGCACTTTGGGAGGCCGAGGTGGGTGGATCACCTGAGGTCAGGAGTTTGAGACCAGCCTGACCAAATATAAAAGTAGCTGAGTGTAGCAGCGCACACTTGTAGTCTCAGCTACTCGGAAGGCTGAGTCAGGAGAATTGCTTGAACCTGGGAGGCAGAGGTTACAGTGAGCCGAGATCACACTCTTGCACTCCAGCCTGGGCGACAAGAGTGAAACTCCGTCTCAAAATAAATACATAAATGGGATAATATTAATTACCTAACAGTGTACAAAGCATGTAGTAGGTCCTCAATATGAGAGCTACTATTATTGTCATCATTATTATTGTTATTGTTAGAATTATTCTGCTTTTCTCCCTATTATAAAATAGGCAAGTTATATTTTTTTACTTTGCCTCTGATACAACACACATAAACGCTTTATGTGGAATTGTATACCTTATTAATCAAGACAAGTGCAATGACTAGTGGAGACAACCAAACCAACCTTTATATCAAGTCCATTCTGATCTAGAATACATTATAATTACAATGTTTGAATACTCCCACCAGAGTTACCACTAAATATATAAATTGACTCTTAGAGATGTATTATGACATAGCTAGCTAGAGTCAATCAACTATGCTAACATTTCCTGTCCTCCCTTTCTTCCTTCTCCCTCCTCCTTTCTCCTTCTCCTCTTTCATGATGGGTCACAGAATGTCAAAGTTAAATCCTTGAAAGATAAAACAGAAGGCATCTGTGCATAGCAATCAGTTTTGTATACAGTAGATTGGTTGATGTTTTGTTTCTTAATCCTGTAAGTCTTTGATTATTTTTTTATTATACTTTAAGTTGTAGGGTACTTGTGCACAACGTGCAGGTTAGTTACATATGTATACATGTGCCATGTTGGTGTGCTGCACCCATTAACTCTTCATTTAACATTAGGTATATCTCTTAATGCTATCCCTCCCTCCTCCCCCCCACCCCACAACAGGCCCCGGTGTGTGATGTTCCCCATCCTGTGTCTAAGTGTTCTCATTGTTCAATTCCCACCTATGAGTGAGAACATGTGGTGTTTGGTTTTTTGTCCTTGTGATAGTTTGCTGACAATGATGGTTTCCAGCTTCATCCATGTCCCTACAAAGGCCATGAACTCATCATTTTTTATGACTGCATAGTATTCCATGGTGTATATGTGCCACATTTTCTTAATCCAGTCTATCATTGTTGGACATTTGGGTTGGTTCCAAATCTTTGCTATTGTGAATAGTGCCACAATAAACATACGTGTGCATGTGTCTTTATAGCAGCATGTTTTATAATCCTTTGGGTATATACCCAGTAACGGGATTGCTGGGTCAAATGGTATTTCTAGTTCTAGATCCTTGAGGAATCACCACACTGACTTCCACAATGGTTGAATTTGTTTACAGTCCCACCAACAGTGTAAAAGTGTTCCTATTTCTCCACATCCTCTCCAGCACCTGTTGTTTCCTGACTTTTTAATGATCACCATTCTAACTGGTGTGAGATGATATCTCATTGTGGTTTTGATTTGCATGTCTCTGATGGCCAGTGATCATGAGCATTTTTTCACGTGTCTTTTGGCTGCATAAATGTCTTCTTTTGAGAAGTGTTTGTTCATATGCTTTGCCCACTTTTTGATGGGGTTGTTTGTTTTTTTCTTGTAAATTTGTTTTGAGTTCTTTGTAGATTCTGGATATTAGCCTTTTGTCAGATGAGTAGTTGGCAAAAATTTTCTCCCATTCTGTAGGTTGCCTGTTCACTCTGATGGTAGTTTCTTTTGCTGTGCAGAAGCTCTTTAGTTTAATTAGATCCCATTTGTCAATTTTGGCTTTTGTTGCCATTGCTTTTGGTGTTTCATACATGAAGTCCTTGCCCATGCCTATGTCCTGAATGGTATTGCCTAGGTTTTCTTCTAGGGTTTTTATGGTTTTAGGTCTAACATGTAAGTCTTTAATCCATCTTGAATTAATTTTTGTATAAGGTGTAAGGAAGGGATCCAGATTTAGCTTTCTACATATGGCTAGCCAGTTTTCCCAGCACCATTTATTAAATAGGGAATCCTTTCCCCATTTCTTTTTTTTTTTTTTTTTTGAGGTGGAGTCTCGCTCTGTTGTCCAGGCTGGAGTGCAGTGGCGTGATCTTGGCTCACTGCAATCTCCGCCTCCGGGTTCACGCCATTCTCCTGCCTCAGCCTCCTGAGTAGCTGGGACTACAGGTGCCTGCCACCACATCTGGCTAATTTTCTTTATTTTTAGTAGAGATGGGGTTTCACTGTGTTAGCCAGGATGGTCTCGATCTCCTGACCTCATGATCCGCCTGCCTTGGCCTCCCAGAATGCTGGGATTACAGGCGTGACCCACTGTGCCCAGCCCACCATTTCTTGTTTTTGTCAGGTTTGTCAAAGATCAGATAGATCTTTGCCGTAGATATGCGGCATTATTTCTGAGGGCTCTGTTCTGTTCCACTGGTCTATATATCTGTTTTGGTACCAGTACCATGCTGTTTTGGTTACTGTAGCCTTGTACTATAGTTTGAAGTCAGGTAGCGTGATGCCTCCAGCTTTGTTCTTTTGGCTTAGGGTTGACTTGATAATGCAGGCTCTTTTTTGGTTCCATATGAACTTTAAAGTAGTTTTTCCAATTCTGTGAAGAAAGTCATTGGTAGCTTGATGGGGATGGCATTGAATCTATAAATTACCTTGGGCAGTATGGCCATTTTCATGATATTGATTCTTCCTACCCATGAGCATGGAATGTTCTTCCATTTGTTTGTATCCTCTTTTATTTCATTGAGCAGTGGTTTGTAGTTCTCCTTGAAGAGGTCCTTCACATCCCTTGTAAGTTGGATTCCTAGGTATTTTATTCTCTTTGAAGCAATTGTGAATGGGAGTTCATTCATGATTTGGCTCTCTGTTTGTCTGTTATTGGTGTATAAGAATGCTTGTGATTTTTGCACATTGATTTTGTATCCTAAGACTTTGCTGAAGTTGCCTATCAGCTTAAGGAGATTTTGGGCTGAGACGATGGGGTTTTCTAGATATACAATCATGTCGTCTGCAAACAGGGACAATTTGACTTCCTCTTTTCCTAATTGAATACCCTTAATTTCCTTCTCCTGCCTGATTGCCCTGGACAGAACTTCCAACACTATATTGAATAGGAGTGGTGAGAGAGGGCATCCCTGTCTTGTGGCAGTTTTCAAAGGGAATGCTTCCAGTTTTTGCCCATTCAGTATGATATTGGCTGTGGGTTTGTCATAAATAGCTCTTATTATTTTGAGATATGTCCCATCAATACCCAATTTATTGAGAGTTTTTAGCGTGAAGCGTTGTTGAATTTTGTCAAAGGCCTTTTCTGCATCTACTGAGATAATCATGTGGTTTTTGTCTTTGGTTCTGTTTATATGCTGGATTACGTTTATTGATTTGCATATGTTGAACCAACCTTGCATCCCAGGGATGAAGCCCACTTAATCATGGTGGATAAGCTTTTTGATGTGCTGCTGGATTTGTTTTGCCAGTATGTTATTGAGGATTTTTGCATCAATGTTCGTCAGGGATATTGGCCTAAAATTCTCTTTTTTTGTTGTGTCTCTGCCAGGCTTTGGTATTAGGATAATGCTGGCCTCATAAAATGAGTTAGGGAGGATTCCCTTTTTTTCTATTGATTGGAATAGTTTCAGAAGAAATGGTACCAGCTCCTCCTTGTACCTCTGGTAGAATTCAGCTGTGAATCCATCTGGTCCTGGACTTTTTTTGGCTGGTAAGCTGTTAATTATTCCCTCAATTTCAGAGCCTGTTATTGGTCTATTCAGAGATTCAAACTTCTTCCTGGTTTAGTCGTGGGAGGGTGTATGTGTCGAGGAATTTATCCATTTCTTCTTGTCCCTACGGGATTGGAAGTTGGAAAGCCACTCCCTCCAAATCTTCCTCAAGCCTGAATTTCTTCCACTGGGGACTTGCATTAGGAACTGTCTTCTCTTTTCCCAGAACTCTCTTTAAAAAGGCAAACAATGCTGGGAAGGGTGACACTTTGTCCTCACAGCTTGGTATTGAGAAGACTTTCTAATTATTTCTTTTTTGACTTGAATTACCAAAGGACATTGAGAACATTGAACAAAGAGATGAGGAGGTAAAAGAGTGGGGGAGGGGGCATTTTTAAAGATAAACATTATCTATCTTGCCATTTACCCAGTGACAGTCTTAGCTCTGAGTTCCTTAACTCTGCAATCCAGACACACCTTCAATTGTTGCCAAATGGAACTCTCCAAGGACCAGCTGAGTTGATAAACAGGTTTTCCATAAGGACATAAGGACACACAAGTGGGTTTAGAGCAAAGGACTCATCCAAACTCTCTCATCTTCCCACGTCAGGTCTACCAACTGCAGCCTCTACACACGTATGGTTTGTCTCTCCTCTGGTTACACAGATGGTCTTCCGTCCTCTGAAAGATCAGCCCTCCATTTCCACTCTGACTCTCTCCTCCCTCACCTTCTTAAGGACTGTGTTTCTGTGGTTCTTTCTTTCCTCTGCAGCCTTGCTTCTCTATATTCATTTATTCTTATCAGCATATAAACATGCCAGCTCTCCTGGTTCTGTGACATCAACGATGTCTTTCTTGGCCTCCTTTGCTGGTGTTGGAGTTCAGAGCACTCAACCCCAAAATGTGGCACCTTGGAAATTGAGAAAACAGCAAAAGCAGAAAGGTCACTCTCTGCTTTTCTGTGTAACAGCTGGCCATGAAGGAATTCCATGACCTATCGTACCTAAAAATAGGGCATAAGGCATCCTGCCCTATACCTGGAAGCCACAGATCCATCTGAACAGATAAGCCTTGCTAGGTTCTTCCTCAGTTTGTTCCCACTAAATCAGACCCTTTTTGTCCAATCATACTTCTACAGGGTGGTCCATTCTTCATCAAATCTAAGCATAAAAATAGAGTTTTCCCTGGGTTTGGGGGTCTTCATTACTCCAGGCTCTTGTGTCATGTAAAACTTGGGTTAAATAAATTTATTATGCTTTTCTCTTGTTAATCTATCTTTTGTTATAGGAGCGTCAGCCAAGACCCTGGCAATTGGTAAGGAAAATATATTCCTTCTGCTTTAATCCTTTACTTTTACTCCTTTACACCTTCTCTACCAATTCTCCAAGCAGGGATTGTCCAGGGCTTTGCCTCTACCCACTTCTCTTTCCTAACTCCAATTCTCTCCTTGATCTCATCCAGTCCCTGGCTTTAAATAGCACCAATATGCTGATGATGCTATATATACATGTCTAGCCTTGACCTATCTCCTCTACTGTAGACTTGTGCACTTTTCCTTGGATTTGATGTATCTGCTTGGACGATGAGTAGGATCTCAAAACAGAACTATTTTCCCAATCCAAAGTTACTCCTTCCTTTACCATAACGACCTCAGTAAATGATTCTGTTTTCCAACCAGGTGATCAAGTCAAAAAGCTAAGAGAATCCTCTTTCTCACCACCTCCTCCCACAACAAATCCACTGGCAAATCCTGTCAACTCTTACTTTAAGGCATATTCCAAGTCTATCCACTTATATTTATATCTAATATTACTATAATACTTTTGTCAAAATCTTTACAATTTCTTTCCTAAAATAACTCCTGCAGGCCTCCCAGATCCCATGTTTGTCTATACAAGGCATTCTTCACTAACCTGTCAAAGTTATTTTTTAAAAACAAATAATGTCATGCCTTTTCTCTAAAATGTCTCCAGTAACTTCCCATAGGAGAAGCAGGCAGTGCTGGTGGGAGAGATGGAAGCTGTATTCTTTTTGTGACCTAGCCTTGGAGGTCACAAATGATCATTTTCACTATACTCTGTGGATCAGGGCAGTTACAAGCTCCTGTTGAGATTACAGGAGTGGGAATATAAAGCCCACCTCTCAGTAAAAGGAATGTCAGTCACATTATAAGATGGAGATGTGAGATAGGATATACAGGTGGGTATGCCATCTTTGAGAAAGACAATCTGCCATTCAGATAGTCATGGCTGTGATTTTATATTGCATGGCCAAATTTTCTCTTTTTTTTTTTTTGACATGGAGTGTCCCTCTGTCACCTAGGCTGGAGTGCAGTGGTGCCATCTCACCTCACTGCAACCTCCACCTCCGGGTTCAAGCAATTCTCCTGCCTCAGCCTCCCAAGTAGCTGGGATTATAGTTGTGCAACCACGCCGGCTAATGTTTGTATTTTTAGTAGAGACGGGGTTTCACCGTATTGAGATCAGGCTTGTCTCAAACTCCTGATCTCGTGATTCACCTGCCTCGGCCTCCCAAAGTGCTGGGATTACAGGTGTGAGCCACCACGCCAGGTCCAAAGCTTTATTTTAGTAAAATTGATTCTGATTCATATCCTAGAAGTCAGTAAATGGTTCTATATTCTACAGCATTTCACAAAGACTTGTAGGTACTCTGCTTCCCCAACAGATCTGAGAACCATTGATCTTGTCCATCTGTCTAGTTTTGTAGTTGATGGAGCAAAGGGCTAAAGAGGTGATTGTGATTTGCCTAAAGAAAAGCTATTGCCAAGCTCTCTCTCACTTTGCCTGATCAGGAAGACATTCTAGAGCAGATGGAATTAGAAATTGATTCCAAAGAATGGAAGAGTTGGAGTTGGAATCATTGGGCATGTTGTTGGGTGCTGTTGGCATATGGCATGGACTCTGAGAAAGTTTGAAGCACTTAGGTTTTCCCTTTTTGGACCCTGAAGAGTCCTGTCTGTCAATGGGAATTAAAGGGAGTGCAGGATAAGCAGTAGTAAACAGAGACTGCAAGGGGATGAGGCAAGACAGCCTTTCTCAAAGTGCCTCTGGTGGGCCAACTACATCAGAGTCAGAATCACCTAGAGCATTGGTCACAAATGCAGGTTCCTGAATCCCACATATTCTTAATCAGAATCTCTGGGAGAAGGGTTTAAGAGTACATAAATTAACAGGCTTTCACTGCATACCTATGTACTCCAATATTTGAAAATTACCCAAAGGGACAATGAAACTAACTCTGGTTTGTAAAGTTAGGTCTGGATGAGAAATATGAAACCAGCAGAAGGGTCACAAATATCTGCATGTCACCTGGACAGAGCTCATCAAATACAGTAGAAAGATACTCTAACAATGAATGAAAAATGAAGGTCTAAATTTCCCTCCAAATAAGAGCATAATTTAGAAACAACTAATTAAATCTCCAAGACTTCCATTTTTACCCTTGACACACTATTCAGCAATGTATTACAGGCTATGTCATTGTCATTTTCGATAAATGAATCTTACCAAATGAAAAGTCGTAGTTTTACTTCAAAACATCCCTCCATCTAGTGCTTCATATAACTCAATAGAAAAGGGAACACATCTCTTTCTGTGACATTAAGCTGATTTGCACGTGCAACCGTCGGGGTGCACACATTCCCATAGAAGCCTAAAGATGAAAAGCCAGAACGCTGTTTCTATTGGGTCCCCTTGATCTGATCCCATTCTGCTTTGCCTCAAATCCATCCATGATTTCCGTTAATATCTTCTCTGCCTCATCTCTGACATTCTTCATCATCAATGGCTTATTGTTAAACTCTCTTCCTTAGCTTCAGTCCCTTTTTTCCAGACGCCTCCATATTCCCCTGCCCCCAACCAAAATTCCTTTGTTTTTCCTGACCACTAAAGAATAAGGAGCAACTTGAAGATGAGCAACCATTTCAAGGATGTTAAGACTCTCTGGCCACACCAATGGGACTCCTTTGATCTCACTGGACTGGTGAGATGTCCTTATCTGTCTAATGGGCACCCCAAAATGTCACAGTGACTCTCAGAGAGCTTCTCTGTGGGCAGCTAAAAACCCCCGTGGCAACAGCCATCCATCTATCTAACTTTTCCGGATAAGACAGCTTTCTCTCCCTGAGAAGTGCTGACGCTGGAGTCTATATTATTAGGTCACACTTTGCATTCTTATCCCAAGGATCCTTTTAAAAAAGGTATCCTTTAACTTTGTTTCTGAAGACAAAATTTGTGCTTTTGATTTGGATGTCTATGCTTTCCCCTCCATCCCCACCCCCTCTCCTGTGCCCCCCTTATTGGTGGGCTGCTCACTGGCGGGCTATTAAACAACTTTAACACAGTTGCACTTTGTTCGCTCCATATCTATGTTTTTGGCTTTCTGAGAGGAGGTATTGTGCTAGGCAGAACTATTTGATTGGAGAATTGTTTAGACTGTGGCAAGTAGAACAGTTAAATATGGTGTTTTATGGAGCTAAAACTTAGAGGAAGAAAAAGAGGCATCATTAATATACAAAAAAGAAAAAAGGAAAAGTTGGCAAGGATAAGAAACTTCGGTCATCATAAAACAAGAGTCAACTCAGATCTTCATCTCAACTTCACTGAATTGGAATTTTCACTTTGAAATGAACTCCAACTGGTGAACATTTCAGTTTCTGAAGAGGTAGAATTGGGAATGAAAAATTTGCTTAGAACTGCTCATGAGCATGAATCAAAGCTTTCATATCAGTGCTTTTTAAAATCCAGTGTCTTAATTTTGTCATAATTGTTGCTCATTTTTTTTTTCAAGGGGGTTTAGCCAGCAGAATTGTGCTTCTTTTTCCAGTGCTCCTTATATCATGTATAGTGATTGGGAGGAAGACTGTTAAGGTTTGTGTCCAGATGGCACCCAAATTCTGATGCTATAATGAAGCACATCTGACTGGAAGACAGAGGTCATATAAAGTCAACCCTTTGCTGGAGAAAGAGCAAGACAATATAGTCTACAGCAAGCTTGTCCATCCCACAGGCTGCATGTGACCCAGGACGGCTTTGAATGCAGCCCAACACAAATTGAGAAACTTTCTTAAAACATTATGAGAGTGCAATTTTTTTTTAAAGCTCATCGGCTATCATTCGTGTTAGCGTATTTTATATGTGGCCCAAGACAATTCTTCTTCCAATGTGGCCCGGGTAAGTTAAAAGAATGAACACCCGAGGCCTACAGAAACGGACACTTCACTGGGAGATAAGGTACCAGGGTTCTAAGATGGGCTCTTCTGCTGCCTGGGAGATCTTCCGCAAGCCTTTTAATTTATCTAGGTATCAATATTCTCACCTATAAATAAGTTTAATGAATTCAAGTTTTCTTTTAGGTCCAAGTTTAGAAGTTACTACCATTTTAGACCTAATATTTATTTTTGCATTTCTGATTCATCTCGTAGAGGAAACTAAATGTGTTTTCTGAACTCATGGGTACTACAGGAAATCACTTTCCAATGAATTGAAAAATGTTTTGTTCATTTCATTTTCATTTGCTGCTGAGAATTCTGTGTTCCTCATGCCCCAAAATGCTTCACATTGACATAGTACAGCTGTGTACACGACACCATCATCTTACATGACATCTTTCCTATAAACCATGCCTCTAAGCCCTTTACAGAGCTTCTGTAAGTAATACAATTAAAGAATCATAGAAACAGGGGAGAAAGGATGTTGAGAAACATACAAGGAAGAAAAGATAGAAAATGTGAATTTTTTTCACATTTTTCATACGCATATTGGTATAAAGAAATCCTCCTCCCACTAGAGAATAATGTGGGCTAAAAATCCCACCTGCCTAGGGCTTCAGATGTGATGTGACTTCTCTTTGCTATTGAATGTATTTTGAGTTCAAACAACTGAGGCAAAAACCGATTAATTTGAATGTCCACATTTTCAAATGGATATAGTGGCTGTTCCAAAAATTTTAAGCTTAGAAACACGGATAGCATTTAGGTTTCTAACTCTCAAACCAGAACACATCAAAGTAATACTGGTGGGTCAGGGAAATGAATTTCTGTAATAAAAACCTTGCCTCAAACCAGAGGTGTACTGGATATGAGAATTTTCAATACAGTTAATAATTACTAAGGAATTAGATAAACCAAGCACAGGTGTTAAGATGACATGCCAAAATTTTGGGCACAAGAAGCTCACATGTCTTGATGGTCTGGATGCTGGAAATGTCCTCTGTCCTTAGACATCCGTCCAGAGAGAGATGACCAAGTTTATGCTGTTGCTGATACTCACGAATCCTTAGGATCATGAATAATTTGTGTAAATAAATTATTTTAAATTATAATTATAACATAATTGTATGTATGTAATTTATTGTCATTATTGTGACTTAATGTAGATAATAAATAGTAAATTCATGGTGTGTATTTATAGAGTTGCCACCTCTTTTATCAACATGCTTGAGCTAAGTTTGCTAAAAAAGAAACAGATATTATTTTCTTTTATTATTATCAACTGAATATTTGTGTCCTCCCAAAATTCATATAAAAATCCTAACCACCCAATGTGATGGTCTCGGGAGCTGGGTCCTTTCAGAGGTAATTAGGTCATGAGAGTGGAGCCGTCATGAATGGGATTTGTGTCCTTGTAAGAAGGGTCAGGAGAGGATTCTTTTTCTATCCCTGCTCTCCAGCCTCTGGAGAGGCAACAAGAACATGGCCTTCACAAAGAACCCAATCAGGCTGGTGTCCTGCTTTTGGAATTCCAACCTCTAGAACTGTGAGAAATAAGTTTCTATTGTTTAACTCACCCAGTAGTCTATGACAATTTGTTATAGCATTCTGAACTGTCTAAGACAGTGATTGTAAAATAAATATATGCTCAAAGTCAAAGAAAATAAAGAAAAGCACACTGGGAGAAATGACATCACTTAGCCCACCTAACCTTCTCTCCTCTAAACTCCTGTGATGTGTAAACGGTGTGTCCCATTCCTTTGGGCACCTGGAAATATACCGTCCTGACTCTTGAGGCTTGTCCCAGGAGGACCGCTTCTCATCTGGCTCTGCCCAACAAAGCAAGGGGTTCTGACACTTTTCAAAACTCCTTATCCTATTCTAGCACCAGAGCCTTCTTTGGCTCCAATACACGACATGAGCTCAAAGCCATACTCCATCTCCTGTCACCCATTAGCTTCTTGGGAGTCCCCACATCCCCCGGCTTGACCTCAGACGATTTAGCTTTGGAAACTTGGCCCATGCCTTGTAAAACTTAGTCAATCTCCATGGCATCAGAGGTGACATGCTCACAAAAGTTTAGGGACCAAGAAGGCCACCACTTTTTACAACTCCCAGAAGCACATTCATGCTGTATTTATATGAGGAAAGCCCTCGCAGTCACAACAGGAGTGGATGGTACCTTAGGAGCTGGGCAACATGGCAGCCTGGTGGCCAGCATTCTCAGAGAAGGATTGCGTGGGCCTGGCAGAGTGCTCACTCAGGCTTGCTGTTGCTGTTGGTAGCAGGGGCCACACCTCACACAGTCACGTGCCACATTTCCTGCTCAGATGCAGACCCTCTTCCGTGGTGGCTGACACTCAGCTTTGTCTTTGCTGGTCATGCAAAAGGCCACTCATACCTTAGCTTGACCCACAGCTCATCTTAAAACAGACCCTAATTGCCCATTCTGGAACGATGTGAAATAATCTCCAACTTGCAAAATAATTCCAGCCAATGCCTACATGTAGTGAAAGTGTCAATCTGAGCCAGAGGACCATGTTACACATCAGATGTCCTGCACTTAAATTGAAGCATGCAGTCTGAAAGTATTCTGATGAAAAATGCAAAGGGATAAAAGTACATGGCTTATGTACTCCTCATGCTTATTATTAAAATAATTCCTATTGCCCCTTTATTTGTGCCAAGTTGATTTTTTTACTATTGACTGGACAAAAAATGATGATATGCCCAACCTCTTTCTTTTAGTTTTTTAAACTAAAAACTCACACCAATCCTAGGTATGACTGACATTTAAAGTTGTGTTAAAGTGATTAACATTTCTTTCTGCTCCCTCCTCATTCTCTTTTCTCTATCAGTCCTCCCTTGACCCTAGGCACCTTGTCTTTATTTTTTTTTAAACTTTTATTTCCGGTTCAGGGGTACATGTGCAGGATGTGTAGGTTTGTTACACAGGTAAACGTGTGTCACACAGGTTTGTTGTACCAATTATTTCATCACCTAGGTATTAAGCCTAGTATCCATTAGCTACTTTTCCTCATCCTCCTCCCCCTTCCCACCCTACACGCGCTGATAGGCCTCAGTGTGTGTTTTTCCCCTTTATGTATCCATGTATTCTCATTATTTAGCTCCCACTTATAAGACAGAACATGCAGTATCTGGTTTTCTGTTCTTGCATTAGTTTGCTAAGAATCATGGCCTTCAGCTAAATCCATGTCCCTGCAAAGGACATTATCTCATTCATTTTTATGGCTGCATAGTAGTCCATGGTATGTATGTACCATATTTTCTTTATCCAGTCTATCATTGATGGGCATTTGGGTTGATTCCGTGTATTTGTTTTTGTGAATAGTGCTGCAGTGAACATTTGTGTGCATGTGTCTTTATAACAGAATGATTTATATTACTTTGGGTATACACCCAGTAATGAGATTGCTGGGTTATTTTTTGACTTTTTAATAACAGCCATTCTGAAAACTGGTGTGAGATGGTATCTCATTGTGGTTTTGATTTCCATTTCTGTAATGATCAGTGACGTTGAACTTTTTTTCATATGCTTTTTGGCCACACGTATGTCTTCTTTTGAAAGGTATTTGCTCATGTCTTTAAATAACCCCTGGAACCTTGAACCCCAGCTGTTTTGGGTTCTTCACTTCCAG